>NC_000008.11:59677265-60302265 GCF_000001405.40 Homo sapiens
CCTCGATTTCCTTGGTGTGAGATGTCGAACCTTGTATATTTACTCCAGACAAGGACGTCACTTCAATACTACCCTGGAAGAACTTCGAAATATACTGGTTGTCCTCCATTGTACGTAGTGGAAGCCTGAATATTTTGTTTGAATATTAAAGGGTGGACTCAGAATGCTAAAAGATGGAAGACCTGTGAGTTAAAAATGCAGTATGCAATTTGCCTCAATACTTCTGATACATATGGAGAAAAGGATGTGTGTTGTGGGGACTGGGGGCGAAGTGGCAGGGTGAGCTGTGTGGGTGGAGGAACACGGCAAGCCCGGGAGAAATAAAGTGTTTGAGGTTCAGGCGCAGAGAGTTGAAGAAAAGATAAAATGTTATTTCTGTCCCACTGGCTCCTTAATTTATCAAAAGTAACCAGAAAGCATTGTCAGAACCTTTTTTCAGAGAGTTAATATTTTCCCATCTAAGGTGAAGAAAGCCCTTGGACACTTATACAAAGAATAATTCCTTGAGCAACTACTCCAGTCACTTCTGGTCAAATGACCTTGAGCAATCCAGTCACTCCCTACTCCAAAATGCAAGGGGTATATAAAAAGGGAAAGGAGTAATTAGGAAAGCATTTTCATTCATTCTTATTGTAATTGAATCTTCTTTCTAGAAAAATTAAATTAAAATGTGGCCTGCACTTTTCAAAAGAAATTTAAATGAGTAAGTCTTGACTATAAATAAACAAAATGGAAAGCAATAGAAACGTGTTTTTTGACAGATAGTTATGTTTGTGGGAAATCATGCTCTTTCCTTTAAAACACCAAAAGAACTACTGTGTACATGTGTCGAACTATATCACCATTGTAATTAGAATGGGAGGCTTAAAATGAATACAAACTGCAATCAGGGAATAGTACAAACTAGGAGATGAGTGTGCAGAACAAAGATCAAGGTGTGATTTTTTTTTAAAGATTAGGGCATTTCTTAACACAAATCTCTTAACATGGGACATATTTTTACCATTATTATAGTGGATCAACATAGATACAGAGTTATAATCATTAAAAATGTGCTATACTTATCTAGACACTCTTTATTGTGTCAGGTACTTAAGTCTTAGTGTTAGTGTAAGAATAGTTCTGAAATTTTTGAAAACAAAGGTGCATTTGACCCTATCAGCCCATGATTCTCAAAGAATGTTCAGATGCTTTCAACATTCTAATAAAAAATAGAAATCATCCACTTTTGATCACTCCACAACCCCCTCCTCTATGCCAGTCTATCTCTGAGCCAAAAGAGGTGTATTCCTTCAAGTTCCTGTATCACTGGCATGCCTTTATGCATGCCTGCTCTAAACCTCTTAAATACAGATGAACACAAAATACAGGCATATTTCTCATTATGCAAGCAGACTCCTACATACAAATTCTAAAGGAAAGCACAGAACAGCTGCATTCCACTTTTTTTTTGGCATGAATAGGGTCTTTAATATCAATACTGAAATGGAAGTGATTAGTACTATTTACTGAATTTTAAAGCACCTTAGGATGTTCAGCCAGACAGTTTATTTGATTGGCTGAACATGCGGACACCTCATTTTGGGAAAAATATGTTGGCAAAGGCAAAGAAACAGCTATCTGGCTGCTTCATGAACAGTTTTAGAGGAGTTGAGCTGATATTTCTTCTTTAAAAATGATACTCTTATAAACAATGACATGCTCTTTCTAGCATTATGTGGTCTTCTTTACCTAATCACACTTCTGAAACTCTAAAATTAGGAGTATTGAGTATAATCATTTAGATTTGGCTCAGCTCACAGAATTTTATTCATGATACTTTGATGTATAGCATCTAATGTAGAAATCATCCATTTACTATAGGTAGTTGGACATTGCTAGAATGTACACTGTATGTTAGTATCTCTATATAATATATCTGATTCATTTCTGATATTAGTCAATCTTTGGTAAATTATTTGTTTTGGAAGATACATTAATTCTTTTGTTATTTCTTTCATATACTACACATGTATTTAACATTTGTCTCTGCAATGCACTTTCTGGGTCTCCAGTATTCTAAAGAGTTAAGATTAAAGTTTCCACAGGCCAGGGCCAGGAGGGTAATATTATGATATAAATAATGGTAAGGGAATTATTTTTAAAGAACAAAGCTCAAGCTATGATGTAAGCCCCCTTAATTTTTTTCTAGAACAGTGACAACAATAAAATAGAATGCGAAGAAAAAAATTGATGTGTATGTGGATAAAACTTAATTAGGCAAAATATTACTAAGCCCAACAAATCAGATCATTGAGGCACCAAAAGGTAATGGAGCTAGTAAGAAAAACAAATCTTTACTTGCTTCTGGACTTACCTGGATCCATTTACCCAGATTGTCTTTAAAACTAGTGAGACTTTAAATATTGACTTTTAGAAATCCATGTACTGCTAAAGATGCTAAAATTGTGAATTTAAAATATGGAAGAAATAAATAATTTTTCATCAGCTGTCAAGGTGCCATAGAGCGTTCACATGAGGACAACTCAATCTATTCCAGATACATAGCTATGACCAATAAAATATAAAAATACAAAACCAAAAATTATGATCACTCCTACATCCACTTACAGAAGGGGAAGATATTTTTTATTCCATTTAGGCCCTCGATTTATTGGATGAGGTCCACCCATGCTAGGGGTGAAGGGGGAGGCATCTGCTTCAGTTAGTCTAGAAATTTAAATGTTAATCTTATCCAAAAATACCCTCATAGACACATCTAGAATGTTTCACCACCTATGTAGGTACCCCATGGTCCAGATACGTTGACATATAAAATGAACCATCACAGTTGGGAAAAATTATGGGTTGACCATTATTTCTTCTCCAGCATTTTGAGTATATTACACCATATTATTTATTGTTACTGATATAAATCTACAGTCAGCCTAATTGTCACAGCTTTTAGGTAACCTCGCTTTTCTTTTTGATAGCCTGAAATCATACAAAATATGTTCTCTGATCACATTGAAATCAAATTAAAAATTATTAATAAAGGGAAATTTGGAAAATTATCAAATATGTGGAAATCAAGCAACACATTTCAAATAACCAATGGTTCAAAGATGGAATCAAAAGAGAAGTTAGGACAAACTTTCGGATTAAATTAAAGGACAACATATAAAAACTGATACGCTGTTAGAACAGCACATGGGGAAAAATTATATTGTAAATGCCTATATTAAAAAAGAAAAAAATCATATCAAATAACTAACTTTTCATTTTAAAAATTAGGACCCGGCGCAGTGGCTCATGCCTGTAATCCCAGCACTTTGGGATGTTGAAGCAGGCTGATCATTTGAGGTCGGGAGTTTGAGACCAACCTGGCAACATGGTGAAACCCAGTCTCTACCAAAAATACAAAAATGAGCTGGGCGTGGTGGCAGGTGCCTGTAATCCCAGCTACTCAGGACGCTGAGGCAGGAGAATCACTTGAACCTGGGAGGCGGAGGTTGCAGTGAGCTGAGATTGCACCACTGCACTCTGGCCTGGGCGATAGAGAGAGACTCAGTTAAAAACAAAATTAGAAAATTGATTATAAACTAAACCCAAAATAAGCAGAAGGAAATAGTAAAAGTTAGATCAGAAATTAAAATCTAGAATGAAAAACAATAAACTCAACACACCAAAAACTAATTCTCTGTAAAGATCAACAGTATTGACAAATTTTTAGCAAAACCAATCAAAAAGAAAAGATAGAAGTGTTAAATCACTAAAATGATAAATGAAAGAGTAAAATGCTACCAACCTTATAGAAATAAAATGGATTTTAAAATATACTATGAATAATTGTATGCCATCTAATTATATAATCTAAATGGAATGGAAATGTTCCTAGAAAGTCAGAAATTACCAAAATGGACTCAAGAATAAATATGAAAGCTGGATATACCTATAACAAATATAGAGATTGACTTAGTAGCCCAAAAAGGGCTCACAATGAAAGGCCCAAGACTAGGTTATTTCACTGGAGAATTCTACCAAATGTTTGTCCTCATACCAAAACTATACCAAAGACATTGCAAGAAAAGGAAACTGTTGATAAACAATCTTATGTATAAAGACACAAAATGTGTCAACAAAGACACAAGGAAACTGAATGCAGCAAAATATAAAAAGGATTATACATATTGACCAATTGAATTATCTCAGAATTGCAAGGTGGATGCAGCATATAAAAATCAATTAGTGTGATGAGTCATATGAATAGAATAAAAAACAAAAATCACATGATCATCTCTATTGGTACAGAAAAAGCACCTGATACAATCCAATACACTTTCATGATAAAAAGTACACAAGAAACTTAGAAGATAACTTCTTCAACCTGAAGAAAGACATCTATAAAAGCCACAGCTAATATATTCATTGATAACAAAACAAAACAAAACAAAACAATATCTCCCCTGAGTTCAGGAAGAATAAGATAATGTCTACTCTCATCACTTTTATTCAATATTGTATTAGAAGGTCTAGCCAGGGCAATTGGACAAGAAAAGTAAATGAAAGTCATTCAAATAGGAAAGGAAAAAGTAAACTATTTTTATGGACAGGTGCCATGATCTAGCTGCTACAATTTGAATATGTTTCACAAAAAACATGAGTTAGAAATTAAAAGGCCATATACTGTGTGATAGTATTGGTATAAAATATCCAGAATGGAGGCTGGGTGTGGTGGCTCATGACTGTAATCCCAGCACTTCGGGAGGCCAAGGTGGGCAGATCACTTGAGGTCAGGAGTTGGAGACCAGCCTGGCCAACAATGTGAAATCCCATCTCTACATCTCTACCAAAACTACACTTACATATATATAAATATATATATAAATATATATATATATATATATATATATATATATATATATATATATATTTTTTTTTTTTTTTTTGAGACAGTCTTGCTCTGTCGCCCAGGCAGGAGTGCAGTGGTGCAATCTTAGTTCACTGCAACCTCTGCCTCCCGGGTTCACGCCATTCTCCTGCCTCAACCTCCTGTGTAGCTGGGACTACAGGCACCTGCCACCACTCCCGGCTAATTTTTTGTATTTTTTAGTAGAGACAGGATTTCACCGTGTTTGCCAGGATGGTCTTGATCTCCTGACCTTGTGATCCACCCGCCTTGGCTTCCCAAAGTGCTGGGATTACAGGCATGAGCCACCACGCCCAGCCCCTACCAAAACTATACATTTTTAAAAAAAGCTGGATGTGGTGGTGGGCACCTGGAATGCCAACTATGTGGGAGGCTGAGGCAGGAGAATCTCTTAAACTTGGGAGGTGGAGGTTGCAGTGAGCTGAGATTGCGCCACTGCACTCCAGCCTGGGCGGCAGAGCGAAACTTCATCTCAAAAAAAGAAAAAAAAAATTAAGAAAGAACCAAGCTGAACTTCTGGAAGTGAAAAATTGACTACAAGAATTTTATAAAACACTTAGAAGTATTAACAGCAGAATAGGCCAAGCTGAGGAAAAAAAATCTCAGAGATCGACAATTGTTTCTTTGAATCAACTCAGACAGATAAAAATAAAGAAAAAAGCATTTTTTTTTTAATGAACAAAATCTCCAAGAAATATGAGAATATGTAAAGTGGTATAGTTTGGATGTCTGGTCCTCTCTAAATCACGTGATAAAATGTGACCTCCCATGTTGAAGGTGGGACTGGTGAGAGGTGTTTTGGTCATGGGGGTGGATCCCTCATGAATGGCTTGATGTCATAATCAGGGTAATGAGTGAGTTCCCACTCTATGAATTCATGCAAGATATGGTTGTTTAAAGAGCCTGAAACTTCTTCCCCTTTCTCTTGTTTGCTCTCTTGCCATGTGACATGCTGGCTCCCCCTTCACCTTCCACCATGAGTGGAAGCTTCCTGAGGCACTTACCAGCAGAGAATCATAGTGTCATGCTTCCTGTACAGCCTACAGAACTGTGAGCCAAAATAAACCTCTTTCCTTTATAAATTACCCAGTCTTAGGTATTTATTTTTAGCAATGCAAATGAACTAACACATAAAGAGACCGAGCTTATGACTCACTGGCATTCCTGAGACAGAAGGAGAGAGAAAAAAGCTGAAAGCAACACACTACCCAACTGAAATTATACCTATAAGGCTACAGTCACCAAAACAGCATGGTGCTGGTACAAAAACAGACACACAGGCAAATGCAACAGAATAGACAACTCAGAAGCAAAGCCTTACACTAGCAACCATCTGATAATGACAAAGTTAACAAAAACAAGCAATGGAGAAAGGACTCCCTATTTAATAAATGATGCAGGGATAACTGGCTAGCCACATCCACAAGAAGGAAACTAGACTCCTATCTTTCATCATACATAAAAATTAACTCAAGATGGATTAAAAATTTAAATGTAAGACCTCACCCTATAAAAATTTTAGAAGAAAACCTAGGAAATACCCTTTTTGACATCTGCCTTGGCAAAGAATTTTGGGCTAAGTCCCCAAAGAAATTATAACAAAAACAAAAACTGATAAGTGGGATATAATTAAACTAAAAAGCTTCTGCATAGTAAAAGAAATTGTCAATATAGTAAACAGACAATCTATAGAACGGGAGAAACCATTCACAAACTATGCCTCTAACAAAGGTCTAATATCCAGAATCTATGAAGAACTTAAACCAATCAACAAACAAAAACAAATAACCCCATTTAAAAAGCAGCAAAAGACATGAACAGACATGTCTCAAAAGACATACAAGGAGCCAACAAACATGTAAAAAATGCTAATTATCAGAGAAATGCAAATCAAAGTCATAATAAGATACTATCTCACATCAGTCAGGATGGTTCTTAAAAAGTCAAATAAATAAATAATAGATGCTGTTCAGGTTGTGGAGAAAAGGGAACCCTTATATACTGTTAATGGGAATGTAAATTAATCCTGCCTCTGTGGAAATCAGTTTGGAGATTTCTCAAATAACTCAAAACAGAGCTATCATTTGACTTAGCAATTATTGGGTATACACCTAAAGGAAAATAAATCATTCTACCAAAAAGACAAATGCATTCATATGTTCATTGCAGCACTGTTCACAATGGTGAACACATGGAATCAACCTGGGTGCCCACCAATGATATATTGGCAGATTTAGCTGGTTCTGTTATTTTTAATTCTTAAGAAGATATATGAAGTAAACTTGATATTTAATACCTGAGTGTCTATTGATCTCTATTCTTCCTTATATTTTTAATTATTTCATTATGGAAGAGTTCTTTAAACTCTTTTATACTCTTAAATATGATAGGTCATATCAATTTATTAAAATATCTTATTTTTAAAATTATAATTAGCTTTATAATATTTCAAAAACAGTAAAATAAATTTACATTAGCATTTACCTAAAATGAATATTTATTTACTAAATGTATGAGAAAAAAATATCTAGAACATTTATCTTTGAATCCAGAGAAGGGACTGAAAATGATTCATTGGGTAGGTGAAATCTCTTGTGCTAAATTTTCCTTGAATTTGATTCTTTAAGATTATAATTCACTAAATACCTACTAGGTAAATTCACAGTTTTTCTGAGGAAAACTTGCCTTTTCTTTGAATAACTAAATTCACATTTTTTCCTAATTCTAAGCAACACAAGTTTCTGAGAATTTTAATCTGATTTTGTGTCTATAATAAAACTTGTTTTTTCTCTGTTTCTCTGAAGACACTGTCCATTCACCCTGTAACATTTTGGTTAGTCTATCAGCATAGATCTGAGTACATTGGAAAGTTTACGGTATTGTGGCAAAAAAAGAAAAAACAAAAAAAAAGACAAGAGAGGACTAAATCCTATAGTCATATGTGCTTATTTATATATTTAACCTAAATCAATTTACTAGTAAACGCAATGGTGAAATAGAAAATTAATATTTGTAACGCCTGTTGGATGTACTGAATTAAGAAAAAAACACAAATATTGAACACAAAATAAAACTAGTTATTTTTACTGACTATTCTTAGGTTGTAAACACAACATTCTTTGCTTAGGAAAAATAACAGATTAAAAATTGATTCTGATCCTGGAGAATAATATTGTCATTTAACCTATAAAATAAATGCCTTTGTGGTCCAACTTGTTAGAATGATTGGTCTTGAAAGAATTGACATAAAATATGAAATTATATTTTTATTGCAGATGATAGTGGAAGAACCTATTGCCTATGGATTCTAAGCAGTGCTTCTTAGATATGCTTATTACAAATAAAAGTTAGAGTTGTATAACATAAAATTTCATAAGCACAATATAATAGTCAAAATACATGAGAAGTATAGATCAGAGCACATCTTGCTTTTAGAGACAGCACTTTCTATTTTCACATGTGAAATGATATTTACTACAGTGCAATGACTGATATTCTAAACTCTATGCATTTTATCTTTTTAAATGAGAATACAACATAACTGGTAGAAATATTTGTTAAATACTACTCACATAAATCTCTTCTCTCTTCCCAAATCCCCTGAAAATGGCAGAAAAAGATAAATGTTGGCTGACTAAATAATCCCAGTTCACAAAATGGGATTTAACTTTCCCCCCTACATCAAACTCTATGTATATACTAGGTATACATCTTACTGTAGGTATATTCAAGAAAAATTAGGGTTTTTCTCATACCTGTTATTGAAATAATCCATGCTGAAGGCTATATACCCTGCTTTTAAACAAAAATTTTGGTCTCTGATAACCTTGGGACACAGAATTCTTGATCTATATCATTGCTCAGAATAGGAGGTAAGTACCTCCTAAAACCTCCTAAACCCGTGTTCTTGCTTTTGTTTAAAAACAATACTTGTTATAGATAATTTCTCACTGGCCATCTCTTTCTTTAGTTTCTAGCATATTACCATGTTACTTGACTCTTGAAAGCAGAAGCAGGTATCGACTCCTTCTTTTTGATGGAGAAAAACTGAGAGGAAGGCTGTCAATCAAACGACGCCACTTTTTCTGTCACAGAAGTGGACATAAACCTAAACTGGAAAGAGTAATCCTATTTCTCTGGGCTCAGTCACAGATGGGAGATGGGCATGTAAGCCAAACAAGACCAGAAATAGTTAACTTTTGGGAATTTGTATGGAAACTGGAAAAGAGATTTTAAGTTGTAATCCATATGCTATCAAAGACCAATGATGTTGTGCTTAGATATAGATGTTTACCTAATACTTCCCAATACTCCTAAATTAGAAAAAATATCAATTTCTAATTTGCAAACTACATATTAAAATATTTTTCTATCCAAATCCAATCAAAAGGAACTAGAACTGCTAATTCTATCCCATACCATTTCACCTGTCTTTGCATAGTTAATGGCAATTTACTTCACTAGCTAAACAGAAGGGAATAGGATGACTCAAGAGATTGGTAATGAATTATGAAGCCACTATCATCTAACATACATATATATATATATATATATATATATGTAATCTAACTGTATATGTAATCTAACTATATATATATAGAGAGAGAGTTCTTGTTATTTGTTTGTTTTTGTTTTGTTTTTGTTTTTGAGACAGAGTCGCGCTCTGTAGCCCAGGCTGGAGTGCAATGGTGCAATCCTGGCTCACTGCAATCTCCGCCTCCCAGGCTCAAGCGGTTCTCCTGCATCAGCCTCCCCAGTAGCTGGGATTACAGGCATGTGCCATTGCCCCCAGCTAGTTTTTGTGTTTTTAGTAGAGACAGGGTTTCACCATGTTGTCCAGGCTGGTCTTGAACTCCCGACCTCAGGTGATCCGCCCGCCTCTGCTTCCCAAACTGTTGGAATTACAGGCGTGAGTCACCACACCCTGCCCATCTAACACATTTATTTCAATTTAATGCTACTGTCTGATGGACATTCTGAATCACATGAGGTAAATTAATAGTCAATGTCCTTATCTTATAGACAGACATTCACAACACAATCTTTACCACATATACCCCAAACCCTTAAATGATGCAGTGATAGGTGCACTAATAATATTTCTATAGAATTATCAATTTCAATTGAGAGGCCAAGGATTAAATAAGCTTGGAAATTGAACAAACTTCTAGAAATTCTGGAAAGAAAATGTGGCTCTGAGAACAGAACCAATGTCCTAGATTCTCCTTATAGGCAGAGGTTTCTAACCTTGGATAAATCATTCACTTACTGTTTGCTTAATACAGACATTCAGAGAGAGATGGCTGATTAAATTAAGATTGAAGTAATGACCAATCACCAGATTTTTTAGTGAAAATGTAAGGTAGGTTTTCTTTGTGTGTACGTGGCATTGATATTATTTACACTTAGCAGATCACTTGATACAATACTCATCATTTGAAATAATTGTGTTCTTCTGTGTCTAACTATTCATTAAACAATCCATTGATCGCAGTATTCAACCTGTGCACTGAACTAGCAATAATATCTCTACCTCCTAACACAAAGGTGAATATTGTATCCAAGTGGGAAAGTGGTGTCCACACTGAAGATTGTGATGTTTACCCCTATTCAACAACTAGGATCTTTTCTGAGAATAAATAACTAATCTCCAAATTTTTGGAGGGTAGAGGGGAATTTATAATATTAGTTTTCTAAACAATAAACACCAACAGCACCACTCCTGGAGACCAGGTATTAGAGGAAAGGGAGGAAGACACAGTCAACTATACCTTCCAGAAGTCTCTTCTACAGTATTACGGTAAATAAATAACTGCAGAAAAACAGGCTGAATATTTGGATTGGAATAAATAGTAGCAGAAGAATTCTTTCTTCTAAGCCCTCAACAGACCATTAGTCTTATCCTTATCTCTGTGCTTGGTGTTAGTACTTTAGATGCTACATATATCCAGTTTTTCTCTGATGATGTAACTTTTTTTCTAACCTACTTGATCAGTGTATTCATTAAACAGGCATAATATTACTGTTAATGTATAAGGAATACATAAAACATATTTTTCTTTTAAAAATGTATAAATAATCTCACAGTATCATGTTACTGGTTTAAATTATGGAAATAAAAGAAAAACTGAGTAAAGAGATCTTTAATTCATCACCTTTTGAATTTGTTTTATTATGATGGAAACCTATGGTGATAGTTTGATGACTATGTACTTGTGTTTGAAGTTTTGTACAGGGATAAGTAATCTGGGCCATTTTTTACATATTGCATGAGGGTAAAAACTGTATATCAGTTTGTAATATGCAGATATACATGTAATTACATAGACATATATATTTACATTTATATGTGTGTATGTCTGCAAATTGTATACAATCCAACATAAACACATATCTTGGCACTTATTATAGTTACTAAAAGCACATAAAACTCTAATAAATTTAAGTAGTGTGCTGTGCTTATGTAAAGGCAAATTTTGTGACTAATACTGTCCATCTCTCCCTCAAATTAGTCTAAGGGATGAAAAAATGGAGAAAAAAAGAGGTAGGGATTCTTTTCAAAATCTTGTTTAGAATTTTCCTCTAAAATACTATACTGTATTTAAGAATATGTTTTTAATGATCTATGTGTAAAGGACTGTATGCTTTTTCCATAACCTTATAAATTGGTATTTTACAAAGAGCATGTAAAAGCCTTATATATTTTCATATATTTTTTACATTAGTTCATTTGACCTATTTCCTGATGTCGTATCTTCAGTCTCTGTGATGCTCCTGCTTCACCCTCAGGTCTCTGATAATAACATTAGTCCCTCTTTGTGTTAATAACATTTGCACATTATTTATTTGTCACAACCCTAAGCTTTCTCTCTCAGACAGAATTCACATTCAGTTTCTTGTTCTTCTCATAGGTATGAAATAAAGAACTTCCACTATCTTCTCTGGTCCACCAGGCCCCTTCCTCTTATTACGGCCTGGCCCAAAATTTAAAAAAAAAAAAAAAAAAGACAATAAGAGGCAGAACTAACCTATTAAGATCTTCCTACATTTTACAAGCAGTATGTGTGTTTTTTCTAGTATATACTTATTGTCTCTGCAACCCATGTTTATGGCACACCAAGTGAATTTTACATTGTGAAATAAATGTTTTTGGGTACAAGTTGGAATCAAGAAATTCTGAAGACCTGAATAATTTGTATGCAAAGTGGTTCAGA
Organism: Homo sapiens; assembly: GCF_000001405.40. NCBI lineage: Eukaryota > Metazoa > Chordata > Mammalia > Primates > Hominidae > Homo > Homo sapiens. Next base: position 59,689,389 of record NC_000008.11, read on the forward strand.
CCCTTTGTTATTATACGCTTCATTGTCTGCTGGTCCTCAATTTATATCAATATCATGGAGGTGTTTAAAGTATACCTTTTGGATTATTGACCACTTTAGGTTTTTGTTTTTCCAATAGGTAGACAACAGAAATCTAAAAGCCATCCAGGCGCAGTGGCTCACGCCTGTTATCCCAGCACTTTGGGAGGCCGAGGCGGGCGGATCACCTGAGGTCTGGAGTTTGAGACCAGCCTGACCAACATGGTGAGAAATCCCGTCTCTACTAAAAACACAAAATTAACCAGGCATGGTGGTGCATGCCTGTAATCCCAGCTACTCAGGAAAGGCTGAGGCAGGAGAATCGCTTGAACACCGGAAGCGGAGATTGCGGTGAGCCGAGATCGTGCCATGGCACTCTAGCCTGGCAACAAGAGTGAAACTCCATCTCAAAAAAAAAAAAAAAAAAAAAATCTAAAAACCAAGACATAAAATGAAAGGTCTCATCTCATAATTTTAGAGGAAAAACGTATTGTTTAGAAATATGTATTAATATATCTAAAATATGCTATACTTCCCAAATTGACATAGTATGGATGATCTTTGTTTCTGATAATGTAACAATGAGAATTATGTACTGACTTATTGGTCACAAAAATATTCCAGAGTTGTTTTATTGTGCTGAAGTCATTCATTAGTGTCTTATTACTGAAACACATTATTTTTCTCTAGGCATGTATATATGCTTAAGTTGCTTCATTGATTCCAGTTAATCCCGTATCTTACAACTATGACATCTTTGAACTTTGTTCCTGTGTTTTGATTCATTTTGGCCTTATAGATTCCATTTAAACAAACAAATCTCAAAACATACTTGACTCATATTAGACTCCTAGAAAATACTATGGAATTGTGCTTATTGTTTCTTATTAATTTAACCATGAACCATTAAGTTATTCCTAGTGATTTTGTTTTATATATAGTGGCTGATAGAGTTTGAGTGTTTGCCCTCTCCAAATCGCATGTTGAAATGTGATCGCCAATGTTGAAGGGAGGGCCTAATGGGAGGTGTTTGGGTCATGGGGGTGGATCCCTCATGAATGGCTTGGTGCCCTCCTCATGGTAATGAGTGAATTCTTGTTCTGGGTTCATGTGAGATCTGGTTAGTTAAAAGAGCCTGGAGGTTCCTCCTCTCTTTCTTGCTCCCTCTCTTGCCATGTGATATGCTGGCTCCCCCTTTGTAAGCTTACTGAGGCCCTCACCAGAAGCTGAGCAGATGATGATACCATGCTTGTACAGCCTGCAGAAACATGAGCTAAATAAAGCTATTTTCTTTATGAATTATCCAGCCTCAGACATTTCTTTATAGCAATGCAAAAACGGACTAACACAGTAGCTTTTTCATCTTTGAAAAATTTTCTCTCCTCTTCTCCTGAAGAGATGTCATATAATCTCTTTTGGGAAATATTTTTTCTCTTTCCAAAATATTATAATCTGTTAAAATCTTGATATAAACATTGCAATGGGAAATATCTCTTCTGGAATATAAAGGAAACACTGCATGAATCTGAATGCATGTATAGGGAGTGTTCTTTCTTTTCAGATCATTGTTCCAAAGTAATGAGCATTTTCTTTTGTTTTGGTGGTGGATAACATGGAGTAACAACATGTCTTTACAAGTCTTCTCTCCAAATACCCATTATATATTTCAGGACTAAGAATAAATATGATTTAAGAAATAAACACAGTTTAATTCTGTTTTTTCGACGTTAAATTGCTTATCAGCCCATAAGCCAGAATGGTGTTGAGATGGCTAATGTTCCCGCTCCTCTCTTAATTAGAGAAACTTTTTTTGTTAGGGCTTATGATAAGTTTTTTCAGAGAACTCCACAGGAGAGTTTTGTGTTTTAACAAAGTTTATAGCTGGATGGATGGGGCTGAAGGAGTGGTATTTCAAACACCATCCACATTCAGGGGAAATGTTGGGTGTGTTATAAATTTTCAATTCCTCATTGAAATCCTAGGTATAAATAATATTCCATGTTGCTTTTGGGGAAGGTATACACCTATCTTCAGGAAATTGCCAATGTCAGAATGAAAGCATACAGTATTACATTTATATTAAAGATGTTTTTCAACTATAAAACAAGTGCGTATTTAGAATTTACTAAGAAAGCTTATTCATTGCATTTAACAAAAAGGAGAAGATACTTTTTTAGTCTTAACATATGCAAAATAGAAAGCTAATAATTTTAACCATGATGACATATCTTTATCATACTTGAAGAATGACTTTTGGCTGGAGGGCAATGGCGCCATCTCAGCTCACTGCAACCTCCACCTCTCAGGTTCAAGTGAATCTCCTGCCTCAGCCTCCCAAGTAGCTGGGATTACAGGCACCCGCCACCACGTCCAGCTAATTTTTTTATTTTTAGTAGAGACGGGATTTCGCCATATTGGCCAGGCTGCCCTGGAACTCCTGACCTCAATGATCCACCTGTCTTGGCCTCCAGAAGTGCTAGGATTACAGGTATGAGCCACCGAATCCAGCAAAAAATGACTCTTAAAACTTTCTCCAATTACATAGAAATCAGTTTAATAACATTTTAGCAAACATTTGATTGCCTCTTTCAAGCCAAACATTCTAACTTTAAGGAACAAAGAGAGACTGAAAAAATAGAATAATAGAAGAAAGGAGAAATAAACAATTACAAAAGTAATTATGACATGGAAGACAATTTTTGTACCAGAAATATACCACCAAATGTAGGATAAATTAATTTGGAGTAGAGGTTAAGGGCCATGATTCTGTTCAGGTTGGTCAGAGAGACAGGCTAGATCAAACAATGTTGAAGAGATAGAAATTTGTTAGACAAATACAATGAAAAGAATATTCTAGTTAGAGGAAAACATGTAAGAAAAAAAACAATATGTGGAGTAGTTTAGTGTACTCATTAAATAACAAGTGATTTAGTGTTTTTTCAGCATAGAATTCAGAGAAGTTGAAGGAGACTAATGTGAAAAGACAGATTGGACAGATTAAAAATGGTTCCATTCATCTATCTATCAACTTATCCTTCCACCACTGAATTATATACCATGCTATAAAACTTGAACTTTGTTCTCAAGTCTAAGGGAGACTTTCCTGAGTTCTGTCAACACTCAGTGGATTTTGGATTAATGAGAGACAAGTTAGTAGAAAAAAAAGACCAATCATGAGTCTACTGGAAACCTAACACTGAATTACCAAACAACTAATTATTGAATTATAAAAGAGAGTATCTTGTAAGTTATTAATATAGAGTATCTTATATATGCTGGATTACATTGTACCCTATTATATTATACTATTGCATAACTATGTATTATAAGGTCTCATAATATCATACACATTATACACTCTAACATTCTATGTGCTTTATATATAATATAGAGAATGTCACATCTATCCTATTTGCTACGAAGTACATACTTTATATTTCATTCTTTAATTCATCATATACTCTATATTATAAAATGCCATATATAATACAGTATAGTATGACATACAAAGTACCATATATTATGAAATACATATAATATATATGTAGGAAGCTGTATCTGGAAACAATTTCTTCAAAATAATAAAGGCTATCAGTAATATTTGTTTGGTCGATTTTAAAAAATACTCCTTGTACTTTTTAGTTATTTTCACTTAATGTATATTATTTTTACAAATAGTGACTTTTAACATAATATTCAACTGTGTTAATCTAGCAAAAGATTATAAGAACCCTAAAGTGAGACCACTGCATGTGGAAAATGTAAGTAAAATTTAACAGGCATTTTGGAGGTAAAAGTAACAATGCTTGATGCTTTATCAAACATGGGCACAAAGATACTGAGAGTTTGGTACAACTTTCAAGGGTTCTGCTTTAGGTTAGTAGATTGGTCAATGAATACAAGAGAAAATAAGTGGAGTACAGAGGCAGATGAAATAGAAGAAGTTAGAAGAAACATGAACAAGAGGTTGTCCGGGAATATTTGCAAGATATCCAATAGAATATCTAGGCCCAGATCTAGGAGTAGAGTATGAAGCTAGAGATATAATTTGAGGAACCACAAAAATATATGAATTTGTGTAACTCCCACCAATAATACTATGATATGTATTTGATTATGTCAATTTTTATGTTACAAAATGATAATGCTACTAAATATTATAGACTCAATTATGTATCCCCCAAATTCATATGTTGAAACCCTAACCTCCAATGTGACTGTACTTAGAAAAAGGACTTTTAAGAAGGCAATTAAGATTAAATGAGATCATAAGGTTGGGTCCCTAATCCAATAGAAATAGAGTCTTTATAAGAGGATGAAGAACCACTAGAGCTCTCTCTCACCACACACACATACACAAACACACCTACACATCCCTCCCCTCCCACACACACACAAAAGACCCTGTGAGGACACTGTAAGAAGGTGGTCATCTGCAAGCCAGGAAGAGAGGCCTCACCAAAAACCAACAATGCTAATACCTTGATCTTGGACTTCCAGCCTCTAAAACTGTAAGGAAATATATTTCTAGTTTTTGTTTTGTAAGTCCCCCAGTCTACGGTACTTTGTTATGGAAGCCTGAGCTAACTAATACTCTAGCATAGGTATTAGAAATGACCATCCTGCATCAAGTCTCCTATGTATACTGTAGGTTTTTTCAATACATAATTTTAAATCTTCACTTACTTCCTAGAAGCAGAAACTGAGAAGAATGTTTAAATAACATGGCCAAGCAGTAAGCAGTGGCAGGGATCATACTCCAAAAATATGACTCCATCCCTGACCAGAATTATTTCCTTAGCCTCACCAAATAAAGGTGGTGAACAATTATAGATAAGAGGGACTGGAAATTGCTGTTAGAATCCACTGTAGCCTTGGCATTGTTAAATTTATGTAAGTACAAATAGCAAACTATACATTGTTCCAATGTTTAAATCCACATATAAATAATATACACATAAATAAAGTACGGTTATATGTGCTCTTTGGCAATAAGAAGGTCAGAAAAAAAGAAAAGTTTAATTAGAAATAATATCTGCACCTAATTCAATAGGTAGGCAAAGGAATGGGAACCAGACAGCAAAAGAAAACTAAGAAGATGGGACAGAATTGGAGACAAATTTGTGAGAGGAGGGAAGAACTCTTCTAGGGGGAAGAAGGGATCATTTTTCCTTCCTTGCCTACCAGTGGGATGGGGAAAACAACAAGAAGATGTTAGTAAATTTCTTGCTATTTTTGACTTTGAGCAGATTTACATGACTTTGATTCATTTTGATCCAATTTTGCCGTTGCTAGAAAATGAATAAGAAAAGAACAAATTATGTTGGATGAATCTAACTTATCAGTATGACATGGAAGATCTCTGTAACGGCTCTGGCTTTATGATACCCGACAGGAGGGAGAGGAATGGCATTGCACTATTCATGTGGATATTGTGTTTCTCTGACTGCCCTTTATTATACTGCAAGTACAGTAGTTTTCACTTCCACAAACTGGGAATAGTTCCAGAGGAATGCATCTGGATAACATTTGCTCATTACCCACCCCAGAAAAGAATTAGTCAGCAAGGGCCCTATTCATAAAAACGAATTCCATCCATTTCTACTTGAATGTCACATCTTTATGTAGAAAAAGTGTGGGGTGAGCGCTTTTTTCTACATAAAGAATGCTTTTCTGTGATTAATGAATCACTCTCCCTATCCAATATGTAAGTAGACACTTCTGATTATATACCTGAGGGAGCTCAAAGAATACAGATCTAGTGAGAGGGGCGTGATGGGGTATTTCTGGATTGAATTGAATCCTTTCTGAAAATGGGTAAGGTGGAAGGTACAGATTTCAAGATAAATGCATGCTTTTTAAACTATATAAGAACTATAACAGGATATCTTGAACTTAAAAACTTATATTCATTAATCAGGTGAAAGTTTTAAGAATCACAGTTTCTGTGAACAATCTGTGGTTACTAGATCCCAGGCTGTCAATCTGGTGTTTAACATCAAGAAATCCTAATTCCCAGAAGTAAGGAGTTAATCTTAATGGAGTAATATAGTTTTAATCAGCCCATAAGGTTCATAAATTGGGTTGATTGGAATCACATCATTAGACAGTGAATCTGGGCAAATTTTTAATAGTCACCAAGGGTGCCTGAGATTTATGACCTAGCCAGTTTATTATTTTCTTTTGGTTGAGTGATCATTTTAATGTCCTGTGACATACAGTGTACCTTGCCTACTGTGGAATTTGCTCAATGACAAAAAATTTTAACATACCATAAGTCCAGATTGTTACATTTCAACTACAGTACCGAATTAAATGTTATGCTTTACTTCAGGCACTTCAGGGAGATGAAGTATTTTATTGGCGATATTTAATGTAGTTCCAACTGTTGTGTTAAGGCCCTGCATAAAACAGGCTCATGCTAAGATGAATATTGCCAAACAAAAGATTAAAACACCTCCAGAAACACTGGAAATTTAAAGAATGTATTACCAGAATGGCATCTTAGGCTATTCGTGTTGTCATTGCTGCCATGTTTACTATAGAGGCACAGCTGACTTTTTAGTCGTACAGAACTGCAATAAACACACATATGCACGCACAAGGAACGTAGGCATGTAAACTTTACATGTCCACTTGAACATTTATGATTTAATCTATGCTATTATTAAGTGTATGTACATACTCTAAGAAAACTCTTGGGCCAAAGTCTCTCCATATCTTCCTTCCTATTACTACAGTGTGGTAGAGTGGGATTCTGATATCAGAAAAGGGGAGTACAACAGAATCTCCTTCCCGCAAAAGTGAGTAAACTCTACAAGTACCTGTGAGCACTTTTCAGGGGACTGATTTGATGGAAAATATGCAGATTTAAAGGGAATGGAAGCTACATCACTATAAAAATTCATTTACTAACCCTAGTTATACTACTACTATGGAAGTATCATATAAAGAGTGGTTCCAGGATTAAATGAAACCTCAGGTGTGAAATTGTAAGGATAAAAATATAAATAAGAATCGTATGACCCACTAGGTGTCAGACATCTTAGTAATCACTTTGCATCATTTAATTTATCCCCATGATAACTGGATGAAGCAAACCCCATTTTCCCCAATTTTAAATAAGAAAATTGAGAGCTAACAAGGTTAAGTTACTTATGTGAGATCACACAGTTAGTCAGTGCACCAGACTAGAACTCAGTTCTAGGTGCATCGGATCCCAAGCCAGCAATCTTAAAAACACATTATGTTGCCTCAGGAGTAATCACGACACCATCAAATTTTATAGTTGGCAGTCATATTAGGCTACAGGCAATTACGCTCTCTTTCCTTTTAGCCATTTAAAGCCTAATTTGATTGAGCTATTAACTAGTATGTCATATAATTAGTTTTATTCTTGGCTAAAAACAGAGGTCTGCAACCCAGGTCCATGGAAAATGGAACTGGTTTCAAAAGCACTGCATGGCACTGCAGGTGCAATCTGCCTACCTTTCTGATGGACTCAAGAGAATTCACTATTTGCAGGCCCCATATAAAACCCTCTTAGTGGTAAATATTGTTTCTTCATGTATTCTTTCATAATCTACCTTGTTTTAGTGACTCATCTCCCCAGCATTACATTCTCTCTCATTTTTCTCAAACCATAGACTCCCAACCCCCACCATAGGCTAATAAAATGGTCTTTTCTCCTCATCCAATCATTAACCTAGGGCCTCAAGAAAAGTTACCATGGGTTATCTGATAATGACTAACAGAAAAATGAATCTATTCTCTTCTGCATGGCTGATAGATAAGGAATGCATGATTACTACTATTCTTATAAAATTTAAGGTCTTTGCACAAAGACATATGGTTTAAATAGATAATGAAAAATAAACAAATAAAAGTCTAACTTTCTGTCAATCTTCATCAAACAAGGCAACTGGCATTTTGATTTCAAAATGTCTTGTAAAGACGACTTATTGGCTACATAAATAAAAATGCGTATATCTGCAATTCAAATATCTGATTTCAAATAATCAGCCACAGGCCAAAAATGCTGGTAAGATCACTCACAGATGTTTCACAGAAATTGAGAGAAGAGAGGTCAACATACTGTAAATACATATAGTTGTCCAATGCTTCTCTGGCCAATTTCCTCCTCAGCAGAATACATTTAGTGTAATAAATGTTTCATCTGGGAAGCTTTCCAGATTCATCATTAAAATATAAAAGTAAGCACAGTTTTTCTTTGTGGATCTTTTTTCCATCACAATATCATTCACATCTCAGAGGCATGCTGAAATGTGTTGGTGACTACAAAAGGGTTAGAAGAAAAATGCGAATGTAAAAGAAAGAAATAAAAAATTAATAGAAGGGTATAGAGTTTACAAAGAAAAGTCCTCACTTGTGGAATAAATTTAAACTCTATGTCTCATTGTCATAAGCTCAATGACAGCACGATACATTAACCACGCATTTTTTTTTTCTGATGATGCCTTTTTTCTTCTTTGACATGAGCAAAAATTATCTCTTCACTAAATTTCTGTAATATTTGTGGACTATTCTGCCTTGTATTGTTACACATTTTTTTATCAGACTTTAAATTCACTGGAGCTGAGAAGCATGTTTTAGATTCTATGAATTCCTCATTGACCTAGGATATCATAACAAAATACCATAAACTGGATAACTTAAACACAACTCTGGAGGCTAGAAATTCATGATCAGGTGCAAGCATGGTATGGTCCTGTTGAGAGCTCTTTCCCTGGCTTGTGGCCAGCCACTCTCTCACTATCTGCTCTTGTGGCTTCCTCTTTATGTACTTCCTTTGAAAGAGGAAGCTCTCTGCCATCTCTTCTTACAAGTGCACTAATCCCATCACAAGGGCCTCATCCTCATGGCCTCATCTAAATCTAAATATCTCTCAAAGGTTCTATCTGCAAACACTATCACATAGGGGGTTAGGGCTTCAACATAAGAATTTAGGGGAGACACAAGCATTCAGTCCATAGCACTCGTTCCACCTAGCACAGTGTCTTGCACATTGAAAATAATCTGTACATATTAGCTCATGGATTGAATTAAGGAGAGTTAGTTTGCATGATTTTCACAATCAGAAAAAAACATTTATCAGAAGTTTTTGATACTGGGATTAAAGAATCTGAGTGAAACCTTAAATAAGGGAGGGGAAATTTCGCTAAGAATTGGATTCAAAGGAAGACACCTTAGGAAGAAAAAAAAAAAAAAAAAGAGAGACTCAAGGGGGAGTGTAGAAGGAAACCTGATGGTTATCATCCTATTATTCTGCCTAAAGAATCACAACAGTCAAAAAGTCTAGAAAACTTGAATTATTTTTCTAATTGTCTAAAGCACTGTTTTTTTTGTTTGTTTGTTTTTTCTTTTTTTTTTATTATTATACTTTAAGTTTTAGGGTACATGTGCACATTGTAAAGCACTGTTTTTTAAAGGGAGGTACATTCATTCTGCTATTATTTTCTTTCCATATCTATAGATCATCTTGTGTTCTGCAGAATGAATATACCTCCCTTTAAAGCACTGTTTTTTAAAGGGAGGTACATTCATTCTGTAGAACACAAGATGATCTATAGATATGGAAAGAAAATAATAGCACTTCTATTCATATTTTTATCTAAAAAGTTTAGAAAACAATTAAGCTCCTATATTACAAGAGGCAACCCGAGGAAAGTATTCTACTGTGCTTTTTATAAGCATTTATAACCTTTTTTATGTTTATGTGTGCCTGGTTTTGTCAAGTGTTATGAAATAAAATATCTCAAAATGAACAAGTGCTTTTAAATAATCTCAGGTTAAGTCAGGAAAATAAAAATCACTCCACGTATTTCCAGCAGGAATGAACTTAATTCAGGGAATTGAGTGATTACAAAACCACAAAAAAGGTGGAAAGAGCAGAATCAAGGGGAACATCACCAGTTTTCAGATGCTGATGCAGAAAATTAGGAAGTTGTTATTGCCATGCAAAGATCAGGAAGTGCAGGAAACTGTGACCAAGTTTATAGTCACCACTGTTCTGTGAGCCTGAGAAGGTGACAATGGTAAGAGGATGGTATTTGGGCAGCCTTGTCATGATGCTCAGTTGCCAAAGCCCAAGGATACATCACTAAACTAGGGAAGATGGAATGGCTTGAAACACCTTTCCACCTTCCACGGCTTCTGAAGCACATTTTTGGCAGGTCCTAAACTGTATCCAGAACCCTCTGGCAAGAGAGTCTGGCAAAGTCTTCCAGACCCTGAAGAACAAGGAAAAACCCAGTAGGGAATGGAATGGTTGCTGAGTGCCAACATAACCTTTCCAGCCCAGAGGAAAATATAAATAATATTAGCACCAGAAACAATGAGAAAATGGCAGAGTTGACACTTAGTGTAAGTTTGCAGACATATTATAAGATTATTTTCACGAAAGAACATATATATTCTAATTTGATGATATATATAAATATAGATATTTTAATTGAATATAAGTTTATATGTATAAAAACATACATATATACATACATATATGTGTGTTTATATATTTATATTCCAATTGTGTGAAAAATTGTCCCCAAAAGTCTAAAATTTTCTAAAGTTATATTTTAAATATGGATTTGTATCCACTATTATTTATTTATTTATTTTTAGAGCTGGGATCTCACTCTGTTGCCCCTACTGGAGTACCATGGAACAATCATATCTCACTGCAGCATTGAACTCCTGGGCTCAAGGGATCCTTCTGCCTCCGGCTCCCAAGTAGCTCAGACTACAGGCTCACACCACACCCAGCTAATTTTTTTTTTTTCTATTTTTTTAGAGCCAAGTCTTTCTAAGTTTCCCAGGCTGGTCTTGAACTCTGGGCCTCAAGCAATTCTGTTACCTCAGCCTCCCAAGTTGCTGAGATTACAGGCACGAGCCACCATGTCAAGCTCCAATACTCCCTATTATTAATATGACTTTCACCCTAAGTCGTATATTGAGATTTTTAGCTAACGATAATGGGAATCCAGTATGCTATGGAAGACACTGAAAACTTTGCATTCAGAACATGATAGCAATGACTACGTTATTTCATGTGATATTTAAGTAATGCAAGCCTTGATTTAGTACTTTATAGAATTTCATTAAACTTGATAAATATTTAAAAGCCTCTGTTGAAGTTTTTAAATAAATAATAAAAGAGGCCAAAAAAAGGTACATACCATTGAGGAAACAATGTTCTTTCCACCATGGTAAGTTTTGCAATAATAAATAGAAAGTGTGGCAATAAATTAAACATTTTCTTCAGCCAGTAAATAATGTTGGATGATACATAAAGTACATTGCTGATCATTTGTGAAAAATAAATATTATAAAATATTATGCAGCCTGAGAGGTTATACAGCTCAATAACAGTATAGATGTTTCCAGCATGTATCATGTTATTTTCTAAAATCTGTGCCAACAATGAAATGGATATAGAAGTAATTATTATAAGTTACTAAAGAGTTTCTAAAGAAGATGTAGTCTGAACATTAAAAATTTCATTAATGAGGCTGGGCCCGGTGGCTCATGCCTGTAATCCCAGCACTTTGGGAGGCCAAGGCTGGCGGATCACCTGGGTCAGGAGTTCGAGACCAGCCTGGCCAACATGGTGAAACCCCGTCTCTACTAAAAGTACAAAAATCAGCCGGCTGTGGTGGTGGGCACCTGTAATCCCAGCTACTCAGGAGTCTGAGGCAGGAGAATAGCTTGAACCCAGGAGGCAGAGGTTCCAGTGAGCTGAGATCGGCCACTGCACTCCAGTTTGGGCGACAAGAGCAAGGCTCTGTCTCAAAAAAAAAAAAAAAAAAAAAAAAAAAAAAAAATTTCATTAATGAAATAAAGTTTAAAGGAGAAAAATGTGTAAGTTTAGCTGCCAATAGAGGAACTTCTCTGATGAGAATAAAAATAACATGATTTAAAAGTTCCTCGAATAAGTGTACAGAGATAGTACCATAAGTGAAATTATCCACAGTATTACTCACAAAGGAGTTATTGTAGCAAAGTGACATAACAGAATGTGAGAGATTTAATACACCCAGTTAATAAAATCCAGAGCTTTAAAATACAAGAAAATATTTAAAATAGTTTATTATGAGATTGGGAGAGGCCGCTATCATTTTTTGAAACAAGTGTAGATTTTGCTGCAGTTTTATCATGGCAGAGTGTTTTTAAAACGTTAACTTAAAATTATACTTGCTTTCTTTTTTTTTTTTTTTTTTTTTTTTGAGACGGTGTCTCGCTCTGTAGCCCAGGCTGGAGTGCAGTGGCGCGATCTCTGCTCACTGCAAACTCCGCCTCCAGGGTTCACGCCATTCTCCTGCTTCAGCCTGCCGCGTAGCTGGGACTACAGGCGCCCGCCACCATGCCCGGCTAATTTTTGTATTTTTAGTAGAGACGGGGTTTCACCGTGTTAGCCAGGATGGTCTCGATCTCCTGACCTCGTGATCCGCCCGTCTCGGCCTCCCAAAGTGCTGGGATTACAGGCGTGAGCCACCGCGCCCGGCTCATTTTTTTTTCTTTTACCAGCATTCCAATTCTGTTGACATTGGTGGTGGTGTACAGATGTGAAGTAGAAAATAAAAATATAAATTTTATGTAAACACATCTCACTGGACTCCTCAAAATAAGGAAAATGTTTTAACAATGAATGAGAAAATAACTGCTTTTCAAAAGAAATAAATGTTACGGAAGAACACTTTGGAATCAGTGTTTGAAAAATGTTCATCAATTATGTTACTTTTTGCCCAAAACAAAATATGAGAACTATAAATATCCTTATCAGTATACTTTTAAGAAACTTGAAAAATTTTCAGAGCTTATTTTTAAAAAATAAAAATAAAGTACTTTACAGAAGTTTGATATCAAGAATTGTTATCCAGAAAAATGAAAAATATGTAAGGAATTCTTAAGAAAAACCTAATGATATTGAAAAATAAATACTTTGGTTTGATAAGATTAATTATATTCTTTCACTTTTATCTATTTTAAAAGTATTTTTAAATCCTTAATGATCATTAAATTAAGTATCAAAATAATCTAAACTTAGACCTTCAAATTTCTGCCTTACAAAATCTTGAGAGCTTAAAAATTATTGATTGCATTTAAAGACACTACTTTATAATGCTTTAGTTAGAACAAAAAATTGTTGAATTAAAATATAAAATATTGTTTATTTCTTATCTCATTTTAAAATTTCTATTGCTGTGTATTTTTTGCGATGTAAAATTACATAATAAATTAAGTCAGTGTATTCATTATCTCCTGCTACATAAAAAATTACTCTAAAACTTACTGGCTTAAAGCAGCAATTATTTATTTTTCACAGTTTCTGTGGATGAGGAAGGCAAGCACAGCTTTGTTGGGTGGCTCTGGCTCAGGGTCTTTCATGAGGTGAAACTCAACTGTTAGCAAAGGCTGCAGTCCTTCTTGAGAATCAACATGAGCTGAAAGGTCTGCTTCTAAACTCTCTCACGTGGGTTTTTGTAGGTTTCAGATGCTCACCGTCTGCTAGGCTGAGGTCTCAACACCTTGCTATGCTACATGGGCTTTATATGGACTGCTCACATTGTGGCAGCTGGCTTCCCTCAGAGTGAGAAAATGGGAAAGGATGCCCATAATGGAAGCCACTGTCTTTTCATACCCTAATCTCAAAGTGACATCCCACAACTTTGCTACATTTATTAAAACTGCATCATTAGGTCCAACCCATGTTCTGGGAAGAGGAACAGACAATGGCATGAACACCAGAAGGTGGATAGTATTGAGGGTCACCTTAGAGGTTGCCTACCTCTTGCATAAATGCACATGTACAGTTTGTAGGGAGATAAATATTTGAATACTGAGTTGCTGAGTTTTCTGTTTGGGATAATGAAAAAAGTTCTGGCAATAAAAAGTGATGATTTTACAAGACCTTGCGAATATACTAAATGCCATTGAATTCTACACCTAAAATGGTTAAATGGTAAATTTTATGTTATGCATATTTACCATAATAAAAAGTTTAAGCAATTGGTTACAAAATTGGCTTTCAATTAAAAAAAATTTATAAACCGTGGGCCACAAGAAAAGATTAGGTTCTTTAAAAAATCACAAAATGTTAAGTGATTGAGGTAATAACCATTTTGGATGTAGGTGAAATCTACAATTATTTTTAACTCATAAAGATGAGAATAAAGAGGGGTGATGATCAGATAAAAGCTGGGATGAATCTTTCAATTATTTAGCTTTTTCTAAGATGTCTTATAAATCCTGCATTCAAGAGGTAAGTGAATTTTATATGTTATTCCAGAGCAGGCATTTAAACTGAATTCAATGTCATTTATCAACCACCCACTCCCGCTCCAATACAAACATTTCCGATTCTTACATTTTTCTTTCAAACAGCAGAACCACCATGAAAGACTTTATCCAAAATGGAAGTCCCACCATCATCAGTGACTTCTCATTCTCAGCAACCCGTTGGCCACTTGGGGTTGCCAGTCTTGCCTTCTAAATATCTTTCAAATTCTATGCCTTCATTTTTCACCCCAAACATGAATGCCCTAGTACAGGCTCTTATCTTTCCATACCTGGCTTAGTAAAAACCACTGTGACTGGATTTTCCACATCTCCATTCTACTCTCCCTCTAGCAGTCATTCTTCACACTGTTACAGAGTAATTTTTTTCTGTTCTTATATGTGATCTGGTTGCTTTATTTTAAAAAAGTGGTATCTTTGTAGATAAATACTAAAATACTTTGAATAACATACAAAATCCTTCAAAGTTTAAGCTTGCTCTCTTTTTCAGCCTCATTATATTCTAATTCAACCATGCCTTACCTTCTAGCGAATCGTACTACATCTCTCCTTTTTTTCCGGCTTGTTGCTCCTTCTCTCTCTCTCTGTTTTCTTTTCCTTTTTATGGGGGATGGGGGTGGTGGGGAATGGGATGCATCTGATTATATGGTGAGAATATGCATATGTCTGTCTTTTCTACTTGTCCAGGACTTCTTAGAAGCCTTATTTATCTTTGATCCTCAGGGATTAGACACAGTCCTAATTCTTGATATTTAGCTACAGTCATGATTGTTGTTTAATTTGAAAATGAGTGAATGAATAAATTATGTAATAAAAGAGATATGAACTTCAAACAGGATATTATATTAAATGACTTCTGTGGTCACTTCCATGCTTTCTATCCTATTACTGTTTTAATTATCTTTTAGTGGTCATGTGTGGGAAATAAAGAGCTGGATCATTGTTGTTTGGGAAAGCATTGTATTAGTCTTTTCTCACTCTGCTAATAAAGACATACCCAAGACTGGGTAATTTATAAAGGAAAGAGGTTTCATTGACTCACAATTCTGCATGGCTGGAGAGGGCTAGGGAAACTTACATCCATGGCAGAAAGGGTGGCAAACATGTCCTTCTTTAAATAGCAGCAGCAAAGAGAAGTATAAGCAAAGAGGGGCAAAGCCCCTTATAAAACCATCAGATCTCGTGATAACTCACTCACTCTCATGAGAATAGCATGCAGGTAACTTCCCCGTGATTAAATTACCTGTCACAGAGTCCCTCCCATGACACATGGGGGTTATGGGAACTACAATTCAAGATGAGATTTGGGTGGGGACACAAGCAAAACATATCAGCATATTTTAAAGTAGTTTTTTCAAATTCTGTGAAGAAAGTCATTGGTAGCTTGATGGGGATGGCATTGAATCTATAAATTACCTTGGGCAGTATGGCCATTTTCACGATATTGATTCTTCCTATCCATGAGTATGGAATGTTCTTCCATTTGTTTGTATCCTCTTTTATTTCTTTGAGCAGTGGTTTGTAGTTCTCCTTGAAGAGGTCCTTCACATCCCTTGTAAGTTGGATTCCTAGGTACTTTATTCTCTTTGAAGCAATTGTGAATGTGAGTTCACTCATGATTTGGCTTTCTGTTTGTCTATTATTGGTGTATAAGAATGCTTGTGATTTTTGCACATTGATTTTGTATCCTGAGACTTTGCTGAAGTTGCTTATCAGCTTAAGGAGATTTTAGGCTGAGAAGATGGGATTTTCAAAATATACAATCAAGTCATCTGCAAACAGGGACAATTTTACTTCCTCTTTTCTTAATTGAACACCCTTTATTTCTTTCTCCTGCCTGATCGCCCTGGCCAGAACTTCTAACACTATGTTGAATAGGAGTGGTGAGAGAGGGCATCCCTGTCTTGTGCCAGTTTTCAAAGGGAATGCTTCCAGTTTTTGCCCATTCAGTATGATATTGGCTATAGGTTTGTCATAAATAGCTGTTATTATTATGAGCCCGCATTTCCAAGACAATCCTAAGCCAAAAGAACAAAGCTGGAGGCATCATGCTACCTGACTTTAAATGATACTACAAGGCTACAGTAACCAAAACAGCATGGTACTGGTACCAAAACAGAGATAAAGACCCATGGAACAGAACAGAGCCCTCAGAAATAATACCACACATCTACAACTATCTGATCTTTGACAAACCTGACAAAAACAAGAAATGGGGAAACGATTCCCTATTTAATAAATGGTGGTGGGAAAACTGGCTAGCCATATGTAGAAAGCTGAAACTGGATCCCTTCCTTACACCTTATACAAAAATTAATTCAAGATGGATTAAAAACTTAAAAGTTAGACCTAAAACCATAAAAACCCTAGAAGAAAACATAGGCAATACCATTCAGGACATAGGCATGGGCAAGGACTACATGTCTAAAACACCAAAAGCAACGGCAACAAAAGCCAAATTGACAAATGGGATCTAATTAAACTAAGGAGCTTCTGCACAGCAAAAGAAACTACCATCAGAGTGAACAGGCAACCTACAGAATGGGAGAAAATTTTTGCAATCTACTCATCTGACAAAGGGCTAATATCCAGAATCTACAAAGAACTCAAACAAACAACCCCATCAACAAGTGGGCGAAGGATATGAACAGACATTTCTCAGAAGAAGACATTTATGCAGCCAACAGACACATGAAAACATGCTCCTCATCACTGGCCAACAGAGAAATGCAAATCAAAACCAAAATAAGATACCATCTCACACCAGTAAGAATGGCGATCTTTAAAAAGTCAGGAAACGGCAGGTGCTGGAGAGGATGTGGAGAAATAGGAACACTTTTACACTGTTGGGACTGTAAACTAGTTCAACCATTGTGGAAGATAGTGTGGTGATTCCTCAAGGGTATACAACTAGAAATACCATTTGACCCAGCCATCCCATTACTGGGCATACACCCAAAGGATTATAAATCATGCTGCTATAAAGACACATGCACACGTATGTTCACTGAGGCACTATTCACAATAGCAAAGACTTGGAACCAACCCAGATGTCCATCAGTGATAGACTGGATTAAGAAAATGTGCCACATATACACCATGGAATACTATGCAGCCATAAAAAAGGATGAGTTCATGTCCTTTGTAGGGACATGGATGAAGCTGGAAACCATCATTCTCAGCAAACTATCTCAAGAACAAAAAAGCAAACACCGCATGTTCTCACTCATAGGTGGGAATTGAACAATGAGAACACTTGGACACAGGAAGGGGAGCATCACACACTGGGGCCTGTTGTGGAGTAGGGGAAGTGGGGAGGGAAAGCATTAGGAGATACACCTAATGTAAATGACAAGTTAATGGGTCCAGCACACCAACATGGCACATGTATATAGATAACAAACCTGCACATTGTGCACATGTACCCTAAAACTTAAAGTATAATAAAAATAAAAATAATAAAAAAACATATTAGCATATTATAACAGGATTTAAGAAAACTTACTCTTCTGTTATCATTGCAACTATTAGTACTCTTTAAATGAGTTTCTCTCCTTTTGCTTGTAAAATATTTTAATATTTATTTTCTATTGAACTTCATGATGATTTTATTAGATGATATATCAAAGAGTCTGTGCTCGTCCTGGAGCAGCTTTTGCTTCCTCTGACCTTGGATAAGTCACTTTGAAGAATAAAAATGATTATGCAAGTTCAAAGTATTATTTTTATGTAATTCTGAAGCTTCTCCAGATCGGCCCCCATATTTTGTTGAGCCTTACCTATTAACTAGCATTTATAGAGAGACACGTCTATGATATTCGCCTTGTTGTTGGGGTGTTTGGTGTACAATTCAGGACAAAATATTTTATAGACTCTATTATTAAAACCTTACTATAATAATGTTTTACGTTCTAAATAACATAGATTTATTCATTATTGCTCCTGACATTTCATTTTGTTTATAGGAACTTAAATTTTAGAAATTTTAAAAAAGATGTTATTAGCCTTGCAACTTTTTGTTTCTCATGCCAGGTATTTATTGATATGAGCCTGTGGGTTTAATGAGTAATGTACTATTAAACCTGTGGATTTAATGAGTAATGTACTATTTCATTTCAGAGTATTTATGCAGGTGTTGCTTTTCTGAATGAATATATTCAAGCAAATGCTCAGGATCATTGTAGATCCTACTATGTAGACATGAAATCTTTCTAGCCATAATGCTGCTATATTTGAAGGCATTTAAATGACATTTAGTCCATGAACTGCTTTGAAAGCTAGCTGCCAATAAATGACTCTTTAAAAGTTTTAAAATTATAATACCTGGAATAATCTATAATCCAAAAAGAGTTATGATAAGTAATTTAGTCCAAACAAAACAATGAGGATATCCTATCTCTTCTCTTTAATGTTTAATTTCTTAATAAATATTATTAAGTACTTATTTTGTTAAACACAAAATACTGCAAAAACTGATAATCACAAGTCTTGGTTTATATTTAGGTGGTGAATTTCTTCCCTCCACCATAAAGCAAATGAACAAGGCCAGATTTATGGAATTAGAAATTGAATTTCCTAGTTTATTCAGAGCCCAACCAATAGCTCTGCATGACCCCTAATGCTATCTAGTTAAAGTGTCATGGCCTGGAAATGAAAGAGCATGATCTTGAAAAAACAGTTTCCCAGTGTAGATTTCTTTTTCTTTTTAGTTTCTAGCGTTTCATCCTAAGATCCAGAGAGTTGGCAGTGAAGAGAAGGAATCGATGACAAAGCATTGATGAACAGTCAAAAAGTGACCATTACTCTACTAAGAGATGGCCTATAATTTGCTTTCATTTCTGCTTTGCAATCAAAGTGGATTCAGTAGCCTTAGAAAGGTCCAAGAGCCGTAGGTAATGGCCACTGAAAGTATTCCAAGGGGATGGTCTCCCCTTTGCATTAACCCACAACCTCCCTTAGAGAGGAGGTTATGCAGGGCATAGAGATCCAAGCGATCTAGATGGAGCACCTGCAGTATCTGCTGAAGTTACAGAACCTAAAACCTTCGTCTTCCACACAACCATCTTCCCATTTTCCTTAGGAATCACATAGAAAAACTCTCAAATGGCCAGGAAAGTTCAATGAAATCTGAAAACCACAGCTCACGTTTTTAGTTAAGTATTATAATAAACTAATATACTTTCTAGGGAGAAAAAGTGTTCTTACATGGAGAGTTTTAAAAATTTAGGCAAATATGATAATCATGATAAAAATTGTTATTTGCCCAAACTATCATCTGCTAAACATTTTTTTCTAAAAGCAGGAGCTCTCCGCACTGGAGAGTATGTTTACAGATCAGTTTGTAATATCATAAAGGCATCAGAAACTCAGAAATACACAGAGTATCTCTGAACCTATTAGATTAGCCTGAGCTCCTTCCACATGCGATTGGAGATGATCTAATTGGCTTGTGCAGTAAGTAAGTTAGCCTGAGTGTTTGAATATAATACATGTATGTTTACAGTACCAAAACACATTAGAAATAGTTTCATTTACTCTCTCTCTCTCTCTCTTTTGGTATTAGTCCTACTAAACGAAGCTTTTCACAGTGTTTCCCATGACAAGAGGGAACGTTCGGGGGAGATTTGTTGCAGTCTTCTAAGGATTTTCCTCCATCAGCTATCTTCAAATGCCATTTTAAGAGAAGAGGAACACTTTCTCAGTCTATATTTACCTAAACTGTGTTCTGTGTTTGGTTTCCCACATGAGAGAAATGGAGTCCACTCTTAACAGTGTATTCAATTGTGTTGAAAACTGTATCATATTCCATCTACCCAGTCTTGGTTTCTGTCTGAAATATAAGCAGTTGAGACAGTAATAAGAAAAAGATTCAGAGTGTCTGAAAAAACATTTTATTTTCATTACTCATTTCAAGGTACTGTTTCTAGCTATTAAATTGTGTAATTCTCTGAACACATTGAATATATATTGCTAGAAGCAGAAAGAATGTAATTACTTGAATGTTACATTTATTAATGAGATGCTTTACTGAGATTTTATATTCTGAGGATTCTTTACAGACGTCAGTAGCAAGATTGCTAAATAAACAATTTGGACCACAAAAGAACTATTTCTAATTGCTTAGTAATTTCTTTTGTAGTATTCGTGGAGTTAACAAATCTAGGCAAATGTGAGAAATTAAATTGATAATAAAGACAACATCTCATTGCAATAAAGATTGAAGAGCAATCAAGGTACATATATATATTAAACATTGCATCAATTACTCTTATATGTAAGACCTGCCTGAGTCAATTTTGTTTTTCATCTAAAATAGAATAGCTCTCACTGTATTTCACTTACCATTCAGTTTCTATTCATTCAGTAACCACTTGCAGAGTACATACTTCATGCTGAACACATAGTTAGTTACCCAGGTTCTCAACAAGAGCACAGCATTGGTAGCCAGGTAAATTGGACACCTTCATTAATACTTAAAATCTCTTTGCCTTTGAGCAGCCATTAACATGGTTTTGAAACTTGATAGCTAACCGTTTTTATTAAACACACACAGTTAGCTTTTAATAGTCAATTACGCAATAATTATACAAAACAATACACCAGAGGAAACACAAATGCTATATTCACAATGGAATTCATACCATTTCATTTTGATTTATAAAAAGGAGATGTGCTTATAAAGATGCAAAATCCTTGTTCTTTGGACATTACCTCATGTTCTTCATTCTCAGCTCTGCTTAAAAGGAGAAAAACGTATCAGTAACCACATTACTGTTCTCTTCTAGGAATTTGAATTCTGGAAGAGTGTTCCTTCTTAGTGCCCATAGATTTGTTGTTTAATTTAATTCTATTATTTTCTTAGGCCCAAGAGGTAAAATGACCTATGTAAGGCCATGTGGTTTATTTCAACTCAATTAATATGGGAACCCCCACTCTGTTGTTACACAGTGTGATGTCTATGTGACCCAGGTGAATTTTTACCCTGTCTTAACTCTGATTACCTTCAGGAAATGGAAAGCCTGAGGTCAAAAGTTTCCCCTCATGACCAAACTAGCTAAAACAGGTGGATACAAGATGGCAGCTCAGTTGACATCTGAAGAACCTCTAACTTCATTATAATCTAATTTCTATGCTAAATGACACTCCCACCAGTGCCATGACAGTTGACAATCATGATGACAATGACTCAAAGAAATCATAAAAGGACAAAAAGAAGGCAGCACTCTGTTTTCAAGAGGTTCTTTGCCCAGTCCCAGAAATGACATATTTACCCCCTTGCTTTTAATGCACAAGCCTTTCATTAAAGATGCCCTAAATCTGTGACTTCCCAGCTCTCATGAGCTGAGAAGTTGATGTGTGAGCCAAACTCCCACTTCTCAAGTCCATGGCCATCAACTAAAGTCTGCACTGTTTGATGCTTACTTTCAATTTTGTGTATTGGCTTCACAGCACAAAACAAGAAAAGCCCCACATTTTGTGGGTTCTGGCTTTGATACCCACCTGTTAAGACCTGAACTGTGTCCCCCCCGCCCCCACAATTTCATTTGTTGAATCCCTAACCCCCAATGTGGTTGTATGTGGAGATGGAGCCTTTAAGGAGGTAGTTAAGGTTATAATAGTACAGCTGTAATCCAGCAGAACTGGTGTCCTCATAAGAAGGGGAAGAGCCACCAGATCTTGAGCTCTCCCTCCACATGCACACACAGAGGAAAGGCCATGTGAAGAAGCAGAGAGAAGGTGGCTGTCAACAAGCCAAAAAGAGAGGTCTCAAGCAAACCATGTTGGCACTTTGATCTTGATGTTCTAGTCTTCAGAACTGTGAGAAAATAAAGGGCTGTTGTTTAAGCCACCCAGTCTGTGGTATTTTATGGCAGCCCAAGCAGACTAATACATTACCCAGGACCCTTGGCTCCCAAGAAGCCCTATGGGAGAAAATCATGACAACCCAGAGTGATTGGATCATCAGCAGAAGCAGGGCCAACAAGAATCCAGCCAGTGTTACCTGGTTGAGTGAATCATTTCAGGTTTTCTGAGACACTGACTGCAAGACAGAATTAGATGTGCATGAGATACATTGATGGGAAAACCTATGAAGGATAATGGAAAGAGGGAGCAGGAGTAGGTGGGTAGAGTTCTTGAGGACTGACAATGTGTGAAAAGAGAAAAAAGGATTAAATAGTTAAGTGAGAAGAGTTCCAAACTGCAAGGGTCACTCCAAGACTTTCTTGGAGCTGATCAGAAGGTCCAGAGCAGATTGCCAGTCCAAAGAGTTCTGCATCAGGACAGAGTGGCCCAGCACTAGAGCCCCTACTGTGCTCATTCATTGGTGGGGAGCAGCCCAGAACAAATATGGTCTTGGCATGAACACTGACATGGACCTGAAAATGCAGCAGCTGGAGTTTTCTACCACCTGGCCTCCTCCAAGCAGGTTCCCTTGAGAAGTGGTCAAATAGGCCACCACTAGGGTCAGCCTGTCAGTGGATCAAGGCAAAAACAGGCCTTTCACTTGAATAACCTGGTTCCTTTCCAGTTTCATACATTACTAAGCTTTAAGGCCAAGGAATGGGATAAAAGTTAGGTGTGCTACACAGAGAGTTGCAGGCTTTGGTCTAGGTGGACAAGCTACCTAGCACATGTGTTTGGTGCAGGATGTTTCTAGAGATATGAAATAAACAATAATTTTTGCTTTTCCACTGCTTCTTGTGATTAGCTGAAAACCCAAGTAACGTGATTCATTCTGTCATGGTTGACAATTTGAAGTAAACTTATTTGCAAATAAAATGATAACACATTTCTTGGGGTGTGAAGCCATCTGTTCTCATCACAAAACTTGCCCTCACCAAGTTCTTAGACTTTCATTTGAGGTTTTAAGGACCTTTAAGGTGAGCCCATGCTCCCCTGATTCCAACAATCTGATCGGACTCCTCTCAGTCTATGAAATGAAATATATCAGGAAGCATAATAAGAAAAATTTTCTGTGATAGGCATGAAATCAGCCCTAAACTCTTCAGAAAGTGGGTTGGTAACGTCAGCTTAGCACCAGTCTTCTCAGTGGAATGACATGTGTCACTGGCAAGTGGCAAGTGCTGGCCCTGGACATTGG
Source organism: Homo sapiens (assembly GCF_000001405.40). NCBI lineage: Eukaryota > Metazoa > Chordata > Mammalia > Primates > Hominidae > Homo > Homo sapiens. Next base: position 59,712,823 of record NC_000008.11, read on the forward strand.
CCCTGTTGTAAAGAAGACTCTCTGTAGGACAAAGCTCACTGCTCCCTTAGCTCAGTCAAAACAACTTCCACAGAGGACCTTCTTTTCTAATTTTGGACTCTTCTTTGTGGGAGAAGATAATGGGAAATAGAAAATATAACTGCCCTGGGCATTATGTTATTTCTATATTTGGGAACAGCTAGAGTATCCTTTATCCAAAATGCATGGGAACAAAAGTGTTTTGGATTTCAGATTTTTTTAGATTTTTGAATATTTGCAATACATTATAAAATATCTTAAGGATAGGACCCAAGTCTAAACATGAAATTCATTTATGCTTCATATATACCTTATACATAAAGGTAATTTTGTACAATATTTTTAATAATTTTGTGCCTGAAACAAAGTTTGTATACATTGAGCCATCAGAAATAAAGGTTTCAATCTCAGCCACTCATGTGGACAATCTGTGGTTTGTCCTACCTCTGAATTTATATGCTACCAATTAGCATTTTGGCTGTGACCCATCACATGATATCGGGTGTGAAATTTCCCACTTGTGGTGTCATGTCAGCACTCAAAATGTTTAGGATTTTAGAGCATTTTCAATCAGATTTTCAAACTAGGGATGCTTAACCCATATTATAAGTTCTTTCACCCATGCATGACTCTGAACGCCTTTAACTACTACCACCAAAGAATAGTTGTGAGGAATTGAAAGCTATTTTGGCCAGAAGGTCACCAGGGCTTGTAAAAAATGAGGAGTTTTCATGAGATTATGACCCTACTGACATCTTTCACAACCTTCTTGGTGGTGCTGATCAGACAAAGAGAGGAAGCAAAAGTCTCTTATGGAGTGAACCTTTGCTGTTTAAATATGCCATGGGCCTAAAATATGTTGCTTATGCCTAGCTGCAAAAGTTCAGTGGAATGTAATGACTCAGGAATGGTGAGCATACCAAAAGTTTTCCTAAATTTTTTCCTAAGTTTTACTATAGTACTTATTTATAGTTCCATGCCAGAAAACAATATAAAACAGACTTTTCTTTTCTATCAGACTAATATACTTATTACTAAGACGAAAGAAAAATACACGACAAAAACATTATACACTCAAAGTTATTTCCTTATTAGAATGGAGCAATAGTTCATAGGCAAAAAGAAAAAAGGATTAAATGGATTGTGATAAGGATATAACTGCCTTGATGAAATGTTTTACATATTTTACGCATTTCAAAAGCTCAGCTAATACTTTATTTTCATGGAATATTTTGTTTTTTTTTTAACAAAGATATGTTTCTCTGTGCTTTTCGTTTCGACAACAGCCCAGTCTTTGTAAGCCAATCTTCAACTACAATTTAATTGCATAACTGAGGAAAAAAAATATCAGCACTGAGTGATTTTGCTTTGTTTTCTAATTGTGCTGAAAGGGCTCAACCATTCCCAGGTACTCCCGAGTCCCTAGCTGAGCAGTGCTCTTAATTCTCATCTGATGCTGAAATCCTAGTCCCAGGTGAACAGCTTCCAAACAAATACATGCACAAATTTCTCAGTATCAATTCTTTTTATTAACATTAGCACTTTTATGCCAATACTGAAAGATGTTGGGTTTTATACAATATAAGGGTTTTATGACTGATGCTACATATTTTTTATTTCTCTTGAGAATCAAGGTAAATAATCCTAGCTCATGGCCTGGGATCCTGAGAGAGGCTGGTTCTTATCTGACTCTGCATTCATTGGGAAAATCACTTTTTTCTCAGCTGAAAAGGAGGCATAAGGGACAATATCTCATTTCATAGAGCTGCTTTGTGTAGACGTAAAGGAAATAACAAGTATAAAACTATTAAACTGTGGCCAGATACATGGCAGGAAGAGGTAGCTTCCTGCTGCTGAAGTCCCCTTGCACATGGAACACCCAGGGAGGCCCCAGAAGAGTTGACACTGACAATGCCCACCCACTTGATGGTGGAGACGGGATTGACCACCTCTGCTTGGGGTTCAGGAGCATTCTGTCTTAGCACTTATCCCACCATCTTATTCTATTTTGTGAAATATCACTAATTTTGTCTAAAGGAAAAAGCTATTTGGAAGAAAATCCATCACCAAACGGACATATGCCAGCACCACTGAAGGAAGAATCTCCTGTGAAATCCACATGGTGGGGCAGAGGCTCTGAGGAACCAGTTAGCTCTTCCAGAAAGATCCACACTGGCACAGACCTAGCCCCACCATACAGCAAGGTAAGATGTGAGCCAAGCCCTACAGATACCTCAGGCCTTCACGCTTCCTATTCAGAGCAAACTCCTTCTGAGAATTGTACTGATATATATATATATATTTTTTTTTTCTGAAATTTTTTGCTTTTAGGAATGAGATGAGACATTCAAACTCATTTCCCTAGAGGCACAAACCAAATTTGAAACTAGCGGAGAAAGAGTGAAAGACCAATAATTTCACCAGCTGGCTCTCCCACAATAATCTAACATTGTATGGGAAGTTGTAATATGTTGTGTGATTACTTCTTCTATTTTATTTGTTTGCTTTTTCTCTTCTATTTCCAAGTTATCTTTCTTCATTTTGTGAAGAACAATATAAGTATATAATGTTTTTGAGTTGGAAACAAGTTTGCTCAAAGCCACTGAGTTATTTTTATTTCTGAATACTTTGAGCAGGAAGCTATAATTTTCATTTTCCCCAATGTGAAAGGTAAAGAAAGAGTAACCACAGAGTCAGGTACATAATGATTATAACAAGAAATCATTTTATTGTAATCCTGCATGCTCTTGGTTATTAGGTTACTAGTTTTCTATGACATTCGACTCTTTTCAAATTGTGAAATTTGCTTAATTTTTATTGGGAACACGATGGTATTTCATCCAGAATTCAATTTTCTACTAAAATTATATTTCTCTCACCTAAATGCAGTGAGGAATGCATATATACGGTGTAATTGTCTGATTTTCAGTATTACATGTATATTTATATAATGCAAATACGTCTATTCTGCACAAAAGCTTTTCTTGAGTGTGCAACCCCCATCATAATACACATGTCTTCTGTTTCTGAAGAAGTTTTGCATATTCTTTGATACAAGAAGTGTGAATTACATAGAAATATACAAACACATTTTATGTTCAGTGACTTTTTACTTGTAGGGTATTTTACATATGAAATTCGTTATAGTGGTAGGAATCTGAATATTGTTTCTAAAGTATATCGGGATTTAATTCATGGTTTAATTTATTCTCATCCAATCCTCTCTGATTCTTAACATATTACCCCATTCCCATGCTATGCTATTACTGATTCATTCACTCAATATATTTTATGCATTTGTCTATGTGGGCTGTGTCAGTCTCTGGGTTTACAATGCTAAAAACACAAGGCACATCCTTGTCCCCAAGGACTCTGGCTTGGGCAGGAACACAGATACTATGGGAAGGAATTTTACTATGCAAGAAGTATAAATTGTTTTCCACAATAACTTTTTTTAAAGTCTTCATTATATTAGTTAGTGAAAAGTTTCTCAACAACAACTCCCTACCACCCTCCTTGTTTTTCTGGGGTGTGTCTGCGTTCTCAGGAGGTCCTGGGGGTCCCAGGGAGGCTGGATAGCTCTGGCATGGTTTATTCCCTATTACCAGCAGCGTTCCCTGAGACGGGTCCTTTCCTTGTAAAACATTCCTTCAGCCATTCTCCCCAGGCCCTCTGAGGACGTTTCTGATAGGCTGTCTGCCTCTCTAAAACACAGCACTCACTTTGTTGGGCCTTTGTCATTTAGAGTCATCTGTTTGTGATGGTTACTTTTATGTGTCAACTTGACTGGGCTGAGGGATGCTCAGATAGCAGGTGCAACATTATTTCTGGGCATATCTGTGAGGATGTTTCCAGGAGATATTAGTATTTCACTTAGTAGGCTGAGGAAAGAAGATCCATCCTTACCAATGTAGGTGGGCACCATTCAATTCTATGAGAGCCAGAATAGAACAAAATGTCAAAGGAGGGGTGAATTTGGCTTCTCTTTTGTAACTGGATAACCCATCCTGCCCTTGGACATTGGAGTTCTTCTGGCTTCCCTGATCCTCGAGACTTTAGACACTGAGATTTACACATTGTCTCCCCAAACCCTTCTTCTTCCCAGGCCTTCAGTCTTGAACTGACAGATACATCATCATCTCTCCTGGTTCTCAGGTCTTCAAACTCAGACTGAGTTATAATACTGGTTCTCCAGTTTGCAAACAGCAGATTGTAAGACTTCTCAGTCTTCATAATCATTGTGAGCCAATTACCGTAATAAATCCCCTCTTACATATGCAGATATATTCTATTGGTTTTGTCTCTGGAGAATTTCGACTAATACAGAGACTCTTCATCCTTTCATGCCAATCTCTGATACTCAGAAACTACTCATATCCTCTCACTACACCAGGGTGCAGGGCATATTCCACCAGTGCGCCCAGGTACCTCTGTCTAAGCACATCATTCAGGCATTTCTACTCCCACTGCAGCCCCTGCATGGGGGAAACCAAGGTTTTGCCACCTCTCTTAGGTCCACCTGGGCAGAGTCTTCATTCTCTCAGACCCATATGAGGTATCTGTCGTCCTCTGCCCTGCTGGGGCTTGTAGCTCCTTTTGCAGGCACACACCCCCTCTAAACTTCCCCCGTAACTCTCCACCTCAGTCCAGGAAACCATTTATGGACTTGGGACAGGAGCTACCAGCAACTTTGCCTCAACCTATGTCTTCTGAGTTATCTTCTGCCTAAGCTTTTAACATTGAAAAGACGTTTCTCTGCTGTAACATCCCTTACCTGAGATAAACTTCTTGCTGACAAAATATGAAGGACATCACAAGTTCGAAGTGATATAGGAGTTAAAAAGCAATTATTTAAGCAGATAGCGAGAATAAGGAAGTCCTCAGTGAGGTTTCCCTCTTAATGAAAAGCGGCCCCCAAATCATTTCTTCTCTAATAAAGAGCAGCCTGTAAAATCAAGCTGCAGACATAGATAAGCAAGGTGGAAGCTTGCACGGGTGAATGAGCAGCTGTGCCAGTAGGAAAAGGCTACCTGGGAGCCAAGCATGTTCAACATGGCGGCTCCATCTTCCCTATTCCTTGCCAACCACATGTACAGTAAAGAGCAGACAACATGGCTCTGGCCAAGTAGAAAACCTATTTGCATAGTAAAAGATAAGGTGGGGTGGCCAGCTTCTTGGCACACTATGCAAACGTCACACCTGGTCTAACCAATCTTTGGGCTCTATGTAAATCAGATACCGCCTCCTCAGGCTCATCTGTAAAACCGCGTGCATTTCACCAGGAAACCCAAAGACCCACTCAGGAGCCCCTCTCTCTCTAAAGGGGAGACAGCTTTTCTCTTTCTCTCTGTTAAACCTCTCTCTCTATTAAACTCACTTCTGGGTCTGTGTACTTGATTTCCGTGGCATGATATGATGATCCTCGGGTATTTGCCCCAGACAACCACGCTGCTTCAAAAGGAAGTATGAGGGAGGAAGCGGGAGCTTATAAGTTACATCAAATATTTACATAGACAATGTGCCCTAGCAGGAAATTTGCTAAGTGCAAGGAGAGTCACTTCCCTTGATTTGTGGATGCAGAATGTTAGTACAGAGCAAACAATGTCAAAGGTGAGACCTAAGAGATTGTGGTTGACCCATAAAGGATGCAGAAGCAGGGGTGCCAACCCCCTGTGCAGTTGAAAAGTCAATCATAAATTTTGACTCCCCAAAGGCTTAACTACTGATGGCCGAGTGTTCACCAGAAGCCTTACCAATAACATACAGTCAATTAATATGTATTGCATATACTGTATGTATTATACACTGCATTATTATAATAAAGTAAGCTAGAGAAGAGAAAAATGTAATTAAGAAAATTATAAGAAAAATATATTTACTGTTTATTAAGTGGAAGTGAATCATCACAAAGTTCTTTATCCTCATCATCTTCACACTGAGTAGGCAGAGAAGGAGGAAGGGAAGGGGTTGGTTTCAGGATGGCAGAGGCAGAAAAATGCCTGAGTAAGACTTCTTGTAAGACCTGGTCTAGTAAGAATAGTCTTCTTGAAAGGCTATTCATTCTAGGCATGGGAGACAGCAAGGCTTGGCTTCCAAGGGCACGTGGGACTTTCTGGAAACTAAAATTTACTATAACTGCAATCTAGAGTCTGAGTATGAGGAGGCTGGGGGTACAGGGAGCATGAGGAAGCCTGCCACATCAGGAGGCAGCAGCTGAGATTGCCCAGGGCTCACACAGTGCACCAGTTGCTTACGCACCATCATTTCTTTTTCTTCCTTGTTTAAGAATCCCATTTCTACTCATAGAGAAAAATGGGATTAGTCTTAGGGAGTGAATCACGACTGATAGGATCTAAACACAGCCATCTCATGTAAGTGATTTTTTTCTTTTTTTTCTTTTTTTTTTTTTTTTGAGACGGAGTCTTGCTCTGTCCCCCAGGCTGGAGTGCAGTGGTGCAATCTCGGCTCACTGCAAGCTCCACCTCCCGGGTTCATGCCATTCTCCTGCCTCAGCCTCCCGAGTAGCTGGGACTACAGGTGCCCACCACCACACCCAGCTAATTTTTTTTCTTTTGGTATTTTTAGTAGAGATGGGGTTTCACCTTGTTAGCCAGGATGGTCTCGATCTCCTGACCTCGTGATCCGCCCTCAGCCTCCCAAAGTGCTGGGATTACAGGTGTGAGCCAGCAAGTGATATTTTTAAGGATGGACAAAACATCCAATTCTGGCCAATAAGCCACAAGTGAAAGTCAGCTAAAGATGTAGGAAAAGGCTTCTTCCCTGATAGAGACGTGCATGAAGAGAGTATTCTCTTTCTCCTGCTGGTCCTTCCCACTCTGGAATGGAAGAGTTGATTGTTTGGATGTTAGAGATGAGAGCATGTAACATGTGACCATGGGGCAAAAAAACCTCAGGATAAAGACAGTATGTTGATGATGTGAAAAGATAGAAAGACAGAGACAGCCAGGTTCTTGGGTGAACTAGCAACCCAAACTGGAACTGTTTACCTCAGGACATTCTAGTAAACATTACGTACCCTATGCTGTAAGCCATTATTACTTAGGTATTCAGTGACTTGTAACTAATTTTTTTCCAAAAGCAAAATAGTTCAGGATTTTGCAAGGGGAACATACAGTGTTGGAGTCAAGTGTGGTAAGAATTTTGCAAACAGATGTGAAGTCCATATTAAAGAGAAAGCATAGCGTGTACTAGGGAGCAAACTGAAAGAAATTCAGTATGGTTGGTACTTAAAATGTGAGTTGTAAGAAATGAGGTTGAGACATAGGTATGAATTAATTTACTGAGATTCTTATAATCCAAGCAATGATATTTGAATTTCATTCTAGAGGCAAAAAAGTAGTTGATGATTTTAAGGGGAGTTAGGTGATCAGATTCATGATTTTAGAACTTTTTCTGGCAGAATGTAGCCTACACTAGTTAGCTAGCAGAGGAGTTGGAGAGTAGGTTCCAGAACAGGAAATGGAATCAACAGGATTTTATAGTTCATTTAATTTCTGTGATAAGAAAGAGAGAAGAGTCCAGAATTATGTCAAATTTCTATCATGAACTTAAGAAGAGAAACAGGAAAATTTTAATGAGGAAAATCATTCATAGTGAAGATTTTGTTTTTTTCAAAAAGGCACTACCTTGACCATTACTGGTTATCTAAATTTGAATTCTCTCATGATAGAATTACAAATCAAATAGATGCAGAAAATATCTTCATATGATTGTCACTGATCAGGAAACTGTAATCAGTGTCAAAGAAACCAAATTCTAAGTTGTATTTCTTTTCCAATGATAAGCTTATTTTCTTCTAGTATAAAATCAACCTTCATCACTTGGCTAAATGTCAAGTATACACGGGGAGATTAAGAACCCCACAAAGACTAGTGTCTGCATTAGTGACATATTTACCAATGAAGGTATTTATAATTTTAATATAAGATTAATAATCAGTTATTAAAGTTAAGATATTACACCTTAGTTCAGTGTATTAGGGTCCCAACAATAGAAAATTGCACCTCCGACCAAAGATAATTTAAGAAGAGTTTATTTATAGAGGGGCTATCTACAAAAGGTGGCTGGAGTTACAGAAGAACTACAAGGCATAGTACAGTCACTCAGGTCTGGAAACAAAGGAGTTCCAGTGACTGAGATCCACAAGAAGAGAATCATGTAGAGAAGGCTGCCTGAAGAGAAGCAGTCCCTTTAGCCTAGGGGCATAACCAACAGGATGCAAATACATAAGGAGCAGACCAGAATAATTAAAATCCTGACCTCACTCTCTTTCTTCCCTCTAATTTCCTTCCAGAGCTCCTACTGAGCTGAACCTACCTGGAGGACCTTGGCTAAGTCATGTCTTTGATATAATCATGTAGTTGTTCAGCGTGCACTCACAGGGGGGCGGGCAGAGGACAGTGTGACTCTGAAGAGGCAAAGAGTAGACCTCTGCCATGATCACAGGTGGAATTACCTGAATGCTAACCTATGCCAAAATGTAATTGTATGTGAACTTAACACCTAGGTTTTTATACTACATGAAGGTGAATGGCTAAAATAAAGACAGAAGAGTTTTAGCTCAAAAGATTTGCATTGATAAAATGAGTGCTCACCAAAACTTAATTGATTATTTTAATTAGTCTTCCCTGATAAAGGTATTAGTTCATATTTGTTTTTAGCCAGAATAGCTTTGCAGGTGGGAGAAAGGAACTATAATGGGATTCATTATGAATGAAAATGAGCAAAATAGCAATATTAAACTATTTTCCTGCTTAGCCGTTATTTAAGATTATAATTGTGTTTTTAGTGAATTGTACTTTTACAGTTAGAACAGTATGATAATTTCTAATAATGAAAGAGAATAATGGCAATACAAGATTTCTTAATTGGATTTGGGTTTGGAGAGCATTTTATCCATAGTATATACTCTATAGGACTCAAGATCTGCCAACATGTCTAGAGAACTCATCTCGTGGGTTCACTAGGGCTCTACTTACAGAGACTGAGGCACTGCCTGAATAAGACTGTGCCCTAGAGAAAGACAGAGCCAAGGAACTCCTGAAATATGGCTTAGTGTCTGTTCCATATTGCTTTCTGGCTTACCCTGTAGGGATTAATATCTGAAAGACAAAGCAAGGAAATTTAATGAACAGGTTAAAAAAAATGCGAAATTCCTTGTATTTTACTCAAACCCACAACGAGCAATAAGAGACGGCATCATACTGCAGTGACCAGAAGCGCTACATTTGACACAGGTGGCAAGATTCTTGGCATCATATATAGCAGACATGAGGGGACATTGCTGTGAATCTGTAGCAACAGGAACACCCTCATCAGTTAAGGATATTTGACATCCCTCTATTTGGCACAGACATAAGAACCCTCATCATCAAGCATCTATGGTCTAGAGAAAAATGTTGGTATTCCTCAGGGGCTGCTATAGTAGTGTCCTCAGCAGGTTCTGGCAGTATCAGCTACTTTGAACCTCAGCAATGACAGACACATTTTCTGGCTAAGTTGGAATGGGAGACAATTTAAACATAGAAAGTCCTGTGAGAATTCTAATAGCACAGGTGAAGGCAAGGTTAGAGAAATAGAATTTTGTCTACAAATACATCTCTAAAGATAGAAAGGAAACAAGAACTAGAGGCTCATACAGTTGAATAAGAGATTTAGGAACTAAGAATTCACAACACAACACATCTTAACAAATTATCCTCCTTGTTAAACCTTTGAAATCTTATCCATGGTCCAATTCAGTCTTTTTATAAAGAGAATTAAGTTTCGGCCAGTTTTGCCGTATGCCACCCACTATTACAGTTACCTTTCCCCTCAACTTTTAATATTTGTGTTTTACACTCTTCCCTGGGTTGGGAAAATCATTACATATTATAGTATACCTTTATACAGGTTTGATCCTATAGCAATATATTGATTATTTATACTAAAAATATGAGCAATACCAATAGTAAATTCATATTGAGAATTATTATTGATTTTAGTCATTCATTCACCTATTTACTTAGAACCTGCTACATGAAAAGCAGTGTGTTAGAATTTTTCATTGTATTAATATTTAAATTTATTTATATTTTCATAACTAGTGGGTAAAGAAGGATGGTAGGAAAGGGAAGGAGAAAGCCCGATGCTTTCTACATGGAGATCTGACCATGTTTTGTGGATAAACAAGTGAATAATATGATTTAATATATTCATTATAATTGATTTAGCTTTTAAAAGTATCTCAAGTAACGATCAAATCTTCAATGATTTTGGTTTTGCTTCTTCTTCTTCTTCTTTTTTTTTTTTTTTTTTTTTTGAGATGGAAAGAGTCTCACTCTGTCACCCAGGCTGGAGTGCAGGGGTGCAATCTCGGCTTACTGCGACTTCCACCTCCCAGGTTCAAGCAATTCTCCTGCTTCAGCCTCCCGAGTAGCAGGGACTACAGGCATGCACCAACACACCCAGCTATTATTATTATTATTATTTGTATTTTTAGTAGAGATGGGGTTTCACCATGTTGGTCAGGCTGGTCTTGAATTCCTGACCTCAGTTGATCCTCCTGCTTTGGCCTCCCAAAGTGCTGGGATTATGGGCGTGAGCCACTATGCCCAGCCGGTTTTGCTTCTTTTTTTTTTTTTAAATTGCTGTCTAAAGTAGCTGATGACTAAAAATATATATGTTCAAAATAAGTTATATATAAAAAATAACATAACTGTATTCAGTAATATAAAGATATTACTTTTACCTACCTCTGATGACGTTACAGCTTTTCTGATGCATTTTCATTAAGAAATAAGTGGAACCTCTAGGGAAAACAACATAAACTGAAACTACCAACATTTTCCCTGTGGTCATAATTTCTAGCAACTCATGTTTTCCTCGTATAAGTCCTATGGTTTCCATTTAGAAATTTATAAGATAAAGTGATGAGAAAAAATAATCACAGCCGTAAGATTTGATTTCTACATGCTAAGTTTACACTTATATTCTAACACTTAGAACGAATTTGTCAGGACAATTCCAGAAGAGACAATATCTAGTTTAAGCCACACATGCAAAAAGCAAGTGTTTAGAGATATAATATTTTATTCACTTTTGATTTTTTCTTCAAAAACGTGATAAGTATTAAATAGATTGAAAGTATTTATGTAATGAGATAATAAAATATTATAAACAAGGGCAGATTCGTGGTCTTGGCCATGGTATCAAATTTAATGTCTATGTCTTCAGTGACATTTTATAACAAAAAATACCATATGTTTACATTAGATGAATATCATAATGTGATATTATTGTTTATGAGTAATGACAAAAATAATTAGTCTCAGATTAATTGACCATAGCTTTTAAATACATATAAATGGGAAAGCATTTTTCATGTGAATAAATCAACCTGTTGTTCATATCATATTCTTGTAAGTGTTATTGTCATAGTTGACATCTAGTAAGGGAGCTGCGCCCAGCAAGATGTGATGAAGATAATTTAGGCATAATTTAATAGCTGAAGATGTGACGATGAATCAGTTATTTGGGGCACTTTCTTCATTTTGATAGAAAATAAAGCAAAGTCAAAACAATCAATAAAAACAAAACCTCCTAGAGAACAATATCATGTGTATTCCCTATGATGCTAGCTTAACTGATAAACACTAGTTAATATTCAGTGCAAAATATGTGTTCTGTTAGTTCTGGGTGAGAAGTGTCATCTTCATATATAATAGATCACTTGCAGCAAATTTATTTTTTTAGTCATTATACACTGGTCCGAAAACATTTTTCATTCAAATTACCTACACTTTTCTGTGTTTTCTAATCATTATTACAACACTATTTTTTAAACTAGTAATTATTTAATTTTAATTTAATAAATAAATGTTAAATAAATAAATATTTATTTATTTTTAAACTTGTAAAGCATTATTCTTTTGATTGCATCTGAATGTTTTGCTTTGGAACATACACTGAGATTTAAGGCAACTAGGTATGAAGCCAGACACTCCCAAGACATGCCTTGCTTTCCACCTTTGGGAAACCCCTTTAATTTAGGAGGTTGGGGTGAAAGCAATACCCCCAACACTGGAATCCATTTCAGCTTCTAAGACAGGAAATTGTGAAATGCTCTGGGTCAGTAGCTCCTTTGATTTAGCATCACATTAACTTTGCTGATAATTGTGCTCTGAACTTAGACTTAAGGCTCCATGATTAGATCCCTATCTAAATATCCCAAATTCAAATTTTTTGGCAAAACTCTAATCGTAATTAACCTGCAAAACAAGATGGTCAAATAAGCTTGACAAATGTAGTGTGCTCTATCCTTCTCTTGGAGATTTACGGAAACATTAGTGTATTAACTGTCATAAAATCATGCAGAAAATTAACCTGTTGAAACAATATTTTACCCATCATTGGCCAAGTGTATGTGACCAGAAAATCATGGCACTGCCTAACTAATTCAAGCAAACTAATTCAAGTTCTAGATCATTGTTGGGCTAGCTGCTTAAGAATTACGAACTGCAAACTCCACCGGAGATTCTGATTCATTCTCTGTGGCCTAGACCACAAGAATATGAGCTTTCAAGCAATTTACATGTAATTTCAATAGGAGCCCAACTTGGAAACTTTTGGCCTATGCCTTCTTTGCTGTGTCCTGCCTGCCTTGTTACAGCAACAGCAAGGTCTTATCTGATTGAGAACCACTTCAAATCCATATACTTAGCTGACAGACTAATTTCCCAGAATGCCTCACATTGTCTATCACTACTAGTATAATGGCTGTTTTCACTGAAAAAAAAAAAAATGCTTTAAAATTACAAATTGGTTATCCTTAATATGAAAATTTAAAATCTGAATTGCTCAAAAATCTGAAATGTTTTGAACCCTGACATGATGCTTAAAGGAAATTCTCATTGGAGCATTCTGAATTTCTAAAGTTGGGATACTGAACAGGTTAGTATAATGCAAATATTCCAAAACCTGAAATCCAAAACACTTCTGGTCTCAAGTATTTCAGATAAGGGATACTCAATTTGTATATTGCATCTCAATTTGGTCAAATATTTATGGAGCATCTTCTTGTGTCAGATCTCCTGCCAGGTTCTGGAAAAAATGAAACTAAATATGGAAAGACTCATGTCCTTAAATAACTAGCATTCTAGAGATGACAGAATCCCAGAGTGTAGTAAAATCCAAAACATTCCATTTAATGGCTTTAGGGAAAACCACTGACTTTGGTGCTTGTTATAAATGCCCAATAATTAATGAAAAGAAAACAAAGTATTTCTTTTTATGTTTTCCTGGCCTCCAAACTGCTTTTCTAGGTATTTATTGGATACAGTCATTCTTCCTTTGATAATTAATATATTCTAAATGTAATTGGCTTTCCACCTCATCCAACCCCTTGAACCTGACTTCTCCTCTAGCTCTAGCTCAATTTTGATCAACGGCCTTATCATTCACTTAGATATTTTAGAAATTTTGAGGTTTTCATTTATGTCTCCTCTGTCTTCTACACTGCAATAAATCCATCGTCAAGTCATAGTGATTGTACAACAGAACCTCAGATCTAGCTTCTTGCTCCTTCCCCTGTTGTTCCACAATGACGCACAAATTTTGCTTTAATTCAGATCCTCACAGTTTTGCTCCCGGATTATGAATAGCTCTTAACTGGTATCCTTCACCTTCTCTATGCCTCCTTTCCCCCCTCCAGTTACAATATCGCCTCTATATCCAAGTTTTGAGGTCTGCAGCTGTGGTTTCCCATCATCTCAAAATAAATGAATCTAGCTTAAGCATCACTGAAAAAAAAAACAAAAAGGAAATTCGTGAAGAGATCGCTGCAGCTACTCCAGCAGAAGTGAAACTCTTGTACTTTTTGCAAATACTAACAAAACTGACAATATTTGACTCTCTGTTGCCTGCCCCATATGATAATATTCACTCTCTTTAGCATGCCAAAGAATAATTTATAATCTGATTTCACAATATTTCTCAGCATTTTCTACCAATGAATCCAACAAATCATCTTTCTTCCAATACATTGTGTTCTTTTACTCTGTTGTTCCTAGATTTCTCTTTCCTTTTATTGAAAGATACACTTGACCTGCTTGACTGAATTTATCTTTTGTGAATTTAACTTGACTGAATTTAACTTTGGTGAATTTATCTTCATTTTTGAATACCTAGTTCAATGGTTCCATCTTTGTAAACCTATCTCTGCAAACTCTGGCAGAACATTTCTCTGCTGTATCCTTAGCATTCTACTTAACATTCCTATCACAGAATGAACTGATTATGTTTGTATGGGATGTGTCTTCCTTCAAAGATGCCAAGTATCACAGATTAGGAACTAAAGCTTATTAATATTTGTGACTCCAGACCACAGCAGACATGTGTTGGTTAAAAAAAATTGTTTTAATAAAAGCATTCATAATTGAGTAAATTATGTATATAATTTAAATGTTTATTAGAATTAACATATAGAATTAGAATTTTATACATTAATATAGAATTGTTATATATATTTTTATATATAAATGTTAATATATGTAATTAGAATTAACATATAGAATTAATATGTCCAAAGAATATTCAGCAAAAAACAACATAGCAATAAAAATTGCTAGAATTATTTGTTTTATGTTGCATCTGAATAGACCAGGAAACTCATAGGTTTCCTAATATTTATGAAAACTATGGCTATGGCTGGACTGGTAACTTTTTAAATGTAGCATTATTGTCTAGTCAAAGACAATCTGTTGCCAATAAAAACCTGAGGAGAGAGAAAGAAGGAAGAAAGGAATGAAGGAAAGAAGGACAGCAGAAAGGAGAAAATACGAACGGGATTGAAGGAAGTATAAAGAGATGAACGTAGACTGTCAGGTAATACAGTGAATGAATGTAATATTTAATTTTTCTGCTTCCAGAATGCCCGGTAAAGAATAGAGAGAGGGTATGTAAAAATTCATGGTCAACTTCCAGTTTATGGCCTGACATGTAAACAGTTTGGAAGCTGTCACTACTGTTCAGAACAGATTGAAAATTACAATAAGAAATACAGTTGACCCTCTAACAGCACAGGTTTGAACACGTGGATCCATTTATACATAAATTTTTTTTCAATAAATATACTGGAAAATATTCTAGGGATTTTTGACAATTTGAAGAAACTCCCATATGAACCACATAGCCTAGAAATAATGAAAACATTAAGAAAAAGTTAGGCATGTCATAAATGCACAAAATATATGTAGATACTAGTCTATTTTATCATTTACTACCATAAAACGTATACAAATATATTTTTTAAAAATTAAAATTTATCAAAACTTATACATTCACTTACAGACCACAGTAGGCACCATTCATAGTAAACAGAAATGTAAACAAATATAAAAATGCAGTATGAAATCATAACTGCATAAAATTAACTATAGTATATACTGTACTACTTTAATAATTTTGTAGCCACCTCTTGTTACTATTGCATTGAGCTCAGGTGGCCATGTAACACTAATCGTCTCCACATGAGTAGTTTGTCTTTCCAGCAAATTGCTTATCACACTAAAAATAATCTGTTGAGGTTCTCACATGTTTTTCATAGTTTGTTGTACAATACTGTAAATCTTGAATAAAACCGTAGGACTCATATGAAATACCACGAGTGATGCTGGAAGTGCTCCCAAAAAACAGAGAAAATTCATAACATTACAAGAAAAAGCATAGCTTAATTATATATACTGTAAATTGAGGTCTGCAACTGTGGTTTCCCATCGTTTCAAAGTAAGTGAATCTAGCTTAAGCATCACTAAAAAAAAAAAAGGGAATTCGTGAAGGCATTACTGCACCTACTCCAGCAGAAGTGAAACTCTTGTACTTTTTGCAAATTATGTTATCTAGCATTGCAAATATAGCTTTTATGTGGGTACAGGATTGTCATAAGAAGGACATACCTATAAACTCTAATATGATTTGAGAAAAAGTGAAGTCATTATGTGATAACCTAACAAAAAGAATTCGAAGTCTCTAAAGTTGGAGAATTTAATGCCAGCAAAAGATGGTTTGATAATTTTAGAAAGAGGTTTAGCTTTTATTTGGGTACAGGTTTGTCATAAGAAGGACATACCTATAAACTCTAATATGATTTGAGAAAAAGTGAAGTCATTATGTGATAACCTAATAAAAAGAATTCGAAGTCTCTAAAGTCGGAGAATTTAATGCCAGCAAAAGATGGTTTGATAATTTTAGAAAGAGGTTTAGCTTTAAAAATGACAAGATAACAAAAGAAGTAACTTTTGCTAACCAAAAGGCACAGAAAAGTTCCCAGACAATGTAAAGAAAATCATTGAGAGGGAAGGATATATGCCTGAACAGGATTTGTTTGTTTGGAGACAGATTCTTACACTGTTGCCTAGGCTGGAATGGAATGGCATGATAATAGCTCACTGCAACCTCAAACACCTGAGCTGAAGCCATCCTTCTGCTTCAGCCTTCCAAGAAGCTGGGACTTCAGGCACATACCACCACTGAACAGATTTTTCATGCAGATAAAAGTGCCCTATTCTAAATAACGATTCCAAAGACGATATTTATTGGTAGGGTAGAAAAGCAAGTACTAGGATTTAGTGCAGAAAGCAATAACCTAACTCTGTTTTTTGTGCAAATGTTGTTAAATGTATAATTAGAGCTGCCCTTATATATAAATCTACCAACCCCTGAGTTTTGAAGGAAAAAAATAAACACCAGTTGCCAGCCTTTAGGTTGTACAACAAGAAGGTCTGAACAACAACTCTTTTTCTGGTTTGGTTCCATCAATGTTTTGTTTCTGAAGTCAGAAATTGCCTTGCCAGTAAGGAACTGCCTTTTGAAGTTCTTTTGATATTCGACGTTGCCCCTGGCCACCCAGAACCCCATGAATTCAGCATCGAAGACTTCTAAGTGGTCTACTTGCCCCGAAACATAACATGTAGATTCGGCTTCTAGATCAGGGATCATCAGGACCCATAAGACTCATTACACAGTACTCTATGGGAAAGAATTATCAACACTGTGGAAGAGAATTCTGATAGAGAGAACAACCTGAAATTCTGAAAGGACTGTACCACTGACGATGTCACTGTTGTTATTAAAAAGCCATATGCGCCAATAGCCAAAAAATTAGAAATTCCTACTGGAGAAAACAAGAAATTCCTAACTTCACAGAATTTATGAGAGGGCCAATCAAGGAAATCATGAGAAAGATTGCAGATAAGGATAAAAATGGTGAAGGCTGAAGGAATTTCAGGATATGGATCTTAAGAGTGGGCTGGAACTTGCCACTAACTTGCAACCAACAGAGCACAGCAAAACTGATGCCATGTCACTCCTGAAATTAGGTTACAAAAGATCATTACTTTCCATTTGCTAGGATTCTCTTTCTTCTGCCTTCTCACTTGCTTACTCTAATTAAGCCAGTTTCCATGTTCTGAGCTTCCCAATGGAGAGGTCCATGTGGCTAGATGCCAGTGGTGGCCTCTATCCTATAACTTATGAGAATTAGAGGCCCTCAATTCAATATCCTATAGGAATTTAATCTTATCAAGAACTACCTGAGTGAGCTAAAAAGCACACCCTCCCTGGTTGAGCTTTAAAATACTGAGCCTTATGAGAGACCCAGCGACAGAGGATTTAGTTAAGCCCTACCTAGACTTCTGACCTATAGAAACTGTGAGATAGTTAGTAAATGTCATTTTAAGATGCTGTGTTTTAGTTAATGTGTTATGTAGCAATAATAATTAATACCAATGAGATGGAAAATGTTAAGAAAATATCTCTGAGAATATGATTTAAAAATACATAAAACAAGGGTAAAAATTTGAATGACAGGGAAGATCAAGAAGCAATAGACACCACCCCAGAGGAATTAACGAAGACAACCTGATGGAGATGAGTCCTTCTGAATCAGTGCTAGATAATAAAAAAGAAGACACAGAAGAAACAGTGTCAGAAATCAAATTGACATTAGACTATCTTGCAAAATCATTCCCATTATTCAAGACTGCTTTTGACTTATAACATGAAGCCTTCTATAATATGGTCACTGAAATGAAACCAAATGGTAGAAGAAAGATTGTTGCCAATTGTTACCATATAGAAACATTTTAGTGGAAATGAAAAAGCAAAAAATTCAGACAAAAATTATGTTGTATTTCCATAAAGTTATACCAAATATGCCCACTTCTCTTACCTCCCCTTTCACCTCCGCTATCTCTTTCACCTCTGCCACCCCGGAGACAGCAAGACCAACCTCTTCCTCCTCCTCCTCAGCCTATTCAAAGTGAAGATAACAAGGATGAAGACCTTTATGATAGTCCACTTCTACTTAATGAATAGCAAATATATTTTCTCTCCATTATGATATTCTTATTAACATTAACTTTTCTCCAGCTTATTTTATTGTAAGAATACAGTACATAGTACATATAATATACAAAATATGTATTAATCAACTGTTCATGTTACTGGTAAAGCTTACAGATGATAGGAGGCTAATTAGTACTTATGTTTGGGGAAAAACAAAAGCTATACTCGATTTTCCACTGTGTGTGTTGTGGAGGAGAGGTGTCAATGTTCCTAATCCCTGTGTATGTCAAGGCTCAACTGTACTATGAAAAAATAAAAAATCAACAATTCTTCTGAGATCCGTCAAAGAACTGAAGTCATGTCAAACCAACATGACTAAAATTGGAGAGACAGGAAAATACAGAGAATCACAGCTTACCAGAAGCAGAAGCACAAGAGCAGATGCCTACCATTCAAGAACATCCCAATAGGAACACTTAAACTGTAACTGAGAAATTGCTCAAGGTTCAGTGTCAATGAGCTAGAGGGTTAAAAACTTTGAGAAGCCCAGTCCCAGGGGCATGTGAGGGGAGAAGAAGAGGGAGGGTGGGTTAGGAACCTTAACAGATTCTCAAGGTGAAAGCATGGAGTTAAATACCTCATGCTTTCATCATGGTAGGAAAGGAAAAGTAACCCACATGAATAATACCCAGAGCTCTCTGTTCTTTTCATAAAACCTGCCTTGGAGAAAAAACATTGTAAAAGAACCTGAATGACTTAGTTTCACCAAAGCCTAATCAACCTGCATGAAAAAAAAAATGCACAACTCCAGCCGCTCCTCCCCTTCCAGTCTCACCTGACAGGAAGTAAACCTAAGGCCACAAGCTATGTAGGTTGCATCTCAAGGTCACAGGTTCAATGAAAGACTAAGACCAAATCATAGGACCATAAAATGTTTTTTGTAACTCCATAACTTATCACTGCATCAGTTGGCTTCCAGTAAAATAACAGGAGATTACAGGTGAAAGAACTGTAAATCTCAGACTGTTTTTATAAAAGAATCTCCAGAGAAACCCAAAGACAATGAAAGAGGCAAAAACAAGGATATTAGAGGAAATTTTACTCTCTGACACCAATAGATACAGCAAACAGTAAATACAGCCAAACTGCTAGCCAAATAAAAAACTTCACACTGAAGTCCTATTCACCTCATTTTTTTAATTCAGTTCCATGTCCACTTTTCCACAAAAAACTTACAAGAAATGTTAAAAGACAAAAAAAACCAGTCAGGAAAGAAAAGGCAAGCATCAGCACCACTCTTGGAAATGGCAGATATTTTAGAATTATCAGACTGGAAATTTAAAATAACTATGATTAATATGTTGAGGACTCTAAAGGAAAAGGTAGACAACATGCAAAAATACATGGATAATGTAAGTAGAGAGACGGATATTTCAGGAAAGAATCAAAAGGAAAGGCTAGTAATCAAAAACATTGTAATAGAAATAAAGAATACCTTTGACAAGCTCATCAATACATCAGGTACAACAGAGGAAAAAACAGTGAACTTGAAAATATGGCACAGAAACTTCCCAAACAGAAAATCAAGAAGAAAAAAAGAGAACAAATAGAATAACATGCCTAAGAACTGTGGAAATGACAAAAGGTATAATATAAGTGCAATGGGAATACCAGAAGGAGAAGAGAGAAAGGAATAAAAAATATTTTAAATAATAATGAAGAAGAAATTTCCAAAATTAGTGACAGACACCAAATACAGATCCAATAAGCATAAGCAGATAAATACCAAAGCATATAAAACACCAAACTAAACCAAAAGCAACAAAAAAAAAAAATACGTAGGGATAGCATAATCTAACTACAAAAAGTCAAAGGCAAATAGAAAAGCTAAAAAAGCCAGAGAACAATAACAACAAAAATGCATTATCTAAAGAGGAACAAGGACAAGAATTGCATCAGCCTTCTCTTGAGAAAACATACAAGCAAGAAGTGAATAGAATATAATGTTGAAAGAAAGAAAATAACAACCTAGAATTTTGTACCCAACAAAATTATCCTTCAAAATATAGGTAACAGATACTGTGGGCCTCCTTATGTGATATAAAGTAAACAGTACCAACTATGAGGTATTTGTGCCAAAACAGTGGAACAGAAATCCAATCAGACTGTAAAGCCAAACTACATTTATAGGAAATAAGAGAAGAAAAGAAACAAGGTACATGACATCACAAGAAAGAAAACAGATTAAGTCCAGAATGTGGAATAGCTTGTATGACAATTGGGCTGGTGCGAGAATCAGTTCTGTGTGTCAACTTGGCTGGGCTTTAGTCCCTAGTTGTTCAATGAAACACTGATCTAAACATTGCTGTTAACGTATTTTGTAGATGTGCTTAAAGTCCATAATCAGTTGACTTTTAGTAAGGAATATTAGTAAGAAATTGTCATGATTTAAATATTCCACATTGTATACATACATCAAAATAAAACATTGTACACCAAAGTGTATACAATTTGATTTTTAAATTTAAAGTAATACTAAAAATAAAGAAAAGAAATGAGCTATCAAAAAGACATGGACAAATCTTAAATGCATATTACTAAGTGAAAAAAGGCAATCTGAAAAGACTATATAGTATACAATTTTGATTATTTGACATATGGAAAAGTGTAGAGTGTAAAGAGAGTAAAAAGATCAGTGATTGCCAGGGGTTTGGAGGGATGTATAGGTGCAGCACACTGAGAATTTCGAGTACAGTGCAACTTTTCTCTATGATACTATATCAGTGGATACGTGTCATTGCACATCTGTCAAAATCTATAGAATACGTAACATAAAAATACCCAAAGGATTATAAATCATTCTACTATAAAGACACGCGCACAAGTATGTTTATTACAGCACTGTTTACAATAGCAAAGACTTGGAACCAACCCAAATGCCCATCAATGATAGTCTGGATAAAGAAAATGTGGCACATACACAACATGGAATACTATGCAGTCATAAAAAGGATGAGTTCATATCCTTTGCAAGGACATGGATGATGCTGGAAACCATCATTCTCAGCAAACTAATGCAAGAACAGAAGACCAAACACCACATGTTCTCACTCATAAGTGGAAGCTGAACAATGAGAACACATGGACACAGGGAGGGAAAAATCACACACCGGGGCCTGTTGGAGGTTGGGGGGCTAGCAAAGGGATAGCATTAGGAGAAATACCTAATGTAAATTACGGGTTGATGGGTGCAGCAAACCTCCATGGTACGTGTATACCTATGCAACAAACCTGCATGTTCTGCACAAGTACCCTAGAACTTGAAGTATAATAACAAAAAGAAAAAAAAGAATCTTAATGTAAACTATAGACTTTAGTTAATAATAGATTATCCATATTAATTCATTAATTTTAACGAGTGTACCACACTAATATAAGAAGTTAATAATAGGGGAAACTGTTTGGTGCAAGAGTGAGTGAGAGGATGCATATGAGGCCTCTGTACTTTCTGTTCAATTTTTATTTAAATCTAAAACTGCTCTAAAAATACAGTATATATAATTATTTTAAAATCATAGTCTATTGAATAAACAGAATGGGAGAGAAGGAAACAATAACATTTTGGAATATGAAAAACAAACTGATGAGGGGTAATTAATTAAAAAGCTCAAGAAATCTGAATTTTTAGTGGGCATTGGGAAAGTTGAGAAGCAATATATTTAAACCACAGAACCCCAATTAACATAGGAATTGGCAACCCAAGGTACCTCTGGAAGTGTGAGTAAAAATGTAGCTAAAAATAAATGGATTAGCTGAAAGTTGGTTTAAGAAGAAATAGATCTCATATTCAGTTCCCAATGACTCATCTGTGAGAGACACCAGGTTACCAGGGTAAGTGTAACATAATGAAAACAAGGGAAATAGGTGATGATTTAATGAACATTGAGACTTCTCAGTCCTTTCCTAACAATACTTAAGTTGGCTCTTTGCTTTCAGAATTACTATTTTCCAGGCAAGACTGGGATATCCTACCATGAGGAATCTCACCAGCAGAAGAGTAAAGAGCTAAGAATTCTGAAATCAGGGTTCCCCTACATATAGTTCGGTCAGATTACCATAAAGTGACGTTTACATTGTAAATCCCACCCATACAGTCAGAAATTCTAATTAGATTTAAAGTTCCTTACTTAAATATATGACATGACAATCAAGGATTTCAGACATCTGAGCTAAGTTTCTACCATTAATAAAAGAAATAAACCAATATTGAATCATCTTGAAGGAAGAGAGACTTTTCAGAGAAATAAAATCACGGAAAATATTATTATTATTACTAGATAAATAGAGTCACATCTGAAATAAGAAAAGGATAGATTAAAATAGTATTTGAAGAATTAGAGCTCTTGGAAATTAAAAAGCAAAAAGTAAATAATGCAGGAAGTGGAAAGCTCAATAGACAATGTGGTTGGCAGA
The DNA here is from genome assembly GCF_000001405.40 of Homo sapiens. Taxonomy (NCBI): domain Eukaryota; kingdom Metazoa; phylum Chordata; class Mammalia; order Primates; family Hominidae; genus Homo; species Homo sapiens. Next base: position 59,735,656 of record NC_000008.11, read on the forward strand.
CCTCTAAGATGCTTCCTGATGCTCCAGACACCTGGTTTAATTCTCTACCCTTGAGAGTGGGCTGGAACTTGTCACTAACTTGCAACCAACAGAGCACAGCAAAACTGATGCCATGTCACTCCTGAAATTAGGTTACAAAAGTTTATTACTTTCCATTTGTTAGGATTCTCTTTCTTCTGCCTTCTCACTTGCTTACTCTAATTAAGCCAGTTTCCATGTTCTGAGCTTCCCAATGGAGAGGTCCATGTGGCTAGATGCCAGTGGTGGCCTCTATCCTATAACTTATGAGAATTAGAGGCCCTCAATTCAATATCCTATAGGAATTTAATCTTATCAAGAACTACCTGAGTGAGCTAAAAAGCACACCCTCCCTGGTTGAGCTTTGACGTACTGAGCCTTATGAGAGACCCAGCGACAGAGGACTGAGGACTTAGTTAAGCCCTACCTAGACTTCTGACCTATAGAAATTGTGAGATAGTAAATGTCATTTTAAGATGCTGTGTTTTAGTTAATGTGTTATGTAGCAATAATAATTAATACCAATGAGTTGGAAAATGTTAAGAAAATATCTCTGAGAATATGGTTTAAAAAAACATAAAACAAGGGTAAAAATTTGAATGACAGAGAAAGGAGGATTAAATAGGTGAATTGCAAGAAATTTTTTAGGGCAATGAAACTATTCTCTATGATATTATAATAGTGCTAAATGACACTATGCAACTTGTCAAAATCAATAGAAGTTTATAGCACAAAGAGTGAACCTTAATGTATGTGAACGTTAAAAAAAATATTTAGAAGGTTGTGGTCCCGGAATAGAAAGCAGAATATGACAAAAAATAACATAATTGTATTATAAATAATAATTAAACAACCTCACTTACAGAAGTTGGGAGAAAGTCCTGAACTAACTAACTTTGGAAATGAATGAAGTCTGCGAGACTAAGGCAAAGAATAATTTTTTAAAAAGCTGTTAATAAACATCATACTCTAATTGATAAAGTTGTTTTCTATGGTTTTTGTAGTTAACATTTTGATACCACTATTCATTTATGCTGGAATTCAATAATGGAATGAGTAAATTCTCACTGTTGGAGTGGTAGGTTACAGTTAAACAAAAGGAGAATGCTTGAATAATCCACGTGGAAATAAATGGATTGTAGTTGGAGACTATGAACTTATTTTTGGCTTAATGAAGATATGAATGTTTACATATAGAATAGTTTACAGATGTGATTATATGTACAGTTTAGTATACACACATATATATTTCCTTGTTTGGTCATTTGAGAGGGCCTAGAAAAATTTACACTTCTAGTGCCAGTAAGCTTAGTTAGTGCCCAGATCATGGTTTCTAATGCCATTCCCTAATAAAAGGAACCAGGGCTCCTTGAAGAAATGGCTAATCCTTGGAATGAGACAGAAAATAAACCAGATGATCCTGGAGCATCTTGTATGGCCAGAGAGTAAATCATTGATAGTGTGTACCATTAATACGATGTGCTAAAAAAAGACTCTATATCTGTGGTTTTTCTCCCCCAAATCCATAACCCATTCTTATAATGAGAAAAATATCAAACAAATTTCAAATGACAGACATATTACAAAACACTTTACCTGCTCCTCCAAACAATCAAGGTTATCAAAAGCAAGGAAAGTCTGAGTAATTGCCACAGTAAAAATGAGGCAAAGGAGATATGACAACTAAATGTAATGTAGGAGAGTGGAACACAAAAGGAGGTTAGGTAAAAACTAAGGGAATCTGAATCAACTACAATTTTCTTTAATAATAATGCATCTATTATTCATTAAATATAACAAATGTATTATTATTATACTAATATAAAATATTAGTAATAGGTGAATCTTGGTGTGTAGTATGTAGGAACCCTCTGTGCTATCTTCTCAATTTTATTGTTATTTTAAAAGGTTGTGATATGGTTTGGCTGTGTCCCCACCCAAATCTCATCTTGAACTGTGGTTCCCATAATTCCCATATGTCCTGGAAGGGACCCGGTGGGAGGTAATTTAATCATGGGGGCCGGTTACTGGTTACTTGCATGCTGTTCTCATGATAGTGAGTGAGTTCTCATGGGATCTGATGGTTTTAAAAGGGGTTTTCCCCCTTTGGCCAGGCACTTCCTCTTGCTGTTGCCGTGTTAAGAAAGATGTCTTTGCTTCCCTTTCTGCAATGATTGTGTTTCTGAGGCCTCCCCAGCCCTGCTGAATTGTGTCAATTAAACCTCCTTCTTTTATAAATTACCCACTCTTTGGTATGTCTTTATTAGCAGCGTGAGAACAGATTAATATAGATTGTTTTAAAATATGAAGTAATAATGAAAATAAAATAAGTAAAATAATATAAAATAAAATTGAATTCCCAGTCCATTCGTGTAATTAAACCTCCAAATGATGATTTTCAGTTAGTGAAAATAAAATAAAACATGAAGGGGAAATTCTTCAACAAATATTTCCAAATCAAAGAGATTAAAAATTTGCACTCTGTGCAACTGTGTTACAGCCTAACAGATGAAAATAGGCTCAGACCAACGCACATAATTATGAATTTCAGAACACAAGGGACAAGAGAAGTTCCTAAAATGTTCCACTTAAAAAAAAATACAGGCCACATTAAAAAAGATAAGGAATTGGTATGGCTTCCAATTTCTCCCTAACAGCATTAGAAACTACATAAATACCTTAAAAATTCCCAGTGAAATAAATTTTAGCCTAGAATTGATATACCAAGCCAAACCCTTACTCCTGTAAAAATCAAATAAAGCCATTTTTGACATGTAAAATCACAAAAGGATTACCTTTCATGCACTCTTTCTCTGGAAGCTATTGGAGGATGTACTCCTTAAAAAGAAAGGGTATCCAAAATGAAGAGAGACGTCAACTGTAGGAACCAAGGGTTTCAACACAAGAAGAAAAAAAGGAGCTATCTAAGATAATGGTAAAGGAATAATACAACATAATAGGTGTGCAACAAAGAGAGAATCCAGTCTATAAGAGGTGAATTAGAAGGTCCCAGGAGAGACTGATAAAATACCTGATGCGTCTGAACATGTGGAGAAGACGGTGAGATAATTGGTAGACTTTAGTATTGGATGAATGATACATAAAAATCTAATATAAAAGCAATTCTACTAATTCTCCCAGGCAAACAAATTACACAGGAAAGAGAATCATTATATATACACTGCATCATTCAGCTGAGACTATCCTATATATAGGCCCAATAATATAATAACTAATCTTGAATTAACCAACATATGTAATATATAATACATAACATATATATAATATATAACATATATATAAAACATATATATAGCATATATAATATATATGTATCATATATTATTATATGTTATGTGATATGTATAAACATATATAGATATACATTTAAATATATATGTATACACACAACATACATAGAGAGAAAATGGGGAATGGATAGAATTTCTGTGTATAGTGGAATCAGGAAAAAAAGAAGGCAAATTTCACATTTCCACAACAGAAAGTCCCTAAATAATGTCAAATATTTAAAAATCAATAATTTTATATAAACAATATAAGCATGTTATTCAGAGACATGGAGCTAATGTCAAAACTATACAGTTTAACAGCAGTTTAATATACATGTATTGAATTTCTCCTTGGTGACACATTTTGTGTAAGTACTTTGAATGCATACCTGATTGAACTTATGAATCTAGGACTTTATATATAAGCAATATAACAGATTTATTTAACTAGAGTGCCTCAGATTACTTCTGCTCTTTTGGAAATAAGAAAAACTTGTATCTGTAACACATAAGGATATCACAAATAATGGAGCAAGTCCATTTTCAGTTCTTTCAATGAAATTTGAGTTTGCGTTTCTACTATTACAAGTGTGTTTTTCTTTGGCTTCTTTCGAGAACAGTTGGGAGCAAGAACCCAGGTGGATGTGTTACTATGATACTTGTGAGGAAATTGATGTTTTTCTTTCTATAGGAATGAGAATAAAATCAGTTCTTCAACATGTATTGCTTTTGAGTTCCCCAAATAAAATAATCCACTTTACTAAAAGGTTTTGGTGAACTCCAAGTCTCTAAATACATTGAATTGAGTAAAATGTCATTTACGATCAATAGCCAAAGTAATGAAAACTAAATGCACATCTGTGATATGTAGGAAATGCTGCACCCTTCCCCTTTTATCACTATAGTAATTTTAAAGAGTCATGTTTATAGCTCCCAACTTTTTCATGACTGGCAATGTTGAGCTTCATCCTGACTGGCTGGACTCTTCTAAAGATACATTTTTTGTGTGTTTTAATCAAAAGAAATTTGATCAATTATCCAAAGCTAACCGCAAATGTTTAGTTCTAACCCTGAGCAAGACTAGTCACAGTGAAACTGAAGACCACAAACTCATTAAGAAGTTATTTTTTCCCCTTGCTTTTTTCCTTTTCCAATCGGTAATTCAGTCTTATTTCCTCCCATTCCTAATCTGAAAAGCCTCAGCTTTATCTATCACCAGTAACTGTTGAATTCTGAGCATCGCTGTTATTCACTACCTTTAAAATTATACTAACCTGCGGGCTCTTAGATTATGTTTACATGATTATTGAATGTATTATTTGAGTTATTTTCTATGCCACTATATTCCACAGAGACTCTTCAAAAGAGACTTCATATTGCACAGTTTCTCTTCAAAAGAAATAATTTCTTACATCATGAGAATATGAGCTAAAAGTTCATTTCTTTAAAAAATGATTTGTTTCCCAAATAATTTGTCTATTTTTTGGAAATAAAGAACTATTCTAGAAAAAGCTTATAAGAATTCTCCCTGAAACTCTAGCATCATCTATGTACAATATTTTTTTCAAAATAATAAACAGAAAAGGTTTGAGCTTGAGTGATGTTTGGTTCAAGTAAAATTAGCTTGCATCTGATGAATAAAGAACTTGGCAGATTTTTTTTAAAAAAACTTATTTTGGATTGTAACTGAAATTTAATTTCAGAAAGGAAATTTCAGTACATTAAATTACTTCCCAATGACTAAAACAGGATTATAAACTCTCTTTACTGAAATTGTATGGCTTCCTATAATATAATTTTGACATACTTATGAACCATTACAAATCTAAGCTATAACAAAAATAGGATACTTTTTTATTATTCATTTATTTTGGAAACACTTATCTAGACCACAGTTTTGTGTAACTGGAGAAACACTCTCCAGGCATTTTTTTAAAATGGATCTCTTATTCATTGAAAACAAAAAAGCCAAATTGATCTCTTTTTTTTTGTTTTAAATGTATGTCTCCTGGTATGCTTCTATTTACCCACCCAAATGTAAAGGCTTCTTGAGAAATGTTTCCACTTGTGCTTGTAAGTTAACATTTTCCCCCAACGGAAGCATTATGTATTATTATGTAAAGTTATTTTAGTACCATTAAGCCACCTGGGTCCTCACATGTGGCTAAAATGGTGAAAGGAATATTTTAGATATTAAAGAATTGATGGTGTCCTAGACCTCAAGGTTTTATTATGGAAGAAGATAAAATTACATCTGACTTTGTCCTCACAGAGGTGCTCGGGTTAATTTTTACTCTGTGTGTAGTTGACTTATACTCTTCTGTAAAAATCATGTAAGATTCCCTACACCATCAACTTATATCTATTGATACTGAAAAAATTTCATGACATTATGTACAAATTTGAGAATACAGAAAATAATGCTCCTTTCTCCTACTTAGCTCTTAATTCATGTTCCTAATTCATGTTCAACTTACCACATATATGCACCATTATCCTTCTCAAGACAAGTCTTACTCTTTATCTGAGTAAAGCCAAACAGAACAGTTACGTAGCTTGTACAGTATGTAGCTTCTTTTTATGTAAACCTATGAATTCTAATAGGTCTAACGTGTTGACTTAAAGTATTTGTTTTCAGATATAACTTTAATACATACCAAAATTGATAAAAATTTGCTTGCGCTTATATTTCTTATATTTTAATTTAAATATTAAATATAAACAAAACTACGAAATCAGTGAGCTCCAAAGTGAAACTATAATAGTGGATGGTGTTTTATGGCTGAACATCCATTACCTACTAGGTTTAATAAGAGAGAGCTTAATTTTATGTATCTGATTTTTACTGTCATCTTGGTTCTTTTAAGTTTTAGTCCAATGGATATAAGTCATTACAATCATTGTTAATGCTTTAACAATGAACAAATTTTTTATTGTTAACTACCTACTTTATGATGTAATAAATTTAATACTTCATTAACATATGATTGTGAAGTTGTTTTCTAAATTTTATTGACCAAACAATGCTTTATTGTATGTTTGTTACTATTCTCATTATTAAGGAATACCAAGAAAGCATCTGTTTAAATTCACTCAAAATGTGGACACAATGTTTACTATGGAGCATGTTGTTTTGGGTTTGGCTTTATGCATGTGTCGTATGACGGCTGGACCCTCCTATTGCTGTCTCTGCCTAATCCTCAGTTTTATGAAGCTCAGGACCTGCTGTGGCTTCTTTTGGCACAAGCAAGATGGGACATTAATGGTAACAGAGACACTGGAATCCTATATCACTATCCAGTTAAAAAGTCATGTTTCAAATAATTCAGAATGTTTGTATAATTCTTTTAGAATATCATAACAATACAAGCAAAAAATATTAAAACCCTGTAGAAATCAGGATCTTTAGACTAGATGCCTTGGGGTCACCTTAAGGGATACCTTAGGGATCTATATTCTTAGAAACCCTGATTGTTTCCTCAAACATTCCTTTTGAAGGAAAGTGAGCAGATGGAGGAAGCAGAAAGGATGTTGATGCTAAGCATGGGCAAGAAATTGTTTCAGAAAAGACAGAAGTGTTGTAAATGGGCCAGAAAGAGTTAAAATGAATTTGAAGTCAGAACACGGGAGGCAGCTAAGCAGTTTTCCAGTTGGGCTAATGCTGGATTGTCCCAAATATGTCTGCATCTAACCTCCATTTTATGTTTTTAATGCTTAAAAATAAGAGTATTTAATCATAACATTTAATGAGGTATATACATATAAATAAATTTATAATTGGGGGCTAAGTTAATGCCAGAATTTTGCCTTTTATGTGTCCAGAAAAGGGGGATGGGCATAGATACATATCCATCTTTCCTTTTAAAATTTTGTTTATTTTATACAACAGAGAAATGAAAAAAAGTGAAAACTTAAAATTAAGGCAAATGCAACTTAGTAGCTCTGTATGGAAGTACAGGGCCTGGCAAATGTGTGTCATATTCACTTATTTATCAGCTTTGTATTATTCCTGTATCTTCTTTAAATAGTCATCTGGAATCAGCTGAAGCTCAAAAAAATTTAACCTTGGCTAACCTTTTCTAAAAAAGACCCCAATGTGTGACATTTGCACAGGGCCAAAAAGGAAGGGAATTAGCCTAGATGGTGATAAAACACACACACACACACACACACACACACACGTTTTTACATATGTCTATGTGTGCATACACACACACACACGAACACAAGATATGTTGCTATCCACATATCAACTAGAAAGATGGAGTATTGCAGTAATATAGAGACACAAGAGTTTTAGGAAGCCTGTGAAGTGAGAACAAGATTGACAGTCTATGATGTAGCAACCTTAATAGGAAAGGAAAGAAGAAATGGCTCTATTTCTAACCTCCACCAATACTATTTTTCTTTTGTAAAACCAAACACTTCCCTGGTCATATATAAAAAAATTTCTATCTTCATACAAAAACATTAGGATATAATGTGATTAAATATGTTGAATAGATTTATCTATATATAGCTATATAAAGATACAACATTTATCTCTCAGTTTAAGCCCCTGATTAAGATCATTTTAATTTGTAATCTAAGAGTATTGCTGTTCTGAAGCTGTCAGATTTGGCAACAGGAATATTCTTCTTTCTATACCTCTTTTCTTCTCCCCAGTTTGCACCTTTATTGGCTTTTCCTCCCATGTTAGCCTGACAGTCAGTCCTAATAGTGTCTCTTATAAATCTTCACTTTTAAACCATGATTCTATTTGAACATTTTTGTCTCTTTTGCAGTTAAATTTAAATAAAATACAGCTGGGTCTTCTACAACTCAAAGCGTATCTATTCCTGACTAAATTTAATATAACTGTATCTACCACATACTCTCAACACTTCAGTCACTGTTAGACATGAGTGATGCATGTGTTTGTAGACTATATATATATATATATATATATATATATATAGACTATATGTATATATATATATAGACTATATGTGTGTGTATATATATATATATATACATATATACAATCTTTCATTGCTAGCCTTTCAAAAAACTCTAGAAACCAAGAATTGAGAAGAAGGATAACTGCAAAAAATCTCTGTAAGACTATTTTTAGAAAAAAAAGTATTGGTTTATTTTTCTAGAAAGTAGGCAAGTTTGGAAATTGAAAGAGTTGAATCCACTAATGAAGAATGGGCTATAGCAAAGAATCTGTTTATTAGAAGTGGATTATAAGATTATTCCCAAAAGTCACTGGTAATAGAAGACAATCTCCCAAATGAATCTCAGAATGTATTTTTATCAGGAATAAGCAAGTACTTTAGGATTCTATAGATTTTAAAAAAGAGTAGCCAATCACAGGTAACATTAGATTTCAGCCACCATAGTTTATATTTATGATATAAACTAAAAATTAAAGATGGGCTGTGTTTTCTTAAAAGGAAAGACAGCCATATTATCCTAGGGAACCCAAATGATTGATAGTGTTATATAATATTCATACTGTATGAGAGGATCTTAATTGAATTCTTAATAGCTTTTGAAATAGGGAGCTCAAACTGTACTGGCCAATATAAAAAGCGGGATTTAGCAAAAGAGACTAATTTTCATTAATTAACAACTGATCCATCAAGTACCTAAATGTGGTAATGCTTAGGGGATCTGGTTTTAAGAGAGAAGACTGATTATATCCAAATCAGCAGTCTCACTCCCTGTACAAAATCCTGTAAATAATATATATGTAGCATTGCTCAAAACTGAGAAAAATACTGTTAATGTTTCAGATCATGGAAGAAATCTGTGAGAGATTAAAAACAGAATGGATCGTTATGCCCCATTGTGGCCTGCACACTTGGGCACATTCTAGGCTAGTGTACCCTACTGCCACAGAAGGTTATTGCCGTTTCAGCATGATCAGCAATGATAGAATCCATGAGCAAAAGGAAATCCTCAGAAATAAGCGGAGTGGTCAACTGGAATAACAGAGTAAGAGAAACCAAAAAGGGAGGCCCCTGTATACTGTTCCCTAAGCTCAGCACTAAACAGTAGGGAGTGGGGTATCTGACACTAAGCAGGAATATTTATTGTGAGAGTTTTGGGAAGACAGAACAGACAATGATCTAGTTGTAGATCCCGTCCCCAATTCTCCCCCTAAAACAGTGTAAACCACAACCTACAAGTGGTTCCCAGTCCTCCCATAGCCTGACTGTGCAAGTAGAGGCAAAGATACCCAAATGAAAACTTAAATACGAAATCATTCAACATTTGAGAAGTACCAACAATATGAACTATCACTTAAAATAAATGTGAATAATAAATGATGTGAATGGTTTGAAGTCACCTAAAATACAGACACATTTAATCTGGACTTATATCCAGCTAACTGATGAGCACAAGAGACATATATAAAACCAAATAAAATAGAAATTTTCTGTACAACAAACCCTGATGACACAAACCTGCGTTTGTACCCCTGAACTTAAAGTTATAAAAAGAAAAATTGAAAATAATGGGATGGAGAATTCAGATAATGTATGGCAGAATAAACACATGGTTTATCCATAATCTCTCCCTAATCCTCCAGAAACCAAAATAGACAAAAACAAAGAGAACAGAACAGTGGATAAAGAGATTAACAAATTCTTACTAAATAGAAAAAGATTTTAGAAGTAAGAGGAGTGAACACCAAGTGTCTCAAGGGAATAATCTTAATGATAAGCAAGTCAACTGATATTGCATAACCCCCAAGAGGATCAGGAATTCAAGGCATCATACATTGTGTAAGACAGGGCTGAAAGTAAGGAGATCGATATAAATTTGAATAAGGAGAATTTAAGAAGTCTGCGAACCATGAAACCTTTTTAGAACTGATTAAAAACATTACATTTTTGAAAAGAGCAATGAAGTCCAAATGAGGTAAATGCAGCTATTGCTTTGGGAGAGATTTTATTGCTTCCTTCACTACCTTAAGTAATGCCACCGGCTCAGTGGGGCCTTTGATTCACAGAGGTTTTCCTAAATGCATAGTCCTGGTGTACTGATGATTTGGCTAAACTAAAAATCCAACAGTGTCCAGTGAATTTAAATACCCTGTGAAAATTAGGGTTCAGGGGAGCAAAGCAATAAAATTATAAATCTCTGGTTACCACTAGTGTGAGTAAAAGTTCTTTATCTCTGAGTCAGAAATCTGTCTTCCACCAACATTCATGAAATTATGGCACGCTAACATGTTAGCTTGCAAGAAGGGCAAATTATCAGATCCTTCACAGTTTTTGAAAATTATTTAATATAAAGAGACATCTTATGAACAAATAATCCTAACAGGAAGGAATCACAATTCTAAATCAGTATGCACACAAAAATATAGCCTGTAAATGCATAAAGCAAAACATCAAAATTGAGGGGAAAAATTAACAAATGCAACAAATACAGAGACTTTATCATACCTATCTCAAAAGATGATAGAGAAGAAAAATACCACTACAGATATACAAGATATAAGCAACACAGTTAACAAATTGGATTTAATTTACCTAGCTAGAACACCATGTCTAATAGCACTATAATTCACATTTCCTAAGCATAGAAGAAATGTTTATCAAAAGATACCATAAGTTGGAGCAAAAATAAAGCATAAACAAAATTATTTAACTCAAAATATTTAAATTATGTCTATCATCTTGAAAGTAAGCTAGTAGTCAATAACAAAAGATGAGAAAAACTCCACATCTAGAAATTAAAAATATATTTTTAAATAAACCATGGAACACAAAAGAAGTCAAAATGGAAATTTAAAAATATTTAAAACTGAATAATGATAAAGAAAACACATCAAAATACATGGAATACAGCTAAAGTAATATTTTCAAAACGTTGTGTCCTTAAATACATACAGATAAATATAAATATATATAGACACAAACACACACGTTTTTTAAGCTGAAAAGCAATACTTCTAACTTCAGTGTTAAAATGCTACAAAAAATCAAATATAAGAAAATTAAAAGAAAAAATAACAAATGTAATAACATAAGTTAATTATATAGACAAATACACAGTAAAGATAATAAACAAAGCCAAAATATTTTTTGTAAAAAGATAATAAAATTAGTAAAACTTTTATCAAGACTAATCCATAAAAACAAGAAAAAAACACAAGTTATCAATGCTACAAATAAAAATCAACATTACATGTAGCTTCTTCAGACTATATTATGAACACAAATACAATTGATAATTTGTATAAAATAGATAAAATTATTTACCAAAATAATAATTTACCATGATGGTAGATGAAATAAAATATCTGAAATAATATAAATAAATTAAAATAAATAAAATATCTGAATAATACATCCTATACATATTAAAGAAATGGAATTTCTTACCGAAATCTTTATCAATAATTAAAAAGAAATTCAGGCCTGACTGTGCCAGTTAATTTTTATAAAATAGATAAAATTATCACCAAAATAATGATTTGCCATGATGGTAGATGAAATAAAATATCTGAATAATACATCCCACACATATTGAAGAAATTAAATTTCTTACTAAAATCTTTGTCAATCATTAAAAAGAAAGTCAGGCCTGGCTTTGCCAGTTGATTTATTTCAGGAACTTAAGGAAAAAATAGCACAAATCTTAAACTCCTCTAGTGAATAGTAAAATAGGAGCACTTTATGACTGTCTTTATGAGAATAACAAAACTTGGTTCCAAGACCTACCAGGACATTATAAAAAAGGAAAAGTACAGACCATTCTTAACTAACACAGATGTGAAAACTTTTAACGAGAAAAGAACTTATAAGAAAATATACTCTAGTGATATACAGAAAGTCCAATATATTGCAGTTAGTTAATGTTTATTCCAGGAATGCAAGTATGATTCAATATTCAAAAATAATGTAATTTACTATATTAAAGCGGGAGAGAAATTGCATGCGATCATTTCAAGTGCATAAAAAGCACCATGTAAAATTTAACATCCACTCATGAAATGTCTTCACAAGGAAGGAATGAAAGAGAGCATTTTTAATGTAATAAAGATCTCTAAAAACCTACAGCAAGTGTCACACTCGATAGTGATATACTGAAATCCTTCCCTCGAACTAGGAATAAGACAAGTATGCTTACTCCCACAATTTCTCTTTAACATTGTGTTGGACACCCTAGCCACTGAAATAAGAGACAAATAGAAGGCATAAAGTGTTTAAAGGAAGAAATAAAATGTCATTATTCACAGAAGTCATGTTTTCTTTACCTGGAAAATCCAAAAGAATTTACAAACTATTAAAATTAATAGGTATAATTAGCAAGGACACCGAATACAAAATCAATTTTCAAATATTAATTGTATTTCTTTATCAGCAAGAAACAAAAAAAAATTAAAACTTACCATTTGCAATACTTCTCAGAAACATAAAATACCTTGGGAAAATTCTAAAAAAAAGCATGCAAACTTTTATATTGAAAACTATAGAATGTTATTCATAGAAATTTAAAGGATCTAAGTAAGTGAATGGATGTATCATCTTTATAGATTGTAATACTAATATTATTAAAATGCCAATTCTCCCTATAGATTTAAGGAAACTCTGGTCAATATTTTAGCAATACTTTTTATGAACAGCTGGCTTTAAAATTTATATGGAAATGCAAAAACCAACAATGGCTAAAGCATTTTTAAGAGTAGAATAAAGGTAGTGGACTGACATTACCCAATACTAAGATCTATTCTGAAGGTATACTAATTAAGACAATGTGGAATAGCTTAAAGATAGACAAAGGGACCCCTGGAACAGAAGACAGTCTAGAAACAGACCGCCATATATTCAGTCACTTTTTTTTAAATGACAAACACGATGCAACAGTGTAATTGAGGAAAGTATGGTCTTTCTCATAAATGTTGCAGATGGTTGGCTATTCATATGAGAAAAAAGTTAATTTTGATCCCTACCTCACCACATATAAAATATCATTTCCAATAATTTGTTAGATTATTCTTAACATAATAAAAAATTCTTAAAAATCTATAGCAAGTATCATAATCAATGTTGAAATATTCCAAATGGTCTGAGACATAAACTTAAAAGGTAAAACAATAATGTTTTACAAGAAAATATAGCAGAAAATATGATCTTGAAATAGATTTAAAAAATTTAAAACAGAAATCAAAAAGCAATATTGATGAAATAAAAAAATGTTTAGTTGAACTATATTAAAATTAAGCAATTTTCATCAAAAGACATTATTAAGACAGTAAAAAAAAAGCAACCACAGAACCTAGACACAATACATATACCCAAAGAAGAACTCAGAAAAAGTAAATATAAAGAAATTCTTAATTACTAAGAAAAGATTGACTATTTATATTTATGTATTTATTTTTTTGAGACAATCTCACTCTGTCACCCAGGTCGTAGTATAGTGGTGTAAGCTCGGCCCACGGCAACCTCTGCCTCCCGGGTTCAAACGATTTTCTCATGCCTCAGCCTTCCGAGTAGCCAAGATTACAGGCAGAGGTCACCTCGCCCAGCTAATTTTTTTTGCATTTTTAGTAGAGACAGGGTTTTGCCATGTTGGCCAGGCTGGTCTCAAACTCCTGGCTTCAAGTGATCTGCCCACCTCAGCCTCCCAAAGTGCTGGGATAACAGGGACAAATTAATTTTTTAAAGGCAAAAGATTTGAATAGGTATTTCACACAAGAGACTATGAACATGGCAATAAGATACAAAAAGAGGCTCAACTTTATTAGACATCAAGTAAATGCAAATTAAAACTGCAATGAGATACTTGCTGCACAAACACCAGATGGCAAATGCCAATTGTCATCCAGGCTGTGAAGTAAATAGAATCCTCCTCCATTGCTGGAAAGAGTGTAAATTGGTAGAAGCAATCCGGAAAAGTGTGGCAATGTTTACTAAAGCTGAACATGTGCATTTTCTATGACTCAGCAATTACAGCCCTGGCTACATACACCAGATCAATGTACATAAATGTTCACCAAAACTCACTGAGTAGAATATTCAACATAGCACAATTCACAATATACTAAAAATATACTACCCAAATAACCATCAGTGGTACAGTTGATAAATAAATCCTCATATATTAATAAAATGACATATAATAAAGTAAGGATATGATTGAAATCTCTACAACTATATGAAACACTATGGATGAAACTCATATATCCTGAGTAAAAGAAGCCAGGTGTATAAAAGTATATTCAGCATGCTTTCATTTATGTAAATTACAATAAGAGACACAACTAATCTATGCTGTAAAGATTGAGGACAGTGTTTTTTCATCAGGGAAGGGATATTAGAAGGAAGCACAGAGTAGATTCTGAAGTGCTAATAATAGTGTCTTAATCTGGGTGCTGGTTATATGGGCAATTTTTGTTTGTGAAATTCATCAAATCACATGATTGTATATTTAGAAAGCCCCATCGTCTCAGCCCAAAATCTCCTTAAGCTGATAAGCAACTTCAGCAAAGTCTCAGGATACAAAATCAATGTGCAAAAATCACAAGCATTCTTATACACCAATAACAGACAGAGAGCCAAATCATGAGTGAACTCACATTCACAATTGCTTCAAAGAGAACAAAATACCTAGGAATCCAATTTACAAGGGATGTGAAGGACCTCTTTAAGGAGAACTACAAACCACTGCTCAATGAAATAAAAGAGGATACAAACAAACGGAAGAACATTCCATGCTCATGGATAGGAAGAAACAATATTGTGAAAATAGCCATACTGCCCAAGGTAATTTATAGATTTAATGCCATCCCCATCAAGCTACCAATGACTTTCTTCACAGAATTGGAAAAACTACTTTAAAGTTCATATGGAACCAAAAAAGAGCCCGCATTGCCAAGGCAATCCTAAGCCAAAAGAACAAAGCTGGAGACATCATGCTGCTTGACTTCAAACTATACTACAAGCCTACAGTAACCAAAACAGCCTGGTACTGGTACCAAAACAGAGATATAGACCAATGGAACAGAACAGAGCCCTCAGAAATAATACCACACATCTACAACCATCTGATCTTTGACAAACCTGAGAAAAACAAGAAATGGGGAAAAGATTCCCTATTTAATAAATGGTGCTGGGAAAACTGGCTAGCCATATGTAGAAAGCTGAAACTGGATCCCTTCCTTACACCTTATATAAAAATTAATTCAAGATGGATTAAAGACTTAAATGTTAGACCTACCACCATAAAAACCCTAGAAGAAAACCTAGGCAATACCATTCAGGACATAAGCATGGGCAAAGATTTCATGTCTAAAACACCAAAAGCAATGGCCACAAAAGCCAAAATTGACAAATGGGATCGAATTAAACTAAAAAGCTTCTGCACAGCAAAAGAAACTACCACCAGAGTGAACAGGCAACCTACAAAATGGGAGAAAATTTTTGCAATCTACTCATCTGACAAAGGGCTAATATCCAGAATCTACAAAGAACTCAAACAAATTTACAAGAAAAAAACAAACAACCCCATCAAAAAGTGGGGGAAGGATATGAACAGACACTTCTCAAAAGAAGACATTTATGCAGCCAACAGACACATGAAAACATGGTCATCATCACTGGCCATCAGAGAAATGCAAATCAAAACCACAATGAGATACCATCTCACACCAGTTAGAATGGCAATCATTAAAGTCAGGAAACAACGGATGCTGGAGAGGATGTGGAGGAATAGGAACTCTTTTACACTGTTGGTGGGACTGTAAACTGGTTCAACCATTGTGGAAGACAGTGTGGTGATTCCTTAAGGATCTAGAACTAGAAATACCATTTGACCGAGCCATCCCATTACTGGGTATCTACCCAAAGGATTATAAATCATGCTGCTATAAAGACACAGCACACGTATGTTCATTGCGGCACTATTCACAATAGCAAAGACTTGGAACCAACCCAAAAGTCCATCAATGATAGACTGGATTAAGAAAATGTGGCACATATACACCATGGAATACTAAGCAGCCATAAAAAAGGATGAGTTCATGTCCTTTGTAGGGACATGGATGAAGCTGGAAACCATCATTCTCAGCAAACTATCACAGGGATAAAAAACCAAACACTGCATGTTGTCACTCATAGGTGGGAATTGAACAATGAGAACACTTGGACACAGGAAGGGGAACATCTCACACCCGGGCCTGTCGTGGGGTGGGGGGAGGGGGAAGTGATAGCATTAGGAGATATATCTAATGTAAATAGATGAGTTAATGGGTGCAGTACACCAACATGGCACATGTATACATATGTAACAAACCTGTACGTTGTGCACATGTACCCTAGGACTTAAAGTATAATAAAAAAAAGAAAAAGAAAATTCATCCAGTCATATGCTTATGGCACGAGCATTTTTCTTCATGTCTATTTTACTTCAATAAATGTTTTCATTAATAGTTTTTCAGCTTAACAGTAATATAAACAAAAATAACAAGACCATTAATTTCCTGGAAAAAAATGTCTATGAGGAAATATATTAGCTCCTTTTGGAAAAAAGCAATCTCTAAAACTTTACTTAGTAACTTCAAAGAAAATCAGAATAAATGGAGAGCTGTCCTATGTTAATGTTCGAGAATACTGAATACTGTAAAAGTATCTATTTCCCTTGATTTGTCTGTAACTTCAATCTATTCCAACCTAATGTACAAAAAAATGTTTCTTATGGCCATCAACAAGTTGGATTTTAATTTTTATGGAATTAGAATAGCTGAGACAATTTTAACAAAGAAGAACAAAAACGATTTTCTACTCTCTAAAGTAGCGGAACAAAAATTTACTAAATTTTTCAGGACACAGGATTTTCTACTCTCTAAAGTAGTGGAACAAAAATTTACTAAATTTTTCAGGACACAGGATTTTCTACTCTCTAAAGTAGTGGAACAAAAATTTACTAAATTTTTCAGGACACTAAATTCTCACGCATACATAAGAACTTAGTGTGTATTTTGAATCAGGCAAGAAAGGATGCACATTCCATTAAGTGTTGTTGTAAAAAAAATTTTAATGAAGATAGATTATTTCCCATATCACCCATAATATAAATTCTAAGGGAATTAATGTATCAAATATAAGAATGTAAAAAAACTATACAAATATTAAAGAAAAATATGAATATATGTTTATAATCATATGTTAAAAAAATTTAAACCATAAGGGAATAAAACAAATTAAAAACATAAATGGTAGTCTGGGTAATAGTATGCATTGCTTACATAATATACAAAGAATTGTTATTCAGAATGCATAGGAAGCGTCTACAAATCAGCAAGAGAAAAGCATATGCACAGGCAATTCATAGAAAATAAAAAGCAAAAGACCATGAACAACATGAAAAGAATACAAGCTTCAATGATAAACAGCGAACTTTAAATTAAAATAAAAATCTGATATAATTCTTTCATCTTTTAGATTAGCAAAAATGACAAGTTGATTATATCAAACATTGGTGAGGTGGTCAGCAAACAGTCTCTGCTATTACAGCTATAAAAGTACATTGAAAATTGCTAAGAGTGGTGGAAGGGGAATGAGGGATTAAAAATTACCTATCAGGTACAATGTTTGCTATGCGTGGAATGGGTACACTAAAAACCCAGACTTCACCAGTACTCAATAGATGCATGTAAGAAACCTGCACTTATATCTCCTAAATATATTAAAATGAATAAATAATAAAATAAATAAATTGCTATAAGTATAAATTGGCAGATATTAAAAAATACATGGTGTTATCTAATAATGCCATTTCTCAGTATAAGTTTTGCCCTAAGGAAATATGTTCATATGTACTTATGTAAAAATGTTCATCATGGCATTGCTTATACTAAAAGCAGGGAGAGAGAGAGAGCGAGGGAGAGGAGAGAGAAAAACCCTTAGTGCCCATTAATGGAGTAGTAGATAAATGCATTTTTGTTAGATATAACTAAATATACCATAGACTGCATATTATATAAAATTACCAGTAGTTGTTAAGGTAGATCCACGGGTACTAATTTTCTTTGGATAGCTCTCCATGTGCATACACTGTAGGGGTAAATCTGTATGTACCAACATGGATTAGGTCTCCAAGATAAAGTGTAAAAAGCATTGAAGAAAATGTTCCGTCATTTAAGGTAAAAATGCATATAAAAATAAGAATTAAAATATACAGTAAAATATTTCTCTTTGTATGCAAATATTTTATGTAAATGAACAGAAAAAATGGCTGGATGAATGACCACACAAAAATTGAGACAGTAATACTTCAGGGAGTTAAGAGGGAATCAGCATTTGGAAGGAGTCATCAAAGGAGTGAATAGTGGACATCTATTATTGTTACTCCCCTGCATCTATTACACCTTTTAAAAGTACATGAATTTGCTTTTGGAGAAACTTCTCCATCTGTCAACCAATATGCTTGGGTGGAACTGAACACCCCGATCCAAGATTGAAACATGTAAACAAGACCAAAAGCAATCAGTGTTTTCTAGTTTCATGGAAACAGTGATTGGCTCAAGACCATAAATCAAAACAAATGAAACTCAATTCCGGAAACTTAAAAAGCTATTGTAAAATATCAAAGTGAAAGGAGGAAAGCTAAAGCCATTGCAGTGACCTTACAACCTTAAAAAGAGAGCCTGAGGGGGAAAAACAAACAAACAAAAAACAACATTGTGGAAGTTCCAAGGTGTACGCAAAGAGGGTATTAGGTTCTGGCCACCGCTGCCACCATTGGGTATAGATCCATAAATCCCCACAACTGCCTAAGATTTTTTTCAATTGAGGTCCCTTAGGCTTACTTTTTTTGTTATAATTTTCACTAGAAAAATATATTTGTGTACTTATGAAAAACAAATAAAGGGAAACTCATGATTAGAATAAAGGATTTCTTTTTAAAATAATTTTTAAATTGACAAGAATAATATATATTTATGGTATACAACATGATGTTTTGAAATATATATACATTGTGGAATGGCTCAACAGAGCGAATTAACTTATGCATTACCTCACATTCTTATTGTTTGTGGTGAGAACACTAAAAATCTACACTTAGCGACTTTGAAGCATACAATCCATTGCTATAACTATACTTGCCATACTGTATACTCGGCATGCTATAGGATTTCTGAGGTCCACTCATTCTTCTGAGTGTAAGGTTTGTATTACAGTTGAGGTTTTATTAAAGTAATAGGGTGTGAATCATAAGAAAATACTGTAAAAAATATTACACTTTATCCTAGAAGATACAACACAAGGATGTAATCACTTCTAATCCTTGTTAGGATTATCTGTATATAAATCATAAACACATATAATTCGAAGGTAAAAATTGTAGGTGGAGACAAACAAAATCTTTAGTCTGACTAAACAACAGAAACGTTGCCATCAATTTCCAAACTCCTTCTCCCCTAATTATTGTTAACAGAAAATGTGGGTGCTTCATTTAAAATGCCACTCTCTAAAATGATGTGAGCAGTGTGAAATTTATAGGTAAGAGACAAACACACTTCTTGTAACTGCTGTGCTTATCTGAAAAGAGAACTGCATCTTTGAATAGAGACTTTAAAATAAACCCTCTTTTGTCTTCTTCCTTTTTCCCCTTGTACTTCACTTTCTGGTCTCTTTTCTACACCTCTTGGAGGAGTTCAAGCACAGCAATCCATTCACTTCCTCTCTTTGTGCCTCTGCTCTCCTTCCAGCCAGCTATGTTCCTCCCCTAGCACATTTCGAGGACGGTGCCTCACCATGATAGCCCATATTCATCACTCCAGCTCAGCTGCGGAGGGGTGGGCTCCACTGTTACCTCACGTGTGCTAATGGCCAGTAGGCAATTGCTGGTGGTGATGACTTTCAGTTTCTAGATACCAATCTGACTTAACGAGTTACTTCCAAATATGTAGTATATATCCTCTTTGTGTATTATTTCCATGGCTACTCAGTCCCTCAATTATTTTCTAAAATGATGCTACTGCTTACAATGCCAGATTTGTATAATCTAAACAAACAGGTGGTCTGTCTGGCGCATGCTGGCAAGCCAGATTGTTAATTGTAAATTAAGCTCAAAGAAATTCCTGGTTTGGGGCATAGCATCAATTCACTTAGCAAAGGAGTAAATTTGTAATCTAAAGCCTTCTTGAAAAACTGTGTCATTAGTAACTTGAATTGTATGTTTAAAAAGACAAAACAGGCCAGGCACCATGGCTTACGTCTACAATCCCAACACTTCGGGAGTCCAACGCAGGGGGATTGCTTGAGGGCAAGAATTATCAGCCTGGGTAACATATCAAGATCCCATCTCTATAAGACAATGTTTTTTTTAATTAGCCAAGTGTGGTGATGTGCACCTGAAATTCCAGGTTCTCAGGTTGCTAAAGCGAGAGGACTGCTTGAGCCTAGAACTTCGAGGCTGGCAGTGAGCTATAATCATGCCACTGCACTGCAGCCTGGGCAACAGAGCAAGGCTGTGTTTAAAAAAAAAAAAAAAGGCAAAACAAGTTAAAATGATATGTGCTAGTGCATATGTTTTTTTCTTGGACTTCAGAGACATAATGCAGACCTGACACATACAGCACCCCTCCATCAGTCAATGCAAGGCTCCTTTGTGGTTTCATTTCATTTTATTATTTTTCTAAACTTGTTTTCTATTATATCTATTTTTATTATCCAACTCTAATTGCTTTAATGTATTACTTTCAAATGCATGCCTCCTTCAAATAGTAAGTTCTATTTTATATGTATTTTCTTATTTTAAAATGACATAGTGCTTTGATCTTGTACTGATGTTTACTCTTCATTCTTAGCCATGTTGTTATATGATTCCTACCTTTTTGCAGCATAGAATTCCACTGAATACTATCGCTACATTTTGCTTATCCATTCCCTCAGTAATAAATCTAATGAAGCCTTCTTTGCTATTGCAAATCATGTGCAACGAACATTCTCATATATATCTATTTGTAACACTGTATATGTTATTTAATTCCACAAAAATGTACTAAGTACCAAATAAGCATTGTGAACTGTTCTAGGTATATAGGATACATCAGTGAGCAAAAGAAACAAAAAGCCCTGGCCTCAAATGAGTTTATATTCCAGAGGATTTTCTCTACAGAATATATCTGTGAATAGGGCCCCTGGATTTCATGACAGAAACATTCCTAATTTCACTAAACATTGTCAGAATCTGAATAGCTGCACCAAGTTAAACAGTCATCAGTAATATGTGAGGATCCTTGTTCTCCTGCCCCATACTTTGTTGACTCAGGAAATTATAAAACTCCCTAATATCTGGCAACCCAATAGAAATAAAATGACGTAATTTCTTCAATCACTAGAAAGTTTAGGGTTTCAACACATCTCTAAGTTATGTGGTTCTACACTGTGTAAACTGCCTATTCATAATTGTTTCCAATTTTTCTGCTCTTCTTTTTATTTTAAAGCATTTAAAAATATTTTTAGCAGAAAAGAAGTATTGGAAATATAAAAAGCTAGAAAAGTACAAAAGAATAAACCCAAACTAAGAAGGTAGGGTACAGATAATGATCAATAATTGCCATTTATTTCTTAATGAAATAGAAAAAAATGAGCTCAGTAAAGCTCTAAAGATACAATATTTTTTAAAAATTGGTTTATTAGAGAAAAAAACCATAAAATAGGCAAAACTTTGGCAAGGTGTAACAAAAAGATGGAAGATGTATATACAGTACAAAAGCAGATAAACAATTCATATGAATGTTCCTATTAAGGACAAAATTAAAATGATGATTTAAAACAAAAACAAATAAATCAGTCCCACATGGCTTAAGAGGTACATTCTAGGAAATTTTTGGTGATAAGATATACAAGTTACATAAAATATTTAAAAACAAGAAAGTTGGTCATATCATGTAATAAGGCTTAAAATTATTTATTTCAAAACAAAACAAGGACATACAGGCTACCAAAAAGCTAGTTAATTCCACTGTTTGCCAGTGTAAAGGATTAGCCATTATGGGAACTACATTTCCTATAAAACTACAAAACCAGCCGATGTTTTTGACAGAGCAAGACTCTGATCCTCAAGGAAAGGGAAAAGTAACGTAGCAAGCTTATTTCCAGACTTACTTCCCAAACCGGTTTCCAGTCTGCAGCATAAAGAACAGGAACCCAAATAAAGCCTACCAATCTCAATCTCTGCCTGAATGGACACTGGATTTCAGGTAGGACAAGGAGCTGTGGGACGGGGTAATGGAAAGGAAGAATATGAACAGAGAAATTGTGCTGCAGATCTGCAGCCTGTCTCTATAAGACTTTGGCTAAGTAATGTTCTGTGTATACAAAATGTCTACGATAGCACCATCAGACAGCAATTTCCTAGGCCTTATATAAGAATAGTAATAGTTTGTGCCACTACCAGCCATAGTAGAGAAACCTCATAAGTATGGGGCATTAGATAGAATTCTTAGAATGGTCTCATCTCAATATTAGGACTGATTCTTCTAGGAAAAAAGACTGAAAAGCATTACCAGAACATAAAAGAAAACCCTGAATGAATCAACAGATCTCAGGTGACATAACTGCTTGCCAGAACGAAGCCCCACATTCTTTAAAGGAATACAAAAATGTCCAACATGAACGACATAATCTAGAACACAATAAAACATTCCCATGTATGCAAGGAGGCAGGATAATATGATCTATAACTGGAATAAAAATAAATCAATAAAAACAAACTCATAAATAAATGATAAAAGTAACAGAAAAGAATATTGACATAATTATTAGAAATATGTTCCACATGACAAGAATATAAAGGAAATTACAAACATGATGAGAAAAGATAATATAAAAAAACAGACAAAAATAGAATTCCTAAAGAAAAAAATCCAAAATTAGACACTGGAGCATATTGGACACTACAAAAGGAAAAACAAGTGAATTAGAAGGCAAAGAAATAAAATCTATAAAAATTAAGCACAAAGTAAAACGAAAATCATCAGTTACCTGTGGGAAATATTAAGCAGTCAAATACGGTATAAGTAGAGACCAAAAATGAAAAGTAGGAGTAACGAGAAAAAAATTCAAGAAGTAGTGGCTGAAAATTTTCCGTATTTGACGAAAACTATAAGCTCACAGTTCTAAGAAGCTCAACAAATAAAAGCAGAATAAATATAATCATACCAAAGCACCTCCAATTGTTCTACTGTGAAAAACTTTAAAGTAGCCAGAATAAAAGGATGCCTGATACACAGAGAAATAAAGTTAAGAATGGCAGTTGACTTCTCATCAGAAATGATGCAAAGTAAACAAAATGCAACATTAGAGTACTGTGAACAAAACATTGTCAACCTAGAATTCTGTGTCTAAATAAATGGCCTTTCCAAAATGAAAGCAAACTACCTTCCTGCTTCTAGTCTGGAGGTGAGCTGGGAGTGGAGGTCTGGGTCCTAGGCTCAGTACATGACATAGGGAAAGCTGCCAGTAGCTGTTGCCATGTTCCCTCCCTGCGCTCAATGCAAGTGGACACGGTGCCAGGGTATTAGATGTTGCATGGCAAGATGAGGCCCAATTCCCAGAGACCCTATGCATCATGAGGCCCTGCAGGGTCTGCTGTAGACTGAGGGGCTCACATCTGCCATGAAGGCCAAAGTTTAGAAATGAAAACCATCTCATGTGTGAGGGGCTATGTTGAAGGAGGGAAAGGAGTGAACAAAGGGGTAAACTCAAGAAAGGAAAAAAAAAAAGAAAAAGGAGAGAGTGCAGATGGCAGGAGTGCCACCAGCTGCAGTTTCAGGTGCTGAATAGGTCTGGTCCACAGGTCAAGCTCTGTCTACCCCTTTTAGAAGGATGAAGGAATATCTATTCCTGAAGTAGGAGAGGCACTTTCATTTGGTCTCTAATTGAAATTTCAGCCCCAAATTGAGATTCACAGGCGAATTTAAACCTTCTCTCAGAAGTATATGGTAGAACTACAAGAGAAACAAACAACAAATGCTCATCTGAAATTTTGATTGTCTCACTAGTAATCCCAGAAAAAAAAATTAGAGGCTATTTCTCAAGCATATGTTTTCTTAGGACTAATAAACAGATGTCTAATATAAAGACTTGGGCTGAGTATGTTGTGGAATAATGTGCAAAGGACCCTTCCAGCTTTTTAGAACTGATTTTGGCCCTTATTCCACTGATCCTAGGAAATGTCATACATCCCTGGAAACTGTTCAAAATGACTGAAGCCAGGAAAAAGGATCAAAAGAAGAAACAAAAACATCAAGAAAATATCGCAAAAGCCAAACAACTGAAAAAGGACTGATGAAAAGAATAGGCTTTGCAACTAGAGAAAACCTTGAAAGAACACACTATGGTTTCTTCTCTGGTTTGTATGATAGCTTATTGAGTAAGCAGTCTGACCTTACAGAAGAATCATATTAGTAATTTTTAATCTTGAGTGTAGTTTTAGACTCTGTTGACAGTCATTTTAAATTAGCATTTGCTAATCTACAAATCCTTTATAACTAGTTAGTCGTCTACCATTTTAAGGCCTATGTACTAAAATGAAAACACCCCATGGGGAAAATAATGTTAGATTTTTAAATCTATTATTCAAATAATGGCTTAAACTGAGGTTCTGTTCTGGGCAAAAAAAAAAATAATCATGTGAAAGACAGAATCGTCTTCTCTAAAGCAAAAAATGCGCTTTGGCTTTAAAAAGATACAAAATATTAATTACACTTTTAGCATTATAGCTTATTTCTTGGAATATAATTATTTCTGACTTTTTCAAAGCAAAGCAATATTAACCAGTGAGCACTTCTAATTTTTGCATTTCTTTTCCTTGATTTGTCTTTGAGATACTGGTAATCAACATTCTGCATTTTGTTTATCTAATTTTATAAATATTTCTCTTATCATCTTGACTATGTAAAATACCACCTACTGGATATAACAAATGTTATACTTATAAACACTTTCATTTTCTTAGAGATGAATTTCTTAAAGAATAAAGCTATGATTGTAAATTGGCAGTAAAAATGCCAATTATTTTAGTAACCTAGTGCCAGATAATTCTTGCTTGTGCTAACTATAGAAATGTGAAATGTTTAAAATATCTTCTCAGATAATTTGCTGATTATATTGATACTGTGTCCACAATTTGTGGGTTCTTGGTCTCACTGACTTCCAGAATGAAGCCACGGACCCTGGCGGTGACTGTTACAGTTCTTAAAGGTGGCATGTCCGGAGTCTGTTCCTTCTGATGTTCCGATGTGTTCGGAGTTTCTTCCTTCTGATTGGTTCGTGGTCTCGCTGGCTCAGGAGGTAAGCTGCAAACCTTGGCAGTGAGTGTTAACAGCTCTTAAGGCGGCGCGTCTGGAGTTGTTCCTTCCTCCCGGTGGGTTCACGGTCCCGCTGGCTTCAGGAGTGAAGCTGCAGACCTTTGCAGTGAGTGTTACAGCTCATAAAAGCAGTGTAGACCCAAAGGGTGAGCAATAGCCAGATTTATTGTAAAGAGCTAAAGAACAAACCCTCCGCAGTGCGGAAGGGGACCCCAGCAGGTTGCCACTGCTGATCCGGGCAGCCTGCTTTTATTCTCTTACCTAGCCCCACCCACTTCCTGCTGATTGGTCCATTTTACAGAGAGCCGATTGGTCTGTTTTACAGAGAGCTGATTGGTCCATTTTGACAGGGTGCTGATTGGTGCATTTACAATCCCTGAGCTAGACACAGAAGTTCTCCACCTCCCCACTAGATTAACTAGATACAGAGTGTCCACACAAAAGTTTTCTGTGTCCCCATGAGTAGTTAGATACAGAGTGTCGATTGGTGCATTCACAAACCCTGAGCTAGACACAGGGTGCTGATTGGTGTGTTTACAAACCTTGACCTAGATACAGAGTGCCGATTGGTGTATTTACAATCCTTTAGCTAGACATAAAGGTTCTCCAAGTCCCCACCAGACTCAGTAGCCCAGCTGGATTAACCCAG
The DNA here is from genome assembly GCF_000001405.40 of Homo sapiens. Classification (NCBI taxonomy): domain Eukaryota; kingdom Metazoa; phylum Chordata; class Mammalia; order Primates; family Hominidae; genus Homo; species Homo sapiens. Next base: position 59,761,940 of record NC_000008.11, read on the forward strand.
TGGATCCTGCAAAGGGCCGCAGGTGGAGCTGCCTGCCAGTCCTGCAACGCTCACCCGCACTCCTCAGCCCTTGGGTGGTCGATGGGACTGGGTGCCGTGGAGCCGGGGTTTGGCGTTTATCGGGGAGGCTTGGACCGTGCAGGAGCCCACAGCAGAGGAGGGGAGGCTCAGGCATGGTGGGCTGCAGCTCCAAGCCCTGCCCTGTGGGGAGGCAGCTAAGGCCCGGTGAGAAGTCGAGCACAGCAGCTTCTGGCCCAGGTGCTAAGCCCCTCATTACCTGGGGCTTGCCTGCCGGCCGGCCACTCCCAACATGGGGCCCGCGGAGCCCACGCCCACCCGGAATTCGTGCTGGCCGGCAAGCCCCGCGTGCAGCCCCGGTTCTTGCCCGTGTCTCTCCCTCCACACCTCCCCGCAAGCTGAGGGAGCCGGCTCCGTCCTTGGCCAGCCTAGAAAGGGGCTCCCACAGTGCAGCGGCAGGCTGAAGGTCTCCTCAAGCACGGCCAGAGTGGGCACCAAGAGCGAGCGAGGGCTGCCAGCACGCTGTCACCTCTCAATACCACTTTTGTTTTTATTCCATTATTTCTTGTGATTCATGTGTTAGTGATGTCATTATTTTTTGGCTAAACACTTTCAGGTGAAAGTTAAATTTCAAGCTTTCCTTTTAAAGAAATCTTAAAAGTAACAGACGTGTCATAAGTGGTAAAGAAAGGCTTAAAGTGTGAAAAAACTGTGAAGGGCATAGTAACAATTGGGATGGAAATAAATACATTGTGTCAAAATAAGAATCTGTTTTAGCAGTACAGAGCTAAAGGATATTTCTTTCAGTGAATAGTTTAGCTGGATTTTTAAAATATTGAACATGGATTTTATAAATTTGTGATCCAATAAATTTATTCCCTGTCATTCTTTAATACCTTGTGAAGGTTTTTTCATCTCTAATATAAATTTTTTTATAAAAGTTGTCTGTAATGTGAAGTTTATAGAATTTAAAACTAAAATAACTGACAACAATACACATGAATTGGGAATATGGAATTGTATGAGTTAAAGGTTTTTACTTTTTATGATGGGGGAAGGCAGCATATTATTACAATTTTTAAAGTTAAATTGTGATAAACAAAACGTGCATATTATTTATATATATATATATAACATTATATACATAGCAATCAACAAAATTAAAAACTAAAACAAAGATTGATAAGTTAATAAGCCAGTGATTTAGTTAAGATAATTCTAAACAATAGTAATCCAAAGAAGGCAAAAAAATTAAATAGAAATGTTGTAGGATCAGACGTAACAAGTAAAAGACAAATAAAAAGATATTAGATTTAAACCTATCATACTGATAATTACAATTAATATGAATGGCTAAATACTCCAAATATGCTTTCTACCAGAAACTAGCATTAAATGTAAAGGCACACATAGGTGAAAAGTAAAAATGATAGAAAAAGTTATACCATATAAATACTAATTTTAAAAAACTGGCATGATTATATTAGCATCTAGCAAAGTAGACTTCAGAATAAGACATATTGCTAAAGAGAAACATGTAATAATTACAAAGAAGTTAATACAAAAAACATTGAATTTGTATGTGCTTGATAACAGAACTTTAAAATCTATAAAGCAAAAATACTATCAAAATAAACGAAGAAATAAACTCCCATTTAAAGTAAAAAATTTCAAAACTTTAAATGATAGAACAATAACAAAAAATAATCAATAATTAGAGAAAATTTGAACAACACTATCAACTAACTTTACCTGTTTAATATTTAGGGAATATTGCACTCAATGACACCAGAATACCCATTCTTTTCAAGTGCACATAGAATATTCACAAAGCTAGATTTCACTCCAAGCCATAAAACAAGTATTAACAAATTTAAGGAACTGAAATCTTATAAATTGTGCTATCTATCTGCTGTGATATTCACCAAGAAATCAACAACAAAAGATATTTGAAAATCTTATAAATATTTGGAAATTATACATTACATTTTCAAACAGCTCAATAACTCATGGATCGAAGAAAAAATCACAAGGTAAAATTATAAAACATTTAGAACTAAAGAAAGTGGAATAATTCAAAATTTGCAGGAAGCAGTTTAGCTAGTGCTTTGAGGAAAATTCATAGCATGTAATGTTTATATTCAAAAGTAATTGTCTAAAATCAATCACTGATGGTCACACTTTACAAAGCTAAGGGTAAAAACAGAAAGCAAATGTAATCTAAAGTATGGAAGAAAAGAAAATAATAAAGACAAAAATTAAGGAAATAGGAAACAGGAAGCCATAGAGAAAATCACTGAAACAAAAATAAATTTTTAAAGAAAGTCAATACAACTAATAAAACTAGCCAAAATAATGAAAAAAAACCCCAGAAGATTCAAAAATATTAAGAATGAAAAAGAAGATACTATCGATGCTACAGATTTAAAAATTATAATAAATAAAATTGGCAACTTTATGTCAACACAATCAGTAACTTAGGTAAAAATGAGCGAATCTTGATAGACACAAATTCATATCCTTATTCCAGAAGAAATAAACAATGTAAATAGACTCAAATATATCTATTAAAGAAATTGAAGTAATAGTTTAAAAAGTTTTATTAAAAATTTAAAATTCAGATGGCTTCAGTGGTAATTTCTACCAACATTTTAAAGTAAGAAATAGTAACCACTTCACGTAAACTCTTCCCAAATATAGACACAGAGGATGCTTCCTAATTCATTTTATGAGGCCAGCATCAACTGATAGCAATACCAGATAATCAGAATAGAAAAGAAGAAAGAAAAAGTACAAATCATTCTCCTTTATATATATAAAATAGCAAAATTTATTAACAAAAGTTTAGCAAATCTAAAATTAAAAAAATGAATACTATAATGTTTCATGAATATATGGTTTATCCCAAGAATGTAAATTTGGCTCAACATTACAAAATCAATCAATGTTAGCCACAATATCTATAGAGTAGAAGACAAAAACAATTTATTATCTCAATAGATTTGGGGAAAAATGGCAAATCTAATACACAGTTATAATAAAACATCAAAACAAACTAGAAATGGGAAGGAACTTCCTCAACCTAATAAAGGTGTTGTAAAAATTGATTAACAAACATTATATTAGTGTTAAAAGCCTGATAATTTTCTTTTTTTTTTTTGATACAGAGTCTTATTCTGTTGCCCAGGCTGGAGGGCAGTGGCATGATCTCGGCTCACTGCAACCCCTGCCTCCCAGGTTCAAGTGATTCTCCTGCCTCAGTCTCCTGAGTAGCTAGGATTACAGGTGTGTGCCACCATGCCCAGCTAATTTTTGTATTGTTAGCAGAGATGGGGTTTCATCATGTTGGTCAGGCTGGTCTCGAACTCCTGACCTCGTGATCTGCCCACCTTGGACTTCCAAAGTGCTGGGATTACAGGCATGACCCACTGTACCCAGCCAAGGCTGACAATTTTCTTCATAGAATCATAAATAAAGCAAGGATGTCTGCTCTTACCACTTCTACTTAACACTATAATTGAGGTCCTATGTAGTACAAAGAAAGAAAAGGAAAAATATTTTGAAAAGGAAAAAGTGAAGCCATGTTTATAGACACAAAACTAGCAAGTTTTTAGAAATTTATTTTAAGAAGCTGATATCTTAACTGAGTTTATGAAGTTTGTAAGATACAAGATCGATAGCAATCAATTATATTTTTATATACTAGTAACAACTAGACATTGAAATAAAATGCTGATAAAATTTACAATAGCTAAAAAAACCCATAAAACATGCACAGATAAATTTAAGAAAAATGTGTAGTATCTGTACATTGAAACCTACAAAAGAGAGATGTTAAACAAAATTGTGTATGTGGAAGGATATACTTTGACCCCTACCTCACATCAAATGCAAAAATTCACCCAACATGTAAAATAGACTTTATTGGGAAAGTAATATGTAAATATTACATGATTTTGTATTACAAACTTGAGCTTCCTCAAATTTTGGTATCTTTGGGAAGATACCAAAGATATCTGGAACCATTTCCCTATGAATTCCAAGGGGCAACTGTATATCCTTACCTATCGAAGAAAAACCCAAATAAATAAATGGAAAACTAAAAACTATAAATCTTCTGTAATTAAAAATAGGAGAGAAATCATTAGACCATATGTTAGGATAATACTTCTTATATATGACACAAAAACCATAAGCCATAGATAAATATTAATAAATTTGTATCAAAATTGAAAATGTTTTCTCATTATTGAGAAAATGAAAAGGCAAGCCAGGAACAGGGAGACTGAAATATATATTGCATATATACAAAAAAAATTATATGCGGAATGTAAAATGAACTCTTTACTCCACTTTAAAGAAGATATACAAGTGACCAATAAGCATATTGTAAAACATGCTCAATATCATTAGTCATCAAGGAAATGGAAATTAAAAGTACAATGACATGCAGTAAATGTATTTTAAAATAATGCATCATAGTATGGTTTAGATCATTCCAGGTAATCAGAGATGATTTGTCATTAAAAAATGCTCAAAAATAACAGGAAAATTTCAGTAGATAAATTAATCATTAATTTCATTTGTTAATTACTATATATGATAAAAGCAAGATAAGAATGACAAAACTGAGAAAGCAATTTCTTGTCTTAGCAAAGGCTGGCTGCACAAAAATTTTGCCAAATATTATGTTTAAACAAAACAATAACAAAACATTGAGATTTTATTTCCTTTAAGACAAGAGCCAGATGAGTTTGATGAATTATTTTATCATAGGAAATTAAATAAGGTTTCTTACTATTATTATTTTAAGATAGGAAATTAGATGAGGTTTCTTACCATTGTTCTTTTAAGACAGGGAGCTAGCTAAGAATGTTCAGTACCTTTGCTTTGATTCAGCATTGTAGTGTTTACCAACTGGTCAGTGCATTTGGGAAAGAAAATTGCTAAGAGGCATGAGACAATTTTGCAGAATATTCGAGCATCTTCATAGAACCCCAACAGAATGATCAAAGAAGTGACTACAGTTTGTTAAAGCTAATTAGCCTGCAGTCTAATAAAATCCACTTTTTTTTTTTTTGCTTGCATGCAAGGAATAAATTCAGAGAAAGATGAAATGTTGGTTAAACAAGAGGGAGAAGAAATTCAACTTTTGCTAGGCTTGGGTTCCCTCTGAAGGATTCTGAGGAGGGTCAAAGGAAAGCAAGAAAAGATTGGTTGCTGTTTTTAAAGAGGGAATTGAAGACACAGGGATTAACCAGAGATTGGCTGCTGTCTTGTGGCGAGAGTGACTAAACAATTGGATATCTCCTATAATTAATGAAACAAGCAAAGCAGATCTGGGACTTCACTGGAGAGAAACCAGTAATCACTCAAAGTGGTGTCTTCATGGCATTTTACAACTGCAGCATGACCTTGGGAGATACAGTGTTGTTAAATTTGCAGCTGACTTTATCTGTGTCTGTCTTCCCATCCTGATTAATGGCAGGTTGCTTTTTGCTTTTACAGTCAAAGCCGATTTTCACTCTTCAGTCCTATGTAGTTTTTGACTCTTTCACAACTAAAGGAAAAATCAGTAAGATGGCCAAATAAAAGATCACTTTACAAATTCAATTGTTTGTTTCAATTACACCAAGAATAAGTGGAAATAAAATTTAGGAAGGAAGATATAAATTAAATCTCATCCAAACAGGGAAAAAAATGTTGAAATTCTATTTAATAACATAAAAGAATGTGTAAACAAATGATGTTAAAACATTATACTCTTGATCAGGATAACTTAATATTGAAAAAATATCAATTTCCACCAATCTCACAGAATTAATTATCAAGTTCAAGTCAATTTATACCAATATTTTGGGAAGAAACTTTACAAATATTAACTTTAAATTTAATATGGAAAAAATATCCACAATTATTTAGGGCAATATTTTAAAAAGTAAATGTAAACTACAGTGAAGCACCCTACTATGGTATATAACCTATGATAAATCATAGCAATGAAATAATGTATAGACAGATGAATAAGCCAGTCGTCACAGAACAGGAGAAAAAGCCCTGATGCAGACTTATCTATTCATGGAAACTTAGCAAATAAGGGAGGTGGCATTGCAAATTATAGGAGATTTGCACTGGGGATTGTTAAAAGAAAAACTTCAGGCAAATTAAATTTAAAGGAGTATAATTGAGCAATGAATGATTCATGAATCGGGTAGTCCCCAGAATCACAGCAGATTCAGAGAGACTCCAGCACAGCCACATCGTGGAAGAAGATTTATAGACAAAAAAAGAGAAATGACATACAGAAATAGGAAGTGAGGTACAGAAACAACTGGACTGGTTACAGCTCAGCGTTTGCCTTATTTGAACATAGTTTGAACATTCGACAGTGTATGAGTGGTTGAAGTATGGCTGCTGGGATTGGCCAAGACCCAGTACTGTTATAGGGGCACACTCCTAAGTTAGGTTCTCAATCTTGTCTATGTGCTAGGTTAGGTTGCAGTTTGTCCACTAGGACTCAAATATAAAGTATGGAGTCCTTCTCAGACCATATTTAATTTGCTTTAACAATTCCCCACTTTGGTCACTTTCTCAATTTTGACAGATCAACGAAAACTTTAGTTATTGATGCCACTATTACCATCATAAATTTACTTACTTGTTCTTGAAACCCACTGTGAAACAGAACAGTGAGTTTTGCAAAGATAGGAACAAGGACTTGAGGAGAGGATACCTCCTTATGCTGGAACACCCCGTTTACAGGAGAAAAACAAAACCTGGTCTGTTCTAGGTTCTATGTGTTTTCTTAAAGTCTTAGTTGGTTTGGTTTGGATTGTTGGGGGCCTACTGCATGAGCTCAGTCCAAAACAATGGCCTCCCATAATTTTGTTTTAAAAAATTCCTCCTTTTTGGTCAGGTTCTCACTTAAGTGAGAGTGTGACCAAAACTTAGGGCCTTAGTTTCACTCTCAGTTTCCATCATTTTGGGTTTCCAGTCTCAGCAGGTCATTCATAGGTTACGGTGTCCTCATGTTCACACATTTCTTTCAGCTTTTGTCATTCCAGTTGAAGACAGACCGTATAACATTCTAGAGATGGCTGCATGCAAACATTTAAAATCTTTGAGAGAATACAGCACACCAGGGAGACTTCTATTATGACTTTCGGGAGGCTAATACCAAGAATTTGGAGTATGCTCCTTACCCGGGGTCCCCATAAACCAAACCACCTAAAATCAAATAGATCAAAGAATGAGCTAGATAAAGAGTCTACTCACTTAACTAAGTGGTCTTTTTGTTAATCCCCTACAACTAAATCTCTGTAATACCCAATGTATTTTTCCATAGGCCACAAGTGCCAGCAGCTGCACAGATACTTCTCTGTTTAGCCAGTTCTATTTAGCATAACTTCCACAAGAGAATTTAAAGTCTGTTGTGTAACCATAGCCTCTTCAGTAGAATCTGTTATGGGACCTATCATGAGGCTTACATTTCTAACATTGCTTCTTTTACTTCAAACCATGGAAAAAGGACTTGAAAAAAGATGCCTTATAGAGGAGTGAAGGCCTCCTAGCAATGCTCTTTTTAACCCAAGATGTGGGTTAAGAGGAATGAGCCAATATTTTGTTTCTGACTGATTATGAGGCAACATATGTACCATTAAAGTTTAACATCTGCATTGGACCTTCATCTTTTATCTAACAAAGTATATGTTTATCCATGTACAAGGCTGGCTGCAAAGTCTTCACAAATAAAAGTATATCCCATAAGTGCACATAACAGTCCCCTTTTCACTTCTATTGTTCATAGAGGCATAATCAAGGGAGAAAAATTCAAAGATAACAGTCTCCTGATAGTAGAGAAGCCTTAATTCATGATCTTGGGGAAAGCTGTTCACATCAAGGATGCCATCTTCTTCTTCTGGGGAAAAATTTCCCTGAATAGCTTTACCTTAATGGTTCCAATGGGTATACAGTTCCAAGAGTGTGGAGGGACCTTTCTCAGTTGTGACATTATGAACCCAATGTTCAAGGTCCCAATGTTTTGCTGTAGTGTGGATTACAAGGACTATCTTTCTCTGATGTTCTCAGAAGATCCCATCTTCAGGTTTTATATTGTAAAGGGGTTGATTGTCCTCAGTGAAACATAAAATGTTTTCTTTGCCTGGTGAAAATATACTGTAGCATAAAAATCTACTATTATAACATCAGCCCTTTTGCATGGGAAAGTTTTTATACAACCAGAAAACATGCATTAATATGGATTTAGCAAACCTAACATTGATTATAAACTATTTTAGCAATTTATAAGTCACCACACCAATATGTATTTAATTTGGATTATTTTATCTTTTCTATGACAAGTCATAGAATGCACAACCTTTAATAACAAGAGCTTTAAGGACTCTGGGAGGACAAGGTGGCTGTCCTGGTTCTTCATGAGTCCATGCTTAACATTGGACTTATGTCTTCTTGAATACCAGTTGTTTCTCCAATTTAGGTGCATAGCAGTGATAACTAATGGGTTATCATAGTTAATTTGACTTAGGCCATGGAGTTTATTCAAATTGTATATCTAAACAATTTTAGTATTGCCCAATTTAGCATGAAATCTGGCAAAGTATTGTGTTGGTACTTAATTTTTTGCTCTACTTGGATTAGCAGTTTTATAAACCACTCAGTCTTTTTATTGAAGTTTAAGGAATTTTTACTTAGTCCAAATGATATGAATTTAAAGTTACTAGAAACCTATATTTAAGAGTGCTTTTTTAGGGTCCTTTCCATCCTTTCATGAGCCTCCTAAAAGACACTATATTCTAGGATTTTGTGTGCTTGTGAAGTTTTCAGAAACTGCATTAACATTATGCAACTAACTGTGGAAATGACTTTAAATAGTCATAATTAGAGACACAATTGACAAGGAAGTCTGGTTATTTTGGTGGTCCACAATAACTTAACATAATAACCTTAATTATAACTGATAGCATATAGGTATTAGAATTTTAGAAATCCCATACAATTTTAGAACATTTATTAATATTATTCATTAAATTATAACCTGAAGAAAATTAAACATTATTTCTCTTTTGACAATCCCATGTAACTAAACATGTTAAATAATCCTGTTTACCTCTCTTTTGGATGCTCCAGGTGTCTTTTGTAGCACACAAAATTTAGGGGTTCAAAAAGACAATTTTGAAGCTGAAATTTGACTTTGGGAAGCCTATCAAATGTGTTAAAGGTTTAAAACACTTGATATTACACTTAACCAGTTTGACCATGAGGTGAGATTCTTATAAACCTTTTATAACCCTTTAAAAATGTTTGTTAAAGAGCAGATCAGTGCCTTAAGAAAACCTTGTTGTGCTTTGATTCCAATGTTCAATTTATGGAAAAACCAAATAATACCCTTTTGAGTTTAGTCAATATGTTCACACACAGAATTTCTTTTACAAGATTAACTTTTACAAACCTTCCACAACTTGCTCAAATTTTAGCTCTATCTTACTTAATTTAAAACAATCCTTTAACTGTTTATATTAGGCAAAAATTTACATTCCCATGCCTTCTTATAGTCTTTTACTAATAACATATTTTACTTTCCTTACACACCTTGCATGTAAATCTATTTTCAGTGGTCTCAGTTATATGTTATAAGGGTAACTTTCAGCAACTTTTAATTTTGGTGCATAAATTTTCTTTCAGGAATCCTTTCTTGACTTACACAGACCACCTACAACATGCTTTGACTTTCTGACTTGTCCTAAACAACTGTCTTTTTAAACAACCAGGTATTTTACTTTAGGAAAAGAATTTAACATACAAGATTATTTTTTTATACAACATCTCTTTTCCTTATAAACTTCTTTGCACAGCCAGGGAACATGGCTCATTCCACATGTCCCCAGGTTTATCTAGAATCTAATGTCTCCAGTACATTGAACAATTTTTAAAAGTCAAAGCACTTTATAACCTTAAAGCATTTAGCAAACCTAATATCTGGCTTGCATAATTCAGACCAAATGTTTACATTTTTAAAGATATTTCTATTTTACCAATAATCTTTAAAACTGTGTTTATTTCCAAAAGATTATTTTAGTCACATGACCTAAAAGGCATTATAGTTACTTTTCTGACAAAATATTTGATTTAAGCACTTATTTTTCTTTGAGCCAATTAAATAGAGCTCTTTCATATCACACACACAACACATACACATATATAACTATGCAGACAGACAGAAGAAGATCCAGTAGTTCTAAATTTTTTCATTTACCAGTTTCTAAGTTTCTTAATTGGATTACTGGCTTTAGGGTGGAGTCCTTGGAAGAAATGGCTAGGAAAACATGCAGTTTCTAGGGCCTAATGAGCAGGAACATTTGGAAGGCAAAACAGATTTTGAGAGGGATCTGTCCACTTTTAATTCTTGGAGTTCCATGAGGAAAACAGTGTGTGTGTGTGTGTGTGTGTGTGTGTGTGTGTTGTCTTGTTTTTGTTTGTTTGCTTGTTTGTTTTTTGAAAATGGATTAGTGGTGCCTTCTCTGTTTTTCCAAGGAATCCCAGGATATCAGAAGTTATCTTAGGGCCTCTCATGTGTGCATTGAGTGGCAAGACAAAATGGAGAAAAATAATTCAGTCAACTGAGAAGAAAAAAATCTTTTTGGCAGAAAAAACAAAATTCAAGAAGTAAAAATCCATAAAGGCCTTTTAAATATATCTATAGCTTGGATGTCCACTTTCAATTAAGCTGACTTTTAACCATAGTGCTATTTTAAAAATCCGTTTGTTACCTGACTTTAGCCACACCAAGCAGCCAATATTTCTGGTTTTTGAACTTTACCTAAGATAACCTCCCAGGTGATCAGACAAAGGAAAATTCAAGATGGCTGGTGGAGGGGAAGAGAGTCAACAAATGGTAAAAGTCACACAGATATCAAACCAGAAAGGACTCATTCACTAAGCTGGGACTCAAATCTGGGCCACCACTGTGAAAGGACAAAACCTTAGCTACTGAGTTACAGCACTCAGCAGTCTCTATTGCCCTTCCCAGGAGTCTAGAATCATTAATTCTGAGCTTGCAAAGCCTTTTAACTGCTCAAGATAATTTTTAGAGTAACTATGACATGAACCCTAAAATTTCTATTCTCTGGAAGGTGGAGTCCAAGAGAAAGTACTGCCACACGGTTACAAGGTCAAGCTCCCAAGGACATAAAACAAGATGGAGTTCTCATCCAGCTGTTGTTGTTGTTGTTGTTTTTCAATCCACTTCAGTGTGTTCTTGTTCATTTGGAACATTCCATTGTAAGTTATCTTCAGTGAGATTTCATCATTTCTGTAAGACTTTGCTGCCTCTGAGGCCTAATGTATAAGCCAGAGGGAACTCAGTTTTTCAGAAATTAAGGATCTCATTTTTACTAAAATATTGGCTTTACTTTCAGGTTCCCTTGATGAACTTAGCCAATGATATTTTCCTACCTAAGTGCACAAGAAAAATGAAACAAATGGGTAGAACACAAAAATCCCTGTGAATTTCCAGAAGCTACATTTTACAACCTCTGCAATATTACCAGTTACTACCAGTTTCTTTCTGACCCAATCAGATGTAAGAGGCATCTCACTGGATCTAAGCCAGTTAATTACCGGATCAAATCCCATCCTGGACCCAGTCCAGTTTCTGTAGTGACTTCCAAACCCAGTTTGGAGCGGAAACTTGCTCAAAGAAACTCAGAGAGCTCAAAACACAAATCCATGGAGCTCTGAAATCCAAGAGAGAGCTTACCATGAATGTCAGTTGCTCTGAGAAATCAAAGGACAGAAGAGGCTGCAGCAGGTACCTTACTTTTTCACTCAGAGCTCCTGGGGGTCATTAGAAGGTCTACTTCAGATCCTACTTCGGACTTCATCTGTTAAAGGAAAAACTTCAGCCAAGTTAATTTTACAGGAGCTTAATTGAGCAATAAATGATTTGTGAATCACGTAGCCACCAGAATCACAGCAGATCTAGAGAGACTCCAGCACAGCCATATGGTGGAAGATTTATAGACAAAAAAGGGAAATGGCATACAGAAATCCCAAGTGAGGTACAGAAACAACTGGATTGGTTACAGCTCAGTGTTTGCCTTATTTGAGCACAATTTGAACACTCGTATGAGTGGTTGAAGTATGGCTGCTGGCATTGGCCAAGACCCAGTCACTGTTAGAGGGTCACACTCCCAAATTAGGTTGTCAGTCTTGTCTACCTATTAAGTTTGGTTGCAATTCCTCCACAAGTACTCAGATATAGAAGTAAGGAGCCCTTTTCCGGTTATATTTAATTTGCTTTAACAGGATAATGGGTTAACAACAGTTGCAGGGGAAAGTGGTTCACTATGTAAAGAAAAGTAAAACTGGATCCCTACCTTACAGCATACGCAAATAAAACTCCCAACTCTGTCAGATATTTAGAATTGATAGGGCTATAAATTTAAGAGAAGAAATGTAGAATTTTCTTGTCTCTTCAAAATAAGGAAGAATTTACTTTTTAATAGGGGAAATAAAAACATAAGCCAATCAAAATTAAACATTTTCTTCATAAACCATTGACAGGGTTCAGAACATTCTACCCTAAAATATGTCATCTCAGCATATTGAATATTTTAAGCTGAAGAAATTTGAGAAATAGCAGATACAAAAAGGACTCTCTGACTGTGCCCTGGACCAGGCCATAGATGCTTTATGTGAGAGGTGCCCTCCATAGACTCAGAGGAAAGGAGACTATCTCCAAAACAGAGAGACACTGAGAGGAAGCTGAATGAACAGGTCTTACCAAGGTTCCCCCAGTTTGCACCTAGCTAATACCCCTTCATCCTATCCTTTCCAGTCTTCATCAACTCTAGTCTAAAAACACACTGGGTTAACTGTTTCTTCAGGTTTTCATTTGTTTATGAAGGCTCCTGTGACACATAAAACATATTAAATAAATGTGTATGTTTTCTCTTATTAATATGTTCTTTGTTACAGAGATATTTTTCGTTTTCTACACCATGAACAGAGGAAACAGGTGAGAGAAGTTATTTACTTCATTGAAAGACTTCAAATAGTATATAAAATAATTAATATTGATATAAATATATATTTATTTTATATAATATACACTTACAATATAAAATTAAAACCTGTAATGAAATGCTATTTAAACCTGGAATTAGTTGCATTTCTCATTGTCTAATCTCTATGATATTTTTGCACATTTCAAAATATTTGAACATTTTCTTCTGGGAATACGGGAAAAACTCAGATATACTCACGGGTGATACAGATTGTTTTGTATCTGACAACCTGCTGAAAAAGTGTAGGTCTTATGAAATAAAAGATAGACATTTATCAAAAATCATGAGATCAAAAATTAAGTAATAGAAAATTGAAGAGTGTAACTTAGGATAACAAAACATGATAATGCTTCTGCTGCTTCCAAGATTAAAATGGCAAACAGAAAGGAGTAAAAAATATTGTAGCCAATGTTAACTAAGAATTCCTAGCATTATACTGTTATTATGACAACATCATTTCTATAAATTTGAAACTGCTATAGGTGTGTTTTCTATTTTCTTCCATTCTCAGAAGCTAGTGACTCCATTATTATTGAGAAATAAATACTGGGAAGCAATTATGTATAGAAATCATAAGCAGGGTCTATATGAGACTTAACCTTAGCTTTGTAACAAGGAATGTGTCATTTCATTAATTTCTGTTTCACAGGAGACAATTATTACAATTATTTCAAGAAGAAAAATCAAATGTTTAAACATTTTGCAACTTTCAGCTTCATTGGCAAAGATGCTTTTGTCTTTTGTCATGCTGTTGTTAGCTTAAAGCATCCTGTGTCTTCCAAAAGAAATCTTGACAGACGATTTTTTTCTTTTACTTCTACTTCAATTGTTAATTGCATATTTACAATCCTTCAATCAAGAGGCAAAGAGAAAAAGATTAGAAAAATTTTCTATCTGTCAACAGAACTTTGTACCATAATGAAACATCTACTCATTAAATATAGAGAACTTCATGGCATCAATAATAAGTGTTATAAAGGGCACAAAGGTATTATTAATTCTAAAGGAATGCAGGACTGGAAAAACAATAAGTCATTTTGACAGTTGCTATGAAGACCATTACCAAATGTTATGTTTACTTGACTAGGCTCAATTTATAAAACAAGACCTACAAAAAGAATCTGCAGTTTAATCAATTGAGATGTGCTATTATAAACAACTGCTAATGGACTGAAGCTTTGCATCCCTTTTTAATGATGGAATTGTGATCGCATTGTTAAAAATTAGGGTAATTACTAGTGTGGGCAGTTTATGTGCATTTTAAAAAGAACCTTAAATCAATGAAATAAAACTGTAGAACAGATTTAATGTGACCATAAATGTTTCTTTTTTAAGTTAAATTAAGCTAAAGATGCAGTCTATTTAAATAAAGTATTTGATTGCCTTTTCAGGAAGAATTCACAAAGGTATTTGTTTATCATGCAAATTAAGGAACAATAGTGAATTTAAATCCCGAACCATATCATTGATTAAATTTCTCTGTAAATTCTATGTGAAAATTCAATTCAAAATCCTGGGAAGTAATATTTTATCTTTTGTTGCATTTTGTTTAGTTTAAAAGAAAAATAGTTGGAATATTTGATGATCCAAAGAATCTAAGAGGTTAGATGATGGATTCTGCTATAGTATAGGGAGTGATATATATACTTTGAAATTCTCTGTTTGAATTTGATCCACACACATGGGAAGTAGGTTTTAGTGACATCATTAGCTTTTTAAAAATGTGAACTATTTATTCTTGCATTTATTCTACTAATATATGTTTAGTATAAGTCATTCCTTTGTATGGACTTTTGTAGGCAATAAAGGACAAAGATTTCACAGAAAAATATATACTTGATTTATGGTTTTATAAATTAACTTAGGAAGCATTTTATAACATGTATATACATTCTCCTTTTGTATATGTGTGTGTGTATGCATAAGTTTGTATGTGTGTGTGTTTATGTATGTAAATGTAGCTGTATGTGTATGTGTATATGAGCATGTGTGCCTGAATGGTTGTGTGTATGTGTGACTTTACATTGTTAAAATAATTAACTGGTAGGTCATTAGGCAGAAGTGGCTCCAGCACTGTGGCTTCCTATGTGAGCAAACAGAAACTCAACTCAATGTAAATGGTAAAACAAAACCTAAGTTTAGCCAATCAGAAACTGCCAACTAACCTCTAACCAGAGACTTTCCACTGGAATGATCCAAGTAAGGCTACTGCTCCACTTTAACCAATCACATGTTTTCTTTACCTTATGTGTCCGCCCTATAAAACTCTTCCGTTGTACTCCACAGTGGAGTCCTCAACCACTTGCAGTCTCAAGCTGTTCGATTCATGAATCACTATCTGCTCAAATAAAGTCTCTAATGTGTTAACTTGCTTTGATTTATCTTTTAACAATGTGCATGTGTCTGAGAGCACCTGTGTTGTACATATGTGTCTGGGCATATGGTAAGTGTGCAATGCACAGAATCACACCCAAAGTTAAAGTAAAAGCAACTTCACCAAAGTAGGGAGATCAGTATGAAAGGATAGATGCACCTTTTGGTGATTTTATAGGGTGGAATTACCAAGTATTTGATTTTTCTTATTTTATGGTGCTATCAATAACCAATCAGAAAAATGGGGGGCAGGGGGAGATCAGATAGAATTCTGGAAAGACAGTAAATGTCGTGGGAACATAATTATTGGGTCTTTGTGAATTTAAACACATAGACACACACACACACACACACACACACACACACACACACACCTGAAAGGTAATGTATAGCAAATTAAAAGTCCTCGGATGACATTTTAAACCAAACTAAAGAAATGGTCAGAAATTCCCAATAACCCAAACTATAAAAGATGAAGACAAACTATCAAAAATCACAAGAGCTGCTTGGTATAGGTTCTGTGAAGAAGAAAACAGAAAACGATGAAGAAACCCAGATATTTCACCATAAAATATGACACCCTGGTATGCTGATTATTTTAAATTAAAGGACCTCAAAGGTCAGCAGATGCTCTAAGAGGCTTTTCTTTGATATTCCCTAATCCACCTTAAAACTAGATCCACCAAAGAGAACACCATTGCCTTTCATTTCCTCCATGAAATTTTGCTATCACGGAAAAGAAAACGAAGGAATGCCACCATATCTGGATGGACTTATTCACAAGATCATATTTGTCTCTTGAGCTTATTCAGATTCCAAAGAGCATCATTTATAAGTTAATTTCTATGTCCTGGGTGCATTCGTTTACCCTAACAATTATTTTACTACCCTTTCCATTTTCCCTCTCCTCCTTCTCCTATGAAGAAAAGTATAAGCATCTGCACCCCACTGAATTATTGAGTATCCACTCTCCTATAATTTCCAATCATGCATATTAAAATTAATTTGTATGCATTTCTCTCCTATTAATCTATCTATTGTCAGTCCATTTTCAGTGAAATTTCACAGGGTGAAGGGGATGCTTTCTCTCTTTGCCCCTACAGTTCTGGCACTGTAAGCAGGATAAACTGGAATCACCCTTGTCTTCTGGAAGTCACAGTCAAGGGAACCCAGGACCTGAAAAGCATCAAAAAGAATAAATATTTACCAGTCAGACCCCTGGATGTCTATCTGTGGAATCCAGCCTAGGGAGCAGTAAAAATTATTACTTATCTCTGTATCCTTTCTAAATTTAAGATTAATGAGAGAAAAGCATTTGTATGGCTAGTCTTGAACGTAGCAACTCTGGTGTACTTTTTGGTATGAATATTCATATTGTCTGATTCATTTTCCACCCAGAACTAGTCTTTCTTTCTCTTTTGTTGCCTGTCTTCTTGTGTCATTTGTCATTGGTCGTACCACAAGACAAACAATGGGTCAAACCCATTGTTTGAGCTGATGCTCATAGACTGGTAAGTTTTAGGGTTCTTGTCAGAGTGGTGTTTAGACAAACTGCTGTGGGCCCCTGAAATTAAAAATTGATAAGATTTCCCTCTTATCTTGTTTTATGTGCTTGAGAGCTTGACTTGTGACCAAGTGGTAGTAATCTCTCTTGGTCCCTGTGATTTAGGGGGCATTGTTTTCTAGTAATGTCAGATGGCCAGTCTGAAAAGACTGGGTACTCAAGATACCTAAGATATTAATCAGCATACTCTCTGCCTGAATATGACAAGCACTCAGAAAAGGTTGTCTTGTTACAGTAGGTAGTTAGTCAGGCATGAGCCAGGCAAGAGAGTGCTCCAGTCTCCACCAGGAATGTCAGGCGACCATCAGGTGATGGTTCAGCAATTATCACATTTCCTCTCTAAAAATGATAATTGGTTGCAGGTGGCAGGGGGAGGCAATTTCTCAAATAGATAAAAACACTTGAAATTGGTAGCCAGCTTCCAATAAAATATCAGGAATTGGGCAGGCAAGCTTGAGCATGTGCATTAAGAGGCAAGATGGCACAGCATCACTTTCAGGGGGCATTCCATTGGAAAAGAGAATTAGGCCTTAGGTAGGCATGCGTACAACTTGCTAAACACACAGCGCTTGCTCACCTCCCAAGTGTAAGGAGCACACCACACACGCAGGCAGCTCACCCTTAGGGAAGAATGAAGGGAAAGGGGTGCAAGACTCTGGAAGTGGGCCAGCATATGAAGTTATAGGATCAAGGTTAAATGGAACACTTGTCCTTCAAGTTGACTGCTTGGGTTTCTTCCAAGTGTACTTTCCTTTCTTTCCTTCTCTAAGGCTTTTTAATAAACTTCCATTCCTGCTCTGAAACTTGTCTCGGTCTCTTTTTCTATCTTATGCCCCTCCGTCAAATTCTTTCTTCTGAGGAAGGGAATTGACATTGCTGCAGACCCGTACGGCTTCATCGCCAGTAACCTGGATATTTGCCAGTCTTAACAAGAAGTCCTATCCATAAGAAGCTTTTGTTGTCCAAATTTTTGTTGTCTGGTTAGTGCAGGAAAAGTACAGTCCCAGGAAGGCCTACTCCTTGTCAGGAAGTCTGTGGCTGGTGGCATCTCAGAAATTTGTGGGATACTGAAGACACCATATATAGTTCACTGTCTGTGGAAACAAGAGTCCTTTGGCTTTCTTAGCCTATTTCTGGGAGTAAAATTTTGGATATCATAGGGACTGCCTCCTCTATGTCCGCTCCAGGAGTGCCTCTTGATTATATGGTTAAAAACTATGCTGGTATTTCCATGAATAGGTTTAGTGGATTGAGTCACTATTGGAATAAGTACACCATTAGAATTTTCTAATCATCAATGGTCAGATGATGGACTTTTTTTGGCTTAGAAAGACTTTAATCTTTGAAAAAAAACTTAGAGAGCTCTTATTCTAAGCAGTTGACTTATTTGTACAGTAAAATCAAATTGAAAGATACATAATAGTATCATGCCTAGCCTTAGCAATTCCTTTGACATAATTAAAGAGCAGAAATCTGACCTAGAGCAAGTTAAAATCCACCCTCACCCTGATTTAAGTTCCCCTCCCACTGATCTCTTCCTTTTCCTCAACTCTGATCCTCCAGAGATCTTTTGGATCTCTGAGCCCCTAGTCTAATCCCCTTTTTGAAATCCAACCCCAGCTCCTCAGTAAACTTCCTTAATAACCCCTAAAACTACTGCACATCCCATTTCTCCAGAAAATCCCTTAGAGAACCAGCTGCCAACTTTAATGTCCACATCTTTGTGAGGGCACATAGGTCGGTGCGTAAAAGCTGACAAATAAGAACTAAGCCCTTCAGACAGTCAGGGAAAGTGCAGCCGGTCTTGGTTCCCTGTGCCTTATGATATCTCTTACTTCCTGGGGCTGTGGGAACAACCTCCATCAGCTCCAGACCTCCCTACACAGTGCCCCCAATCATGCATCCAGGATCCTCCCCACAAAAACTCTCATCGCCTGCACAGTAGCAGGTCTTATGAATTATAAACCCTTTTGCTCCCACTTTCAGAAGATTCTGCTAAGTTTAGAGAACAATTGGAGAGGCTAGTAGCCATTCACAATCCTACTCATAGGAACCTTGACTGGCTACTAAGAGGTGTACTTTCCATCTGTGATTATACTGCTGTTATTAGACAGGCCAGATGGCTTCCATGAGAAAACTCTCCCCACAGAGGGAACAGGTGGCCACAACCTGTTCCTGGTCCCCCTACAGATGACCCAGAAATGGCTCAGCTTAATGCTAATATTCAGGTCCTAATAGGGGCAATATCAGAAGCCTGTTCCTAAGGTAAATTGGCCTAAGGTTGAACTATATACCCAGAAGGAGGGAGAGCACCCTACATCTTTTGTTGAGTGATTTACACAAGTGTTTCAGAGGCATACTTCATTAAATCCTGAAGAATAAGAGCATAGAAATCTTCTAATTTCAACCTTGGTCAGAAATCTACTTCCTGATTTAAAAAAGGCAACTCCAGAACAGTGTAGTTGGCTGGGCTGGTCAGCCTGTAAGTGTTATAATGAAAGCAACTACACAGTTCTTTGAAAATGACTTTCAGGAAAACATGAGAACAAAAACAGTTAAAATCTATGGTCTTTGCTTTGCAGGTTAAGTCTCTACAAAGACAAAAGCAGGCCTTGGTAAAAAGAACAAAGTGTTCCCATTTTTCACGTCAATCATAGAACATTCCACCTTATGTTTGCAAATGTTATAGAAAATCAGGGCACTGGAAAAATCATTGTCCTGCACTTAAAAGAAAGGAAAACTAGAAAAAAAAACCCTCCTTAAAAGTCAGCACCCTCAGAAAGTTCATTTTTTCCCTCCCGTGGGAAAATACCCCATTGATTGAGGGGGTCAGCTGATCTTCAGTCACACCCCAGAGCCCCCCATTAAACTTAGAGGATTCGGAACTGGGTTTTTAAGTTGATACTGGTCAACTTTCTCTACTATTTGATCAAGAGGAAATATCTCTACCTGTCACTTCTGATTCTATTAATGCTGTTGGAGTCTCTGGGTAACCTATTTTATTGCCTGTATCTAAGGCCACATCAATATCCTTAGGCTGTCTTAACACCACCATGCCTTTCTAGTATCTTACTCTTCACCACCAAACCTTTTAGGTAGATACCTGCTGTGTAAATTTAATGGCACCATGTAATGTAATAAGGAAGGTGTTTTTATTTTTCTGTTCTCAGACCAAACTTCAAACTTTCTACTTTTCCTAATGGAGACACATCTTAATATAAATTCCTCAGAGAATACAATATTACAAGATGTCCCAGCTAGTCTGTGGGCTTCACATACAAATGAAGTTGGACTGCTACTGTGTGCAAGCCTAAACACATTTACTGGAAAGGAAAAAATCTTTTCCTTTAGAAGCTTAGTACCTCCTTTCAGGAGATGCAGAGTGAGGAACTGAATCTATAATAAGCTTCCTTTTATAGCAGTGAGTGCTTATGTTTACTACCTCTCTGTGTAACACCCCACCTAATTTTACCAGGCAAGAAGGAAAAAAAAATGATTCATACAGCAGCCAAATCTATCAATTTGTACAGTATCTAAGAGCCATAAGCTCCTTCTGTGCCTAATTCTGTTCCTATCCTCACCTCAATTCCCGCTGATGCAGCTTGGTTTACAGTAAACCAAGAAGACAATTAAAATGGACTCACATACCTTAGGGATATTGTGAGTATATTCTCAAATCCTTAACGCCAATTTAGACTCTATAACCTTTATCCAAAGAGCTATCCTTTTTCAGTAGGTTGATCATCCTTTGCTCTCCAATGAGACTAACGGGGTACCCTTGTTGACTCCATTCTCCTAAAAACTCCAGCTGAACAATGCCGTAAACCATCCAGATCTAAACTTCAATGGGTGCGGACAATTGTTACCTACTTAGGATAAGGCACTCAAAAGCTCAACCCAAAAGAGTTTTGTTCATCCCTCCTCCCAAAGTAATGAAACATATGCTTAGAAGTACCTGGCTATTGCAGTCAATGGGTTCCAATTTTGCTGCTCTTGCTTAATAATTATATGCCCGTCCCCCAGGTATCATTCCAGAGCCCATTCCCTGGTCCTCAGATGCATTAAACTTCTTTAAAGCCTTAAAATTAGCATTCTTTACTTACCCTGCTCTCAGTTTACCTATGTTTGGTAAAGGTTTTGCCATGAAATAATGAGATTGCTCTTCTAGGGCAGCCTTTTGCTTCTCAGATCCATCCTGTAGCATATCTTTCATGCCAATTGGACCCTGTAGCAGAATACATGTCCCATGCCTGCATGCAGTAGCAGCAGTGGTTGCCCTGGTTGACAAAGCCAGCACTGTTACCTTAGGTTCCCCAATTCATCTCATGTTCCCCATGCTGTGTCTGTTATCTTGCAAGTTTGTAAGATGTAACACCTCTTTATGTGATGATGGACCACCTATGAGCAAGGCATGTTAATCAATGTCTTCATAATCTTACATTATTGTGATATATTTTATTTTATTTTTATTTTATTTACTTTTTAGAGATGAGGTCTCACTCTGTCCCACAGGCTGGAGTGCATTGTTGTGATCATAGCCTGCAGCTTCAAACTCTTGAGCTCAAGAGATTCTCCCTCCTTTTACCCTCCTGATTAGCTGGCACTACACCATTGTGATGCTTAAAATCCAGCTACCCTCCTACTTCTCTCTGCTGATGGAGACCTTCACTTCATTCCATAATGTTGCCTTGAAACTATAGAAATGGCTTTGAAGCCATGACAGGATCTCACAGACATCTCTTTAGACAACCCAGACTTACTTCTTTGTGACAGCTCTTGCAAATAAAATTTCAAGGTGAACATAATAACTGGCCTTGATATAGTTTCTCCACATGAAATTCTTGAGGCACGTTGTCTGCCCTCGATAATGTCAGCACAAGCTGCTAAGCTTCTAGTTCTCACTAGAGCTTGCACTTTGGCAAAAGGAAAACTGCCACTATTTATACTGACTCCAAATATGCCTTTGAAGTCTGCCAATTAGTTGGCATGATTTGGAAATCCCATGGGTTCTTAACTTCTGCTGATATCCTTATTGCCAATGGGCACATAATTAATGCACCATTACAGGCTATTCACCTTCCTACTAAGATTGCTATTGTTCATTGCCCGGCCCACACTAAGGAAACTGATACTATATGCCTAGAAAATGAAAGGTCAGACAGTGCTGCTAACTATGTGGCCAAAACCAACCACGTCCCATCTTTTCTCACTCAATTTATTAATCTGTCTTTATTCCTCACTGATATTATTGGTCATCAGATTAATGCCCCACAATCTGAAAAAAAAATAAATAGATAAAAAGGACTACCAAAAATTATTAGATAGATTGTATACTGGGCAAAATTGGCTTCCTTTTAACATTTGGCTTGCACTTATTTTCCATCAAATGGGGCATATGTGCAGAGAAGGGATAATCAAGGAACTAAAAGATAGTTGGTACTGCTCTGGGATCAACAATATTTATAACCAAATTATTTTTCAGAATATTATTTGTAAATTCCACCAAATTTCTAAAGGAAACTAACTTGAGGAAGTCCTCCAAAGTCCACACTGTCCCTTGTGGTATTCCATATAGATTTGGTAGATTTACCTCCATGTTTAGGTTTTTCTCACTGTTTGGTTATTGTCTGCATGTTTAGTGGATGGACTGAATGTTACCCAATTAGATGAGCTGATACAACAACAGTGGTAAAGAAATAAGTGCCTGAGATTATTTTGCATTTTGGCATCCTTTTATGGATTGAGTCAGACCAAAGGACTCATTTTATAGCAGAAATAAACCACTTCCTTGCAAAAATCTACAGTACTCGTTAAAATTTCAAAACCCCATATCATCCCCAATCCTCAGGGCAAGTGGAATGTATAAATCTATGTGTAATATAAAAAGAACTTTGGGAAAAGTCTTATCAAGGTACTGGACTTACATGGTGAGAAGCATTATCTCAGGTCCTTATAAAATATGGAATACTCTAAATAGGAGACATGGATTAATCCATTTTGAAATAGTGTTTGGTCACTCCATACATAATGATACCTCTAAATCTTCCATTCCTGGGTTGAAGGAACACTATGGGTATTTAAGGGAGCAATTTGATTCATGACTGTCTGTGTGCAGGGACTAACTAGTATACTTGGGGCATATCAACAGGTGGAAAAAGCATGACCTCCACCATCTGACAAGTCTCACCATCCTTTCAACCAAAAGACTGTGTGTACATCAAAGTTTTTAGAAAAAAGCCCGTGCTGTCACCTATCAAGGAGGCCCTTATGAATTGGTAACCATCTATACCTCTATAAAAATAAAAGACAAATGCTGCTAGATTGATATGAGCCATTCCAAACTATACTGGGACAATTGGAAAACCATCCCTACAGGTGACCTTAAAGTAAGGATTTCCAGAGCCAATCCCCAAACCCCTAAAGCAGAAGGTAACATGAGGTAGACTGCTATTTTCCCAAAATCACAGATCAAGAAAACTTACTTTCATCTAACCCCATCACCTTTTCTTTATAAGCCTCTCTCCTGAAGAGAAAATTTAAAAGGACGTTACATTCTTTTTCTTTTAAGCCTTCTTCTTTGTGGATAACCCACTGGAAGCTTGTTGAAGTTGTTATCAATCTGTCCTATTCTCCCTCTGATCTTCCACCATGGACCTTCTTTCAAACAGTCTCTTACTCTTATTTACTGCTTTTGCAAAAGGTCAGGCACAGACCTGGCATTCTTTTGAAGCTGTCTTCCAAACTCTGGCCACATTAACTCATCAGTCGAATTGCTGGTATGCCATCATCTAGAGGATGCAGAAGAATCTGAACGTATTTTCATTCCTGTCACCATCAGTATCTGCTGGATCCAGTCTGGAAGATTGATGTATAAGATACAGCATCCACAACTAAGGAAGCAATGTTTTCAGCTTGTTTTGGAAGTCAACTGAGCACAGAAAATCCTCTGTGGAAGCTCAAGAACTGTCTTTTGATAAGGTTAAATGACTAGAAAGTGATTTTTCCTTTTGAATTTGATGTAGTCTGGATATTTGTTTTGTGTAAATCTCATGTTGAAATGTAACCCCCAATGTTGGAGGTGGGACCTAGTGCGACCTATTTGGGTCATGGAGGCAGATCCCTTATGCACAGCTTGGTGCCATCCCACTGGGTATAAGGTCTCATTCTTTTTTTTTTTTTTTGAGACAGAGTCTCTCTCTGTCGCCCAGGCTGGAGTGCAGTGGCACGATCTCCACTCACTGCAAGCTCCACCTCCCAGGTTCATGCCATTCTCCTGCCTCAGCCTCCCAACTAGCTGGGACTACAGGCGCCCGCCACCACACCTGGCTAATTTTTTATATTTTTAGTAGAGACAGGGTTTCACCGTGTTAGCCAGGATGGTCTTGATCTCCTGACCTCGTGATCCACCCACCTCGGCCTCTCAAAGTGCTGGGATTACAGGTGTGAGCCACCGCGCCTGGCCAAGTTCTCATTCTTATTAGTTCACATGAGAGCTGGTTTTTTAAAAGAGCTTGGCACATCTTCCCCTCTCTCTCTCTTGCTCCCTCTCCCACCATGTGATATCCTGGATCTTTCTTTGCCTTCTGCCATACCGTAAGCCTCTTCTAAGACCCTCACCAGAAGCAGATGCTGGCACCATACTTCTTGTACAAAAAACTCTTTTTTTTTTTTTTAAATTACCCAACCTCAGGTATTCCTTTGCAGCAATACAAAATGGACTAATTCAGCATTAAAAGAGAGATGATTCTGGACCTTTTCTAGTGACATAACAGGGCAATATTGCAATCAGATCCTATAGTTTGATTCCACAGATAATATCATTATACCTCCTACAAAGATCATAGATGGTCCTGACACTGACTCATATGATGTCAACACTTGCCAAATCACCAGATGTTATGAATGACTCACAAGCCAGCCCTGTGTGAGCTGGCATAGCTCACCTGCTCCTCTCATTAAGCAAGCACACACCGAAGGTTACATACAGATAGATCAAAAGCCTGGACTGACTTGGCCAGGTGAAAAAACCAAGCTGTATAACTGCCAGGACTGAACTGAAAGGCATCTTATATTAAATACTTTGCAACTATTTCACTCCCACAGACTGACAGGGGCACATGGAAGCTGGAGATGTGCAAATGCCAATATGATAGAAGACAAAGCACAATAAACTTCCATCTGTGCATCACAAGTTCCACTCTGACCTTGTCCATAAACAACCCTGGTCTTTTCGTCTAGGCTGGTGACAAGAAATATGAGTGGTTTCCACCTACATGATCAGAACACTCTGGACTTGGTTATCTGACACTTTCTGCCACCAAGTACTCCACTTTGATTGCCAGCCAAATTACAAACTTGGGCTCCTTTGTTTAGAAAGTGGTGCAACACAAACATATTAGACACAATGTTATAGAAAATCCACTTGTATACCACAATTCTTTTTCCCAGCATTTGGAACTTATGAGACAGAAAAACTACATCACTCGATCTAAATATTTCCATGGTAACAGAATGAGAGTTCAATGTCACTATGCAAGCACTGGGAGCACTCCAATCAGAAGTTAACAGTCTAACCACTGTTGTATTTCAAAATGGCCATGTACTGGATATGCTGATAATTCAGTGAGGAAGAGCTACATAACCATTGGTGAGAAATGCTGCTTCTACATAAAGCATTCGAAACGAATAGACTCTGATCTGCACCTTTTGAAACACAAGATAAATATTCTTCATCAGACAAATGAAGCTAAATCATCCTATTTGTCTGACCTATTCCCAAGTATGGGAGACTGGTTTAATGGTGTGTGGGGAAATGTGTTTAGATTTGTTCTTTCTGCTTATTCATTCTCATTTTAATCTATGTTCTTTTCTCCCTTTGCAGATCTTTTGCCCCTTGATTACTAACCCAATTTCTGTCTTCATAGCCATCAGTGAAGATTTTGGTGAGCAAAATGTCTAGGGAAGTTAGAGACAGCGGAAGAAAGAAGCCTAGAATATTTTACCCCCAAAAATGATACCCTAGTATGCTGATTTATTTTAAATTAAAGGTCCCTGAAGTTCAACAGATGCTGAAAGACAATTATATATATATATATATATGTATGTATCTTTTTGTTTTTGAGACTGAGTATCCCTCTGTCACCCAGGCTGGAGTGCAGTGACATGATCTCAGCTCACTAAAACCTCAGTCTCCTGAGTTCAAGTTATTCTCCTGCCTCCATCTCCCAATTCTCCTGCCTCAAGCTCCCAAGAAGCTGGGATTACAGATGCCCACTACCCCACATGGGTAATTTTGGTATTTTTGTAGAGACGGGGTTTCACCATGTTGGCCAGACTGGTCTCAAACTCCTGAGCTCAAGTAATCCGCCTGCTTCGGCCTTCCAAAGTGCTGGAATTACAGTCATGAACCACGGTTGATATTTCTTTATTTACCTTAAGACCGGACCCGCCAAAGAGAACACAATTGCCTTCCATCCCCTCCCTGAAGTCCCATTATCTATCACAGAAAAGAAGATGGAAGAATGCAACCACACCTGGATAGGCTTTTTCCAAAGATAATATCTGACTCTCAGGATCATTCAAAAAGCATCATCTATAAGTTAATTTCTGTTTCCTGGGTCCATTCATTCTCCTTAATTATTGTTTACTATCCAACAAAAAAAATTGTCTACATTCTCTATCTCCCACTCCCTATGAAGAAGGCTATATAAGCATCTGTACCCCAATGGGTTACTGGATAATAATGCTATGGTTTTCTTCCACATGCATGATAATAAATTTGTATGCCTTTTTCTAGTATTAATCTGTCTACTGTCAGTTAATTTTCAGCAAATCTTCACAAGGTGGAGGATAAGGTTTCCTCCTTTGCTCTTATAGGTAAAATGTGGCATCTGATGGATCTGAGAACAGGAAAAATCCAAAAAGACAAAAGGTATTTACTAGGTTTTTTCTGTCTTTTGGAATTTCTCCAAATGCCATAATGGCAAGACCATTAATGAAAAGCTGAAATTGGAAAGATATTTGCCCATTCAGTTATTATATCCAGCACAGACTCTGGAAACAGACAAGTAATGCTCTCTCATAAATCAAGGACACAAACAGAGAAAAAATATTGGAATGAAGTCAGAATTGCACAGGGTAAAGGAAAATGCAAATAAAGGAAAAAGTCGAGATAAAAGTGAGGCAAGGAAACAGAGCTAGAAAATCTCAGAAAGAAAGCAGACATATTTTCTTTTCTTTTTTTTTTTTTTTTTTTTTGAGACTGAGTCTCGCTCTGTCGCCCAGACTGAAGTGCAGTGGCAATCTCAGCTCACTGCAAGCTCCACCTCCCGGGTTCAGGCCATTCTCCTGCCTCAGCCTCCCCAGTAGTTGGGACTACAGGTGCCCGCCACAACGCCCAGCTAATTTTTTTGTAATTTTTTAGTAGAGACGGGGTTTCACCGTGTTAGCCAGGATGGTCTCAATCTCCTGACCTCGTGATCCGCCCGCCTTGGCCTCCCAAAGTGCTGGGATTATAGGCGTGAGCCACCATGCCCAGCCAGCAGACATATTTTCTAACATCACGTCAAAATATAAGGAAAATTTGCGAAGTTAAAAAAACTATCAGAAGAATAAATAAATCTCTCATACAGAAGGATTTCATATATTTTGTGCATATACTACATCCTCAAGGAAGTAGAGTGTAATTTCCAAATGTAAGCTGAGCATAGTGACTTCTTTCTAAAAAGAATAGTCTAAGAAGGACAGAAAAAGATTTATTTATAAAGTGGAGGAAGAGGAATTTAACACTCTCTTAGAGAGGAGATCAAGTTCAACATCATCAATGATAAGTCATGATGATAGCATGTATACTTGGTATGATTAGATAAGAACAGCAATTTACTTCTGTGGCCCTCCTTTCAAAAACCCATCACCCAGTCTAAACATGAGAAAAACACAAGACAAATCCCCACTGATCGACGTGCTACCTAATACGAGACCAGTACACCTTAAAACTGTCATCAAAAATAAAATCTGAGAAACTGCTATAGTGAAAAAGAGCCTAAGGAAACACGAAAATTAAATGTAATGCAGTGTTCTGGATGGGATCCTAGAACAATAAAAGGACATTAGGCAAAAAAGTAATCTGAACAAAGTATGGACTTTAATTTAAAATAATGTAATAAAATTAGTTCACTAATTATGACAAATGTACCATACTAATGTAAAATCTTAATAATAGAAGAAACTGAGTGGAGAGTATATGGGAATTCTGTGCACCAGCTTCACAAATTTTCTGCAAAACTATATTCTAAAACAAAGCACTTATTTTTTAAAAAGTTATCAAAACCAAATCTCCTTTGAAAAGTTCACAAAAATTAAATTAAAATGTCAATGAGCAACAGAAATATTTGAGGTCAAATTCCACGTAAAGTTAACATAAGAGCAAAGAAAATAAGAACCAGAATACCTACCTGCATACTTTCAGACAATCAAATCACACCAAAAACATATACTAAGAAAGATAAAATGACATCAAAAGAGCAAATATTCGGGTCATTGGAGTTAGAGAAGGAACTAAGAAAAACAAAAGAATAGAAAGCTTAGCCACAAAAATAACAACAGCAAACTTTACAAAGCTGGGTAAATCCAGGTCAAAGAAGGCCAAAGGCGAGCAAATCAGATTCGACCCAAATGGGAATACCCCAAGACATATCATAATCAAACTCCCAAAGGTCAAAGACAGAGAGAAGATCCAGAAAATAGTGAGAGAAAAGAAGCAAATAATACATAGAAGTCTGTCAGCACACTTCTCAACAGATACCTTACAGGCCAGGAGGGAGTGAGTTGACATATTTGGAGTGCTGAAGGAAATACTGTGTTCCACAAAGCCATCCTTGAGAAATGAAGGAGGGATAAAACTTTCCCAGACAAACAAATGCTGAAATAACTTATCACAACCAGATCTGTCCTACATGAAAAGCTAAATGGAGTTTTATAAAGTGATCTTTTCTGGATTAAAGTTAAATTGGTATGAATTTAAAATAATATGTTGTAACTATAGAATGTTTTCTGTAAGCCTTATAGTAACAACAGAGCAAAAACCTACAAAAGATACACTGAAAATAAAATTTTAAAAAAATTAAAAGATAATATAGGAGAAAATTGCTTAACAATAAAAGAAGCCAGGAAGAGAAGAGATACAAAATGACTAGAAAACAAGTAGCAAAATGGAAGTTGTAAGGTATTACCTGTCAATAATAACGTAGAATGTAAATGGGCTAAATTCTCCAATTAAAATACATAGAGTGACTGAATGGAATAAAAAACAAAACAAAAAAGAAGACCCAACTCTATGCTGCCTATAAGAAGCTCATTTTACCACAAAAGGCATAGACTGAAAGTGTGACTACAGTTAACATTAATCAATTATACATTTCAAAATAGCTGGTAGAGAATAATTCAAATGATTTTATCATGAAGAAAAGATAAACATTTAAGCTGATAGATCTCCCAATTACCCTGATTTGATTGTATGAACCTATCAAATTATTACATGTACCCCCAAAATATGTACATCTAATATGTATCAATATAAATAAATAAATAAAAGTGAAGGGATGAAAAAATATTTTATGCAAATGGATCAAAAAAGATTAGGAATATTTATACTTATGTAAGATAAAATAGACTTTAAATCAAACATTGTTAAAAGAAAAAGACAAAGAAAGCCATTATATAATGATAGAAGGGTCAATTCAGCAGGAAGATAAAATAATTGGGGATATATATAAACCCAAACCCAAGCACCTAAATATATAAAGTATAGGAGGAGGCAGAGAAAGACGGCCTAACGGAAGCCTCTAGTGGTCGTACCCCCACAGAACATGAAATGGAAAAACTATCTACTCAACAAAGTAACTTCATAATAACCAAAAATCAGGTGAGTGATCACAGTACTTGGTTTTAATATCATAGTAAGGAGAGATACTGAAAGGAGAATCACCTACACCACTCTTTGCACATCCCCTTGCAGTGGTCTCATAGCATGGAGAGAGAATCTGTCTGCTTGGGGGAAGGAGAAAAAAGTGATTATAGAACTTTCCATTGGAACTCAGTGCTGCTTTGTCACAGTGGAAAGCAACACAAGGCAGAACTCAGACGGTGCCCATGGAGTGGGAGCATTTAGACCAGCACTAGCTAGTGGCAAATTGTCCATCCTAGTGGTTGGAACCTGATGTCTAGAAGTCCTGCTACCATGGGCTAAAGTGCGCTGAGGTTCGAAATAAACTTGAAAGGCAGTCTAGGCCACAAGGACTACAATTCCTAGGCAAGTTCTTGTGCTGTGCTGGACTCAGAGCTAATGGCCTTGAGATGCATGTGACCTAGTGAGATACCACCAGCTGAGATGGCCAAGGGAGTGCTTGTGTTACATCTCCCCCAATTCCAGGAAGCACAGCTCACAGTTCACAACTCTGGAAGAGACTCCTTCCCTCTTCTTGAGGAAAGGAGAGGAAAGAGTAAAGAAGCCTTTGTCTTGCAACTTGGATACCAAATTAGCCACAGTAAAATAGGGCATGAGGCAAAGTTCTGAGGTCTCCAATTCAGGCCATAGCTCCAGGACTTTTCTAAACACACCCTGAGCCAAAAATGAACCCCTTATCTTGAAGAGAAGGAACCAGTCCTGGCAAAAGTCATTACCTGCTGACTAAAGATCCCTTGAGACCTGAATAGTCAGCAGTGGGAGCCAGGCAGTACTTACCACAGGCCTTGATCGAGAGTCAGAGCCATGCTGAATTCAGGCATGACCAAGCAGATTCCCACTTGTGGTGGCTATAGGGGGAGACCCCGTCTTCTTGAGGAAAGGAGAGAGATGAATAAAGGTGGCTTTGTCTTGCAGTTTGGGTACTAGCTTGTCCACAGTGGAGTAGAGCACCAACTGGGCTCCTGGGATTTCCGATTCCAGGCCTTGGCTCCTGGATGACATTTGTGAACTTGCCCTGGGCCAAAGGAGAGTCCAATGTCCTGAAGGGAGAGACTCAGGCCTGGCAGCATTCAACACAAGCTGACTGAAGAGCTCTTGGGCCTTGAGTAGACATCAGCCATAGCCAGGCTGAATTTGCCACAGGCCTGGGGCAGTGGTGGCCACATGGAGAAACTCCTATGCTTGAGGAAGGAGGTGGGAAGAGTGGGAAGGACTTTGTCTTGTGTCTTGGGTGCTAGCTCAACCGCAGTAGAATAGAGCACCAGGTAGATTCCTAAAGTTCTCAACTCAAAGCCCTAGCCCTGGCCAGCATCACTGGACCTGCCCAGGGCCAGAAAGCACTAGTCCCTATGAAGGGAAGGATACAAGCCTGGTTGGACTTACCACCTGGTAATTATAGGGACCCTCGGCCTTAAGTGATCATAGGTAATTGCCAGGCAGTGGTCACTGTGGGCCCTGGGTATTATTATCCCACTGTTGTGCTGACTTTGAGTCTGGCCCAGCAAAGTCCCAATGGTGACAGCAACAGTGGTATTTGTGTCACCACTTTTTCACCTCCAGGCAGCTCAGCCCAGAGAGGGAGACTCCAATTGTTTCCGAGAAAGTAAGAAAAGATAACAAGATTTTCTGCCTGGTAATCCAAGGAATTCTCCAATATCTTACCTAACACCACCAAGGTGATACTTCCACAAGTCTACAAGAGCCACGGTGTTACTGACCTTGAGGTACCCCCAAATGTAAATGTGGCTGCAAGTGACCAAAGATTGGATCACTACACCCAAGTTCCTTCAAATATCTGGAAGACTTTCTGAAGAAGGATGAGTACAAACAAACCCAGACTGTGAAGACTACAATAAATACCTAACTCTTCAATGCCTAGACACCGATGAACATCCACAAGCATCAGGAACGTCCAGGAAAAGACGATCTCACCAAACAATCTAAATAAGCCACCAGTGACCAATCCCAAAGAACAGAGATATGTGAACCTTGAGACAGGAAATTCAAACTAACTTGAGAAAGCTCAACAAAGTTCAAGAGAGCACAGAGAAGGAATTCAGAACACTATCAGATAAATTTAACAACAATATTAAAATAACTAAAAAGAATTAAGCACAAAGGTTGGTTTTTTGAAAAGATAAACAAAATTGACAAACTTTTTCTTAGCCAGAGTAAGAAAAGAAGGGAGAAAATCCTAATAAATAAAATCAGATATGAAAAAGGAAACATTACAACCAATACCACAAAAATTCAGAGGATCGTTAAAGGCTACTATTAGCAACTATATGCCAAAAAATTCAAAATCCTAGAAGAAATGAATACATTCTTAGACACATACAACCTACCAGGATTGAACCATGAAGAAATCCAAAACCTGAACAGACCAATAACAAGTGAGATGATCGAAGCCATAATAAAAAGTCTCCAGGTGAAGAAAAGCCTGGCACCTGATCGCTTCACTGCTGAATTTTACCAAACATTTAAAGGAAAATTAATACCAGTCCTACTCAAACTATTTAGAAAAATAAAGGAAAAAGGAGTACTTCCAAACTCATTCTGCGAGGCGAGTATTACTCTGATACCAAAACAAGACAGAGACACATCAAAAAAAGAAAACTATAGACCAATATCCCTGATGGACATGGATGCAAAAGTCCTTAATACTTTCAAGCTAAATTTAACAACACATCAAAAATTATTTATCATGACCAAGTGGGATTTATCTCAGGGCCACAAGAATGGTTCAACATATGCAAATCAATGAGATACATTATATCAACAGAAAGAAGGACAAAAACCATATGATCATATCAATTGATGTTGAAAGAGCATTTGATAAAATTTAACATCCCCTCATGAAGAAAACCCTCAAAAAACTGCTTATAGAAGGAACATACTTCAGCATAATAAAAGCTATGTATGACAGATCCACAGCTAGGGAAATGGGGAAAATCTGAAAACCTTTTCTTCAAGATCTAGAACAAGACAAGCACATCCACTTTCACTACACTTATTCAACATTGTATAGGAAATCCTAACTAGGGCAATCAGAAAAGAGAAAGAAAGAAAGAGCAACCAAATTGGAAAGGTAGAAGTCAAATTATCCTCGTTCACAGATGATACAATCTAATATTTGGAAAAACTTAAAGACTCCACCAAAAAACTATTCTAATTGGTAAATGAATTTTGTAAAGGATATAAAATAAACACACAAAAATCAGTCACTTTTCTATATGGCAACAGTAAACAATTTTTAAAAAAATCAAGAAAGTAACTTAATTTTGTGATAACTATAAATAAAATAAAATACCTAGGAATTAACCAAAGAAGTGAAATAACTATAATGAAACTGATAAAAATCTGATGAAAGAAACTGAAGAAGACACAACAAAAAGGAAAAAAAATTTCATGTAATTTTTGAAAAAAATAGAAAAGATAACCCTAAAATTTATATGAAACCTAAAAAGAGCCTGAATAGCTAAAACAAACCAAAACAAAAAGAATAAAGCTGAAGTATTACCATACTTGACTTCAAAATATTTTACAAGGCTATAGTGACCAAAACAGTATGGTATTGGCATAAACAAACATATACACCAATGGGAAAGAATAGAAAACCTCAACATAAATTCACACACCTTCAGTGAGCTCATTTTTGAAAGAGTTGCCAAGAACATATGTTGAGGAAAAGGCAATCTCTTCAATAAATGGTGCAGCAAAAGCTGGATATCCGTATGCAAAAGATTAAAACTTGACCCGTATCTCTCACTATATACAAAAATTAAATCAAAATAAACTAAAGACTTTAATTTAAGACCTCAAACTATGAAACTACTAAAAGACAACATTGGGGAACCTTTCCAGGATATTGGACTGGGCAAAGATTTCTTGAGTAATACCCCACAAACACAGTCAACTAAAGTAAAAATGGACAAATGGGATCACATCAAGTTAAAAAGCCTCTGCACAGGATTAATAATCAGAATATTTAAGGAACTCAAAGAACTCAATAGCAAAAAGAAAAAAAAACACATTTAAAATGGCAAAAGTCCTAAATAGACATTTAAAAAAACATACCTATGGATAAAAGTAAATAAAAATATGCTCAACTTCAGTAATCGTCAAGGAAATAAAAATCAAAACCACAATGAAATTCATCTCACCTCAGTTAAAATGGCTACAATAGAAAGTACAAAAAATAACTAATGCTGGTAAGGATACAAAGAAAAGAAAATATTCGTACATTGTTCATGGGAATCTAAACTAGTATAGCCCCTATGAAAAACAGTATGGGGGCTCCTTAAAATACAAACAATAGAACTACCATAAGTTCCAGGTATTGTACTGCTGGGTACACAGCCAAAAATAGAATATCAGTGTATCGAAGAGATATCTGCACTCCTGTGTTTATTGTAGCGTTATTCACAATAGCCAAAATATGCAATCAAATTAAGTGTCCAACAACAAATGAATATATAAAGAACATATGGTAATATATACACAATGGTACAGTATTCAGTTATAAAAAAATACTGTCATTTTCAGCAATGTGAGTGGAACTGGAGGTCATTACGTTAAGTAAAATAATCCTGGCACAAAAAGACAATGTTCTTACTCATATGTGAGAGCGAAAACAGTTGCTCTCATGAAGACACAAAGCTGACCACAAAAGGCTCGGAAGGTAAAGGGGAGGAAGAGGTAAAGAAAAGTTAGTTAGTGGGCGCAAAAATAAAGCAGAATAAAAATACAGTATGTTGTAGTGTTCACCAGTACAAGTGGCTATAGTTTATAATTTATTGTACAGTTCAAAATAGCTACTAGACAAATATTGGAATGTTCCCAATACAAATAAAACATAAATGATTGAGATGATGGATATCCCAATTACCCTGATTTGATCATTGTACATTTTATACAGGTATCAAAACATCATGTTTACCTCAAAATGTTTACAATTATTATGTATCAATAAAAAAGAAAATACCTACAAATGACTAAAAAATAAAGATAGCAGACTACTTCAAAAAGAGTTAAGAAACAATAAGAAAATTATATATCATTTGAAAGAAGAGAGAAAACATGAACCAGAATTAGAAAAACTCAGAATTTAGGTAAGAAGACTTTTAAAAGCATTGAAAATGAATGAAAAAAATTATTTCTTAAATTAAGACTAAACTAGAAGAAACACAAAGAAAATATTACAATATATAATGTCATAAGTGAACCGGGCAACAAAGATGAAAGTTTTAGAAATCAGGGAAAAAAGGAGACACTAAAGGGTTAGTGGGAAAGTGGTAAATATTGAAGATAAGCCAAAAAAGGAAATGTAACCTGTGGCTAGTGGGAGCGAATGAAAGAAAAAATCAAGGAAATTGAATAAATATTAAAAGTTATAATTGAAGTAAACTTTTCAGAAATTAAAAAAAAAAAGAAGTACATAGGAAAAGAGTTTGGCATTTACCTGACAATATTGAGTCAGCATGAAGCCTACCAAGGCAGATTCCTGTAAAATTATTGGGTTTTAAAGGAAAAAACAAATGGGTAATTAAGCAGAAGGAACAATTAGTGTTAGAAAATTATATTATCAGTTTGTTCAACAGCAATATTGCCAGAAGAAAATGGAGTAAAATATTTAGGATACCTAATGACAGAAAATATAAACCAAGGATTTAAAGAAAATCTTCAAATTTTCAATTTTCAGTACAGAAAAATTGAACTGTTACCTACACGCAGAAACTCGGATAATATTGCCGCTATGATTTCTTTCTAAAGAATCAACTAGAGATAAAGCTTCAGAAACCAAAAATGACTAAACAGACATTAATGAGCATTAAATATTTAGTTGTGATGGGGTTCAAGATACCACCCCCAATTATGACTGTATTATGCCAGAATATGCCACTGTAAAATGTAAAATATACTTCTTTGGCTCAAAGATTATTCTGAGCTGGCTTAGAGAAACTACAAATGCAAGAGATGCTTTGAAAAGTTACCTTTTGTAAGAAAAATTAACATCTATAAAGAAAATATTTGTAAGGATGTCTTGCCTTCTGCACTAGAAAGAGAAGAATGACTTGAAATAATTAGAGGTTCTTAATCAATGGAGAAGGTATCAACTAAAATATGCATTAACAACCCTGATTTTTATAAAACGTTTTTCCTGGCCATCTCATCTTAACTGAGTCTGCCCTCATACTCTTCGTTCTTTGTTTCAGAGAAAAACAGTATTTCAACCTGAAGTCAAAGCCACTTATTTGAGATCTACTCTAAAGACTTACTCATTTCTCTGAGTTATCACCTAAGACTACAGTAGGTTTACATATTAATAAACTCCTGTTTGTTTTTCTCTTGTTAACCTGTCTTTTGTTACAGGGAATCTCAGCTAAGAACTAACAAAGAGTAAAAATTATTTTTTCTCCCTTAAAATAGCTCATTGTAGACTTAAGGATAAATGAGGGTTTTAGAAAAGAGTGTATAGTGTATAATGGCTCTATGATATCAAAAAGAATACATAATACAAACATAAAATGGAGAAGAGACTAGCAAATGTTTTCAGGACCACTTTCAGGCAGCATATTACTATTGTTATTCTATGAGTGTTGTGGTTTAAAGTGGGATAAACTATGAATAATTATTATTGTTAAAAGAAAATCCTTAGCCAAATTAAATTTAACAGAGCTTAATTGAGCAAAGAATGATTTGTGAATCAGGCAGCCTCTTAAGCCACAGTAAGCTGAGAGAGACTCCAGTGCAACCATATAGTGGAAGATTTATAGACAGAAAAAGAAAGTGACTTACCAAAAACAGAAGTGAGGTACAGAAATGGCCAGATTGGTTTCAGCTCAGTGTTTGCCTTATTTGAACACAGTTGGAAAAATTGGCCCCTTTTGGCCAAAACTTGGAGATTGACACAAGAGTTGTTTATCTCTTTACACCACCCTTTAAGTTATAGTTCACTACATATAGAGAAACTTTAGGCTGAACTTAAAATATGTAAGGAGGCAGCTTTAGGATAAATTTGATTTAACAATTTCCCCCTTTTGGTTTTCCTCTCAATTTTCAGACTGACCAAAACTTTAGTCATTTATATCACTGTCACCATCTTACATGTACTTATTTGGTCTCAAAACCCACTGGGAAGTAGTAGCAGAACAGTGGGTTGTGTAAGGTGGGAACAGACTTATTTTTTTATAAGGGGAAGCTTAAGAACTAAAATTATTGGTGTAGAAGAAAAAGGGATAAATCATGTAATAGAGAATTTTAAGTGAAAACTCTGAACTCTTGGATGAAACTTTGCAGGTCAAATGTCCTGGTGAGGCAGGAAAATCGGTTCTGGAGGCAGGGAACATAAGGCCAATTCACACTTCAGCTATAACAGGAAATATCCTCTCCACAGGGCATACACCATAAATGACTTTGTAACTTTACTTCATCCTCTCCATTTGCATAGGGCATACCCAAAGTAGCGAATGGAATCCTCTAGGGGGTATTTACACTCCCAAAGATTCTGGAATGGGCCTTTGAGCCACTATGCTCAGGCCTACTCCCACACTGTAGAGTGTATTTTTATTTTCAATAAATCCCTTCATTCCTTTCTTGTTTTGTTTGTATGTTTTGTCCAATTCTTTGTTCAAGACACTAAGAACCTAGACACCCTCCACCATTAGCATATTTTGGTGATCCAGCCAGGAGGAAGAGGTAAGCTCAAAGTTTGGATTTCGTTGTTCTCCCTTTCCTTTCCCTTTAACAGAGCTTTAACAACCTTGATAGTATCAAGGTTGAAAATGTGATCTTATGTTACTTTTCTTAGGAAAAAAAAATGGGAAAGGAAAGTTTCTGGAGAAAACTTTAAGGAAACCATGGAAATAAGCACTGGCCTATGTCTCCTGGGTCTACAATCAATCAAGTCTGGCTTAACAAGATTGGTTGTGAGAGATTCTGAAAACCTAATATTTGGAATATTTCAAGAATATGTTTATTTTAAAAAAAGAAATTGAAGGGACTCTTGGTAACTGTATTCAAAAGTTTCCACAGTTAAGTAAAAAACACACCTATCCTTTGTTTTGTTTGTTTTTACAATAGGTAGAAATATGCAGAGAGGTCAAATTTGTTGGAAGGTAAATTTCAACTCATTTCTAACAGAACTGTAGGTTTAAAGGGAAGAAAGAAAAGATGACTATCTGTTTTTATGAAGGAACAAGGAAGCTACTCAGTCATTCTTTATTAAACATCTAGTCATTCACTGTATACTCTGTGTTAGGCATTACCTTAGGTGTGATCAACTCAGTAGTAGCAAAGTCACCACTAGACTACCTTCACCTATAAATACTGGAGTTACTCAGGTGTTCTAATCTAGAATTAAAGGTACACAAGAAGCCCACTCAGATTTTCACTGAAATTATCTATGTGTGTGTGTGTGTATGTATGTGCATGTAACCACAAATATATTTTATGGGTGGGGAAGAAAAGCCATCCCTCTTATTAGATTCCTATAAGCCATCAATAGTTTAGGTTGCTTTTTCTAAGCTCTTCTAATTTTAACATTCTAAGTTTAATATTATGAAATATCATAGCCAATATTCTACTACCCTCCCCCTTCAACTTTCTAAAATTAGCCTAAGATACTAGCTAATATTTAAATTTTTATTTAATCCTAAAGGACAGAAGGCACTCATTTGAATTATGAAAATATAATTGACTGGCATGGTAAATTAACCAGTCATAGCTTTAAAAGAACTGAAAGAGATGTTTTCTTGTATTTTCATGTACATGAAATATTAAAATTAGACAAGCCTTCAAGGTAATGCTGAGCAGTGGGTTATTACCCATCTTCTATATTTGAATTAATAAACATATAAGTTTAAACGCGTAAGGGCATATATGTGTTCGTGCATAAGTATATAAAAACGTATCTTGGAATATAAAAATTTTAGCCTAAAAATAAAAAAGAGAAAATCTGCAATTCAAACAAGACCATACTATGTCTAGAAAATCAAAATTTGTAGGGTTATCTCCCTGGAAAGCAAGGGTAAAAAAGGAAAGATAATTGCATTGCAATTCAAGTTCCAAAGCACAAAACTCTATCTAGAAAATCACAGCCATCATGTGCATGAATAAAAATTTGCTATTGCTGAGAGACTGTGATTAAAAAAAAATAAAGTAATATCAGGGAGAATATTGAAGCTGACAGTCCAAATACAGAAAAAAAGTTAACTGATTCTTCTAACCTCTTAGGAGATAGCATCAAGGTTGAAAATGTGTTCCTTTGGTTACATTTCCTAGAAAAAATATGGGAAAAGGAAAGATTCTGGGGGAGTATAACTTTGAGGGAACCATGGAAATAAGCACTGGCCTATGTCTCTTGGGTCTAAAACCAATCAAGTCTGGCTTAATAAGAAACAGCCTTTAGAAAAATGCAATATTCTCTCAACTTCTTTTTTTTGCCATCAGAGATCTGTATTTTTGCTTTGAACAAATGTTTTTGTTATTTTAATCTAATAAGAGGAGTTGTAGAAGAATGAGGGTGTCTAGAAAGGAAAGGGCATGATCCTGATAAATATGTCCACATTAGACCATCAACACCCAATTTGCTAAAATTTAAGCTACTGGAGAGAGCAAGGGAAGAGAACCCTGAAGACAGCAATTCATGAGCTTGCAAAGTATATTTATGAGAAAACAAAGGGTTTAAAGAAGTCTCCTAATGCTCCTTCCCTAGGCATATATTGAATCCATATCAAACCAGGCCATGGGCAAGATCGAATGTAAGCATTTGTCAATACATAGGTCAAAGATTTTACAGGTCAACAAAGATTGTATGAAAAAGGAAATGTTGACATACTAGAATGCCACTTCCATCTTTTGTATAGACTAAGATAAACAGCACAGGATATGGTGGTGGTTGAATCAATCTATATTATGCTAACTTGCTGTGTGACCCAGGACAAGCTGCTTAACTTTGAGTCTCTGTTCCTTCTTCTGCAACATAAGGATATGTGGACTATATACTCGATCTGTATTTCATGAAATGTTTTCCCAGATGATCTTTACAGTTTATAAGAATTGACCAGGTGTGTGAGGACAGCAGAGCAGAATACATGTAAAAATGCACAACGTATGTGTCCTATTTCAGATTTAACAGCAGGATCTTTGAGTGAGGATTGGAATGAAGACTGAGGATCTACATTTTAACAAATCCCTCAGATTATTCTTATAGACATCAAAGCATGAGGACCACTAACATAGTAATGAAGCCTTCCACCTCCCTCACACACACTTTTGCAGAGATAATTCTCATTTTGAATCCTTTCAGAGTGGCCCATCCTTTTCAAAATAAAGGCAGAGGCCATTTGAAGAAACAATGATGGTTTGAATGAATTTTCCCTACCTCCTAACTTCCATTTTCACAGTTCCACAGGCTCAGTTCTTTTGATTGTATTATGTTCTCTTTAATATTATATGTTATTATACAATGTCCATCAGAGACAGAATATATTTAATTTAGGGCTATTGAACATTTTAGCAATAAGTGAATGTCCAACAGAAACCAAGTTGATCTTGAAGATGTGAACTGCTTAATTAAAAATTTTAATGACACGGGAAATTTAATCTCAGTGGGGACCTTTATCATCCTGCTAACTCTTCAGTCAGTTCAAATTCTGGTAAAGTATGGAAACACATTTGTATATACTCCTTGAATATCTTTTCACTGATAGAGATTTCTTTTTTTTTTCCTGGAGATTCCTACTTTTCTGTTTTCAATCACTGTTGCACCAATAATCATTTGCTGCTGCGTTTTATTAGTCAACCTAGTTTTTATTTTATACTTTACAAAAGTCATTAAATTTTGGTTCATATATTCAAAGTTGTTTTAAATGTCTTTATACTGCTCAATATCTATAGTAAGTGCCTATAAATATATGTCTCTTTCTTTCTGTCCTTAAAAATCACATGCTAATTTGACTCTTTCTAATTATCCATTGGATTATTGCAATAATTTCATACTTAATCCTTCCAGTCTCATTTCTTTATGTTGTAGAACAGACAAATTTTGCTAAAGTGTATCTTTTTTCAAATCCCTTCAATGACACTGCCAGTCAAATTATGTCTAAACTGCTCTTCTGGAGTGTAAAACTGTGATTATGTCCAAACATACTCCCCTAGTTATTTTTAAGAAGTTCTAGAAAGCAAGGTGTGGACTCTGTGGCTAACCAAGGAAATGGTCTACAGGAAAGATAGTTAAGCTTTGGTTTAATGAGTGGTTGACCTTTGGGCAAGTTAGTGTGGCCTACAGGAAGGGACTGCAATCTAGACATTTACCTCTCTTTCCTATCATCTTGTTACCCAGCTTGTGTCAATGGAAAAGTTTCTCAATCACGTGGTGCCTAAATGTAGGTAAATATGCCAGATCCTAATCTTCTCAAATGGACTATTAATAAGATTTTTAAAAAACACTGTCATTTAAAATGTACTCTGTAGCAATAAGATGTTGAATTTAGCAGTTTTTAGAGCCTTAAAATAGAACACCTTAAAACTACTAAAGCCAAAACCAATTGCTGATATTAATCTCAATGATTTGTCAGGTTACCAGAGGCTCAAGAATTGCTATATTTTCCTTGTCTCTGTGTGTGATTTTGGATATCTATTTTTTTGACTTGTTGTTTGTGATAATTGTAGTTTTACACACAGTCGTAAGGAATAATACAGAGACAACCCATATACTCTTCATTCAGTATCCTTCAATAGTAACATATTGCATATCATGAAAAGAGGAAATTGGCCATGGATCTTACTTAGATTTTATTCTTACACATTATTTAGATTCCACTAGTTTTATATGTATTCCGTATTCCTGTGTACGTGTCTGTGTGTGTGTTTAGTTGTGCGACCACAGTCAAGATACAAGACAATTCTATCCCCTCAAGTATCCATTTCATTGCCCTTTTATAACTATATCCACTTCCTTTCCAATCTTCTCCACTTACATTCCTAATTCCTGACAACCACTGATCTGTTTTTCCATTTTCATATTTTTTTTTCATTTCAAGAAGGTTATACAAATGGAAACATAATATGTAACCTTTGAGCACTGGGATTTTTCATTCAGCATAATTGCCTGGAGATTCACCCAAATTATTGTGTATATCAATAATTTGTTTTTTTTTTATTGCTGAGTAGTATTTCATGGTGTGTATGTTCCACAGTTTGTTTAACCATATATCCACTGTAGAACATCTGGGTTGTTTTCGGTTTGGGTTATAATGAATAAAGATCTTGACGACTGTCATGAACAGATTTTTGTGTAAACATAAATTTTCATTTCTGTGGCCTAAATGTCCAAGAGTGAAATTGATGGGCCATGTGGTATTTATAGGTTTAGCATTTTGCAAAACTGCCAAACTGTTTTTTAGAGCGGCTTTGCCATTTTACATTTCCAGTAGCAGTGTATGAGTGATGCAGTCTCTTTGCATCCTTGTCAGCATGTAGTGTTGTTGCTGTTTTCTACATTATCCATTATGATAGGTGTGTAGTGGTATTTGATTTGACTGTGATCTGAATTTCTTTTTTTTTTTTGTTTTGAGACGAAGTCTCACTCTTGTCACCAAGGCTGGAGTGCAATGGCACGATCTCGGCTCACTACAACCTCTGCCTCCCAGGTTCAAGCAATTCTCCTGCCTCAGCCTCCCAAGTAGCTGGGATTACAGGCACCTGCCATCACTCCCAACTAATTTTTGTATTTTTAGTAGAGACGGGGTTTCACCATGTTGGCCAGGCTGGTCTTGAACTCCTGACCTCAGGTGATCTGCCTGCCTCGGCCTCCCAAAGTGCTGGGATTACAGGCGTAAGCCACTGCACCCGGCCGATTGTGATCTTAATTTCTAACTCTTCTATGTGCTTAATTGTCATCTGTATATTCTGTTTCATTTAATGTCTGTTTATGTCATTATTTATTTTGTAATTGGGTTGTTAACTGTTAAATGTTGAGTGTTTTTTACAGAGCTTATATTTTAGTCCTTTATTGAACATGTTATTTGTGAATATTTTCTTTCAAACTCTAGCTTACCTCTAATAAGCTGTACAGAGATTCTCAATAGGATCTTTCACAGAGCAAAATTTTCCACCTTGTGACAAGGTTCAATTTATCAATTTTTTCCTTGATAGATCATGTTTTTGATGTCATATGTAAAAACTCCTTTTTTAGCCCTA
This sequence comes from Homo sapiens, assembly GCF_000001405.40. Classification (NCBI taxonomy): domain Eukaryota; kingdom Metazoa; phylum Chordata; class Mammalia; order Primates; family Hominidae; genus Homo; species Homo sapiens. Next base: position 59,805,147 of record NC_000008.11, read on the forward strand.
TATCACAAAATACAGTTTAATAGGTATACTATTTTATACTAAAGCAAAAATAGAAAAAGAAAAGAAAAAGGAAAATGATGTATCGTACTAACTAATTGAAACAAGCAAAATATCTACAGTGATATCAAAGTAGACTTTAGGGCAAAAAAATTACCATAACCATAAAGGACCATTTGATAATCATAATTGGGTCAATCCAACAAGAAGATACAGCAATCCTAAATGTGTATGAACCAAATATCAAGGCTTCAAAATACTTAAAACAAAAGCTAATAGATCTGAAAGGATCAATAGATACACTCCCATCTATAGTTATAGACTTCAACACTCAACTGGTAGTAACTGTTAAAACTATAAGACAGAAAACTAGCAAAGATATAGAAGAACTGAACAAAAACATCAACCAGCAGAATCTAATTACTGTCTTTAAAACCTGCTACTCAACTACAAAAACATGAATATTTTTGCAAGAGCCAGTAAAACAGCCAACAAAACATCATATCCTGGGTCCTAAAACAAATCTCAACACATTTAAAAGATTGGAAGTAATGTAGAGTATGTTGTCTTACCATAATGGAATCAAACTAGAAATCAATCACAGAAAGACAACAGAAAGATCTCCAAACAAACGGAAATTAAATAACATACTTTTAAACAACCTGTGAAAATGTCAGTGAAAATTTAAAAATACACAGAATTAAATGAAAATGAAAATATAGTATACAAAAAAATTGTTAGATGTTGCTAATTGATATGGAAAACAATACAGAAAAAGCAATAAAGACAAAAATTGGTTAAAAAAAAACTATAAAACTTATAACTCTCTAGTAAGACTGACCAAAATAAAAAGAGAAAAGATACCCATCAACAATATCAGGAGTGAAACAGGATATACTACAGAACTTGCAACCATTAAAAGGTTAATAAGGGAATACTATGAATAATTTTATTCTCATAAATTTGACAACTTAAAAGATATTGGGAAGTTCCTTGAAACCACAACCTGCCAAAATTCAATCAAAATGAATAAATGACCTCAATTGCCCTAAAACCAAAAAAGAAATTCGTAATTAAAATCTCCAAAACCTCTAGTTCCAGAAGCTTCAATGAAGAATTCCACCAAATATTTCTAAAAATTGACACAAATCTTATATAATCTTTTCCAGAATAAAATAGGCAATGCTTTTCAACACCTTTTATGAGGACAGTATAACCTTGACATCAAAGTCAGTCATTCTACCAAAAGAACATTACAGACATATGTCTGTCATGAGCTTAGATGCAAAAATCTCCAGTAAAATATTAGCAAATCAAATTCAACAATGTATAAAAATTATGGACAATGATCAAGTGAGATTTTTTTCTAGATATGCAGACTTCTCAAACATTTGAAAATAAATCAGCGTAATCACTATCTCAACAGGCTAAAAGAAGAGAATTTTATGATTATATCAATTGATGCAGGACAATAATTTGATAAAATCTAATACCCAATTGTGATTAAAACTCTCAGTTATAAATAGGGAGAAACTACCCCAACTTGAGAGGGTGTGTCTATAAATAACTTACAGAAGCATCATTCTTAATTATAAAAGATGAAGTCCTTTCCCCTAAGACAGGGAACAAGGTAAATATATCCATCCTTATCACCCTTATTCAACATAGTACTGAAAATTCTAGCCATTGCATGCAATAAGGTAAGAAAAAGAAATAAATGGCATGTAAATTGAAAAAAAAAAGAAATAAAACTGCCCCTACATACAGACAACTAGTTTTCTGCATTAAAAAATCCCAAAGAATCAACTCAAAAAATTTGAATAAGCAAGTTCAGTAAGACCACAGGATACAACAATCAATATACAAAAATCAATTGTATTTCTATATAGTACAAATGATCACATGAAAAATTAAATGAAATAAAAATTACACTATTTTTAATTGCACAAAAAGTAAAATGCTTGGGGTAAACATAACCAGGCACAGAATTTTTATGCTGAATGCTATAGGACTATGAAAGAACTCAAAGAAGATTGGCGATACATACCATATTCATAGATAGGAAAACTCAGCATAGTAAACATGACAACTTTTACTAAATTGATACAGAGGCTTAGCACAATTTCTATCAAAATACCAGCAAGGGTTTTGTATATATAGGCAAGATTATTTTATAATTTAAGTAGAAATTCAAAGAACTAGAATAGGTAAAACAATTTTTTAAAAACTGGAAGAAATTACTCTCATTGTTATTGAAGCTTAACATATTGCCACAGTAATAAAGAGAATGTAGTATTGGTGGAGTGTTTGACACATAGATCAAATTAGATAACTCAGAAAAAGACACCTACAAAACTGATATTTTGATAAAGGTACAAGGAAATTTAATAGAGTAGCTTTTAAACAAGTGGTACTGGAGGCATTGGAAATACATAGCTAAAAAAAATTAACCTTAACCTAAATCTCACATCTTGTATGAAAATTAACTCAAAATGGATCACTTAGGTAGGAAATTGTAAATTATATTTAGATATAAAATTATAAATTTTGTAGGAAAAAGTAGGACTTTCTCATAAAATAAATGACATAGTTTTGGATGATATGTTTCAAATTCACTCTGACTTTTAATCAGTGACTTCAGACCATCTACATTTAAATTAATTATTTCTATGTTAGGAATTAAGCCTGTCATATTATTATTTGTTTAATATTTATCCTCTGTTTCTCATTCCCCTGTCTTTTCTTACCTTCCTGTAGGTTATTTGAATATTTTTAGGATTCTATCTTATTTTATTTATGCTTCATAGGAGTATATCATTTTGTATAGTTTACTTACTAGTAGTTCTAGATATTATAATACACATGTGTAACTTATTTCATCCCACTGATGTCTATGTTTCACCATGCAAATGAAGTATTGAAATCTGATCACCATTTAGGTGTCTTTATCCTCCCCATGTTTTAAATTATCTCTAGTATTTCCTCTGTATACATTGAGCACCAAGCAGATATAATTTATCTTGTCATTAGACATGATATAAGAAACTCTTAGGAAGAAGAATAATGCATATCTACCCCTGTTTTTATCTGTTTATGTTTTTTCCTTTTCTTTCCAAAGTTATATTCCTTCTTATGCCAGCATTTACTTTCTGTTTGGAGAGCTCCCTTTTTATTCATTTAAGTAATTCTCATAATTTCTTTATCTGAGAACATCTCTATTTCCCCTTCTTTCCTGAATAGTTTTGAATACGGAATTCACGCTCATATTCTTTTTTTTTCAACATTTGAAAAATTTCTGTTTCTACACCATGATTTCTGATAAGAAATCCAATATCATCAAATTTAAGTTCTGCTGTAGGCCATGTGCCATTTCTTTCTGGTTGCTTGTAAGATTTTTTTCTTCTTTGTCTTTAGTTTACAGAATTTTAGTCTGATGTGTCTGTACTTCACGTCTTTTGAAAATTTTCAGACATTATTTCTTCACTCTATCAGATTCAGATGTTTTCTCCTCTCCTTTTGGGACTCTGATGTTAAGAACAGTAGGTCTTTTGATGTTTTTCCACAGGTCCAAGTCTCTACTCATGTTTTTTTCCCCCTCGGTTGTTCAGGTTAAGTGAATTCTAATGATCTGTCTGCAGGTTCCCTAACTCTATCTTCTGTCATCTTCACTTTGCCTTCTAGCAAATCATTTATTTAAATTATTGTATTTTTTAGTTCTACATCTTCTATTTCATTTTTTAAACAATTTTTATTTCTTTGCTAAAATGTTTTTTCATTTTAGTTCCTAATTATTTCCTAAAGGAATTTCATTATGGCTGCTCTAAATTCTTTGTCTCACACATCTAATATCTGATTCATCTCAATTTTGGCTTCTGTTCATCATTTTCATTTGAGTTGTCATATTAATATCCAAATATCTAAGATACACTCAAATATCGCTTGTCATATGGAGAACCAGGATCCACTAAATCCACTGGATCCTATTTAACTCTTCTGTTTCAGCAGGCAGCTGCACTGTTAAGGCTTAGTGTATAGGTGCTGGCCCGGCACTCTACAGCTCTATAATGTCACCTTGCATGCATATCAGGACTTATGCTGTCAGCAACGTGGGTGGTGTTTGGATTGGCCTCCTGGATTCTGATGTTGACACTGCTGTGAGCACATTGGACCCCACTGACACTGAGTATGGGTCTCCCCACCAAGTCTCCACTTTGTTTCCTCTTTCCCAATCCCTTGGCCAGAAAGAGGAAGCCTTTTGTTTTCTTTTTTAATTTTTTCTGTCTATGCCTATTGGCCATAGGATGCAAGGCTTTCCAAAATCCAGCATGTATGAAAGATAAAAATAAAAACTGTGGAAATCACCATAGTTATTGAAGTTTTAAGGACCCTAGCTAGCCTACTTTCCTCTTTTCCCATTTCAGAATTATTTTATGATTGTCTGGTGAATTATATCAAAGGTATCTAGTTCTACTGAGGAAAGGAGAAGGGAAAAGTCATTCCATCATTTATTTTCTCATATCTATTATTTTCAAGAATAGCAGTATAAATATCATGATTTCTCTTTCTCTGTTTTAATATCTGTGCTTCTGATATTGATTCTAGATATGACTGACAGGTTCATGGCTCTAAATATGTAGGAAAGCAAAGGGATTATATAGAGAGGAAATTGTCCTGTAAAAATATTTTAAATGAGATGAATACACATTGTAATATAAATTTCAACTATATAAAACATAACTAAACCAATATTTTAAATACTATACACACATATATAAACTTTTGAATTTTAGTTATAATCTGTGAAAAAAGATTCTTTAGTGAATAATATGATGTACTAGGCTTCTACCAGCAGAATTCTTAATATTACTAATTATTGATTTTAGGGCCTTTCACATGCTGTTCTATAATGAATGACTCCCTTCTCCAATATAAGCCTGAAAATATTTACCATCTGACTTTTCAGAAGATTTCCTTCATCAACCAGCAGAAAACCTTTGTGGACCTCTAGAATTTGAGTTTTGAGGTTTTAAATATAAAGTGAGAATTCTTACATTCCTTATTACACCATTTCTTCCTCACCCATAAGCCATCTATCTTTCACCTTGTCTTATAATCATCCAATCATTTGTTTATTAGACAAATATTTATTGAGTACTTATTTTTACCAGGCACCATGCAGCACTGAGAAAATATAATAGCAACAGTGAAAACATGGACATGGCTATGGCTCCTATGTTATTTCACTATCAAACATTTAGAAAGAGTGATCTTTGCTCTCTATAAATCACTCATTCACCCCTACACTTGAATATTAGTCTTTCTTCTCATCATTTTACAAATATCAAAGATGATCAGACTTCTTAACCTCCAAATCACACTCTCTGGATCGATTATTTTCTTCCTTTATTCTCACCTTTCTGAATCAGTCCAACATGAAGGCTATCAAAATTATTTCACCACTTTTAGTTTTGTTTCAGTGGCCGATTCTCATTTTTTTCTAAACCTTAATTCAAGAATTTCCCATGTTTTGCCCTTAGATTTTTATCTCATATAACTACTCAATCTATGTATCAAGCCCTAATTTTTTTCCGACTCTAAATACATATTTCTGACCATCTAAGAGACATCGACGTGGGATTTCCCAAAACCTTTTCAAGTCTAAAATGCCCCTGAACAGATCTTTCTCCTATAAAATAAATTATATTCCTAAAGTCTTATGATTCCAGGCAGTGCTCAAAATACAGGAAGGAAATGAAGCCGCATGACTTTTAATATTGCCCCCAAAAAATATGTATTGTGGACTGAGAATAGGAACAAAAGCAGAACCCTGAGGATGGCTGACGCTTCTGAGACAGGGAAAAGGAGGAGGAGCTGCAAAGGCAGAGCTCCTCAGGGAAGGGAGAGGTAGGAAGAATTCAGGGAAAATGCAATGTCATGAAAGCAAAGGAACAGAGTGTTTTTTTTTTTTAAAGTAATAAATCAGTATCTCCTGCTTCCAGGAAGATCTGAAGAGTGAGAAATGAACGATAGAGATGGTATTTCTTAATAATTAGCCCTACAGAGTTTTCAGCAAGAGCGTATGTAGAAAACTGATTGGGTCAAGAGACAATCAGCAGGAGGCTGAGAAGTCAGTCAGTGAGTTGAGGTAAAGTGAAGACAACAAAGGCAAACATGTTTTCAAAGAAACCTGTAAAGCGGGGAGAAATGGAGTATAGTTATAGAGAGATGAGAGATGGAGTAGAGACTTTTTATCAAAAATACAGATGCTTGATGTTGACAGGAAAGAACATGGAAACAATTAAAAAGGGCCAACTTGAATATAGAAAAGAGAGAAGATTGCCAATTGAGAACAAGTGTGTGTGTGTGAGAGCGCGAGAGTGTGTGTGTGTGTGTGTGTGTGTGTGTGTTTGGGGGTGGAGTGTGATCCAAGAAAAAGTATCATAAAAGATCATTAAACAGAAGGAGGAAAACCTTTTCTTTCCCTCAGAGGAATTAGTATTTTCTCCTGCATTCCCACTTGTACTCCTTTCAAAGTCTCATCTTATAGCAAGCTTGTAATTATTTCTAGAAAATTGAACTTTCTATTTACCAAAATGTATCTGTATGTAGCCATCAGAAAATATTCTCTATTAAACAGGCTTTCAATATTTTACAAATTGGTAAAGACTCTCATCTCTACCATTTATTATATTTGTCAAGTTGAGTTTCTCTGTGCTTCAGTTTCCTCATTTGAAAAATGGTAATAGTACCTACTTCAGAATTATTGTTGAAGTTAAAATGCTTAGAACAATGCCAGGAACATGATACAGGCTCAATAATATTAGCTATTTTTATTTACCATCAAGTCTAAATTCCTCTGCTTCAGAAACTCTAGCTAGAAGTTTTTATATTTATCTCAAAGCTGGTCAAAAGTCTTTTTCTCATTATTCTCTGCAGAAATACTGCATTCATTGTCTCTTAGAATACTATCTCCTGGAATTCTTACTTCTTGGACAAGCTTATCCTGATCATATTTATTTTTCAACTTAATACTCCAAATTTCTATAAAGTATTTTTTAAACGTTCCTGTATTGACAACTTTCTTTTCACTCAGTCAATATCACTACATCTAAAGATTACATATACTATAAATGATTACAGCATTTCTCTATAATGCTTTAATTTTTAAAAATAATTAATAGTCTTGTCTACAAAATAAGTTGTAACCTCCTTATAATAACATCATGTGGTATATTTATATATGGGCATCTGGGTGTGATTGTGTGTCTTTCACCTTAACTAAGGGAGTAATGGACTGATGAACACATAAAGCTTACTCAACATAGGAAATGTGTCTTTCTGGACCTGAAGTATGAATGGGAAATAATCTCCCTTAAACATTAATGATCTCAGACATTTCCTTTCATGAGGTTAGGGTTTAATTTTACTTTAGCTACTTGATTTAGTTACCTAAAACTGGAAATTATGCTAAAGTTATCAAGTCTACCTGAGACACATGAAGAAGTAAATACAAATCCTTCTGCACCTAACCCCCACATAATATGAAAAATGAAACTCTAATGAGTATAATTTCAAAAATGCAATTGTAAGATTTTTGTTGAAGGAGCCACTATAAAAAAAGTGAATCATCTCAAAAGAATAGCAGAAACTAATAGCCAAAACCTCAGAATATAGAAATATAGATAATGTGAAATAAGCATATTTTATATGTTTAAAGAAATAAGAGATGCCATACAAAGCAAGTGATATAAACAAGATACTATATTTAAAAGGCAAATTAGAATACCTAAAATAATTAAAATTTTATAATTAAAATCTCAATGGTGGGACAGGTGCGGTGGCTCACACCCGTAATCCCAGCAGTTCGGGAGGCTGAAGTGGGCAGATAATGAGGTCAGGAGTTCAAGACCAGCCTGGCCAACATGGTGAAACAGCATCTCTGCTAAAAATACAAAATTAGCCAGGCGTGGTGTTGTGCACCTGTAATCCCAGCTACTCAGGAGGCTGAGGGAGGAGAATTGCTTGAATCTGGGAGGCAGAGGTTGCAGTGAGCCAAGATCTCACTACTGAACTCCAGCCTGGGTGACAGAGCAAGACTCCATCTCAGAAAAAAAAAAATTCTTAATGATTTCTTTATATACTATATTACAATTACAATTATCTGAAAAAAGAATTAGAGTTGTCCTTTGATATATGTGAAGGATTGGTTCCAGGGCCCTCACATATACCAAAATCTGCACACATTCAAGTCCCACAGTTCACCCTGAGGAATCCAGGTATAGGGAAAGTCAGCCCTCTGTATACACAAGTTTCACATTCTACAAATACTGTGTTTGGTTGAAATAAATCTGCATGTATGTGAACCCATGCAGTTGAAACCCATCTTCTTCAAGGGGTGACAATAGTGAACTGAAAACCTCCCCAAAATATAGCACAAAGGGACAAAGTAATAAGCACTATAAAAAAGAGGTTCCATTCTGGAGAACAAATAATAGAATGTGAATATATAATATGCAAATAAATGAAGTTACAGAAAAGCTGAATAGTGATAATGGAGACAAATAATATTTGAACTGACAAAAGGTGTGAAACATTACATTCAGGAATTCTAAAGAAATCCCAAGCATAGAACCTACTAAAAACAAAAACAAGCAAACAAAAAACTGCTCTGGATAGATCATAGTGAAATTATAGAACACCAAAACAAAGAGTAGACATTAAAAGCAGCCTTATTTAAAAGACAGTTTGCATTTAAAGGAATGAGAGACTGAGTATAGACTTTTCAAGAGAAACAGCATAAAAAGGAAAGTAATGAAATAATAGCTTCAAAATGCTCAGGAAAAAAGAAAACTGCCAAAATAAAATTTTATACCTAGCTAAACTCTCATTTGAAAATGATAGTTAAAGACATTTTCTGACAAATAGAAACTGAGTAGTTTATCACCAACAGATCCTCACTAATGAAAATTGTAAAGGGTATACTTGAAGAAGATGGAAATGAAACCCAAACAGAAGGGCCCTCACATATACCAAAATCTGCACACATTCAAGTCCCACAGTTCACCCTGAGGGATCCAGGTATAGGGAAAGTCAGCCCTCAGTATACACAAGTTTCACGTTCTACAAATACGGTGTTTGGTTGAGATAAATCTGCATGTATGTGAACCCATGCAGTTCAAACCCATGTTCTTCTAGAGATGCAAGAAAAAACGGTAAGCAAAGTATTTGCTACATAGTTGGCCAAATTGATAAATATATTGAATATATTGAATGTCTATTTTTTATTATCATTTCCAGAATATAAAAATTGAAATAAAATACTAGACAATAATGACTTGTAAGACGGGAACAATTGCACACCAGGAGTAAGGAACAATTCCACACCAGGGAATGGGAGCAGTTTATCTAGATAGGCTATATAAGCAACGTATAAATGATACCGAGATCACGTAATATCTCATTGTGGTTTAATTTGCATATCCTTAATGGCTAATGATATCAAACATCTTTTCATGTGTTTATTTGCCATCTAGTTATCCACTTTGGTGAAACATCTGTTCATAACTTGTCTTTTTCTAAATGAACGGTTTGTGTGGATTTTTTACTATTGAGTTTTGCGTTATGTAATTCGTTTATCATAAATGTGGTTGGCAAATATTTTTCCCTATTCTGTAGCTTACCTTTTCATCCTCCTCACAGAGTCTGTTACTCAGCAATAAATAGATTTATTGACACACACACACACACACACACACACACACACACATTGGATGGATCTCAAGGGAAACATACTACATGGAAAAAGAAAAAACAATAATCTCTGCCTCCATCTTTGCATGAATCGTCATATGGCTTACTCCCCTATGTCTCTGTGTCTCACATCTCTCTCTCCTTTCTTTTATAAGAACACCAGTCATTTAGGGCACATCCTAAATCCAGGTTGATCTCAAGAGTCATAACTTTATTACATATACAAAGATTCTATATCCAAATAAGGTCACATTCACAGGTACTGACTAAGAGGAATTGGACGTATATTTTTGAAGGACACACTTCAATCTACTACAATATAGCAGCACCATTAATAACATTTTACCATATCTACATTATTTTCCTTCATCTATTCCTGTCTCTCCATCTTAGCCTCTGCCATGTGTGTATATAAACCACTGCAAACTAATTGCAGACATTATGCCTCTTTACTCCTAAATCTGTCAACATGTATTTTTAGAAACAAAAATAATCTCTTACATCACCACAGTAATATCAAATTCAAGAAATAAGGAATATAGGACCCATATTCTAATTTCACCAATTTTTCAATAATGTTCTTTGTAACAATCTTGTTTTCTCTCTTAATGTAGAATCAAATCCATGGCCATGAATTGTATTCATTGTATGTGTCTTTATTTAGTTTCATTTAATCTAGAACAATTTCTCAGTCTTTCCTTTTATTTTACGACATCGATAGTGTTTTATTTATTTTGAGTTTGTTTTATTAAGTGCATGTAAGTTTAGAATTGTTCTATCATCTTGGTGCACTCCACCATGTATTACTATGTAGTTACTCTCTCTATCCTTAAAATGGTCTTTTGTCTTAAAGACTATTTTGTCTGAATTTGATATATCTATATCAGCTTTCCCTTTCTATTATTTGTCTGAAACATACTTTTTCATCTTTTTTAACATTTTTATGTCTTATGCTTTTAGTGTGCCTGGTTTGCCTGTATAAAAAATATTTGTAGGTGTTTATATCTCCTTCAGTTCTGCTCTGATCTTATTATTTCTTGCCTTCTGCTAGCTTTTGAATTTGTTTGCTCTTACTTCTCTAGTTCTTTTAACTGTGATGTTAGGGTGTCAATTTTAGATCTTTCCTGCTTTCTCTTGTGGGCATTTAGTGCTATAAATTTCCCTCTACACACTGCTTTAAATGTGTCCCAGAGATTCTGGTACATTGCGCCCTTGTTCTCACTGGTTCCAAAGAACATCTTTATTTCTGCCTTAATTTTGTTATTTACCCAGCAGTCATTCCGGAGCAGGTTGTTCAGTTTCCATGTAGTTGTGCAGTTTTGAGTGAGTTTCTTAATCCTGAGTTCTAATTTGATTGCACTGTGGTCTGAGAGACTGTTATGATTTCCATTCTTTTGAATTTGCTGAGGAGTGTTTTACTTCCAATTATGTGGTCAATTTTAGAATAAGTGCAATGTGATGCTGAGAAGAATGTATATTCTGTTGATTTGGGGTGGAGAGTTCTGTAGATGTCTATTAGGTTCACTTGGTCCAGAGCTGAGTTCAAGTCCTGGTTATCCTTGTTAATTTTATGTCTCTTCCATCTGTCTAGTATTGACAGTGGGGTGTTGAAGTCTCCCACTATTAATATGTGGGAGTCTAAGTCTCTTTGTAGGTGTCTGGGTGCTCCTGTATTGGGTGCATATATATTTGGGATCATTAGCTCTTCTTGTTTCATTGATCCCTTTACCATTATGTAATGCCCTACTTTGTCTCTTTTGATATTTGTTGGTTTAAAGTCTGTTTTATAAGAGACTAGGATTGCAACCCCTCAAAAAAATCCATGAATCCAGGAGCTGGTTTTTTGAAAAGATCAACAAAATAGATAGACTACCAGCCAGAATAATAAAGAGGAAAAGAGAGAGGAATCAAATAGATGCAATAAAAATGATAAAGCTGATATCACCACCGATCCCACAAAAATACAAACTACCATAAGAAAATACTATAAATACCTCTACACAAATAAGCTAGAAAATCTAGAATAAATGGATAAATTCCTGGACACATACACCCTCCCAAGACTAAACCAAGAAGAAGTCAAACTTCTGAATAGACCAATAACAACTTCTGAAATTAAGGCAGCAAATAATAGCCTACCAACCACAAACAAAGCACAAGACCAGACAAATTCACAGCCAAATTCTACCAGCGGTACATAGAGTAGCTGGTACCATTCCTTCTAAAACTACTCCAAACAATAGAAAAAGAGGGAATCCTCCCTAACTCATTTTAGGAGGCCACCATTATCCTGACACCAAAAGCTGGCAGAGACACAACAAAAAAAGAAAATTTCAGGCCAATATCCCTGATGAACATCTATGCAAAAATCCTCAATAAAATACTGGCAAACCGAATCCAGCAGCACATCAAAAAGCTTATCCACCACAATCAAGTCGGCTTCATCCCTGAGATGCAAGGCTAGTTCAACATACACAAATGAATAAACATAATCCATCACATAAACAGAATCAATGACAAAAACCACGTGATTATCTCAATAGATGCAGAAAAGTCCCTGGACAAAATTCAACAGCCCTTCATGCTAAAAACTCTCAATAAACTTGGCATTGATGGAACGTATCTCAAAATAATAAGAGCTATTTATGACAAACCCACAGCCAATATCATACTGAATGGGCAAAAACTGGAAGCATTCCATTTGAAAACTGGCACAAGACAAGGATGCTGTCTCTCACCACTCCTATTCAACATAGTATTGGAAGTTCTGGCTAGGGCAATAAGGCAAGAGAAAGAAATAAAGCGTATTCAAATAGGAAGAGAGAAAGTCAAACTATCTTTGTTTGCAGATGACATGATTGTATATTTAGAAAACCCCATCGTCTCAACCCAAAATCTCCTTAAGCTGATAAGCAACTTCAGCAGTCTCAGGATACAAAATCAATGTGCAAAAATCACAAGCATTCCTATACACCAATAACAGACAAACAGAGAGCCAAATCATGAGTGAACTCACATTCACAATTGCTACAAAGAGAATAAAATACCAAGGAATACAACTTACAAGGGATGTGAAGGATCTCTTCAAGGAGAACTATAAACCACTGCTCAAGGAAATAAGAGAGGACACAAACAAACAGAAAAGCATTCCATGCTCATGGATAGGAATAATCAGTATCATGAAAAGGGCCCAAAGTAATTTATAGATTCAGTGCTATCCCCATCAAGCTACCATTGACTTTCTTCACAGAATGGCAAAAAAACTACTTTAAATTTCATATGGAACTAAAAAAGAGCTCACATAGCCAAGACAATCTTAAGCAAAAAAAAAAAAAAAAAAAAAAAAAAAAAGCCTGAGGCATCATGCCACCTGACTTCAAACAATACTACAAGGCTACAGTAACCAAAACAGCATGGTACTGGTACCAAAACAGATATATAGACCAATGGAATAGAACAGAGGCCTCAAAAATAACACCACACACCTAAAACCATCTGATCTTTGACAAACCTGACAAGAACAAGCAATGGGGAAAGGATTCCCTATTTAATAAATGGTGCTGGGAAAACTGGCTAGCCATATACAGAAAGCTGAAACTGGATCCCTTCCTTACACCTTATACAAAAATTAACTCACAATGGATTAAAGACTTAAATGTAAGACCTAAAACCACAAAAACCCTAGAAGAAAACCTAGGCAATACCATTCAGGACATAGGCATGGGCAAAGACTTCATGACTAAAACACCAAAAGCAATGGCAATAAAAGCCAAAACTGATGAATGGGACCTGATTAAACTAAAGAGCTTCTGCACAGCAAATAAACTACCACCAGAGTGAGCAGGCAACCTATAGAATGGGAGAAAATGTTTGCAATCTATCCATCTGACAAAGGGCTAATATCCAGAATCTACAAAAAACTTAAACAAATTTACAAGAAAAAAACAAACAACCCCATCAAAAAGTGGGTGAAGGACATGAACAGACTCTTCTCAAAAGAAGACATTTATGCAGCCAACAAACGTATAAAAAAGCTCATCATCACTGGTCATTAGACAAATGCAAAGCAAAACCACACTGATATACCATCTCATGCCAGTTAGAATGGCGATCATTAAAAACTCAGGAAACAACAGATGCTAGAGAGGATGTGAAGAAATAGGAACGCTTTTACGCTGTTGGTGGGAGTGTAAATTTGTTCAACCATTATGGAAGATAGTGTGGCGAGTCCGCAAGGATCTAGAACTAGATATACCATTTGATCCAGCAATCCCATTACTGGGTATATACCCAAAAGGTTATAAATCATTCTACTATAAAGACACATGCACAAGTATGTTTATTGCGGCACTGTTCACAATAGCAAAGACTTGTAACCAACCCAAATGCTCATCAGTGATAGGCTGGATAATGAAAATGTGGCACATATACACCATGGAATACTATGCAGCCATAAAAAAGATGAGTTCATGTCCTTTTCAGGGACATGGATGATGGTGGAAACCATCATTCTCAGCAAACTAACACAAGAACAGGAAACAAAACACCACATGTTGTCACTTACAAGTGGGAGTTGATCAATGAGAACACATGGACACAGGGAGGGGAACATCACACACTGGAGCCTGTCAGAGGGTGGAGGGCTAGGGGAGAGATAGCATTAGGAGAAATACCTAATGTAGATGACGGGTTGATGGGTGCAGCAAACCATCATGGTATGTGTATACCTATTTAACTAACCTGCATATTCTGCACATGTACCCCAGAACTTAAAGTATAATAGTAATAAATCTGTTGGATTTTAAAACCTCTTTACCATTAAGTTTGTGCAGAATGCTTTTTTAAAATTTTGGACTGTTCTTCCAAAGCCATTTCTCTCTTTTTAAAACATTTGCCTTAGGGGGAAAAATTCCTAGTGATTATGATGTTGAGTTTATGGAATCAAGTAAAGGATTCCTCTTGGAAGGGGATTATAGCAGTAAAACCATAGGCTTTGGGACCATATAGACTTGAATCCAAATCTTGACTCTGCTCCTAACTACTTATATGATCTTGAAGAGAGTCCTAAAGTTCTTTGTTGGTCAGGTTCTGTATATGATAAAGAGTGCCCAGGCAGGGCAATTGTCAAGAGTAAAATGAGACAATGTCTGTCTCTGACATAGAGTAAAAACTCACAAAGTCTAATTTCTGTTCTTCTTGTGATTTACTACTGCACTCTTCCCTTACTAGACTGTTTTGTCTCTTACCTACTCCTGCTCACTAACCAGTTTTAGCTTTTGATTTTTTGATAATCTTTTTTTATTTTATTGATACCTAAGGAGGTAAATGCAGAGAGAGTGAATAATTGTAAATCAAAAATCAATGCTTTGCTATTAAACTATAATTAATTTTAATATGAATAGTTTAACCACTGCAGGACTAAAATGCAAACCTCTAATATGAAATAGTCAGTAGCTAAAGATTAAACATAGGACTGTTCACAACTGACAGGAATTGTTTATTTTGTTAACATAAGCTTTTATCCATTTTAACTAAGATCTTCTCCCTTCATTATAGTCATTGAATTCTGTCGATTAATACATGATAGTGTTTAAATTTCATATTCCCAGCATTCTAGACTAGAGATTCATACCAGATCAATATTCACCTATTGTCACCTGTAATCAATATTTAATGTCTTACTTGAGCTAATAAATGGTTATCTCTTCTAACAGATACTGAATATAATTTAAATTTGTGACTTTACTATTATTCTTTTCTACAGAAGACATTAGCCTTAATAGATAAGACCTATCTCTACATGCAGAGCAATATAATTTACATCATATAACTTGTAAATTTCTAAATTGCAAATGTGTATATGTATAAGCATAGCATACATCTCAGAAAAAGAAAGTGCATAAAGTGAATATTTTTTGTGTTTTAATAACCTTGATTATTCTTTCTATGTGTGAGTTGAAGAAGTCAGCTTCCTTTAGGGTGATTTGTAAAAAAAAAAAAAAAAAAATCGTCTTTAAACTCTAGAATCACTGCAGGAGGGATGTTCAGACCATGAGAGGCACACAGTCACAGAGACATACTGAGGGAGGGAATCACACAGTTACAGCTCCAGGTTCTGGAGCAGCTTTTCCTGATAACGCTGGGCAAATTGGACTCTTGCAACTATCAGCCACAACTTCAAAAGAGGTACATCGAGTTTTAAATAAGCTACTGTGGATCTCCAGAAGGTTCCAGAACCTGGAATACAAGGAGTCAGAATCCCAGTGGAGAAACTTCTCCAGTGTGAAGAGGTAGGGTGTGGGGCCTTGCTGTGACCTCACGTTGTGTGGTTTGGAGAAAACCTGGAACCTACCATTCTGAAAGTTTGCCCTCTGTGACTGAACACCTCGCCCTATGCGACTTACGTTTAGTGGTGGGCAATTCCTCTATGGTGTACCTGGCAGCCATGTTTACCGCCATGTATCCGCCATGGGCATTCCAGGGGCTGACTTTAACACAGACACCACCCCAGCCACTAACGTATTCAGATTTCATTTCCAGGAACTAAAAATGTCCTCTGAGTCCGTGGCTGGCATCCAACCTGTTGATAAGCGATGGGGGCTTAGAAGTAGGAAAAGGAAGCGTATTTAGAAATCAGAGAACTGTAAAGAAAAATGCATGTTATTTGGTTTGAACTGAAACATAAGGTATCTTTTATGTTCTCAGTTATTGAATGAGAAAAAAAATTTTAATTAGGTTGTCTTAAAAAAAGTCGTTACCCTGTTTATATTTTCGTTATTTGGGCAAAGGTAGAAGGAGAGGGGTAAAACCTACTATTTTATTCTGATTTTTGCACAAGTTTTAGTAGAAAATTAAGTAATTCTCTACAAGAGGTTTTTTTAAAAAAAGTCTATTCAGATGCTTTACCAGTTTTTAACATTTTTTTACGGAACTTATTTTTTAGAGCAGTTTTATGTTTACAGCAAAACTGAGTGGAAGGTACAGAGGTTCCTGGTATATATGCTGCCCCCACAAATGGATAGCCCTGCCCCCTATAAACATCCTCTTACAATCAGTGAACCTACATCAACACATCATTATCACCCAAAGTCTATAGCTTCATACATTTTAATTAGGTGATTTGCCTATTATTGAGTTATAAGAGTTCTTTATATATTCTGGATGCAAATCCCTTAACCAATATGTAATTTGCAAATACTTTTCCCATTCTGGGGTTGTCTTTGCACTTTCTTGATGATGTTCTTTGAAGCACAAAAGATTTTAATTTTGATAAGGTAGAAATTACCTATTTTGTTGTTATTGCTCATATTTTTGGTATAATATATAAGAATCCTTTGCCATATCTAAGGTCCCAGGGATTTACCCTTATGTTTTCTTCTAAGACTTTTATGGTTTTATCCCTACAATTAGGTCTTTTGACCTATTGAAAATTATCTTTTGTATATTGTGTGTGTAAAGGTGCAACATCATTCTTTTGCACATGGCTACTCAATTGTCCCACCACTATTGGTTAATAACAAAACAATTATTTTCCCATTGAATGGTCTTTGTACCCTTGTTGAAAATCAGCTGAGCATAGAAACTTGGTTTTATTTCTAGAGTCCTAACTCTATTCCATTGTCTGTCCTTGTGGTAGTAACACATTGTCTTGGTTATCATTACTTTGAAATGAGTTTTTAGTTTTGCAATTAGGAAGTGTGAATCCTGATACATTACTCTTCTTTTTGAGATTCTTTTAGCTATTCTGGGTCATTTGCAATTGCACGTGAATTTTAGAGTCACTTTGTCACTTTTTGTAAGGAAGTACTGAGATCCTAATAGGGAATGTATTGAATCTTTAGATAAATTTGTTCAGTGTCGCTATGTTAACATTATTAATTATTCTAATCCATAAACATGAGATTTTTTCCATTTATTTAAATTTTCTTTATTTTTGTCAAACAACATTTAATAGCTTTCAGAGTATAAGTTTTGAAATTTTTTGTTCAACTTTTTTCTATTTTATTTTGTGGTGCTATTTTTAATGGAATAGTTTTCTGGATTTTATTGTCAGCCTGCTTATTATGAGTGTAGAGAAATACAATTGATTGTTATATACTGATCTTATGTCCTGCAACCTTGTTGAACCTTATTATTAGTGCTAATAATTTTTCAGAAGATGCTTTAGGATTAGAAATTTTTTACATAAATATTGTTATCTGTGAATATAAAAAATTTTACTTCTTTCTTTCCAATGAGGGTTTTATTTATTTATTTAGCCTCATTGCCTTGGCAAGTATCTCAGGTACAACACTGCAAAGAAAGCAGATTTCCTTGTCTTGTTCCTAATTTTAGGGGAAAAGTATCTAACCTTTCAGCAAGTATATTATCTGTGGGTTTTTCATAAATGCTTTTATCACGTTGAGGAATTTCTCTTTTATTCTGACCTTGTTGAGAATTTTTATCATGAAAGGTTATTGTAGTTTATCAAATGCTTTATCTGTGTCTATTGAGATAATCATATAATTTTTCTGGTTTTATTGTATTAATATGTTATAATAATTAATTTGCAGATTGTAAACCAACCTTGCATTCCTTGAATGAATTTCACTTTGTCATGAGGTATAATTCTTTCTATAGGTTGCTGTATTTGGTTTAGCAGCATTTTGTTGAGGCTTTTTGTGTTCATTTTTATAAGAGATTTTGCTTGTGGTTGTCATGTGATGTCTTTGAATTTCATATCAGGGCAGTATTGACCCTGTAAAATAAGCTGGGAAGTTGCATCTCCTCTTCTATTTTTTGGAAAAGTTTATGAAAAATTGGCATTAATTCTTTTCTAAATGTTTGGCAGCATTCTGTGGTGATGTCACCTGGGTCTGAGATTTTCTTTGTGGGTAATTTTTAAAAATTACTACTTTGGTCTCTTCACTGTAGAAATATATCTATTTCACAATGTTTAAATGTATCAAGACATCATACTATACCCAATGAATATGTGGATTATTTATGTGTCAATTAAAAATAAAATAAGACTTTAAAAATAGGCCTGGAAAAGTACATTAAAGTTGAAAACTTAAGTTCACCCAAAAACCTGCACATTGATGTTAATAGTAGCTTTATTTGTAATTGCCAAAACTTGGAATCAATCAAGATGTTCAATGGTAGGTGAATGGATAAACTGTGGTATATCCAGACAATGGGATATTATTCAGTGCTGAAAAGACATAAGCTATCAAGCCATAAAAAGACATGGAGGAATCTTAAATGCATTTACTAAGTGAAAGCAGCCAATCTGAAATGGCTACAAATTGTATAATTCCAATTATACGACATTATGGAGAAGACTAAACTATAGAAACAGTAAAAAGATCAGTGGTTGCCAAGGGTTGAGAGGTGGGTGGAGCACAGAGTATTTTTAGGGCCGTGAAACTATTCTGTATGATATTATAATGGTAGATAAATATCATTTGATATTTGTCCAACCCATTCTATGGGTTTGTAATGTACAATACTAAGAGTGAACCCTATTGTCTAATAGATTATGGATTAGGGTGATAATGATGTGTCAATGTAGGTTCATCAAGTGTAACAATTATAACCACTCTAATAGGGGACGTTGATAATGGGGGCTACTATAATGTGTTGAGGTATAGAGTATATGGGAAATTGTAACTTCTGCTTAATTTTGCTGTGAACATAATACTGCTTTAAAAAATAAAGTGTATTAGAAAATGAAAAAAGTAAGAGCAACTGCTAGGTCAAAAAAGCCATAATTTTTCCAAATAACCTTTTCCCTATAAAATAAAAATTTAAAAGAAGAAACAGATCTTGTTGCTAATTTATTTCCTTTTGTAGTCAGTTTTGGTAGTTGGTGTTTTCTAGAAATGTGTTTATTTCAACTAAATTGTCTAATTTATTTGCACACAATGTTTCATGCCATTCCTTGATACATTTTTACATCTGTAAGTTTAGTTATCAATGCCCCCTTTCATTTCTGATTATAGTAATTTGAGTTCTCTCCCTCTCTCTCCCTCTCTTTCTCCTTGATCAGTCTAAAGTGGTGTGCCAATTTTGTTGATCTTTTCAAATAATCAGCTTTTGATTTCATTTATTTTCCCCATTTTTTAAATTCTCTATTTAATTAATTTCTACTCAAATCTTTATTATATCATTTCTTTTACTTTATGTTTTGTTTTTTTCTTCTTTTTCCAGTGTTTTAAAAGGAAATGCAAGGCTATTTTTTTCTGTCTTTTGTATTTCTTAACATAGGTATTTGCAGCTATCAGTTTTCTTCTAAGCACTATTTTGGTTGCATTCCATAAGTTTGGCATGCTGTGTCTTCATTGTGTTTTTATTTCGCTGTTAATTTTGTTGAACTTTTGCATAGTTGTTCTATTATTGAGGGTGAGGCATTAATGTCTGCAACTTTTATTATTCAGTTGTCTACTTTATTCTTTATTTTTATCAGTTTTTGCTTTATCTGTATTGCTTCTTTGTTATTGAAGCCGTATGTATTTATAGTATATAATATAAAAATGTTACCCTTATATTCCCTTTTCCTCTTTTTTGTAGCATTATTATTACACATGTTACATCTATTAATGTTACAAACTTAATACATAGTTTTAACTATTAATTTCCCACTTGTAGTCATTTTCTTAGCCCAAAACAGCTTTGTTCCCATCCACTTCCTTTGTGTTGTTTTTGGTACCATAGTACAAATGTATTACATTTCTATATGTTATTGGCTCAACAATACATTATGATACATATTATTTTATATAATTGCTTTTCATATTAGCTAAGATGAGAAATGAGAAAAATACACATTTATACTCTCTTTTATAATTACATAATTACTTTACCAGTGCTCGCTCTTTCTTCTAGTGGATTCAAATGACCATCTGTCATCATCTGCTTTCAGTTTGAAGAACTTCCCTTAGTATTTCTTGTAACAAATTATTTCAGTTATCTGGGAATATGTTTATTTCATTTTCTTTTTCAAAAGATAGCTTTCCTGGATGTAGGAATCTTGATTTACAGGTTTTCTTTAATCTTTAAATATGTTCTCTTACTACCTTTCTGTGGAAGAGTCCGTTGTTTATCTTTGATAAAAGTTTATCAGATTCTCTTTGAGAACTAAGCTCTGATTTTTTATCTTGCCCAAATTCCTATCTAAGGGGTCTGGGGAGTAATGCCCTACAAACCATAAATTATCATCAGATGGGTTTCATTTGACCCTGTATATCATGACTTACTTTCCAATCGGACTCTGGCATAACAAGGAAGAAAATCACAATGTTTTACCCTAAAGTATATTTCCTTGCCATACCTTAAAATTGCCTGCAAAGTCTCTTGTGGGAAAAATCCACATTCTATAGGAAATTTCCTTTACCCTTTGTTTTCCTTCCTTCCTTCCCAGATCCAGGAGATAATCAACTAAGAGCCAGACAAGCTTTTAGGTCTGATAAGAAACGTTGTGCACATGTACCCTAAAACTTAAAGTATAATTTTTTTTAAAAAAAGAAACATTTTATAACCTGCTGTCTCTCTGAAGGCTTCTATCAGAGATTCCTCTGCACAATAAAACTTGGTCTCCACAATGCTTTACCTTAACCTGAACATTCCTTCCCATTAATGCCAGGTCTTCAGATAAACGTAACCAATTGTCAACCAGAAAATGTTTAAATCGACCTATGGCCTGGAAGCCCACCTGTACCCCCCTGCTTTCAGTCATCCTGCCTTTCTGAACCAAACCAATGTATTTCTTAAATGTAATTGATTGATGTCTCATACCTTCCTAAAATATATAAAAACAAGCTGTACCTCAACCACCTTGGGCACATGTTCTCAGGACCTCCTGAGGGCTGTGTCATGGACCACAGTCACTCATATTTGGCTCAGAATAAATCTCTTAAAATATTTTACAGAGTTTGACTTTTTTGTCAACATCTTGTAAGTGAAGAGTCATTTTTCTCTTACTGCTTTCAATATTTTATCCTTGTCTTTGACTTTCATCATATTTGCTGCGTGTCTGTTTGTGGATGTCTTTATGTTTATTCTACCTGCAATTTGTTGCACTTTCTGAATGTGTCGCTACGTGTTCTTCAAAAAATTTGGGGAGTTTTCAATTATTATTTCCTCTAATGTTTCTCTGCTCCTTTCCTCTAATGTTTCTCTACTTCATTTCTCTTTTTTGGTATTCCTATTACTCACTATTGGTGTGATTAACAGTGTCCCATTATTCTATGGGGCTCTCTTCATTTTTCTATTTTTCTGTTTTTCAGATTGTATTATTAACCTATTTGAAGTTTGCTAAACCTTCCATTTGACATTTTAAATATACTGTTGAGCCTCTCTCTGGAATTTTTCTTCTTAGTTATTGTTCTTTTCAACTCCAAAATTTCTACTTGCTTCTTTTGTATAATTTCTATTTCTTTATTGATGTTTTCTGTTTGATGTAACATTGTTATATCTTCCTTTACTTCTTTAATCAAGGTTTTCTTTAGTACTTTCAACATATTTATAAGGGCTAATTTGAAGTTATTTTTCTGTTAAATCCCATTAGTCACTCTCATGGGCAATTTCTACCAACTGCTATTATTTCTAGTATATGGTCATACTTTCCTGTTTCTTTGCAGGTGTCAATCATTGTTGTTGTTATTGTTGGAAACCAAACATTTAAATAATATATCAAAACAAATCTGGATACTGTTTCCCCCTCACAATGTGGTTTGTTATTTATATTTGCTAGTTCCTTTGTTTAGTGACTGGCTGAATTATTTTCGTGTAGTCTATTTCCCATTCCATATGATTAACCCTATGATGTTGCTTCTAAAGGAGGCACACCTTTGGACATATCCAAAGTTACCCTGGAATTAAAGTGGTTTTAGCAGGGCTCCTTTTTCTCTTTCTTGACATACCCAGCTGTTAGGCTCCACTAAATAACAGGCTGATTGTTTTATTGTTTGAATAATATTCTGTGGCATAAATTGCTCTACAAATGAATCCGATGAATTTGAGCTTATTTGCAGAAACAGTTCCCAAGCTCAATGTTTGATATTTGTTCTGACTTCAAGAGAGTTCCACCCAACCATCTCCTTCCCCAACTCTTTCCTACAAACTAAGCCTGTAGTTTAGCCTCTATCTTGAATCTCCCCCAATTGTTCCCCACCACAACCTCCACTGCTTTTGAGAAAACCCTTAAGCTTACACTCTGTAGCAAATGAAGTCAATTTTTGTGGAAAATTTAGGTGTTATCTGTTCTACAGCCTGTTTCTGACCCCAGGCAAAATCTTTAAGCCAGAGCTATGGAGCTTGGTGTAGAAATAAAGGCAACCACTACTTTGAGTGACACCTCAACTCTAGGAGCTAGGTGCTTGATGGAAGGGAACGAACATTAGCCTAAAGTTCTCTTGGCTTGCCACTTCTAGCAAGTAAACATTGTTTTATGAGCCAGGGCAAGGGCAGTCAGGGTCAGAGCATTCTCTGTACTTTCCTGACCAAATAGAGCCTCCGCTTAATAGGTGGAGGCTGGGAAGATGAATGGAGCCCCACTTGCCAACTGCACTTACCCAGAATTTAGCTTCAGGAACAGGCATTTGGTGGCAGGATGACAAACACTGACATCCTACTCCTGTCAGAAAGAAAGTGCTCCCCCTGGGAGTAGGCTAAAGAAGTAGCCCTGTTTTCTTTACCTTGGCAGTCTGCAGTGCTGTTTCTACTTTCTGAGCAAGGAGAGAAGAGAAAAAGAGTGGTCTTGGTTGAAATACTACAGACTTGCTTTTTCTACTAATTGTATAGATGTCTTAAAATACATGCTTCTTCATTTTTATGCCCCAAAGACCATTTTCAGAGGCTTTAAGATGGTTGTCAGTGTTTTTTAAAAATAATTTTTACCAGTTTTAACAGGGAGCAGGTCCAAAGAACTCTTCATATTGACACGCTGGAAGTTGATTCTCCTTTAAATTTACATTTTATCATTTCAAATTGTTGGCATATTATCTGTATCCCAACTAACACAAGTGATTTCGTAGAAATTAAACAACATCGAAATCAGTTGTCAGCATATGATTTTTATAGCAAAATGATCATGCATGTATTTTGTAATAAAAAATTATATAGAATGTAAATAGTGATTTTAAAATGTAATATAGCATACATTGTGCATCCTTAAATACATTCATATTGCTTCTTTT
Organism: Homo sapiens; assembly: GCF_000001405.40. Classification (NCBI taxonomy): domain Eukaryota; kingdom Metazoa; phylum Chordata; class Mammalia; order Primates; family Hominidae; genus Homo; species Homo sapiens. Next base: position 59,829,071 of record NC_000008.11, read on the forward strand.
CTAGTTTGTTGCACTAACTAACACTGCTTCAGGTGCCAACAAAAGTTAATAAATGAGACTAAATAATAATAAAGATACAATGTTTACACTTAACTTTACACATAACTTGAGGAGATTGACCTTACATGAAATTATATGCTTTCTATGAGATAAGAAAAAGCTAGGGAGCAAAGCATTAGAACAAGTCAAAAGGTGCCATAGGATAACATTAATTTATTTTTAAAAAATTTATGTGGATTATACATCATGGCAACACAGACCTTATATATGACATTAAACCTGTGGACATATTTTAATGGGATATGAAATATAAGAACCTTATGAAAATTTTACATTGAAATTTGACAGATAAACACCTCTGAATATTGAGCACTTTACCCAATTATAAAGTTATCTTTTGCATTCGTGTTTTCTGTGGAATGATCAATACACTTTTCAGCTTGAAGTAACCCACATAAAGTTAATTGCACCTTAAGCAGAATATGAACTCTTCTATCAGAGTACCTGTGAGTGAGAAATGAGACATCGGGAGGTTAAGCAATTTTCCTATTTTTTCTCATGGTAAATTGGCTCCAAGTAATTTCACTTCACTTTTCTTTTAAATGAAAGAAAAACACAAATAGATGAAAATGTTCTATTTACCCAGGGTCGGGGTCAGAGTTTCTCAGAAAAATTGAAGGGAATGGAAAATATGAATGCAAGAGGTAGGTCAAAAATTTTAGATGATACTGTGAATATTTTAAGGTCATAAATTTTCCTGAAATCACAGACTTTTGCCCCAAACATATTTAATTTATAGCTAAAATAATGTAAATGGGTTTCTATTTTTCAGTTTTATTATATTTACCATTACTTTATTCATCATTTCATGAAGTACTGGTGAGTAATTTTGCTCAGATGTTTTGCTAAAACTTTTGGCTATCACTCAATTCTAAAACAGCAAAAATTGTTTTACGAAATGATCCCCTGTGAAACTGCTGAGTTTTAAACTGAGGTTTTAATATTAGGAGATATAAGCTCTAGTTTCATAATGAAACTCAAGAAGCTCAGTTTAGTCCAAGTTTCACATGAACATAAGACCCAAAGGCTAATGAAAACAATCACTAAACTTGGGAGATTAAATCCAAAGCCATAACACTACCTTACTCATATGGCTGTACTAACAGTATGTTTTCAATTTTATTGTTAAAATCCAAATATCTGGAATGATCTCTGAAAAAAAATCACAATATGTTAGAACCAAATTGCCCATTATCAGAATCATGTTTTCTTCCATGTCTAAACCATAATTAAGTCCAAGAGTTCTGACCATGAATTTGGGCATTTATCGATTCCACAAACAATAATGAGTTCTACTAAGAAGAGACTTCCAGTTCTAAAATGGCAGAGAGGAAGCAAGCTGTTTTCATTCTCCCCAGCAGAAACCAAAAGCAAATACACAGCATTGAGTAAAATCCTAGAATAATTAAGAACATGAGACAGTTCCTAGGGCTATACGATAGTAAGAGAATCAGAATTTCATATCTACAATACTCTTTTTTTCCAAACAGCTCAGCACCAAGTGCATGGGAAAAAAATTACCCCACTCATAGTTTCTATACTGGAAACAGTGAGATTGAGGTGGACAATCAGCTTTCCAACCATCTTGGGTTCCCTGGCAGGCGTCTTGTCTCTGCCTCAACCCACAGGATGCATCACAAATGCCTGAAAGGAGAAATATCCCTGAGGACAGCCAGAGACAGAGGGGGGAAATGAGACTACCATCCCCAGCCCTGAATATCTGCTCCGTAGCTTAGCAAAAAGAGCTCCCAAATCAGAGTGGCTGTTCAGCAGCATCACACTGTACGCACTGTAGAAGGTTCATTCCATAGATTCCTGGGCATGAACCCCTAGCTAGCCTTCCCATATTGCTAGAATATCTCCTTTGGGAGCTTCCCCATTCTGGAATGGTGGCCTCTGATTATTTTTTTTTATTTTTTATTTATTTATTTTTTATTTTTGAGACGGAGTCTCGCTCTGTCGCCCAGGCTGGGGTGCAGTGGCGCGATCTCGGCTCACTGCAAGCTCCACCTCCCGGGTTCACGCCACTCTCCTGCCTCAGCCTCCGGAGTAGCTGGGACTACAGGCACCCGCCACCACGCCCGGCTAATTTTTTGTATTTTTTTAAATACAGACGGGGTTTCACCGTGTTGGCTCGGATGGTCTCAATCTCCTGACATCCTGATCCGCCCGTCTCAGCCTCCCAACGTTTTGGGATTACAGGTGTGAGCCACCACGCCCGGCCATCTCTGATTATTTACCAGAAACAAAATAAGCCCAAGACAGCTTGTTCCCATCTACTTCCTTTGTGTTGTTTTTGGTACCATAATACAAATGTGTTACCTGCACAAGAAACCACAGCAAACAAGGAACCATGACCTTCCCAGATGGAAAAGCAAGGAAACAGTGACTGGTCCAAAAGAGATAATAATATGTGAGCTCCCCAACCGAGAGTTCAAAACTGCAGTTTGAAGGAAACTCAGTGATCTCCAAGATAACACACACAAAAACATTCAGAAATTTATCATAGAAATCTAGCAAAGAGATTAAAAACATTAAAAAACACCAGAAATCTTGTAACTAAGAAATATGTTTGCTGAACTGAAAAATTCATTATAGGCTCTTGAGAGCAGAAAAGATCAAGGAGAGGAAAGAATCAGTGAGCTCAGAGACAGGCTATTTGAAAATACATAGAGGAGGAAAAAAGAAAACGGAATGAAAAGGAATAAAGATTGCCCACAAGACATAGAAATTACCTGCTAAGACCATGACTAAGAATTATTGATGTTCAAGAGATAGGTGAGCAACAACAAGGGGTAGAAAGCTTATTTAAAGAAATAATAATGTAAGACTTTCCAAAACTCAAGACAGAGATTATTATCTAGGTACAGAAAGGTCAGAGAACAGATTTGACCCAAATAAGACTCCCCAAGGCATATAATAATCAAACTCTCAAAAATCAGGGACAAAGGGAAGATCCTAAAAGCAGCAAGATAAAAGAAGAAAATAACATATAAAGTTCTCCAATTTGTCTGGCAGCAGACTTCTCAACAAACACCTTACAAGTCAGGAGGTAATGGGTTGACATTTTCAAAGTTCTGAAAGAAAAAACTGCCATCCAAGAAATTTGTATCCAGCAAAGCTATCCCTCAAATATGAAGGAGAGATGAAGCCTTTCCCCATCAAACAGAATCTTAGAGAATTCACAACCACCAGACCTGTCTTATAAGAAATGCTGAAGAAAGTTCTTCAGTCTGAAAGAAAATAACCACAAGCATGCAACAAGAAAATATTTGAAGCTATAAAATACACTGGGAAAATTAAGTAAGTGGACAAACCCAGAGTACTCTAATACTGTGACCGTGGTGTGCAATCTACTTGCAACTCTAGTGTAAAGCCCAAAAGACAAATCTATCAAAAACAATAATAGCTGCAGTAACTTGTTAAGAGATAGGTAATATGAAAATATATAAATTGGAACAACATAAGTCAAAATGTGAGGGGGGGATGGAGTTAAAGTATAAAGTAATGAGAGGTTGATGAATGGGTATGAACACACAATTTGATAAAAGAAATAAGACCTCGTGTTTGATAGATCAGTAGAGTGATTATATTTTATAATAATCTATTATATATTCCAAAATATCTAGAAAAGAATAATTTGAATATTTCTAGCGTAAAGAAAAGACAAATATTTAAGATGATGAATATCCCAATTAAACTGATTTGATCTTTACAAATTATATGAATTTATTAAATTGTCACATGTATGATGCCAATGCATGCATCTTTTATGTATCAATTTTAAAAAAATTTAAAAATACGAGTGTCTACTTTGTGTCAGACACTATGATATGCTCTGGGAACACAAAGTTAAATAAAAAGATACTTGTTTTTGTAGAGCTGATGGTGAGGTAAATTATCATACAATGTGATAAGTGTTATGCTTTTAGAATGACATAAGAATACAAGGGATACATATAAACCATACAGATCACAGTAGAGTTGAGGATGAGGAAATGTTTTCCCAGAGGTGATGCTTAACATAGTTTGAGGAGGTAAACTATAGAAAGTTAGGCAGAGGGAAGACAAGAAACTCAGACAGACATTTCAGAGAGAAGTACAGAAGTATGACGATATGCGAGCATGAAAGAAACAGAGCTTCTTAATTATAAGCAGTTTGGTATACGTAACAGGAGCATGTGTCACAAGAGGAGAGAGGCTACTACAGAAAGGGGGGACAGTTTTTGCAAGTTTTGTGTACTGAAATGAATTTGTCTTACTGCAAAAACTTAGAAAAAATGATAAAGAGATTTGAACAGGGTGTGACACAGTCATATGACATTTTCAAAAAATCCCAATGATAGCAATGTAGAAGAAGGAGTAGGGAGGGAGAGGAGGAGGCAGAGGGCAGTTGGAAGGCTACTGGAGCAACGTGACTTGGAAGTCATTTGTTTGAGAACAATATAGTGTCAAGGGGAAAGACAAGGAGCAGGAGAATCTGAAAATATTAAGGAAATAGATTTCAGGACCCGGTATCTGATAGGTGAGGAATAGAGAAAGTTTAGGATGCTGAGATAACCGTTTTGGCTCCAGGGTGTGGATGAAAGAGAACATAAAAAGAAGAACAAATTTGGAAAGGGAGAACATTTGTTTGAATCATGAATGGTATGATTCACTTGTAAAACATTAAGTGGAAATATCCACTTGGCATATAGATGTGTGGTTCTAGAGCCCTGAAAAGATGTTTTCAGATATGCATTCAGGAGTCACAAGAATACCTATGTGAAATCATGCAACAATAGCTCCCTGCTGATGGAGTGTAGACCAAAAAGAGAAGAAAATGAAGAAAATCAAACCTTAAAAGAGCAAAGATATTTAATGGACATGTGAACAAGGAGAGACAGTCATGTGCATGTGTGCACACACTCACCCACACACACCACCCACACACACACACACACACTGACTCACACACACACGGTTGTAGAGGAGCAGCCCGAGAGTTAGATGGAAAATTAGGAGCAAACAGCATCACTGAAACAGAGTAGAAGAAAGATTCACAAAGTCAGTGGAGAAAGTGTTTCATTCATTAATTTGTTCATTCGTTTGTTCATTCATTCATTCAACAATGCATTCATTGCACACCTAAGTGAGCCCTTACATTCCATCAGCAGGAATGCAGAGTATGCACGACAGAAAGTCCTTGCCCTCAAAGTGCCTTTGGATCATATTTGCCATGAGCCTCCTGGAGCACCACTTATTCAGAGTAAGAGATATCGCGTGTTCCTGCCTCCTTTGAATTATAAAGAATCTCTCTCCACAGCCATGCTTCAGAGAAGAATTTTAAAAGTTGTTTGACACTCACTGAGTATAAACCTCTAAATTCATGGGTGATGAGTTGAGCTTATACCTGAGTCCTTTAATGGTTCACTCATTATCTGAGAATTTGAATTTTTTATCCAAGGTTCATTAACCAAAAAACACATTGAAAGAAATTATCACCACATGAGGCTTGCAGGCACTTTTGCTTGAAAAATGAATATTGTATTATGCTTTTTTCTTAAACATTACTTTTAGCTGTAATAAAAAGAAAAAAACAAAATTTTAAAATCAAAACAAAATTAAATCTAGATTAGATATAATTTGTTACTTTCATTTTTGCTTAGGTATTTAATCATCTGGGAATTAATGTAACTTTGATATCAAGATAAAAAATTATAGTGACTTTGATTTAAATTAATAGGGACACAAAATTCCAGGTCATGTAACAAGTATGACTAACTTAGTCATGTACACTCTAACCTGTAGGCCAATAACCAGACCTTTAGGATACTCACTTTTTCATTCAATTATTTGACTTTGGCTCTGTTTTGTGTGTAATGTACAACATTAATGTTGGTCTAAAGAATATATTTCTTTTATTTTAGCATTTTGCTTCCCTTCCCCTACTCAGCAATGCAACCCAGACTTAGGAGCAAAATTGCCTTTTCCCCCTGAAATGTATTTGTCCTACACATTAAAATGATTGGACAAAGGGTGATCTGCCCGACATTTTCTGAAATAGTAGCATTTCAGAGTACCTTTTCTGTTGTCACAGTCTGTACCCTTCAGAAATATGGTTTCAATTTTGCTCTTGAAATATGAGTCAAGCTATGTTACCAACATATATTTTCCCCTTGTCATAACATTTCTCTTATTCTGTAGTCTGTAGACAGCTTATAGGTCGCATCTTTTCCCCTGTCTCATTGAAATAGTATCTTCTTTCTGTTTGAATTCATTTTTCATTAGGGGAGGCAAAATCAGATCCTGTGCCCAATAAACAGAAGCACCTGGCCTAAGGATGTGTCATCCAAGCTGAGTGTTGTCCCCTGTTAATGAACAACAGTCACAAGCCACTTAGGAAAGGTAAACACATGAGGTGGGCTGCCTCCCTGCATGTACAGTATTCTGGTAGTAATTAATGATTTATCTGTTCCTCACCTTCCCCTCACCCCTATGGATTAATCAAATATGTAAATTGCAGAGTAGAAACAACTTGTTCAATGGGCTATAATTTAACTGTGTTTTCTCTGTTTCATCACAGTTTGGTAAATTCACACATCTGGGGTTAAAAGCCCCGTTGGACATCTTTCATACCTTGAGTGGAACACTGAGGAAACACATACAGTGCCCTTAGCTTTATTTAATGTTCTGGATTTATCAAAATTTTATTTAAAAAATTTAAGCAATTATACAGAGTTGAACATTTTAGAGATATTAGTGTACTTTCTCAATTCAAGCAAAATACCAAGACACTAAACAGGCTTTAGTAGCAAAACAATTATTTTCTAGTGTTATCCTCATCAAAGGAAATATTTCCATTGAAGCTGATCCCTTCAAGTAGAAATGGTACTAAGTCTTATTATTTCTAAAATGCTTATTATTTCAACTAAAAATGAAATTATTCATTATTTACAAAATGTAAATATAATAAACACAATAGCAAATGAATTTCAATATGAAATATAAATTACACAATAAAATCTGGTATATTTTGTAAGAAAATCTATTCAGAGTAATATCAGGGAAGAAAAGAAAGTAATAAGTAATAAGAGAATCTTATATAGCACATTGCATTTTGTAGTTAAATAGGAGGACATTAGAAGTAATTCACCAAGCTTTGACCTCAGGAACAAAAGCAGCTGCAGAGCCACCCTGTGCTGTTTAAAATAGGCAGTAAAAAAAAGTATGTGACAGTTAAACATATTTTCCTTTTTTTTTTTTTTTTTTTGTTTTGTTGTTGTTGTTTGTTTGTTTTTGAGAAGGAGTCTCTGTCGCCAGGTTGGAGTGCAGTGGTGGGATCTCGGCTCCCTGCAACCTCTGCCTCCTGGGTTCAAGCGATTCTCTGGCCTCAGCCTCCTGAGTAGCTGGGATTACAGGCGTCCACCACCATGCCCAGCTAATTTGTGTATTTTTAGTAGAGACGGGGTTTCACCATGTTGGCCAGGATGGTCTCGATCTCTTGACCTTGTGATCTGCCCACCTCAGCCTCCCAAAGTGCTGGGATTACAGGCGTGAGCCACCGCACCTGACCAACTGTTTTCTTTCTTTCTTTTTTTTTTTTAATAAAAAGAACAAATAAGTGTAGAATTTGACCAAATCATTTTCATTTTTGTAAATACTATAGGCTCTTGGAAGGCTGGAGGTTATTACTAAGGGTTTGCTAGGACTTACCATGGGTTTTCTCAGCTTAGAATGTTAGTTTCCTTGAAAAACTACTGTGGCAAGCGTTGAACAAACTACGTGTTTATCAACACTGATGATGTGTATTTATGGATGCAAAAAGAAAAGACTAGGAAGAGGAGGGGAAAATGTGGTACCTACTACAAGTTTCTTCCAGCTTTGAGCCTAAAATAATGTAAGAAGAGATCATCAACAAAATATGAATAGTAATAATCTTCTGGGAAAAAAAGAAAAAGAAACCAAGGGTAAAATGAACTGAATGAAAATGAAAATAGCTTCATATGGAAGAAAGTAGACACATTAAAATCAAGAGTAAAAATAATCAAATTGATGCCCCAGGTGCAATGAAGGTAGAAAAATATTTTAGAGCTCTGAGAAACATTTGAGAGCTGAATTAAACAGGCTAAATTAATCTTTGAGCAATTTTCGTACTGGGGAAGACTGAATTCATTTTTTTCACCTTAGCAAATTTTTCACCTTACTGAATTAATCTCCCCATGGACAAAAAAGCCATTTACATTTTTTAAGTACAGAAAGATCTGAGGGTTTTCAAAGAAGCTTTAAAAGGTATGAGTCATCATTACAAGTGTGTGAACAATTGGGTTTTTAAAGTCCTTTAAGTCTATACTTGTGAGTGATTTTAGAAATCCTGAATGCAAATCCCAATATTTATAGCATTGCTTTCCTTGCAAAGTAAACAGAGCAGAAGAGGAAGGTCAAGTAAAATTTAAGAAGACGCTTTATCTATCATTAAGTAAAATGTGAGTAAGTAATGCAGAATATCAAATGCAGACTGATTCATTTTATAAGGAAATAGAAAGTATCTGATATTATTGCAAAATTAATAGCTTTGATTCACCTCATTTGTTTTTCCAAAACGTATACATTTATTCATTTAATATCCTCTACACACACACACACACACGTTTTTCATCTAAAGTACTTTTTTATTTTACCCCCAAAATAAACAATTGTACAATTTTCATGTTTGCCAAGTTAGACTAACAGTTGAGCATCCAAATAAGTAATGAAAAAATGTGCTTTAAAATTGGAAATTTTGACTTCCTACAACTTCTGAATTTAATGGAAGATAGTTTCCAAATTCCCAACAGATGTTAATTTTTCAAATTTGTAGATAAGAAGTCTGAATTCCTGGGAACTACCAGGAAAACATAGTTTAGGTTCACCTAACATTTCGTAGGATTCATTTTTAAATGAATTCTTCTCTTCATACTTGCTGATATCTTATGTGGGGTGTTACTTTTATGATAACTTCCTCAGATCCACAAGATGTGTCTTCAAATTGATCTTCTCTATGGCATTTCAATACTCAGAAAAACTTATAAAATTTGTAACATTTGTCCATGTTACTATTTATTCTGTTTCTGAGTTCGCTGATGTAAATGTTAGGTAAGACTGCCTGCACCATTTTATCAAATTTGCATTCACAAACATATTCAAGTCTCACTATCATTTCTACCGATGAACTAGTCCTCCATGTTCACCAAACCCCCTTTCCTTAACCTACCCCCAAAATCCCTTGGCACCTGCTATAACAATTGTGATGTTGAAATTTACCAAAAGCTTTCATAATAAATTATGTTCATCCACTTTCCTTTTTTCACATGCTGATTTATACCTCAAAGATCAATAGTTATAGGAGTCATGATTATTTTCCCTTCCTTAAATCATGCAACTCTTTAGATAGCATTTTTGTCTATATTTTCAATGATTTTTATCCTTTATTACAAAATTCATCATTTTACTTCAATAGCAATGTGGCAACTGCTAAAAGATCATTAAATGGACAGACTATACGTTTTTAAAACCAGGGTTCAACTTCCTGAGTTATCACCAACACCAGTAATAATAGGAAAAACACCCACAAATTTCTACATTTTTATATGAAATCTTCTAATTTTATAGAAGATAAGTTAAAGAATTAAAACTGCAGGAGGCAAGGCTGTATGTGGTGGCTCATGCCTATAATCCCAACACTTTGAGAGGCCGAGGTGAGAGGATCACTTGAGGCCAAGAGTTTGAGACCAGCCTAGGCAACATAGTGAAACTCTGTCTCTACAAAATTGTTTTTAAAAATTTAGCCAGGTGCAATGATGCTCACCTATAGTCCTAGCTACTTGGGAGCCTGAAGGGGGAGGATTGCTTGAGCCCAGGAGGTTGAGGCTGCCATGAGCTGTGATCATACCACTATACTCCAGCCTGGGAGAGACAACGAAACCCTGTCTAAAAACAAACAAAGAAATTAACAAATAAACACACACACACAACTACAAGGGGCAAACAAAATCCTTCTATGGGCTAAATTTGGCCTATAAGAAACTAGGTTAGAATCTCTGTGAATGCAATCACTACTTTACCTATCATAAGAAATCTAAAGTGATGAGAAAAACAAAGAATTAGGAAGGAAACCCAGGAAAAGGTTCAGGCCAAAGCATTACATGCAAGGAGCTTCTCATATATTTTCACTACGTGGGAAAGGGTACAGCATAGGGTCCTCTGAGAATGTGGACAGCTTGTGTAAACCACCTTGGCCTAATTGTACCTATTTAATTAGTTCTGTGTGTAGGAAGATAGTAACTATCAGTGATAATGACAATTTCTTCTCAACTTCAACTTTTTTTGGTTAATTCAGTTACATTCTAGATGTCTTTTCCCATTTTGAAGGTGACGTATAGCTTACAACATAGGAAGATAGAACACAAAAAAGCATACCTTTTATTTCACGTTCCATAAGGACCAGCTGACAGTCTATGTTCATTTTTAGAATGACTCATCCGCTGACTAAAATGCAATCCTTTCCCTTGCCTTTTGGTTGTTGATGTTTCAGGATAATAATACCTTTTCGGTGTGAATTCAAGAAATGCACAATAAAATGTATCTATTCTTGAGGGCAGATGGATGAGAACATTGACTCAAATGTAAACCACATGCTTGCAAAAAAGCTCAAGTTGCAGAAGGTGAATGTCATTTAAAAAATACTTGGCTCAAATTCTGGAGGCAGCCACTATAGAGATGGAATTTGCTCTGAAAGATCCAGATGTAGTGACTGACTGGACTATATTAGAACAACTTCTCAAATAAGATTAAGTATTCAAGCTCTATATGTTTATGTAAAGTGCTAGTAATTTCCTTTCAGATGTTGCTCACATAGCAGAGTTGGTTTAACTCTGTGCAAAAAGAAGTGTTCCTAAATTGGCAAAGTGAGTAATCTCTGAGATCAATGTATTCTTTGCATTTGGGTAAAACTTGAGAAGGAGGAAGATGGTTTAGAGCATTGTTCATAGAGGATCTACTAGAATATTCTGATTAGTCACAGTTTTTCCCTTGGGGATCAATTGATGTCTTATGGGACTACAGAACCTCATGGAAGAGGATGATGGGTCATGTGTCATCATGAGCTGAATTGTCCTCCCAAAGTTCATATGTTGTTGAAGCCCTAAGCACCAGTCCCTCAGAGTGTGACTGTATTTGCAGATAAGACATAAAGAGGTGGTTAAAATTAAATGAGGCTATTAGGGTGGCCCCTAATCTTATCTGACTGATGTTCTTATAAATAAAATAAATTTGGACAGATAAGGAGATACCAGGTTTGCATGCATAGAGAAGAAAGGCTATATGAGGACACAGACAAAAGGCATGTCAAAAGGAGAGACCTCGGGAGAAAGCAACCCCGTGGCACAATGATCTTGCACTTCCAGCCTCCGGAACTGTGAGAAAATAAACTATTGTTTAAGTCATCCAGCCCGTCGTATTTTGTTATGACACCCCAAGCAATCTGGTACATGTGTATTTGGCAACTGGGTCATTAAGAAAACAACCATGTCTATACATCTGTCTACTTTTCCAACTTACACTGACCCTGCAGAAGGTGCGGATATAGATTACAGCTCTCCTGTACGAGGAGCATGAATTTGATGAAAGAAACAGCCATTGATTATATCAATGAAGCCTTCTGTTTTTCTTAAGATCATTGCTGGTCAAATTTTAGAAGTTAGAAACAGATGGTTAAGGTCAGTGATGTTTTCAAACAAAGTACTCTTAGAACGGATGATTTGTATTTCACAAGGAAAAAAATAATAGGTGTGCCAAAACTCTGGAGGAGTGAACGAATTACAAGAAAATGAAGCTTCACGACACTCAAAGAAGTAAGAGGTTTTTGACTTTTCACTTTTCTGATGTAAAGACAGATGTCTACTAACAGAAAAGCATAAAGAGAAAGAAAAGGGAGCATATTTTAAAACAGGTGCATTGTGACTAATACCCTAGTAAAATATGCATGAAAAATATTCATGCAACAACACAGAATAGATTTACAAAATGATCAGAGGAAACTGTTCTTGCTCTATGGCTCATTCTCAAAAAGTCAGCAGACTGTATTTGATAAAACATGTAGAAAGATAAGAGATAAAAATATGTTTTACTAATAATTTTAGTATTAAAGATGTGAATATTTCTGAACTTTATTAGTATTAACAGTTTTAAAATATACTGTGCAAAGAGATCTCACTAATTGAAAGCACTATGAAAGTCAGTTTCCTATATTAGCCCATCTCTTCAAAAGAATAAATAACAGGAAGAGATGATGGAAGGACATATTTTCAACATTTTTATAATTTGATATCAACTCCATTACAGTATAACTTTCATTTAAAAGTTGAACCTATTTTAAGCAAACAGTGTGATGATTTTGACAAATGTAACCACCATCACAATAAACTGTAGAATAATCCTATTATTCTAGAAAGTTCCTTTGCTCCCTTTCCAGTCAATCCTACCCACCTCTGCTTCTAGTCAATCATGCATATGCTTTTTCCATCTTTATAGATTTGATTGGTCATTTCTAGATTGTCTTATAAATAGAATAATACAATGTATACTTTTTGTGACTGGCTTTTTCGCTTCACATCATGTTTTTGAGATCTACCCTCATTGCTGCATATGGCAGTAGTTTTCTCATTTTTATTGTTGGATAATATCCTATTATGTGGATATTACCACAGTTTGTTTATCCATTCACCAGCTTATGGACATGGCTGTTTAAAATTTTTGACTATTATGAATAAAGCAGTTATGAATGTTCACATGCCAGATTTTATGTAGACATACATTTTCATTTCTTTTTGGTAAATACCTAAAAGTGGAATTTCTAGATAATTTGATAAGTGTATGGTAAACATTATAAAAAATTCCCAAACAGATTTCCAAAGTGATTATATCATTTTATACTCCTATTTGAAATATATAAAAGTTCCAAGGCCAATACTTTTTATTGCTGATGTTTTCCATTATCAGCCATTCTACCAGGTGAGTGATACCCATTCTGGTCTGGATTTGCATTTCCGTGGTGATTAATGATGTTGAGTATCTTTTATGTGTTTATTGGCCATTTGTAGATCTGCTTTTTTGAAGCAACTGTACAAATTTTTTGTTATACATTATTTGATTGATTTTATTCTTACTATTGAGTTGTGGCTACAAGTCCTTTGTCAAATATATGTATTGCAGATATTTTCTCCCAGCCCGTGGCTTTCTTTTCCAATTTCTTAATGAAATCTTTCAAAAAGCAAAAATATTTAGTTTTAGTGAAGTTCAATTGATCAATGTTTTAATGATTAATGCTTTTTGTGTATTAATAAATCTCAACCTATCCCAAGGTTGAGAGGAAAATATAGAGAAAACTCCTATATTTTCTTTTAGAAGTTTTATTATTTTTTACTGTTATATTTAGGTCTATGATTTTGAGTAAATATACAACTTTGGAATAAGAGTTAATGTTCTTTTTTATTCTAGTTTCAATATCATTTGTTTGAAGGTTTACTTCTTACCTATTAAATGCATTGGCATTTTTGGCTGTAACTCAGTGTGTCTTATATGTATGATATAATTCTGGACTCTCTAGTCTCTTCCACTGATTTACATGTGTAGCCCTGCATTAATGTCATACTACCATAATAATCGTTTCTTTGTAATAATGCCATACATGTTTAACCTGTTTCAGTGATCTGAAACAGTAATTGGGAGGTATGTAGGGACATATTTAGAAACATTATCTTTAGCTCAACTTCAAGATGGCTGACTAGAGACATCTGGTACTCGCCTCTTCCACAAAGAAGAACCAAAATAGCAAGCAGATAATCACACTTCAAATATATCCTCTAAGAGAGAACATTGGAATTCTACAGAGAAGTGACAGCAAACACCTAAAGCAAGGAAGGCAAGGGAAACGAAGCAAGGAAGACAAGGGAAACAAAGCAGTCTGCTCCACTTGGATGGGCTGGGAGTTGGGAGAGGGTCCCCAGCATGGGAAAACGGTTCATGAGTGACCCCCAGCAGTCCACATTACAAGGCTATCATGACCAAAATAGCATGGCATTGGTATAAAAACAGACACTTAGATCAATAGAGCAGAACAAAGAACACAGAAATAAACCCATGTATTACATTCAACTGATTTTGACAAAGGTGCCAAGAACATACACTGGAGAAAGGAAACCCTCTTCAATAAATGGTTCTGGGAAAATTGGCTATCCATATGCAGAAGAATAAAACTGGACCCCTATCATTCATTATACACAAACATCAACTCAAGACATATTAAAGAGTTAAATGTAAGACCTGAAACTATAAAACTACTAGAAGAAAACATAGGGAAAACACTTAAGGACATTGGTTTATGCAGATTTTATGGTTAAGCCCTCAAAAGCACAGGCAACAAAAACAAAAATAGATGAATGGGACTACATTAAACTAAAAAGCTTCTTTAGTCAAAAGAAACAATTAATAGAATGAAGAGACACTTTGTTGAATGGGAGAAAATATTTGCAAACTATTCATCCAACAAGAGACTAATATCCAGAATTTACAAGGAACTCAAACAATTCAAGAGTAAAAAAATAACCCCATTAAAAAGTGGACCAAGGGCATGAATAGACATTTGTCAAAAAAAGACATATGGATGAGCAATAGGCATATGAAAAAATGCTCAACATCACTAATTATTAGGGAATTGGCAATCAAAACCACAATGACATATCACCTTACCATTGTTAGGATGGCTACTATTAAAAAAGACAAAAAATAACAGGTGCTGGTAAGGATGTGGAGAAGAGAAAACTCGTATACACTCTTAGTGGGAATGGAAATTAGTACAGCCACTATGGAAAACAGTATGGAGATTTCACAAAAAACCATAAATAAAACTATCATACACTTCAGCATCCCACTCCTGAGTATTTATCCAAAGAAAAATAAATTAGTATATCAAAGAGATACCTGTACTCCCATGTTTATCGCAGCACTATTCATGATAGCAAAGATATACAACCAGCTTAACTGCCCATCAGTGTATGAATGGATAAAGAAAAGGTGGCATATGTATACAGTGGAATACTATTTGGACATGAAAAATGAAATCATGTTATTTACAGCAATAGGAATGGAACTGCAGGTCATTATGTTAAGTGAGATAAGCCAGACACAGAAAGACAAATTTCAAGTTCTCACCAATATGTGGGAGCTAAAATGTGTGATCTTATGGAGGTCCGGAGTAGAATGATAGTTACCAGAGACTGTGAAGGATGTGGGGTGATGGGATATGGAGAAGTTGGTTAATGTGTACAAATATACAGCTGGATAGAAGGAATAAGTTCTAATGTTCATAACAGAGTAGGGTGAGTATAGTTAGCAACAATGTATTGTATATTTCAGAATAGCTAGAAGAGAACACTTGAAATATTCTCAACACATAGAAATGATCAATGTTCAAGGTGATGGACACCCCAAATACCCTGCCTGAATTATTACACAGTTTATCCATTTAACACAATATCACATGTACCTCATAAATATGCACAAATATTTGTATCAATAAAAAAGAATGTTTTGTTTAACAGAAAGAGACAACTTTAGAGTGTTTTGGTGTTTCTGGGCCACCAAAATAAGCTATTTGCACACAGTAATAGCACTTCTAATAATGCACTATTAGTATACAGAGGATTAAAATATATGTACAGATCCACAGAGAGAGAGCAAATAAAAACAATCAGCTACAACTTATGCATTTAGCATAACCCAAAGAATACAATAAATGTCAAGTTGTCTATAATTAGAAAAATAAATGTCCAAATTCAAAATACCCAGCTCCAGAACCTATGCTGGTAGAGAGCATCAAGTGGACACTGTGTAGAAACGAGGAAAGAAGTTGGGGCATAGAGATGACAGAACATGGAGATAAATCATTCCTGATAGCATATCACCTTTCATGGGGAGATAGGAAGTGTGTCAGTGTTGTGCTTTGAGAGCAGTAGCTACCAGGAATACAAAATGAAGAGAAATAAAGTCTAAATTACAAAAATCCCAGAGCAGAAGGGATTTAAATGAAAATATAGTAAGGTACATGAAGAAAAAGCCAAAAGAATATAATTAATTTTTAGAAGTGGAAAGAATTACATTGAAAGAAATACATGATAAGCAAAGAAGATAATATACATACATATAATGGTCCATGAAATAGAGAAATCAGTGGAAAATAATTAAAATCTAAAACTATTATTCAAGAAAACTTTCTGGAAATAAAAGACCTAAATCTACATATTCTAGGGTCTACTGTATACCCGATAACTGATGTATTCTAATAAATCTAATAGACTTCAGAGACTGAGAAAACAATCTTCAGGGCATCAGGACAAAGGTGTCATTCAGAAAGGGAAGAAAACATGGTTGACAAAAGACTTATTGGCAATCACACACAAAGCAAGAAAACAGTAGACTGGTATTTTAAACAGTCTTTACGAGTGAGAACCAACAAATATAATATTCAGCTAAGCTATTGTTATTTACAAAGGAAAGTCAATCTAGTTGACCACTGACTTCTTGACAACTACATATGAAGTAATACAACACCAGAGCAACCTGTACTCCCATGTTTATCGCAGCACTATTCACAGTAGCAACCCAAATGCCCACCAATGGTGGATTGGATAAAGAAAATGTACCTATACACCATGGACTACTACGCAGCCGTGAAAAGAACAAAATCTGGTGCATATGTACCATGGAACACTGCACAATGATAAAAAAAAAAAAATCTAAATCATGTCCTTTGCAGCAACATGGAAGCAGCTGGAGACTATTATCCTAAGTGAATTAATGCCAAAACAGGAAGCCAAATACCACATATTCTCACATAAATGAGAGCTTAACTGCAAACACATGGACATGAAGATGGCAGCAATAGACACTGGGGACTCGTAAAGGGAGTCCTTAAAAAGGAGAGAATGAAAACAAACAAATTAAATCACCAACTCAAAAAGCTAAAAAGTTAACCAAGGAAATAAAGAGAAAACATAAGAAAGAAAATAATAAAGATTAAAATAAAATTTGTTGAGTTAGAAAATAGAAAAATAATTGAACTAAAATTAACAAAATAGATCATCGGGTAACTTGAGAATAAAGGGAGGAAAGGACAAATTCACAGAATTTAAAATGATGATTTTAAATCCAAAAATAAAATGTATCATTTCCTAAGAAAATAAAATTAAACCAAATCTGTCACAAAAGATCTAGAAAGATTAGAAGGATTAATTTCCATAGAGGAAACAGATAAAAGAATCACAAAAGTTACCTATCTCAGGAAATTCTTAAGTGAATTTTACCAAAACTCTAAAAGACAAATAATTCCAATATTACATATATTGTTATGGAATTTATAATGAAAACTTCTACTCTTCTTATGGAAAAAGTATAATGTTGATAACTAATTCTAAGAAAGATAGCATCAAAAAGAAAAAATAAAAACCTTCAGATCCATATCACTTATTAATGTTGATGGAAAAATTCTGAATCAAATACAAGCAATAAAATAATAAATTGTATCACTTATTCTAGGAATAAGAATGATTCAACATTTAAAATTAAATAAAATAACACGTTAATAGATACAATGAGACAATCATTATTATTTCCATATGTATAAAAAGGACTTTGATAAAATTTAATGCTGCTATAAAACAGAGTAAAATAGAATGATAGATATATATTTATTACAATAAATTGTATGCACGTCAGTTCGAAAGTCATTTTTTAAAATATCTTTTTCATTAGTTGAGTCTAATCATTATAAAAGTAGAAGTAATTTTTTGTTGTTGTTGTTTTTGTTTTTGAGATAGAGTCTCGCTCTGTCGCCCAGGTGGAGTGCAGTGGCGCCATCTCGGCTCACTGCAACCTCCACCTCCCAGGTTTAAGTGATTCTCCTGCCTTAGCCTCCCAAGTAGCTGGCATTACAGGCGCATGCCACCATGCCAGGCTAATTTTTTGTATTTTCTGTAGAGACGGGGTTTCACTGTGTTAGCCAGGATGGTCTCAATCTCCTGACCTCGTGATCCTCCCACCTCGGCCAAGTAGAAGTAAAATTCTTATTGCTGAAGAAAAATAATATACTTGAAAACTAGAGAGAGCCAACAATAAATCTAACTCAATCTAAGGTTGCAGAATATAAAATAACATAAAAAATCAATAGTCTTCACATATTTGAATCATAGGCAGCTAGAACCGAGGCCCGCAGAAATCAATAGTCTTCCCATATTTGAATCATAGGCAGCTAGAACCAAGGCCCGCAGATTTTTTCTGAAAACAGAGAATAAATACAATCATGAGCCGCATAACAACGTCTTAGTCAACAATGGACTGCATATACTACAGTTGTCTCACAAGGTTATGAAGGGCTGAAAAATTCCTGTTGTCTAGACATCTTAACATTGTAACATCATAGCACAAAGCATTACTTGCATATTTGTGATGATGCTAATTTAAACAGATCTACCAAGCTGGCAGTTGTATACAAGTCTAGCACATACAATTCTATACAGTACATAATACTTGATAATAAACGACTATGTTACTCATTTATGTATTTACTATACTATACTTGTTATGGTTATTTTAAAGGGTACTCCTTTTACTTATTAAAACAAAATGTTAACTAGAAAACAACCTCAGGCAGGTCCTTCAAACGGTATCCAGAAGAAGCATTTGTTATCATAGTAGATGACAGCTCCATGTGTGTAATTGCCCCTGAAGACTTTCTAGTGGGACAGGATGTGGAGGTGGGAGACAGTGATAATGATGATACTGACCCTGTGTTGTCTTAGGCTAATGTGTGCATTCAGCTTTTAATAAAATACTTTAAAAAGTAAACAAACTAGAAATAAAAACAGAAAGAAGCTTATAGGGTAGGGAAAATATTTTTGTACAGCTTTACAATGTCTTTGTGTTTCAAGTGTTATTACAAAAGAGTCAAAAAGTTTCAAAATTTTGAATGTTTAAAAAGTAATCTGTGCAAGTCCCTGTGACACCAGTTTTCCTGTATAACAAACCTGCACATGTACCCAAGAACTTAAAAGTTAAAAAATATATATGTTACAGTAAGCTGTTAATTTATTATTGAAGAAAGCAAAATATTTTAAAATAAATTTAATGTAGCCTAAATGTACAGTGTTTATAAAGTCTACAGTAGTGTACAATAAAGTCCTAGGCCTTCACATTCACCCACTACTCGATCACTGACTCACTCACAGCAACTTCTTCTCCTGAGAGCTCCATTCATGGTAAATACCCTATATAGGTGTACCACTTTTAAAATCTTTTATAGCATATTTTAATTTATCATTTCTTTGTTCATATATGCTTAAATACACAAATACCATTGTGTTATAATTGCCTACAGTATTCCGTACAGTAACATGCTGCACAGGTTTGTAGCCTATGAGCAATAGGTTATACCATCTAGTCTAGGTGTGTAGCAGGCTGTACCATCTAGGTTTGTGTAAGTGCACCCAAGGATGTTTACACAATGATGAAATGACTTAACAATGCATTTCCCAGAACATATCCTTGTCGTTAAGCAACACATGACTGTATTTTAGGTTTTGTAGCATTAGAGGTAAAATCAGGGATTTTATAAGTACGTGTATAACAAGAGAGAATGAATTTCCACAAAAAATGTATTGATAAAGTCCAAAATATAATAACTGAGTAAATTTTTTGCATGTAAGTTGCACATAGGTTGCACACAGTTTCTCCAATTAGAAAAATGGAATTATCTTTCTCGGGGACAACATCTCACTTAATTAGTATTACTGACTTTTATGAAGAAAATCTGTTGGAAATGTTCAAGTAGTTTCCAGAAATTACCTGCATGTGAATAATACAAATATTTTGTATTTTCAAAGCTTTGAATTTTTTTCCAAGTAAATCTTTTTCTTCTCCACACATATTTTTACCATGATTGGATGTAACAGAACTTCAAAGATTTCACTTCAGGTTGTACTGAATTAGAGTTTTCTCAAATATTTGAGAAATATTTGACAAATTAGAGTTTTCTCAAATATATGCAGACTTCATAGAAGCTAATTCTTCAGTCACTCAAATTCAACACTGACTTCTTGAATAAACAACAGCTGGTCCTTTGTCATCTTATTACATGGATAAATTGGTGTAACTACCACCACACAATCAAGATACAGAGCTATTCAGTCATCACAAAGATCTCCCGTGTGGTAACCCTTAAGTCACACCACCATCATTACCACCATCTCTGACCCCTGACAACCACTAATCTCTTTCCCATCTTTGTAATTTCATAATTTAAAAAACAATATATAAATGAAGTCATATAGCCTGCTGCCTTTTGCAATGTTTCCATGCTCATAATGCCCTTGAAATAATTGAAATTGTTGAGTATATCAATAGTTATTTTTTAATTTTTAACACTGATGATTCATATGGATATACCACAGTTTACTTAATTATTGAGAGACATCTTGGTTATTTTCAGTTTTTGGCTATTACAAATAAAGCTGCTATGAACAAATGGGTATCAGTTTTTGTGTGGACCTAAATTTTTATTTTTCTGTGATAAATGCTGAGGAATTCATTTGTTGAATCAATCAGTAAGTGTACGTTTAGCTTTTTAAGAAACTGCCAAAATAGTTTCCAGAGTGGGTGCCTTTACATCATATTACAAACCCACCAGCAATGTATGAGAGACTGAGTTTCTCCACATTCTTACCAGCATGTGGTGGTGTTACTATTTTTACTTTAGCTCCTCTCATAGGTATATAATGATATCTCATTGCGGTCTTAATTTGCACTTCTCTGGTGACTCATGAGGTTGAACATCTTTTCATGTGCTTGCTATCTATATATTCTCTTCAGTGAAGCCTCTCCTTATATTTTTTGTCCATGTTTTAGTTGAATTAATTGCTCTTTACTGTTGAGTTTTGGGTTGTCTTTTTTTTTTCAGATATGTGGTATTAAAATATTTTCTTCCAGTATATACATTGTTTTTTTAATTCTCTTCATGAAGTCCTCTACAGACAAAAGTTTTTATTTTGATGAAGTCCAAGTTATCAATTTTATTTTTCTATGGAACACACTTTTGGTGTCACAGCTAAGAATTCTTTACCAACCTCTCATTGAAAATCCCAAAGATTTTCTCCAATTTTATAAGCTAAAAATTTTATACTTGTTTTACATTTAAATATATAATGTTTTGTTTAATATTTATGTAAAGTGTGAAGTTTATGTCAAGATTTCATATTTTATTATGGATATCTAATTGTTCAACACCATGTTTTGAAAAAATTATTCTCTGTTAAATTGCCTTTACATCATTGTCGAACATCAGTTGGCCATCGCTGTGTGGGACTATTCTTGGATTTTTACTCTGTTCTAACAATATACATGTATGTATGTATGTATACACCTATACATGCATATATAGAGAAAGAGTATGCATACAAATTCAATTTCATTAATAGTTATTGGGCTATTTAAATTGTCTATTTCTTATTGAGTAAGTTATAGTAGTTTGTACTTGTCAAATGGATGTACAAAGTTGTTCAGAGTATCCACTTTTCCTTTAGCTGTGCCATGAGACACTGGGTCTTTTGTGAATCTTGTGTTTTGGCAGCTCCCTCTGACACAATTCCAGTGGGAGAAGGGGAACTACCTCATTTCACCAAGTGGGGTTGGATGCCCAGGGCTTCCACTAGGCCTCTGTTGACAGTTGGAGGGATGGGCTCCTTGTTACCACAGGTAGAGGTGGAAATTCAGGCTCCCGACATGGCCACCACTTACACTGGGAGGGGAGTGGTCCTCGTTGTCTCTGAGGGGTTGTGAAAGCCCTGACTTTCCACTAGCCCTCCTCTTAGACCACTGTCCCGGGTAGGGGTGAATTCCAGTCTCCCCTGGTCATTGGCGCCTACCCTGTGAGTGCAGGGCGGTCCTCATTACCACCAGTCAGGAACAAAGATCCTATTTCCCCACCCAGCCTCTGATAATCATGGCGGGGGGTTGGGGTCCCTTTTTTCAGCCTGGAGAGTGTGGATAGATGTCCACATTCTCCACTCCACCTTTGCTGGTGGGGCTGAAGGTTGACCTCATATTTGTCTGTGGTGTTTGGCTGCAGTAGAGTGGTTATTATCTGAAAGCTCTCTGGTTAGGTGGCCCCTTGCCTGGCCCTTTGGCTAGAGTAAGCAGAAACTTTACTTGGGGCTTTTATTGTCTGTGTTCATTGGCATTATTAGGTTTCTGGATTCTCCATTCCCCAGTATGGGATATATGAGTCAGAAAGAAAACTCAGGGAACTCATTGCAATGTCATTGCTTTGGCCCTAAACTCCCTTTTCAGTCTGCCTTCTTCTCTACATCTTTCAGAGTCTTCTTACGTTTTTTGTATATATTATCTAGGGCATTTAGCTGTACTTATTGGGAAGAATATGGACAGAATGTTTACTCCATCTATTGCCCTCCGTGTCCTCAACTATTCAAGCAACTGTTATCACTAAAAGGCTAATAGTTTTAATCGTTTATTTTCTCAAGACACATTCCTTCATCTGCTGCAATCAAACACAATTTAATTAACTCAACTTTAGTAGACAGTTTCCCTTGCTTGGCTAACAAATGAGCTGCTCAGAAGCTTACATTGACTTAAACTTCATTTCAATTTTTTAAATTTTTCTGAATAAATTTTGCTTTGATATTTCATTTTAAAATTTCTAGTTTTTCTGAAATTCCTTTTTCTATGAGTGGGAATATTATAGTGTGCTTAGCCAAATAATGTTGATGGTTATTATATTATTGTAGCGCAGCTACCATATCACTACATAATAAACACAATGCTTTGCCATCTAATTTGATAACAAAATAATCCATACTCCACTCTGCCTTAAAAGAACGACATTCAAAACCAACTTTTCTCTTTTCTTGCTCTGACATTGTGGGTATTCACTAGTAATAAAAAAAAATTATTAAATGTCATGGCACAATACTAGGCATGCTAGTTCAAGATGTTAGTCAGTTATAACTGGGACATTGTGATTTGTAGTATGCCAAGCAGCAATGGAAAGTAATGAGTGTGGCACAGAACCTTTGTTGCATGTAGAGATGGTCCCCAATTTACAATGGTTCAACTTAACAATTTTTTGACTTTATGATAACATGAAAGTGATATGTTTTCAGTAGAAAACATATGTTGAGTAACCACACAACCATTGTTTTTCACTTTCAGTACAGTATTCAACAAATTACATGAAATATTCAATACTTTACCATAAAATAGGGGATTTTTTAGATGATTTTGTTCAACTGTAGACAAATATGTGTTTTGGGCATGTTTAAGGGAAACTAGGCTAAGCTGTGATGTCTGGTAGGTTAAGGGTATTAAGTGCATTTTCGATTTACAATATTTTCAACTTATGATGGGATTATCAGGATGAAATCCATCATAAATCCAAGAGCATCAGTATTTAGCCTTGCTATTGCAATGCAAAAGGAGGCATAGGATATATAATCAAATGAGCATGGTTGTGTTGAAATAAAACTTTATTACAGACACTGGAATCCACAGGAAACCAAATACAGAAGAGCACATAGCCTGTGATTTCATGTGTATGAAATTCATGAATAGGCAAAAGGAATACATAGGGATAAAAATTACAATAGTAGTTTCCTCTAGAGCAGTGTAGAAGAAAGAAGATTGACTAGAAATGTGCATAAAAGAACTTTCTTGGGTAATAGAAATATTCTACAGTTGACTCCTGAACAACACAGGAGTTAAAGACACCAACCCTCCTGAGCAGTCAAAAATCTATGTATAATTTTTGACTCTCCAAAAATTTAACTACTAACAGCCTGCTGTTGACTGGAAGTCTTACTAAGAACATTAAAAATCAATTAATACACATTTTGTATGTTATATGTATTATAAGCTGTATTATTATAATAAGCAAGCTAAAGGAATGAAATGTTATTAAGAAAATTATAAGGAAGAGAAAGTATACTTACTATTCATTTAGTGGAAATAGATCATCATAAAGGTCTTCATCCTTGTCACTATTGAATAGGTTGAGCAGGAGGAAGACGAGGAGTTGGTCTTGCTGTCTCAGGGGTGGCAGAGGTGAAAGAGGTGGAGGAGGTGAAAGGGGTGGTAGGAGAGGCAGGCATACTGATACAATTTTATGACATACATTGTAATTTCTGTCTGATTTTGTTTTTGTTTTTGTATTTCTCTGAAAATGTTTCTCTATGGTAGCAATTATTCTTCCACTATTTGCTTTAGTTTCATGCCTATATCAAAAAAGGATTCATGTTGCAAAAGAAGTCAAAAGCAGCCTTGAATAATGGGAAACCCTCTGTCAGATTGTCTAACATAAATTTGCTTGCTGGCACTGCTTCTTCTACACCTTCTTCCTCATCATCTGGCACTGGTTTGAAGCACTTATTTCCATAAAATTTTCTTCTGTTAAACATTCTGGGGTGGTGACTGTTAGCTCTTGAATTTCCCCAAGTTTTATATCTTCAAACCCTTCACTCCTCACTTGTTTGCCATATCTACAATGTCTTTCGTAACTACCTTGATTGGCTCTGTTGTAAATTCTGTGAAGTCATGTACAATATCTGAAGAGTTTTCTCCTGTAAGAACTTATTGTTTGGGGCTTGATGCCTTTCATGGTCTCTTCTATAGCAATGATGACATCTTCAATGGTGTAATCCTCCCAGACTTTCATGATGTTCTCTCTGTAGGGTTTCTCTTCCCAAACATTGGGAATCCTTCATGAAGAGTTCTAAGTTTAATGAGCCTTAAAGGTCCTATGACCCCCTAAGCTAGAAGCTGGATTAGAGATGTTGTGTTTAAGAGTGAATAGACCACTTTTATGCATTCCATGTTGAACTCATGGGGTTCTGGGTGGCCAAGGAAATTGTACAATATGAAAAGAACTTTAAAAAGCAGTTTCTTACTGGAAGCATCTTCCTGATTTCAGGGGCAAAGAATCAATTGAACCAATCCAGAAAAAGGGTTCTTGTTGTTCAGACCTTCTTTGTTGTACAACCAAAATACTGGTAGCAGGTGTTTATCTTTATCCTACAAAGCTCAGGGGTTATCAGCTTTAGAGATGTGGGTTGTACTGATCATAAACCTGAATGCATTGTATAAAACACTAAAGTTAGCCTGGTCTTTCCTGCCTTAAATCCTGCTGCTCACTTCTCTCCGTTACTAATAAATGTTCTTTGTGGCATTTTTTTCTAGAACAAGGCATTTTCATCTGCATTAAAAACCTGTTCAGGCAGATTCTTTTTCCTCAGTGATTGTCTCAATGGCATCTGGGAACCCATCTGCTTTCTTTTGCTTTTCAGTGGCTGCTTCTCCTGTTATTTTGGCATCTTTTAGCCAAACCCCTTTCTAAACTTATCAAGCCATCCTTTGCCGGCATTAAATTCTCCAGATTTAGATTCTTCACCTCCCTTTTGCTTTAATTTGTCATATAACTCATATAATGACTTCCCTTTTTTCAAAATCACTTGGCCACAACCACTACTAAGATCCCTTCCTCTGCTGCCTCCAAGTTGGAGAAGGAACATAAACACTGAGATTATCCTAGCTGCAGTGGGCAGCCCAGGAGTGCCAAGCCATCGTCTACAGCCAGCACTCAATGGGGAGAGGAACCCACACTTTAAGAGCATGAAAAGGGAACACAGTTGCAACTGTGAAGAAAAATAGGGGAACCACACAAACAAGCAGAGTCTACCAACTGACCAATAAGCCCAAGTGCTACCTACTGGATTATACCCCGAAGCTTCAACACCAAAAATACCTCACTAACATATACCCCTCTGAAACCAGAGACAAGAAGTCAGCTTCAAATAAAGATTGTGCAGATAGCCTCAGCCCGGTGAAGACATCCAGATAAAAAGTCTATTGACTGTAGTTAAAGGAAAACCCACACACACAGATGAGAAACAACCAATGCAAGAACTCTGTAACTCAAATGACATGAGTGTCGTATGTTGTCCAAACAACCACGCCAGTTTTTCAACAAGAGTTCTTAACTAGTCTGAGCTGGCTGAAATGACAGAAAAAAAATTCAGGATATGGATAGAAATGAAAATCATTGAGATTCAGGATGATTGCAAAACCCAATCCAAGAAAACTAAGAATCACAATAAACTGATATAGGAGCTGAAGGATAAAATAGCCAGTATAAAAAAGAACCTAACAGGTCTGACAGAGCTGAATAACACAATACAAGAATTTCACAATGTAATCCACAAGTCTTAACAGCAGAATAAACCAAGATGAGATTTTCAATCTCAGAACGTGAAGACTGGTTCTTTGAAATAAGACAGTCAGACAAAAATAAAGAAAAAAATAATTTTAAAAATTGAACAAAACCTCCAAGAAGTATGGGATTATGTAAAGAGGTCAAATCTGTTAATCATTGGAAATCCCTGAAAAGGGGGTCGGCGGGAGAAAGCAAACAACTTGGAGGATGTGATTGAGGATATTATCCATGAAAACTTTCTCAACCTTGCTAGAGAGGCCCACAGTCAAATTCAGGAAGTTCCAAAGCACATCATCAGATTTTGCAAGGTCAAAATGAAACAAAGAATGCTAAAGGAAGCTAGAGAGAAAAGGCAGGTTACTTACAAAGGGAACTCCATCAGACTAACAGCAGATCTCTCTACTGAAGCCCTACAAGCCAGAAGAGATTGGGAGCCTATAGTCAACATTCTTACAGAAAAAAAAAATCTTCAAACAAGAATTTCATATGCAGCCAAACTAAGTTTCCTAAGCAAAGGAGAAATAAGGTATCTTTCAGATAAGCAAATGTTGAGGGAGTTTGTTCCCCCAGACTGGCCCTACAAAAAGATCCTGAAAGGAGCACTAAATATAGAAAGGAAGGACTACTACCAGCTAATACAAAAATGCACTTAAACACACAGACTGGTGTCACCATAAAGCAACCACACAAACAAGGTAACATAATGACCACCTAACAGCACATTGACAGAATCAAATCCACACATATCAATACTGACCTAGAATGTAAATGGGTTAAATGCCCCACTTAAAAGGCACGGAGTGGCAAGCTGGATTAAAAAAAGCAGCACCCAATAGTATGCTGTTTTCAAGAGACCCATCTCACGTA
Source organism: Homo sapiens (assembly GCF_000001405.40). NCBI lineage: Eukaryota > Metazoa > Chordata > Mammalia > Primates > Hominidae > Homo > Homo sapiens. The sequence continues at coordinate 59,856,342 of NC_000008.11, forward strand.
ATGATGCCTATAGGCTCAAAATAAATGGATGGAGGAAAGTCTACCAAGCAAATGGAAAACAATAAAAAAGGAAAGGTTGCAGTCATAATTTCTGACAAAACAGACCTCAAACAAACAAGGAACAAAAAACACAAAGAAGGTAGTGCATAATGGTAAAGGGTTCAATTCAACAAGAAGATCTAACTACCTTAAATATGTATGCACCCAACACAGGAACATTCAGATTCATAAAGCAAGTTCTTAGAAAGCCATAAAGAAACATAGACTCTCAAACAATAATAGTGGGAGACATCAACAATCCACAGATACCCTTAGACAGATCATTGAGGGAGAAAATTAACAAAGATATTCAGGAACTGAACTCAGCATTGGACCAAATGAATCTTATAGACCTTTACAGAACTCTCCACCCAAAAACAGCATTCTTCCCATTGTCACGTACTCTAAAATTGACCACATAATTGGACATAAAACAATCCTCAGCAAACACAAAAGAACTGAAATTATAACAAGCACACTCTTCAACCACAGGTTAATAAAAATGGAAGTCAAGACTAAGAGAATCACTCAAAACCATGCAATTGCATCAAAATTAAACAACATGCTCCTGAATGAATTTTGGGCAAAAAATAAAATTAAGGCAGGCATCAAGAAGTTCTTTGAAACTAATAAGAACAAAGATACAATGTACCAGAATCTCTGGGACACAGCTAAGGCAGTGTTAAGAGGGAAATTTATAGCACTAAATCATCAAAAAGGTAGAAATGCCTCAAATTAACCATGTAATATCACAACTGAAAGAACTGGAGAAACAAGAACAAATCAATCTCAAATCTAGCAGAAGACAAGAAACAACAAAAATCAGAGCTGAACTGAAGGAAGCTGAGACACAAAAATCCAGGAGTTGGTTTTTGGAAAAAATTAATAATATAGAGAGAATGCTTGCTAGATTAATAAAGAAGAAAAGAGAGAAGATTGAAACAAACACAATTAGAAATAATAAAGTGAATATTACCACTGATCCCACAGGAAAAAAAATCAGAAACTACTATGAACGCCTCTATGCACACAAACTAGAAAACCTAGAAGAGATGGATAAATTCCTGGACACATACACCCTCCCAAGACTGAACAAGGAAGAAATTGAATCCCTGAAAAGACCAATAACAAACTCCAAAATTGAATCAGTATTATAATAAATAGCCTGCCAACCAATAGAAGCCCAGTACTTGATGGATTCACAGCCAAACTATACCAGTTGTGTGAAAAGGAGCTGGTACCATTCCTATTGAAACTATTCCAACAAATTCAGGTGGAGGGCATCCTCCCCAGCCCATTCTATGAGGCTGGCATTATCCTTATACCAAAACCTGGCAGAGACACAACAAAAAAAGAAAACTCCTGGCCAAAATCCTTGATGAACGTCAATGCAAAAATCCTGAACAAAATACTTGCAAACTGAATTCAGCAGTACATCAAAAAGCTTATCCACCACATTCAAGTAGGCTTCATCTCTAGCATGCAAGGTTGACTCAACATATGCAAATCAATAAATGTGATTCATCACATAAACATAACTAAAGACAAAATCCACATGATTATCTCAATAGACATAGAAAGGGCTTTTGACAAAATTCAACATCGCTTCATGTTAAAAAGTCTCAATAAATCAGATATTGAAGGAATATGTTTCAAAATAATAAAAGCCATCTATGAGAAACTCACAGCCAACATTATATTGAATGGACAAAAGCTGGAATCATCCCCCTTGAAAACTGGCACAAGACAAGGATGCCCTCTCTCACCACTTCTATTTAACCTAGTGTTGGAAGTCCTAGCCAGAGCAATAAGCAAGAGAAAGAAATAAAAGCATTTAAATAGGAAGCAAGGAAGTCAAACTATCCGTGTTTGCAGATGATATGATTCTATATCTAGAAAACACTATAGTCTCAACACAAAAGCTCTTTCAGCTGATAAACAACTTCAGCAAACTTTCAGGATACAAAATCAATCTACAGCAATTACTAACATTCCTATACACAAACAACAGCCAAGCTAAGAGTCAAATCAGAAAGGCAATCCCATTCACAACTGCCACAAAAAGAATAAAATACCTAGGAATACAGCTAACCAGGGAGGTGAAAGATCTCTACAATGAGAATTACAAAATACTGCTCAAAGAAGTCAGAAAAGACAGAAATGGCCAAAAAATCCCATGCACATGGATAGGAAGAATCGATATCGTGAAAATGGCCATACTACCCAAAGCAAATTATAGATTCAATGCTATTCCTATCCAACTACCAATGACATTCTTCACAGAACTGGAAAAACTATTTTAAATTCACAAGTAACCAAAAAAGAGCCCAAATAGCATTGGTAATCCTAAGCAAAAAGAGTAAATCTGGAGGCATCATGTTACCAGGCTTCAAACTATACCACAAGGATATGGTAACCAAAACAGCATGGTACTCATAAAAAAACAGGCACATAGACCAATGGAACACAATAGAAAGTCCAGAAATAAGGCCACACACCTATGACTATCTGCTCTTCAACAAACCTGACAAAAACGAGCAACAGGAAAAAGACTCCCAATGCAATAAGTGATCCTGGGATGACTGGCTAGCCATATGCAGAGGATTGATTCTGGACTCCTTCCTCACAACATATACAAAAATCAATTTAAATGAATTAAAGACTTAAATGTCAAACCCCAAACCATAAAAACCCTAGAAGACAACCTAGGCAGTACCATCCTGGACATAGGAATGGGCAAAAATTTCATAACAAAGACACAAAAAGGAATCACAACAAAAGCAAAAATTGACAAGTGGGATCTGATTAAACTTTAGAGCTTCTGCACAGCAAAAGAAACTATCAACAGACTAAATAGATGACATACAGAATGAGAATAAATTTTTGCAAACTATGCATCTGACAAAGGTCTAATATCCTGCACCTATTAGAAATTTTAAAAAAATTTACAAGAGAAAACCAAACAACCCCATTAAAAAGTGTGCAAAGAACATGAACAGGCACTGTTCAAAAGAAGACATACATGCAGGCAACAAGCAGATGGAAAAAAGACTCAATATAACTAATCATTAGAGAAAAGCAAATTAAAAACCACAGTGAGATACCATCTCACACCAGTCACAAAGGCTATTATTAAAAAGTCCAAAAATAATAGATGATGGCAAGATTGCAGAGAAAAGGAAACACTTACACTCTGTTGGTGGGAGTGTAAATTAGTTCAATCATGGTGGAAAGCAGTATGATGATTCCTCAAAGAACTAAAAGCAGAACTATCATCCACCCCAGCATCCCATTACTGGTTATGTACTCACAGGAATATACATCATTCTACCATAAAGACACGTGCACATGAATATTTACTGCAGCACTATTCACAATAGCAAAGACACGGAATCAATCTAAATGCCCTTCAATGACAGATTGGATAAAGAAAATGTGGTACATATACACTATGGAATACTAGGCAGCCAATAAAAAGAACAAGATATTGTCTTTTGAAGGAGCATGGATGGAACTGGAGGCTATCATCCTTAGCAAACTAACAGAGGAACAGAAAAACCAAACACCACATGTTCTCACTTATAAGTGGAAGCTAAATGATGAGAACTTATGAACACAAAGAAGGAAACAACAGACACTGGGATCTACTTGAGGGGAGAGGTTGGGAGGAGGGAGAGGAGCAGAAAAGAGAACTATTGGGTACTGGGCTTAATACTTGTGTTATGAAATAATCTGTTCCTCGGTCTCCCATGACACAAGTTTATCTATGTAACAAACCTTCACATGTACCCCCAAACCTAAAATAAAAGTAAAAAAAAATGTATTTTGCAAAAAGTGCAAAGTTTCTTTGCTTGCTAGTGGAGCTACATTGATGGCTTCGTGAATTTCATTTTTTTGTTTGTTTGTTTGTTTTACCATGGTCTTTGTGCTGGGTTCATTGATCTGGAAATGATGGGCAACTGCAGCTGCAGACCTCAATCTGTAGTACATATCAAGCAATACAATTTTTTCTTCCAATGTCATGACTTTGCTTTTTAAGAGCACTTCCAGTATCACTAGTGGCTCTTCATATGGGCCCCATGGTGTTATTCAAGGTTTACAATATTGCACAAGCATGATGAAAAATACACAAGAACCACAAGAGATCACTTTTGACTATGATATGTAATTTACTGGAGAGACAAACTGCCACTGCAGAGATGATTAACATAACGTGACATTTTAAGTGAATGCTTACAATGCTTGAGCTCAGGTCAATAGCAACAGGAGATGGCTATGAAGTCATTACAGTAGTATGAAGAAAGAGAGAGAAAGAGCAAGAAAATGTTCCAAAAAATCAATAACTGGTGAATCTTAGTAAAGTTAATGGGTGTTTATTTCACTATTCTTGCCATTTTTCTATAGGTTTGAAAATTTTAAAATTAAATATTGAGAAAAAACCATTAATGCCAGACTAAATTCCTGGAAAAAAAAAAACAGATCTAAGGCAGTAATGAGTTGAGTAACTCTCTTGAAAACAAATATTTGCTGATCATGGTGAAAGATGTGCAATGGACCCTTGAGAATTGGAATTTACTTACCTACACTTTTGTCATGGTAAGAAATTTATAGGCGTAAGAAATTTACCACTAACCCTAGATAAAGTGTAGTCATCTATAAATGCAGTAGCCATATCAATAATAGCCTAGATATATTTGTTCTTTCTTTTGACTAAAATTATCCAAAACACTAGAGCTTTATAACCAACACAGAGATAGTTTCAAAGCATTAGTCATCAAAGATAGCTTCGATTTTGCAGAAAGACCACAGTCTTAAAGAATTTCCATTGCTAAATCTTTTAAGAAAAGTATAATTGCATCTAAAATCAGATTTGTGCCACTTCTTAATCCAATAAAGGCTTATATTCTTACTTTGAATTTTAGTAGTAATTTCTTCAGTGTTGCTCAAATGCTCAACAAACAAATCTATCTCACATGTTCATTTCCAAGAAGTGATCAGATTATCTATACCATTCACTTTGCAACTAATTGTGTAGATTTATTTCTTTCTTGTTACATTGAACTGTCACTTCCTGTCTTGGACCATGACAATATTTTTATGTTGTGTTGGTCCTCCATGTCTACAGTGTACTCCTTAAGATCATGGACCATGCCTTATATATTTTTTAATTTCCCAGTAATTTCCATATGACTGACCTTTAAAAAAAACTTGCTAATTGATTAGAAATTATAATTTCACCTTTATAACTTTGTGAAATATTCGTCAGAGCAGCACCAGATAACATGTCCATTTTTACAAAGCTGTCATGCTATGTTTTAATAACATTGCTATTAAAATATTTCTTTTTCAAAATTTAAGGTTATAAAAAGGAAACCTGACTTTTCTTATGTTATAGTTATTTTTATTCAAAAAATAACACTCCAGAAAAGGAACATATAGGAATTGTATCTATTAGGAAATAAGATATCCCAGAGTAGCATAGTATATCACATTTTCTTTAAAACAGAAACAAAACAGCTAATGAAAAAAGAAAACCCCTGTAGTAAAACTGTACAATGTACTGACACCCAGAGTTCTTGGTCTCACGGCCAAGAAAATCAAGGATGCAAACACACCAAGGTTGAGGTTTAGAGCAGAAATTTAATAGGAGAAAGAAAGAGAACAGCTCTCTGCTACAGAGAGGGTCCCAGAAAAAGGGTTGCTGTCCCACAGTGAAATGCAAGGGTCTTTATAGACCAGCTAGTGGGAACCAGTATCTGATCTATATAGGGTACAAAAAACTGGTTAGGACCAGGTGTGTTATCTGCATAGAGTGAGAATCTCTGGCAGTCCCCACCCCAATCTTTTATTATGCAGGCAGGTCCTCAGCCGGAGCTACTCCATGTTGCTTATTTATTTCTTACTGTGCATGTGCTAAAAAAAAGGGAGTGGACCTGCCTGGCCCTAGACATCCCTTTCTATCTGTCTGCTGCAGGCATCCCCCATTGAAAACTTCCAGCTTCCTTATCTATGTTTGCAGCCTGATTCCCCAGGTTGCTCTTTGTTAGAAAAGGAGTGATTTCTTGGGTTGCTTTTTGTTTGAAGAAAAGTTCTGCTGAGGACTCTGCCCTCACTATCTGCTTAAATATCTTCTTTCTACCTCCTGTATCAATACTACAATAAAACTCTACTCTCAAAATCTGCATTTGGAATAAAAAATAAAAGCAACTGAAAACAAACTATTGTTATATAAACAATAGTATATATAACAGAAAAAAGTTAACTATTGTTAAAAAATATATAAACTAAAAGGAAAGGGTTGGGGGACCCCTTTGCAGACTCTTAAGGGGTCTCTGAGGCCACACACAGACAGTAAACTGAACTTTGGAGAAGAATTTCACTGTGTAGTCACATATTCAGCCTTATGACCACACTTGTCTTACACTATTAGCTAGTACTCTGTAGTTGGTTTTACCAGCTGGTAGTGATTGTTTATTAGCCTAGGAGGCATAAACATCAATGGGAAAAGTTGTCATGAAAATAAAAATCTCAGAATCCATTATACAAATTAAAGGAAATAATCTATTAAATATTGATCATGATTTTTAAAAATTCATCTGTCCTCCTCCATTTTTTAATTTTTCCCCACCCTAATTTGACCAAAAGATCCCAGGGCCACAACTGTGCTTGGGCCAATGAATAGAAATAACCAACTGGTTGTCTGCAGTCAATACTGCTAGTTACCTCTGAATGAGACCACTATTCATGATCTACTGACTTCTTGTCTATCTACACTGAGATTTCATGGTCTCTCTCAGAGTCAAGCTAATCATTTGCCTTCTTTTACTACCAACCAGCCTCAAGTTAAGGGTCCTTCTGCCTTTGAGTCATCATTTCTCAGCCAGGATGCTGCGGTATTTGCTGCCCAATCAAGATTGCTATAAGGTGATGTTCTGGAGCCTAATTGCAGGAAGAAGAGAGGACATTTGCTCTAGGCAGACAAAAAAGTTGAGTCTGAAGACACTTTGCTAGTAGAGAGGAAGGGTGTACTGGATGGGAAATAAAGTTGGTCACCTTCTTGAGCTGAAGCACTCAGATACCAAGCTTGGGATCCCGAGAGGTGAAAGAATTCTTAGATTGCCTGTAGATACTAAATCTTTAGAGCAGACATTGTACCTTGTATACCGGTGCATCCCTCCCATAAGATGGGTGCTTTGTTGTGAGTCAATATATTTTCCCATGAAGGCGGTCATTGTAAGATAGATTGTCTGATGTAAAATGTACACCTGGATGCCTCCATAGAGAAACCATCGCTCTTCTAGCAACTTCGTATATGTGTCAGGTTAAATGAAGTCATACTTTAGATGAAAAGCCCATGCTCTACCCCAAGCTCACTGGCCCGCATCTAGGCCCAGGGAAGCTGGCTAAGAGCACAGCTCTGGATAGTGGGTAGAAAGAGGAGCTAGAGAATGTTCTGGGTGGAAGTCATGGGGACGTCAGACAGAAAATACATTCCCCAAGATGGTGACAGGACCAAGTGCCTGGATGGCATGGATTGTGATGTGAAGAGCGGGGTCTGGAGTCAGACTGTGCACAGGTTTTACCACTTGGTGGTTGGGACTCTGGGCGAATTCCTTAATTTTTCGAGCCTCAGCTTCCTTGTTTTGAAAATGCACATTAGGCTCTGTTGGCATGTTCCCTGAAGCACTCATACAGATATCCATGAAGAGTGCTTAGCACAGTGCCTAGCATGTGGTAGATGTCCTGGAAGTGCTAATCACTATGATTAAGGCACTATTTTGGTTAAGGAAACTGGAATCAAGAGCAACTAAAGGCGTAAGTATGAAGGTAGCAACATGGACTATAGTGGAGGCATGGGAATATCTGAGTGGGGGAATGTGTTGAAGCCATTGTTTAGAAATACAGGACCGAATAACATGCTGGGTATATAATAGTCTACAAGGCTGAGCATTTCCTCCTTCTAGCTTGATAACTGGCATGAGATTCAATGCCATATGGAGAACCTAATAAATATAAAGCCCCAAACAAGTTATACTCTACCATTCAATCTAAAGAAAAGACTATCATGTTCAATCATCTGAAACCATACCACATAACTATGTCTAGCAGCACTGTTTCTCCATCGTGTGGGAGAATCCATTTCCAATCTAATGCAGTGCAGCAAGTTCTGGAACATGTATACAAAGAGTCTTTGTAAGAGAGTAATTCAATAATTAATAATAAATTTGCATTTAAAATTATTTCAATAAATGATTTATTTCACGGAGTAAGTGGGAAACAAATTTGTTCTACTTTAAGACACTAGTATTGTTACCATTTTTAAAAAACAATTTGGTCTAAATAGCAAAATTAATAGGATAATTCATTTTCTTCTTGAGAATCAGTTGTAAATGAAGGTTACTAAGAGAATACTATATTTAAAAACTATTCACATAATCTTTAGATTTTAGTGATTTTTACGTCTCTCCCACTCCTTGCCTTGCTGTGTTTCAAAATAATATGGGATTTTTAATAAAATAAATAGTACTTGCTTATTATTTTTAATTTATTTTAAATTCTCAATTAGAAAATATGTATGTATTAATTCTGGATGCTCCTGGGAGTTTAAAGTTAATAAATGGTTTATGTGTTTTTATTATCATGAGCTTTGAGCTTTTAACTACTGGTAACATCAGAGAAGTTTAATAATCCCATAGTTTTATTACCTTATAGATAGAATTTGGTTTCTTTTTTGTTTATAATTTCCTCCTGGCTGTTTAATATTAAAAGAGAACACATTTATTATTTTGAACTAGGTATATAATAGTATATTTAAACTGAGTGAATAAAGAATTTAGTAAACATGTACTAATGCTTTTTCATAATGCCCCCTCTGCCATCAAATTTTTGTTACATTTTTTTTATTAAGTTTGAGAACACAAATGTATATCATGTCAATATCTTAAAGATTTTAAATTTTTCTTTACACATTTTCTAGTACTTTTTTGTAGCTTATGATTTGGGGATAGAGTACATTTTTAGTGATAACATATTCAGTCAGTACTTTATGCACAAATAAGTGGAAACCACTTATTCTGAAAACAATTGATAGCATATCTCTTGGTAACAGTGATAAAAACTGGTTAAGAAAGGAGATCCAACCTGAGAAGTAGGGATGATATGCAGGGAAGAGAGGTCCTAAATGGATTTGACTACAAGGATATTTAGGGGATTTGAATAGAACTGTCAAAAAAATAGAGGATCTAGTCTTTACCCAAGAGGAAAACTAGTAAAATTCCAATAATCAAAGAAGGTTTTCCAGGTATTTGCAAAATTAGCACCATGGAAAATGGTGAATCATTTCTTATGATGTTTCATAAATAACAGTTTTTCAATAAACCTCTGAAGCTAATTATTATTTTCTTAGCACATTGATGTGGGTGGAATTCTTCCAAAACAGTGTTGTAAACATAAATGTTATAAACTGCTTCATAATTTACCAATTACACCTATCATGTTTCATTAGTACATTTTATTACTTTGGGCAGAGATCATACATTGCTGATGTGGATGCATATTGAAGAGTTCAGGCCCCAATAATCATTCTATTTTGTAGAAATGAAATTAAGACAGAATTCAGATGTCATGCTTTAAGTGTCAAACAGTTATTTCCATAATATCAATCAACATGAATCAAGGTCTTCTAATGTCATTAATACGGTCTGTTATACCTCAGGAGAATACTGAAAGCAAGAAATGAGGAACATATTTTTGCTTCACATGTTTAGTTTTTGCTTACATAAGAACAATAGCATGTGTTGATGGATAGACTATATCATTTTAGTTTTGGAGTTAAACACTTTAGGCTACTAAGATATTCCTTAAAATAAATAAGTTTAAGCCAACAAATGAGGCATAATGATCATAATTCACTGGCTGCAGAACTTAATCATAGTGGAAAATATTATTTATTGAGTGTCTGTTATGTATTAGAGCACCACTGTTCAATAGAAATACAGTTCACCCTTGAACAAAACAAAGGTCAGGGGAGCTGACCCCAGCACAATAAAAAATCTACATATAACTTTTCACTCCCCAAAAACTTAACTACTACTAAACTATTGTGGAATAGAAGTCTTACACCTTACCAATAACATAAACAGTCAATTAACACATATTTTATATGTTGTATATTTTATATATTATATTCTTCCAATAAAGTAAGCTAGAGAAAACAAAATTGTATTAAGACAATCATAAGGAAAATAAAATATATTTACTATTCATTAAGTGGACAAGTTTATCTTTGTTGTCTTCACACTGAGTGAGCTGAGGAGGAAGAAGAGGAGTCTAAGGGGTGGCAGAGGCAGAAGAAAATTCATGTATAAGTGGTCCCACACAGCTCCAATCCATGTTAAGGGTCAACTGTATAATGTTTGCCATAATGCAAGCTACATATATAATTTTAAATTTTCTAGAAGCCACCTTATAAGAAAGTAAACAGAAAAAAGAGACTAAAAATGTAAGCTTACTATATCCACGATATCACCGTTTGCATATGTAATCAACATTAACAATTATTAATGAGATATTTTGTATTCTATTTTTTGTTTTGAGTCTTCTAAATCCATTGTACATTTTATACTTACAGTTCATTTCCATTTATACTAACTCCCTTCGAAATACTCTGTTGTCGGTGCATGCGGCTAGGGCACACTGTATTGAACAACGGCGTGTTAGACACTTGGCTAGTAAGTCCTTTACAAGACTTACTTAATTTGGGTTCTCATAACTACCTGATGAGGTAGGTATCACAATTACTCTAAATTAGTGATGAAAAAGTGGGGGTTGGATAATTTTTTAAGCTCCATACCTTATAAGTCACAGAATTAGTCGATAACTCCAGAGAGGTTGACTTCATCACTAGGCTAACATCAAAGTGAATGACTAGGTGCCAGTTATGTTAGGAAAATTGATAAATATGTTATGGAAGATCAGAGACAATAGAAATCCAGGGACCAGTTACAAGAGTTTGTCAAAGAGGCATAACTGGCTATTATCTTTGTATAAGGATTTCATCCAGGGGCAAGATGAGTCAACATGGGCTCAGTCCTAATGCTGACAGTTCAATTTAAAATAAGCCAACTGCATGTACCCCAGAACCTTAGAACTTCTCCCCAGATTACATACTGTGATTGGGCCTGATCTTCCTGACATTTATGGGATGCAGAGAACAAAAAAAGACTAAATTTGAGACTCAGCAGTTTTGGAATCAAATCCCATCTCTCTCATTTCTTCACTGTACAGCCTGAGGCAAGTGGTATATCCTTTCTGAGACTTCAGTTTATTCAGCTTTAAAAAGAGCTTTCAAAATACACTTCTCATAGGATGGTAGCGTGGATTGAAATATGTAAAAACCATAATGTAGTCCATACAATATAGTAGACGTTAAGCATTTTCTTGTTATTATTTTTGGGGTAAATAGTGCTTTAAGCTGACACACTTGATTGTACTGAATTTGAATCCAGACATTGCTTCCAAAGTCTATAAGCTAAAGCTTATACTATCCTATCTCTTCAGGCAAACATATTTTCATATAATACACATAATTCACATAATACATATTCATATATATGTATCATATATGTATTTGTATATGTGTGCATATAAACACATATGAAGTTTGATTCTTGTCTAAACATCTGTGAGGGAATCAAAGAATTACCTCAAAAAAGGTTATTTAAATTTACCTTTCATTCTTGGACCTTTCGTAAAGTCTGTTAAAAGCTTTGTGCTTCAGGTTTATTTCAATGTGATCTCTACCCAATAAACTACAGAAGTGAGCAATATATTTATTTTGCTTATTTTATATCAACATTAATATATGCTTATTATAGAAAAAATAATTGAACAGAATTATACATAGTAAAACATAAAAGTTCTGACTTCCAGTTTCAGCCTTGACATGGAAATAACTTGAAAGCCATCACTCTTGTACTTAAAAGAAAAACTGGAACAAACCAAAAATCAGTAGCTTTTCTTGAGGTTATTGGAGAACTGAGGTAGCCAAGCAAACAACCATCTTGAAACCTAGACAAAGAGGAGGATTCAGACAGTCACACTTGAGATTGCTGACCTAGAACAGAAGCCACTGGAACCAGAAACTGATAGGAACCTGTGAATGCTAGTTTTTGCTGGAGGCTGAGTGTGCACTAATTGGAAAATAAGAAACTCTGGGGGTTGCAGTCTTAGGGAAAGCTTACTTTTTCATTGGCTTTCCCTCATTGAATCTTACCAAATTCTCACAGTAAAGATCTGAGAAATATCCCCTCTCTTGTAGGTCTGACAGAGGAAGAGGAAGTATAACCATCATAAAACATGCCTAGACATCTCCATAGCAAAAGCCTACTCTCCAGGGTGAAGAACTTTGCAAGAACCTTATGCCTATTGGAAGAAGGCCATACATCCACTCTGTTGCCCTCTAGACTTCCTGTCTCATCTAAGAGTGAAAACAAAGCACTCAGTGAAGTCCAGGGCTTCCAGGAAAGAGATTGGTAATTCTTCAGCCAAAGAAGGATGCGGGCGGTCAAGAGAATAGAACAGGAAAAACATGTGTGAAGTTAACGACCTTAAGACACAGATCCACTGAAAGACTGAGATCTAATTGAAAGATATTAGAACATTTCCCATCCCTCGTACCTTAAGGCCATACCAACAATTTCAGTATATTATCAATGAATTGGTTACAGTTGCAAGAGCCACAGAACACAGACTGTCTCAGGAGTACTTAGAGAAGGCTGAAGAGGTGAGACAGAATGAGCACACTAAAGGAATTTGAGGTATCTGGCACCTGCAGCTATAACAAACGTTAAATATGGCTCAACTCCTAGCCTAATTAGCATAAATACACACTTTAAAGGCTGATTTATCTTAGTCCCTATTATTCAACTTGTCCAGCTTTCAACAAGAAATTACAAGACATAGCAAAGGCAAAAGGCAGCATATTATGTGTGTGTGTGTGTGTGTGTGTGTGTGTGTGTGTGTGTGTATAGTCTGAATGTTGCTGACAAAGCTGGTTCTCAAAAAAAATGGGGTCTTTCCCTCTTCAGTGCCATGAAGCCAATATGCAAAACCAAAAGTGAGCATCAAGCAGTGCAAACACTATTAGATGGCCATGGAATTAAGAAGCAGGGATTTGGCTCACAAATCAACTTCTCAGCCCATGAGGGCCAGGTAGTAAAAGATATAGGGCATCTTTAATAAAGAGGTTAAGCATTAAAATTAAGGGGAGGAATATTCACGACTTTTCAGGGAATAAGTGGAGAACTTATAGGAACTGGAATTGCCACTTTCCTTTTTGTCCTTTCTTTTTTTTTTTTTTCTCTGTTAACTCTTGTTTATTATATTAGCAAATCTGCTACCTTAACATCCTCTGCATCCTTTTTTTTTTTATTATACTTTAAGTTTTAGGGTACATGTGCACATTGTGCCAGTTAGTTACATATGTATACATGTGCCATGCTGGTGCGCTGCACCCACTAACTCGTCATCTAGCATTAGGTATATTTCCCAATGCTATCCCTCCCCCCTACCCCCACCCCATCACAGTCCCCAGAGTGTGATATTCCCCTTCCTGTGTCCATGTGATCTCATTGTTCAGTTCCCACCTATGGGTGAGAATATGCGGTGTTTGGTTTTTTCATCTTGCGATAGTTTACTGAGAATGATGATTTCCAATTTCATCCATGTCCCTACAAAGGACATGAACTCATCATTTTTTATGGCTGCATAGTATTCCATGGTGTATATGTGCCACATTGTCTTAATCCAGTCTATCATTGTTGGACATTTGGGTTGGTTCCAAGTCTTTGCTATTGTGAATAATGCCGCAATAAACATACGTGTGCATGTGTCTTTATAGCAGCATGATTTATAGTCCTTTGGGTATATACCCAGTAATGGGATGGCTGGGTCAAATGGTAATTCTAGTTCTAGATCCCTGAGGCATCGCCACACTGACTTCCACAATGGTTGAACTAGTTTACAGTCCCACCAACAGTGTAAAAGTGTTCCTATTTCTCCATATCCTCTCCAGCACCTGTTGTTTCCTGACTTTTTAATGATCGCCATTCTAACTGGTGTGAGATGGTATCTCATTGTGGTTTTGATTTGCATTTCTCTGATGGCCAGTGATGATGAACATTTTTTCATGTGTTTTTTGGCTGCATAAATGTCTTCTTTTGAGAAGTGTCTGTTCATGTCCTTCGCCCACTTTTTGATGGGGTTGTTTGTTTTTTTCTTGTAAATTTGTTTGAGTTCATTGTAGATTCTGGATATTAGCCCTTTGTCAGATGAGTAGGTTGCGAAAATTTTCTCCCATTTTGTAGGTTGCCTGTTCACTCTGATGGTAGTTTCTTTTGCTGTGCAGAAGCTCTTTAGTTTAATTAGATCCCATCTGTCAATTTTGTCTTTTGTTGCCATTGCTTTTGGTGTTTTGGACATGAAGTCCTTGCCCATGCCTAAGTCCTGAATGGTAATGCCTAGGTTTTCTTCCAGGGTTTTTATGGTTTTAGGTCTAACGTTTAAATCTTTAATCCATCTTGAATTGATTTTTGTATAAGGTGTAAGGAAGGGATCCAGTTTCAGCTTCCTACATATGGCTAGCCAGTTTTCCCAGCACCATTTATTAAATAGGGAATCCTTTCCCCATTGCTTGTTTTTCTCAGGTTTGTCAAAGATCAGATAGTTGTAGGTATGCGGCATTATTTCTGAGGGCTCTGTTCTGTTCCATTGATCTATATCTCTGTTTTGGTACCAGTACCATGCTGTTTTGGTTCCTGTAGCCTTGTAGTATAGTTTGAAGTCAGGTAGTGTGATTCCTCCAGCTTTGTTCTTTTGGCTTAGGATTGACTTGGCAGTGCAGGCTCTTTTTTGGTTCCATATGAACTTTAAAGTAGTTTTTTCCAATTCTGTGAAGAAAGTCATTAGTAGCTTGATGGGGATGGCATTGAATCTATAAATTACCTTGGGCAGTATGGCCATTTTCACGATATTGATTCTTCCTACCCATGAGCATGGAATGTTTTTCCATTTGTTTGTATCCTCTTTTATTTCCTTGAGCAGTGGTTTGTAGTTCTCCTTGAAGAGGTGCTTCACATCCCTTGTAAGTTGGATTCCTAGGTATTTTATTCTCTTTGAAGCAATTGTGAATGGGAGTTCACTCATGATTTGGCTCTCTGTTTGTCTGTTGTTGGTGTATAAGAATGCTTGTGATTTTTGTACATTGATTTTGTATCCTGAGACTTTGCTGAAGTTGCTTATCAGCTTAAGGAGATTTTGGGCTGAGACAATGGAGTTTTCTAAATACACAATCATGTCGTCTGCCAACAGGGACAATTTGACTTCCTCTTTTCCTAATTGAATACCCTTTATTTCCTTCTCCTGCCTAATTGCCCTGGCCAGAATTTCCAACACAATGTTGAACAGGAGTGGTGAGAGAGGGCATCCCTGTCTTGTGCCAGTTTTCAAAGGGAATGCTTCCAGTTTTTGTCCATTCAGTATGATGTTGGCTGTGGGTTTGTCATAGACAGCTCTTATTATTTTGAGATACATCCCATCAATACCTAATTTATTGAGAGTTTTTAGCATGAAAGGTTGTTGAATTTTGTCAAAGGCCTTTTCTGCATCTATTGAGATAATCATGTGGTTTTTGTCTTTGGTTCTGTTTATATGCTGGATTATATTTATTGATTTGCATATATTGAACCAGCCTTGCATCCCAGGGATGGAGCCCACTTGATCATGGTGGATAAGCTTTTTGATGTGCTGCTGGATTCGGTTTGCCAGTATTTTATTGAGGATATTTGCATCAATGTTCATCAAGGATATTGGTCTAAAATTCTCTTTTTTTGGTTATGTGTCTGCTCGGCTTTGGTATCAGGATGATGCAGGCCTCATAAAATGAGTTAGGGAGGATTCCCTCTTTTTCTATTAATTGGAATAGTTTCAGAAGGAATGGTACCAGTTCCTCCTTGTACCTCTGGTAGAATTCGGCTGTGAATCCATCTGGTCCTGGACTCTTTTTTGTTGGTAAGCTATTGATTATTGCCACAATTTCAGAGCCTGTTATTGGTCTATTCAGAGAGTCAACTTCTTCCTGGTTTAGTCTTGGGAGGGTGTATGTGTCAAGGAATTTATCCATTTCTTCTAGATTTTCTAGTTTATTTGCATAGAGGTGTTTGTAGTATTCTCTGATGGTAGTTTGTATTTCTGTGGGATCGGTGGTGATATCCCCTTTATCATTTTTTATTGCGTCTATTTGATTTTTCTCTCTTTTCTTCTTTATTAGTCTTGCTAGTGGTATATCAATTTTGTTGATCCTTTCAAAAAACCAGCTCCTGGATTCATTGATTTTTTGAAGGGTTTTTTGTGTCTCTATTTCCTTCAGTTCTGCTCTGATTTTAGTTATTTCTTGCTTTCTGCTAGCTTTTGAATGTGTTTGCTCTTGCTTTTCTAGTTCTTTTAATTGTGATGTTAGGGTGTCAATTTTGGATCTTTCCTGCTTTCTCTTGTGGGCATTTAGTGCTATAAATTTCCCTCTACGCACTGCTTTGAATGCGTCCCAGAGATTCTGGTATGTTGTGTCTTTGTTCTCATTGGTTTCAAAGAACATCTTTATTTCTGCCTTCATTTCGTTATGTACCCAGTAGTCATTCAAGAGCAGATTGTTCAGTTTCCATGTAGTTGAGCGGCTTTGAGTGGGATTCTTAATCCTGAGTTCTAGTTTGATTGCACTGTGGTCTGAGAGATAGTTTGTTATAATATCTGTTCTTTTACATTTGCTGAGGAGAGCTTTACTTCCAACTATGTGGTCAATTTTGGAATAGGTGTGGTGTGGTGCTGAAAAAAATGTATATTCTGTTGATTTTGGGTGGAGAGTTCTGTAGATGTCTATTAGGTCCGCTTGGTGCAGAGCTGAGTTCAATTCCTGGGTATCCTTGTTGACTTTCTGTCTCGTTGATCTGTCTAATGTTGACAGTGGGGTGTTAAAGTCTCCCATTATTAATGTGTGGGAGTCTAAGTCTCTTTGTAGGTCACTCAGGACTTGCTTTATGAATCTGGGTGCTCCCGTATTGGGTGCATATATATTTAGGATAGTTAGCTCTTCTTGTTGAATTGATCCCTTTACCATTATGTAATGGCCTTCTTTGTCTCTTTTGATCTTTGTTGGTTTAAAGTCTGTTTTATCAGAGACTAGGATTGCAACCCCTGCCTTTTTTTGTTTTCCATTTGCTTGGTAGGTCTTCCTCCATCCTTTTATTTTGAGCCTATGTGTGTCTCTGCACGTGAGATGGGTTTCCTCAATAGAGCACACTGATGGATCTTGACTCTTTATCCAATTTGCCAGTGTGTGTCTTTTAATTGGAGAATTTAGTCCATTTATATTTAAAGTTAATATTGTTATGTGTGAATTTGATCCTGTCATTATGATATTAGCTGGTGATTTTGCTCGTTAGTTGATGCAGTTTCTTCCTGGTCTCGATGGTCTTTACATTTTGGCATGATTTTGCAGTGGCTGGTAGGGGTTGTTCCTTTCCATGTTTAGCACTTCCTTCAGGAGCTCTTTTAGGGCAGGCCTGGTGGTGACAAAATCTCTCAGCATTTGCTTGTCTGTAAAGGATTTTATTTCTCCTTCACTTATGAAGCTTAGTTTGGCTGGATATGAAATTCTGGGTTGAAAATTCTTTTCTTTAAGAATGTTGAATATTGGCCCCCACTCTCTTCTGGCTTGTAGGGTTTCTGCCGAGAGATCTGCTGTTAGTCTGATGGGCTTCCCTTTGAGGGTAACCCGACCTTTCTCTCTGGCTGCCCTTAACATTTTTTCCTTCATTTCAACTTTAGTGAATCTGACAATTATGTGTCTTGGAGTTGCTCTTCTCGAGGAGTATCTTTGTGGCGTTCTCTGTATTTCCTGAATCTGAACGTTGGCCTGCCTTGCTAGATTGGGGAAGTTCTCCTGGATAATATCCTGCAGAGTGTTTTCCAACTTGGTTCCATTGTCCCCGTCACTTTCAGGTACACCAATCAGACGTAGATTTGGTCTTTTCACATAGTCCCATATTTCTTGGAGGCTTTGCTCATTTCTTTTTATTCTTTTTTCTCTAAACTTCCCTTCTCACTTCATTTCATTCATTTCATCTTCCATTGCTGATACCCTTTCTTCCAGTTGATTGCATCGGCTCCTGAGGCTTCTGCATTCTTCACGTAGTTCTCGAGCCTTGGTTTTCAGCTCCATCAGCTCCTTTAAGCACTTCTCTGTATTGGTTATTCTAGTTATACATTCTTCTAAATTTTTTTCAAAGTTTTCAACTTCTTTGCCTTTGGTTTGAATTTCCTCCCGTAGCTCAGAGTAATTTGATCGTCTGAAGCCTTCTCTCAGCTCGTCAAAGTCATTCTCCATCCAGCTTTGTTCTGTTGCTGGTGAGGAACTGCGTTCCTTTGGAGGAGGAGAGACGCTCTGCGTTTTAGAGTTTCCAGTTTTTCTGTTCTGTTTTTTCCCCATCTTTGTGGTTTTATCTACTGTTGGTCTTTGATGATGGTGATGTACAGATGGGTTTTCGGTGTGGATGTCCTTTCTGTTTGTTAGTTTTCCTTCTAACAGAGAGGACCCTCAGCTGCAGGTCTGTTGGAATACCCTGCCGTGTGAGGTGTCAGTGTGTCCCTGCTGGGGGGTGCCTCCCAGTTAGGCTGCTCAGGGGTCAGGGGTCAGGGACCCACTTGAGGAGGCAGTCTGCCTGTTCTCAGATCTCCAGCTGCATGCTGGGAGAACCACTGCTCTCTTCAAAGCTGTCAGACAGGGACATTTAAGTCTGCAGAGGTTACTGCTGTCTTTTTGTTTGTCTGTGCCCTGCCCCCAGAGGTGGAGCCTACAGAGGCAGGCAGGCCTCCTTGAGCTGTGGTGGGCTCCACCCAGTTCCAGCTTCCCGGGGGCTTTGTTTACCTAAGCAAGCCTGGGCAATGGCGGGCGCCCCTCCCCCAGCCTCGCTGATGGCTTGCAGTTTGATCTCAGACTGCTGTGCTAGCAATCAGCGAGATTCCGTGGGCATAGGACCCTCCGAGCCAGGTGTGGGATATAGTCTCGTGGTGCGCCGTTTTTTAAGCTGGTTTGAAAAGCGCAATATTCGGGTGGGAGTGACCCGATTTTCCAGGTGCATCCGTCACCCCTTTCTTTGACTTGGAAAGGGAACTCCCTGACCCCTTGCGCTTCCCAGGTGAGGCAATGCCTCGCCCTGCTTCGGCTCGCGCATGGTGCACGCACCCACTGGCCTGCGCCCACTGTCTGGCACTCCCTAGTGAGATGCACCCGGTACCTCAGATGGAAATGCAGAAATCACCCGTCTTCTGCGTCGCTCACACTGGGAGCTGTAGACCGGAGCTGTTCCTATTCGGCCATCTTGGCTCCTCCCCCCTTTTTGTCCTTTCATCGTTTCTTCTATTTGATGTCATGGTAATTGTCAACTATCATGGCACTAGTGTGAGTGTCACTTAGCATGAAAATTAGGTTATAATGAAGCTGGAGGTTCCACAGAAATCAAGTGAGCCCTCTTGGATTCCACCAGTCTTAGCTATTCTGGTAACAAGAGGGAACTTTTGACCTCAGGCATTCTGCTTCCTAAAGATAACCGGAGTTGAGGTGGGCTAGAAATTCGCCTTGGTCACATAGCTATTGCACTAGATAACATGAAGAGACTAAGTAATCTTCAGAACCACACTCAGATAGGATGTGCCACAAATGTGTGAAATAACAGTTAAGGAATTTAAAATAACCATGATTAATATATTAAGGGATCTAATGGAAAAAGTAGACAAAAGCCAGAACAGATGAGTAATACAAGAAGAGAGGTAGACTCAAAAAAGAATTAAGTACAAGAAATAAAATCTCTGTAATAGAAATGAATGTCTTTAATAAGTAGATTTGACGTGGTCGAAGAAAGACTCATGGAGCCTGAAGATAAATCAATAAAAACATTTTATTTATATGTAACATAATTGTTTATATATGAATTTATCAACAAAAAGAATCAACAAAAATCTTCTAGAACTTATAGGCAATTATAACAAGGTTGTAGGACACAAGGCTAATATTAAAAAGTCAAGTATTTTCTTGTATACCATATTAAATTATATACATATAAAATTGTCTTGCAAGTCGGATAATAGCTCAGCTACAGTACAATACGGCACCAGGCAAAGTCCTGAGGCCTCCATTCCAGGTTTTAGCTCCCAGATGACATTTCTAGACATACCCCGGCCAGAAGGCAACCTGCTTCTTTAAAGGAAAGGGCCCTGTCATGGAAGAATTTTCCACCTGCTGCCTAAAGAGTCCCAGTGGTATTGGTCTCAGGGGTGCTTGTGTCACCCCTCTCATACCTCCAAGCAACTCAACACACAGAGAGAAGGACATTGCTCTTTTGGGGGAATGTAAAAGAAGAGAACAAGAGTCTCTGCCTGATATTCCAGAGAATTCTTCCAGACCTTATGCAAGACCACCAAAGCAGTAAACCTATGAGTCTGCAACAGCCACAGCACTACTGAGATGGAGATGACCCCTAAAGCAGACATGGCTGCAGTAAGCAAAAACATAGATCACAGCGCTGAAATCCCTTCAAATACCTGGAAAAACTCCCAGGAAGGACAGGTACAAACAAGCCCAGACTGTAAAGACTACAGTAAATATCTAATTCTTCAATGCCCAGGTACAGTCGAACATCCACAGGCATCAAGACCATCTAGGAAAACAAGACCTCACTAAACAATCTAAATAAGCAACCAGTGACCAATCCCAGAAAGAAAGAGAATGATGTGACCTTTCAGAAAAATAATCCAAAATAGCTGTTTTGAGGAAGCTCAGTGAAATCTAAGAAAACACGAAGAAGAAGTTCAGAATTCTATCAGATTAATTTCACAAAGAGATTTAAATAATTAATAAGAATGAAGCAGACATTTTGGAGACGAAAAATACAATTGGCATACTGAAGAGTGCTGAAAGGGCTTTTGATTAAATTTAACATTTGTTCATGATAAAAACCCTCAAAAAACTAGACATAGAAGGAGTGTATCTCAACACAATAAAAGCTATATACAATAGACTCACTAATAGTATCATACTAAATAGGGAAAAATTGAAAACTTTTCCTTTATGATCTGGAACAAAATGAGGATGCCCATTTTCACCACTGTTATTCAACATTTTACTGGAAGTTTTAGCTAGAGTAATCAGTCAAGAGAAAAAATAAAAGACATCCAAATTAGAAAGAATGAAGTCAAATTATCTCTGTTTGCAGCTGATACGATCTTATATTTTTAAAAACCCTAAAAACTTGACCAAAAATGTATTGAAATTGATAAACAAATTTAGTTGGATATACAAATTCAGAAGGATATAAAATCAACACACGAAAATTAGTAGCATTTCCATATGCCAGCAGTGAACAATCTGCAAAAGTAATTTAAAAACAGTAATCTTGTTTACGATAGCTACAAATAAAATACCCAGGAATTAAGCTAACCAAAGAAGTGAAAGATCTTTACAATGAAAACTATAAAACATTGATGAAAGAAATTAAAGAGAACATAAAAAATGGAAATATATTCCATGTTCATGGATTGGAAAAATCAATATTGTTAAAATGTCCATACTACCCAAAACAATCTACTGATTTAATGCAATTCCTATCAACATACCAATGACATGGTTCACAGAAAAGGAAAAAAAAATCCTAAAATTTATACTGAGCCACAAATGACCCAAAATAACCAAAGCTAGCCAAAAAAGACTAGTTCTTATTTGTTATTCTCAGCAAAAAGAATTAAACTGGAGGAATCACATTACCTGACTTCAAATTATACTACAGACCTATAGTAACCAAAATGCATGGTACTGGCATAAAAAATAGACACATGAACCAATAGAATAGAATGGAGAATCCAGAAATAAATCCATACATCTACAATGAATTCATTTTTGAGAGAGCTGTCAAGAATTTACATAGGGGAAAAGATAGTCTCTTCAATCAATAGTGCTGGGAAAGCTCAATATCCATATGAAGAAGAGTGAAACTAGATCCCTATCTCTTGCTGTATACAAAAATCAAATCAACATGGGTAAAGATTTATATATAAGACCTCAAAGTATGAAACTACTACAAGAAAACATTGACTAGGGCAAAAATTTGAATAGACATTTCTCAAAATAAGATATACAAATGACAGACATGTAAAAATGCTCAACATCACTGATCATCAGAGAAATGCAAATCAAAACCACAATTAGATATCCTTTTACCCAGTTAAAATGACTTTTAGCCAAAAGATGGACAACAATAAATGCTGACAAGGATGTGAAGAAAAGGGAACACTTGTACACTGTTGATGGGAATGTAAATTAGCACAACCACTATGGAGAGAAGTTTGGTGGTTCCTTAAAAGCTAAAAATAGAACTACCAAATGATTCAGCAGTCTCACCTCTAGGTATTCACTGAAAAGAAAGGAAATCAGTATATTGAAGAGATATCTGCACTCCTACATTTATTGCAGGACTATTTACAATAGTCGAGATCTAGAAGCAACCTAAGTGTCCATCAACAGATGAATGAAGAAAGAAAATTTGGTACATATATACAATGGAGTACTATTCAGCTATATAAAAAAAATGAGATCTTGTCATTCACAATAAAAGGATAGAACTGGAGATCATTATGTTAAATAAAATAAGCCAGGCACAGAAAGACAAACTTCACATGTTCTCATTTGTTTGTAGGTGCTAAAAAAACTAAACCAATTGAACTCACAGAGATCGATAGTAGAATGAGGGTTACCAGAAGTTAGGAAGGGTACTCATGTAGGGTCAGAGAAGTAGGATGGTTAATGTGTGCAAAAATATAGTTAAATGAAATGAATGAAAACTAGTATTTGATAGCACAACAGGGTGACTGTAGTCAACACTAATTTATTGTACCTTTTAGAATAACTAAAGAGTATAATTGTATTGTTTAAAACACAAAGTAAGAATAAATGCTTGAGGTATTGGATACCCCATTTCCCCTGATATGATGATTACTCATTATATGCCTGTATCAAAATATCTTACATACCCCATAAATATATACAACTCCAATGTACCCACAAAAATTAATGATTAAAAATAAATAAATAATAATTTTTTTAAAATGAAGTATTTAGCACATAAATCTAACAAAAGGTGCACAAGATCTATATAGGAAAATACAAAACTCTGATAAAAGAAATCAAATTATATATGTAAATAGAAATATGTTTCATGTTTGTGGACTGGAAAACTTGATATTTGTAAGGTTTTTAAGTTCCGGCAATTACATTTCTGGGTATTTACCCAACTGATTTGAAAACTTATATCCACAGAAAAACCTGCACATGAATGTTTATAGCAGCTTTATATATGATCACAAAAACCTGGAAACAACCAAGATATTTTTCAATAGGCACATGGAAAAAAAAACCTGTAGTACATGCACACAATGGAAAATTATTAAACGATAAAAGTAATGAGCTATAAGCAAGGAGAAAACATGATGAACCTCAAATGAATATTGCTAAGTGAAAGAACCTACTATGAAAAGGCCATATATTGTATGATTCCAATTCTATTACATTCTGGGTATGGCAAAGCTACACAGATGGTAAGCAGATCAATGGTTGCCAGAAGTTCAGGGTGGTAATTAATAGATGAAGCACAATAAATGTTTTCTAAGGCAGGAAACTATTCTTATGTTACAGTGAAAGTAGGTACAGGACACGATGGGTTTCTCAAAACACATAGAACCTTGTGGCACAAAGAGTGAACTTTATTTAATGTACACAAATTTTTAAACATCATTTAAGAGGTTGAGGATCCCAGGAACGAATGCAGAATATGACATAATAATGAAACTATATTACTAACGTAAGAAGAAACTTCACTAAAGGTAGTGAGGGGGAAAAGGTGCTGACCTAAGTAACTTTGCAAGTGAGTACAGGCTGTATATAGGCAAAAGGCACTGTGTATAAGTCTCATGGCCTAGTTGATTGACTTTTCTTACCATAGTTTACAGGTTATCAATTCTGAAACAACTATATATGTATACTGAAACTGAATATTTCAGTGAATGGATGGTGGCTGATAGGAACCAGAGATCTCCCTGCTGCAGTGGGGATTTACAGATAGCAAAGAGATGAGGTTAGAATATGATAATGTATTAGAGTTGAAGACACCAGTATGAATTCATATTTAACTTAATGTAGAGACATGGTTACATTTTTATAGACATGTGTATATACATGGGTTATACATATATACATTCTTGTTGTCTCATCTGAGAAGGCCTAGAAAGAACAATTCCCCAAAGGAACACACCTGGCCCCCAGACCTTGGTTTCTAATCCATCTGTCAATAAAGGGAACCAGGGATCCTTAAAGAAATTGCTGATTCTAGGACTAAGGCAGAAAATATACAAGATGAGCCTGGAGCATTTTGAAGTGCCAGAAAGTAAGAAAGTGCTCAACATACACACACACACACACACACACACACACACACACACACACACACCCCCATGGGGTATGTCAAAAGGAGGCATGATTCAACTGAAAGAGCTCCCATGGCCAAAGGTGGAAAAATTTGTGCAACAAATAAAGTAGTATGTTTTGATTCTAACTCAAAACACAAAATAAACGTAAATGAGTCCATGATGATATAAATAAATAAATGGAGAGAATGGACTAATCTCCCATGCAAAAGAATTTCTAATAATTTATGTAAATACCCCACCCTCAAGTGGGTGGAACATAACTCCCCATTCCTTGAGTGTGGTCTATGCATAGTGACTTTCTTCTAAAAAGTACAGTATAAAAAGTGATGGATTGGGAGAAGAGGAGAAGGTATAACCTTAGAGTAGAAAACCTGCACACACTACCTCAGCCAGGTGATTAAGGTCAACTTCAACACTGATAAGTTGTATAGATAGTGCGTATCTTTGGTATGATGTGATGAGAATGACACTTCACTTCTGTGATCTTCCCCCTAAAAATGGAAGACCCCAATCTAAAAATGAGAAAAAAATCAGACAAATTCCAATTGATAAACATTCCACAAATACCTGACCAGGACTCCCCAGAATTGTCAAGGTCATCTGTAAGAGGAAAGCCTGATAATTTGTCACAGCCAGGAGGAGCCCAAGGAGACAGGTCAAATAAATATAATATTGTATCATGAATAGGATCCTGGAACTAAAAAAGAACATTAAATAAAAATTAAGAAAATCTTAATAACTATGGACTTTAACAAAAATATATAAATATTGGTCCATTTAATTGTGACAAATGTATCATATTAAAGTAAGATTTTAATAATAGTAGAAACCAGGAGTGAGCTCTCTGTCTTAACTCCACAATTTTTCTTTAAATTTAAAACTATGGAGTTTGAGCCAAGATGGCCGAATAGGAACAGCTCCGGTCTACAGCTCCCAGTGTGAGCGATGCAGAAGACGAGTGATTTCTGCATTTCCATCTGAGGTACTGGGTTCATCTCACTAGGGAGTGCCAGACAGTGGGGGCAGGACAGTGGGTGCAGCGCACCGTGCATGAGCAGAAGCAGGGCGAGGCATTGCCTCACTCGGGAAGCACAAGGGGTCAGGGAGTTCCCTTTCCTGGTCAAAGAAAGGGGTGACAGATGGCACCTGGAAAATTGGGTCACTCCCACCCTAATACTGCACTTTTCCAACGGGCTTAAAAAATGGTGCACCAGGAGATTATATCCCGCACATGGCTCGGAGGATCCTACGCCCACGGAGTCTCGCTGATTGCTAGCACAGCAGTCTGAGATCAAACTGCAAGCCATCAGCGAGGCTGGGGGAGGGGCGCCCGCCATTGCCCAGCCTTGCTTAGGTAAACAAAGCAGCCGGGAAGCCGGAACTGGGTGGAGCCCACCACAGCTCAAGGAGGCCTGCCTGCCTCTATAGACTCCACCTCTGGGGGCAGGGCACAGACAAACAAAAAGACAGCAGTAACCTCTGCAGACTTAAATGTCCCTGTCTGACAGCTTTGAAGAGAGCAGTGGTTCTCCCAGCATGCAGCTGGAGATCTGAGAACAGGCAGACTGCCTCCTCAAGTGGGTCCCTGACCCCTGACCCCCAAGCAGCCTAACTGGGAGGCACCCCCCAGTAGGGGCAGACTGACACCTCACACGGCCAGGTACTCCTCTGAGACAAAACTTCCAGAGGAAAGTTCAGAGAGCAGCATTCACGGTTCATGAAAATCCGCTGTTCTGCAGCCACCGCTGCTGATACCCAGGTAAACAGGGTCTGGAGTGGACCTCTAGCAAACTCCAACAGACCTGCAGCTGAGGGTCCTGTCTTTTAGAAGGAAAACTAACAAACAGAAAGGACATCCACACCAAAAACCCATCTGTACATCACCATCATCAAAGACCAAAAGTAGATAAAACCACAAAGATGGGGAAAAAACAGAGCAGAAAAGCTGGAAACTCTAGAAAGCAGAGTTCCTCTCCTCCTCCAAAGGAACGCAGTTCCTCACCAGCAATGGAACAAAGCTGGAAGGAGAATGACTTTGACAAGTTGAGAGAAGAAGGCTTCAGATGATCAAACTACTCCGAGCTACAGGAGGAAATTCAAACCAAAGGCAAAGAAGTTAAAAATTTGAAAAAAATTTAGACAAATGTATAACTAGAATAACCAATACAGAGAAGTGCTTAAAGGAGCTGATGGAGCTGAAAGCCAAGACTCGAGAACTACGTGAAAAATGCAGAAGCCTCAGGAACTGATGCAATCAACTGGAAGAAAGGGTATCAGTGATGGAAGATGAAATGAATGAAAAGAAGCGAGAAGGGAAGTTTAGAGAAAAAAGAATAAAAAGAAACAAACAAAGCCTCCAAGAAATATGGGACTATGTGAAAAGACCAAATCTACATCTGATTGGTGTACCTGAAAGTGATGGGGAGAATGGAACCAAGTTGGAAAACACTCTTCAGGATATTATCCAGGAGAACTTCCCCAATCTAGCAAGGCAGGCCAACATTCAGATACAGCAAATGCAGAGGATGCCACAAAGATACTCCTCGAGAAGAGCAACTCCAAGACACATAATTGTCAGATTCACCAAAATTGAAATGAAGGAAAAAATGTTAAGGGCAGCCAGAGAGAAAGTTCAGGTTACCCACAAAGGGAAGCCCAACAGACTAACAGCGGATCTCTCGGCAGAAACTCTACAAGCCAGAAGAGAGTGGGGGCCAATATTCAACATTCTTAAAGACAAGAATTTTCAACCCAGAATTTCATATCCAGCCAAACTAAGCTTCATAAGTGAAGGAGAAATAAAATACTTTACAGACAAGCAAATGCTGAGAGATTTTGTCACCACCAGGCCTGCCCTAAAAGAGCTCCTGAAGGAAGTGCTAAACATGGAAAGTAACAATCAGTACCAGCCACTGCAAAATCATGCCAAATTTTAAAGACCATCGAGGCTGGGAAGAAAATGCATCAACTAAAGAGCAAAATAACCAGCTAATATCATAATGACAGGATCAAATTCACACATAACAATATTAACTTTAAATGTCAATGGACTAAATTCTCCAATTAAAAGACACAGACGGGCAAATTGGATAAAGAGTCAAGACCCACCAGTGTGGTATATTGAGGAAACCCATCTCACGTGCAGAGACACACATAGGCTCAAAATAAAAGGATGGAGGAAGATCTACCAAGCAAATGGAAAACAGAAAAAGGCAGGGGTTGCAATCTTAGTCTCTGATAAAACAGACTTTAAACCAACAAAGATCAAAAGAGACAAAGAAGGCCATTTCATAATGGTAAAGGGATCAATTCAACAAGAAGAGCTAACTATCCTAAATATATATGCACCCAATACAGGAGTACCCAGATTCATAAAGCAAGTCCTGAGTGACCTACAAAGAGACTTAGACTCCCACACATTAATAATGGGAGACTTTAACACCCCACTGTCAACATTAGACAGATCAATGAGACAGAAAGTTAACAAGGATACCCAGGAATTGAACTCAGCTCTGTACCAAGTGGACCTAATAGACATCTACAGAACTCTCCACCCCAAATCAACAGAATATACATTTTTTTCAGCACCACACCACACCTATTCCAAAATTGACCACATAGTTGGAAGTAAAGCTCTCCTCAGCAAATGTAAAAGAACAGAAATTATGATGAACTCTCTCTCAGACAACAGTGCAATCAAACTAGAACTCAGGATTAAGAAACCCACTCAAAACTGTTCAACTACATGGAAACTGAACAACGTGCTCCTGAATGACTATTGGGTACATAATGAAATGAAGGCAGAAATAAAGATGTTCTTTGAAACCAACGAGAACAAAGACACAACATACCAGAATCTCTGGGACACATTCACAGCAGTGTGTAGAGGGAAATTTATAGCACTAAATGCCCACAAAAGAAAGCAGGAAAGATCCAAAATTGACACCCTAACATCACAATTAAAAGAACTAGAAAAGCAAGAGCAAACACATTCAAAAGCTAGCAGAAAGCAAGAAATAACTAAAATCAGAGCAGAACTGAAGGAAATGGAGACACAAAAAACCCTTCAAAAAATTAATAAATCCAGGAACTGGTTTTTTGAAAGGATCAACAAAATTGATATACCACTAGCAAGACTAATAAAGAAGAAAAGAGAGAAAAATCAAATAGACGCAATAAAAAATGATAAAGGGGATATCACCACCGATCCCACAGAAATACAAACTACCATCAGAGAATACTACAAACACCTCTATGCAAATAAACTAGAAAATCTAGAAGAAATGGATAAATTCCTCGACACATACACCCTCCCAAGACTAAACCAGGAAGAAGTTGACTCTCTGAATAGACCAATAACAGGCTCTGAAATTGTGGCAATAATCAATAGCTTACCAACAAAAAAGAGTCCAGGACCAGATGGATTCACAGCCGAATTCTACCAGAGGTACAGGGAGGAACTGGTACCATTCCTTCTGAAACTATTCCAATTAATAGAAAAAGAGGGAATCCTCCCTAACTCATTTTATGAGGCCTGCATCATCCTGATACCAAAGCCGAGCAGACACATAACCAAAAAAAGAGAATTTTAGACCAATATCCTTGATGAACATTGATGCAAATATCCTCAATAAAATACTGGCAAACCGAATCCAGCAGCACATCAAAAAGCTTATCCATCATGATCAAGTGGGCTCCATCCCTGGGATGCAAGGCTGGTTCAATATATGCAAATCAATAAATATAATCCAGCATATAAACAGAACCAAAGACAAAAACCACATGATTATCTCAATAGATGCAGAAAAGGCCTTTGACAAAATTCAACAACCTTTCATGCTAAAAACTCTCAATAAATTAGGTATTGATGGGATGTATCTCAAAATAATAAGAGCTGTCTATGACAAACCCACAGCCAATATCATACTGAATGGACAAAAACTGGAAGCATTCCCTTTGAAAACTGGCACAAGACAGGGATGCCCTCTCTCACCACTCCTGTTCAACATTGTGTTGGAAATTCTGGCCAGGGCAATTAGGCAGGAGAAGGAAATAAAGGGTATTCAATTAGGAAAAGAGGAAGTCAAATTGTCCCTGTTGGCAGACGACATGATTGTGTATTTAGAAAACTCCATTGTCTCAGCCCAAAATCTCCTTAAGCTGATAAGCAACTTCAGCAAAGTCTCAGGATACAAAATCAATGTACAAAAATCACAAGCATTCTTATACACCAACAACAGACAAACAGAGAGCCAAATCATGAGTGAACTCCCATTCACAATTGCTACAAAGAGAATAAAATACCTAGGAATCCAACTTACAAGGGATGTGAAGGACCTCTTCACGGAGAACTACAAACCACTGCTCAATGAAATAAAAGAGGATACAAACAAATGGAAGAACATTCCATGCTCATGGGTAGGAAGAATCAATATCGTGAAAATGGCCATACTGCCCAAGGTAATTTATAGATTCAATGCCATCCCCATCAAGCTACTAATGACTTTCTTCACAGAATTGGAAAAAACTACTTTAAAGTTCATATGGAACCAAAAAAGAGCCCACATCGCCAAGTCAATCCTAAGCCAAAAGAACAAAGCTGGAGGCACCACGCTACCTGACTTCAAGCTATACTACAAGGCTACAGGAACCAAAACAGCATGGTACTGGTACCAAAACAGAGATATAGACCAATCTAACAGAACAGAGCCCTCAGAAATAATGCTGCATATCTACAACTATCTGATCTTAGACAAACCTGACAAAAACAAGCAATGGGGAAATGATTCCCTATTTAATAAATGGTGCTGGGAAAAATGGCTAGCCACATGTAGAAAGCTGAAACTGGATCCTTTCCTTACACCTTATACAAAAATTAATTCAAGATGGATTAAAGACTTAAATGTTAGACCTAAAACCATAAAAACCCTAGAAGAAAACCTAGGCATTACCACTCAGGACATAGGCATGGGCAAGGACTTCATGTCTAAAACACCAAAAGCAATGGCCACAAAAGCCAAAATTGACAAATGGGATCTAATTAAACTAAAGAGCTTCTGCATAGCAAAAGAAACTACCATCAGAGTGAACAGGCAACCTACAAAATGGGAGAAAATTTTCACAATTTACTCATCTGACAAAGGGCTAATATCCAGAATCTACAATGAACACAAACAAATTTACAAGAAAAAAACAAACAACCCCATCAAAAAGTGGGTGAAGGACATGAACAGACACTTCTCAAAAGAAGACATTTATGCAGCCAAAAAACACATGAAAAAATGTTCATCATCACTGGCCATCAGAGAAATGCAAATCAAAACCACAATGAGATACCATCTCACACCAGTTAGAATGGCAATCATTAAAAAGTCAGGAAACAACAGGTGCTGGAGAGGATATGGAGAAATAGGAACACTTTTACACTGTTGGTGGGACTGTAAACTAGTTCAACCATTGTGGAAGTCAGCGTGGCGATTCCTCAGGGATCTAGAACTAGAAATACCATTTGACCCAGCCATCCCATTACTGGGTATATACCCAAAGGACTATAAATCATGCTGCTATAAAGACACATGCACACGTATGTTTATTGCGGCACTATTCACAATAGCAAAGACTTGGAACCAACCCAAGTGTCCAACAAGGATAGACTGGATTAAGACAATGTGGCACATATACACCATGGAATACTATGCAGCCATAAAAAATGATGAGTTCATGTCCTTTGTAGGGACATGGATGAAATTGGAAATCATCATTCTCAGTAAACTATCGCAAGGACAAAAAACCAAACACTGCATGTTCTCACTCATAGGTGGGAATTGAAAAATGAGAACACATGGACACAGGAAGGGGAACATCACACTCTGGGGACTGTTGTGGGGTCGGGGGAGGGGGGAGGGATAGCATTAGGAGATATATCTAATGCTAAATGACGAGTTAATGGGTGCGGCACACCAGCATGGCACATGTATACATATGTAACTAACCTGCAGATTGTGCACATGTACCCTAAAACTTAAAGTATAATAATAATAAAACTAAATTTAAAAAATAAATAAAAATAAAAAAATTAAAAAATAAGTTTAAAACTATCCCAAAATTAAAAGTTTAATTAAGAAAAAGTGAAGGTCTCACTCCCACACCTTACAGGTAGCTCTTGTTGTCTTTCCTCTCAAACATAATTCAATCTATGTTTTCGTGCACCTTGTCAAATATTATATATAGGATATACTGAACAAAATATTACAGGTTGAGCATTCCTAACCTCAAAATTCAAAATGCTTCAAAATCCAAATTAAAAAAATATTTTTTTACAGACAGAGTCTCACTATATTTCCCAGGTTGGACTCAAACTCCTGAGATCAAGCAACCCTCCCACCTTGGCCTCCTGAGTAGCTGGGATTAAAGGTGCACACCACTATGCCTAGCTCCCCATAACTTTTTGAGTGCCGTCATGACACCACATGTGGAAAATCCCAGACCTGATCTCAGATGATGAAATTGCAGTCAAAACACAGTGAGAACTTTGTTGCATGCATAAAATTATTTAAAATCTTGCATAAAACTACTTTTGGGGTATGGGCATAAGGTGTATATGAAATATAAATGACTTTCCTGTTTAGATTTGGGTCCCATCCCCAAGATATCTCATTAAATATATACAAATATTCCAAAAGTTTTTAAAAAATGAAATCCAAAACACTTCTGTTTCCAAGCATTTCAGATAAGGAATACTCAATCTGCATCTTCAAAACAAGTAGACTTTTAAATACATATATATACTGATGATATTGAAATTATTATATTAATTATCTTCAATTTTGAATTCTCAATATTTTTTAAAATTTGTGTTTGCTAAGTACTTTTTCATGTGTAACATTATATTTGTGAAATGGGCACAACAGACTTTTACATCCTTCTCTAAGGTGCAAATCAGTAAACAGGCTAAGAGATCCAGCATCTTGCTCAAGAGATTGTGAATGATATGACAGCACTGTCACTGGTATTTGTTTTGGCTCCTAATAGGACACCTTAATTCCTATTGGCTCTCCTCAGACCCTCCACTTATAGTATTTAAAAATATCATGCTATAATAAGCAAATAAATAGGACACCTTAATTCCTATTGGCTCTCCTCGGACCGTCCACTTCCATGTTATAATAAGCAAATAAAATATTCAACTTTAAGAAGATCAAAGAGGCAGTATCTTGTTAAAGGAACTTTATCAATAGAATAATAGCTTTAAATAGAAGTATGTAAGTGCAAGAATGTCTGACTAGGTCTAGCCACTGGAAACTGACAAAGCTATCTATTTAGTCACGCATGCCTGCAGCAACTTTTCCCTTTGGAAAAGTTCGACAGGCTAAAAATCAAGACAAATGCTTTTTAAGAAATCAAAGATAGGATAAGGAAAACCTAAAAGGGTCAAACTCTTCAAATATGGGGAGACTATAAAACTCAACCTGAGGTTACAATTGGCAGCTACTAGCTCTACTTTCACTAGGGTTTAGAGAAATACTGGAGACATTTGTATTTTGTGGCTTTGTGTGTATATTGTGTTTGCTCATCATTGTTTCTGTCAAAAGTTATAGAGACAAAGATTGATTTTCATTCCAGAATATCTTAAATTGTGCCAAATGAGTTCAGCTGTGAATGGATACAATAAAGACAAGCAATAATAAATAAACTATTATATTTCTGGGTAGTAGAAGTGGTTCCAGCTGTTGGTCTAATTCTATCTATGTAGAAAACTGCTTTCAGCAAACTCATTCTAAATTGCTTGACTAGCTTGAATGATTGAGATCTCATTTGAGAGCATACACAATGTGATTCATAACAATTAGGTCAGAGTATGACAAAGTAAATGTTAAGATAGACAATTTCTTTAAAGAATTTACATTGAAGTGAAGAGAAAAAGAATGTTTATCAAAATTTAATTGAATATTAACAAAAACTAGAAATTCACAGGTACTAAATTTGACTTGAAATATTTAGTCAAAGCAATTTATTTTTATTAAATGTTTGTGGAATATGTGTATAATAAATTGCTGATGTTTATTATTTTTATCTATTTACAGAAGAACCTCCACTCTTGGGGATCACAATATATCAACAACATTAATATAATCAATAATGTCTTTAATTTCATGAAATCAAGTTGATCCCTTCGCACCAATCAGACCAACCTTTATTAAACGTTTGAGTTTTACATCATGCCCTGGAAAAAAATAGATTAGAATTTTGTCAAATCTAGAGAATCACAAAATACAAGTGGGAATTTAGAAGATTTTAAAGCTTCAGGCGACATTAAAGATGATATAACCAATTCACTTTGTGTTACAGATAAGGATGCTGGCTGTCAGCATTCTTATCTATAAAAAACAAAATTGCATCACTCAATATAGGTAATTAAACAGCTGGTCCTTCAATGCTGCCCCCTTCAATAACTAGTTCCACCCACTTCTGTTACAACATGCTTCTTTCTGTGAATGTGCCTCCACAAAAGGCTAGTTTTACCTGTTGAAGATGACAGTCAGAATTTCTTAACGTTTGGTTTGTAGAACAGCATCAGAGTCAGCCAGGTGTTCATGGGTGTTTGTTAAAATGCATATCCCTGGGGCCAACTCCAGACCTCCTAAATCAGAACCTGGGAAGTTGTACTAAAAAAGCCACAAGATTATTTTTCTGCATTCTTTTTGTCATTAATTGCATTAATTTAGTGTTTATTTATCCTGTCTTATTATAACGCACCCAGAGGGCTTATCAAAAATATGAAATTCCAAAACTGCACAGAAATACACAAGCACACATGTATGCCCACACAAACGAATGCAGGTTTTAAAATGGTGAAAACTGAACACAATTGTAGTCTAGTTAACAATAATGTACCGATGTCAACTTTCTGGGTTTTTTTAACTTCCTGGTTTTAGTATTTTTCTGCAGCTATGTAAAACAAAACTATTAGAGGAAACCAGATAAAGAGTACACAACATCCTTTGTATAAATATCTAGGCACTCACTGGGAGTTTCTGATTTAGTAAATTAAGTTTAAATACAGAAAGTGTGTGTTTGTATATGTCTATGTATATGCTTGTATGTATATGTGTCTCTGTGTGCTTGTACCTTAGTTTGTGTTTCCATGTATGTGCAATTGATCCTTAAACAACATGGGTTTAAACTGCAGGTTCATATGTATATGGATTTTTTTCAATACATGTATTGGAAAATTCTATAAAGCACTTTTGACAATTTGAAGAAACTTATATATGAACCATATAGCCTAGAAACACCAAAAATATTAACATAAAGTTAAAAATGTCATGAAAGCATAACATATATGTAGATACAAGTCTATTTTATCATTAACTACCATAAAATGTATACAAGTCTATTATTAAAAGTTAAGATTTATCAAAACTTCTGCATTCACCCACTAAAACTGTACATGGCAATATTTGCAGTCAAGAGAAATGTAAACAAACTTAAAGGTTCAGTTTTAAATCATGATTGCATAAAATTAACTGTAGTACATACTGTACTATTATAATAATTCCACAGGAACCTCCTGATGCTGTTGCAGTGAGCTCAAGTGTTGTATCTGTGTAAAACACCTTATGACACGAATCATCTCCAGGTGAACAGTTCATCACTCCAGTTAAATTGTGTATCATGGTAAAAAGTGATTGCTTACTGTCCTTGCATATTTTGCATCATTTTTAGTGCAATATCATAAACCTTGATAATTCAGTGGGATCCATTCAAATTGCTATTAGTGATGCTGAAAATGCTCCCAAGAAGCAAATTAAAGTCGTGACATCATAGAAAAAGTTGAATTGCTTGATATGTACCATAAACTGAGGTCTGCAGCTGCAAAAATTCATTGCAAAATGTGAAAAGGAGATTTATGTTTTTTTGTCCTTGTGATAGTTTGCTGAGAATGATGGTTTCCAGCTTCATCCATGTCCCTACAAAGGACATGAACTCATCCTTTTTTATGGCTGCATAGTATTCCATGGGTATATGTGCCACATTTTCTTAATCCAGTCTATCATTGATGGACATTTGGGTTGGTTCCAAGTCTTTGCTATTGTGAATAGTGCTGCAATAAACATATGTGTGCATGTGTCTTTATAGCAGCATGATTTATAATCCATTGGGTATATACCCAGTAATGAGATGTCTGGGTCAAATGGAATTTCTAGTTCTACACTGCATGTTCTCACTCATAGATGGGAACTGAACAATGAGAACACTTGGACACAGGGTGGGGAACATCACACACTGGGGCCTGTCGTGGGGTGGGGGGATGGGGGAGGGATAGCATTAGGAGATATACCTAACATAATGACGAGTTAATGGGTGCAGAACACCAACATGGCACATGTATACATATGTAACAAACCTGCACGTTGTGCACATGTACCCTAGAACTTAAAGTATAATAAAATAAGAAAAGAAAATATTAGACCAAAATAGATTTGAACTCTGTCTCCCAGGCTGGAGTGCAGTGGGGCAATCTCAGCTCACTGCAACCTCTGCCTCCCAGTTTTAAGCAATTCTTATGCCTCAGCCTCCAAATAGCTGGGATTACAGGCATGCACCACCATGCCTGGATAATTTTTGTATTTTTTTTAGTAGAGATGGGGTTTTGCCATGTTGGCCAGGCTGGTCTTGAAACTCTTGACCTCAAGTGATCTGCCCACCCCGGCCTCCCAAAGTGCTGGGATTATAGGCATGAGTCCCTGCCCCTGGCCTAAACTCTGACTTTTGAAAAGGTTTTCTAAAACTGTTTATTTTGACTTATTTTTAAACAATCAACAATAAGTATTTCACTGGGTACCTATTAGTATGTCTAACACAATGCTAAGTAAGGGGAATTATGAGAAGCTTATCACGTGATCTTGTCTTTAAATAGTTTATAACCTAGCTACCTGTGATTATGAAGACATATTTTAAAAATTCTAGGACCTAATATCTTTTCTTTTTTTTTTTTTGAGATTGAGTCTCACTCTGTCGACTAGGCTAGAGTGCAATGGCCCGATCTCGGCTCACTGCAACCTCCGCCTCCTGGGTTCAAGCGATTCTCCTGCTTCAGTCTCCTGAGTAGCTGAGATTACAGGCACCCGCCATCATCCCGAGCTAATTTTTGTATTTTTGTAAAGACAGAGTTTCACCATGTTGGTCAGGCTGGTCTTGAACTCCTGACCTCAGGTGGTCCGCCCACCTCGGCCTCCCAAAGTGCTAGGATTACAGGTGTGAGTCACTTCGCCTGGCCAGACCCAATATCTTTAAGTAAAAATCATCTTTGAAAGTAATCACTTTGGATAGTTATACATTTATTTCCGTAATCCTACCATTGCTCAAAACATTCTTTATATCTTTGCTTTTGGGATTGCCTTTGGAGTCATTATATAAATCATTAAAGAAAAGCAGACTCGTTGCTTTAGTTTAGTGTTGCTCTATCATCCTTAAATACCTAGCTTAGTCGCTTAGTCACTTGAATTATTCACCAGCTTTGGGTCTCAATGACTTCTGATTATTTTAAAGTGTCAAATTCACCCTTAAAGACAAGTTTGGCTATTCTTGATGATCTTCAAAGGAATGCACTGCAGCATTATTGGACAGTAAGTTCTTGGAGAACAAGGTGCCTCTCTGGCTCCTCTTTGCATCTCTGGTAGCATCTGTTGCGGTGCTTAACCACAGCAGGGGCTCAATATGAACGCACTTGTGGGCTGGAAGGGAAGGGGCTGCAGCACCTCAGCTGCTCAGCAGCTGGAGATGCAGGGCATGGTGAGGATGAAGGCGAGGAAGGGATCCAGGTCGGATTTGAGGGCAACTTTTTTCTGTTTTATTATTTCAGGATTTTCTTTCGCTACTCCTTAGACATCTGGCTTTGACAGCAAAGGACAGAAAGGTCTGCCTGAAGCTGGCAGCAGATTCTCCCAATACTCCCTTCGAGCCCTGTGTTTTAATATATACATAATTAATTAATTAAAAGTCTTACCTATAAAAAAAGAAAAGGAGATTTATGAAGCCATCACATTGTAGTTACATCATCACACTTAAAAATTTGCACTTTTTGCAAAATACCTTTTTATCTCATCTTGAAAACACAGCTTCATGTGGGTGCAGGATTGCTATAAGAAAGGCATACCTAAAGACTCTAAATGATTCAAGAAAAAGCAAAGTTATTACACAACAACTTGAAGCAAATGAAAGGTGAAGGATCTAAGTCTGGATAATTCAATGCCAGCAAAGGATGGTTTGATAATTTTAGAAAACAGTTTAGCTTAAAAGATGTCAAGATAACAGGCAAAAATCAGCTACTGCCAAATAAAAGAAAGCAGATGGGTTCCCAGACACCACTAAGAAAATCAATGAGGGGAAATAATCTGCCTAAACAAGTTTTTACTACAGATGAAAGTGCCCTGTTTTAGAAAAAACAAATGCCACAAAGAACATTTATCAGTAAGGCAGAGAAATGATCAGCAGGATTTAAGGAAGGAAGGGATAGGCTAACTCTAGTGTTTTGTGCAAAGACAGGTTGATGATCAGGACGACCCACATCTGTTATATAAAGCTGCTAACCCATGAGCCTGGTAGAGAAAAGATAAACACCAGCTTCAAGTTTATGACTGTACAACAAAAACATCTGGACAACGAGAATGCTTGTTCTGATTGGTTCAATTATTTCTTTTTCCCTGAAATCAGGAAGTAACTTTCCATTAAGGAAAAACTTCCTAAAGTTTTGTTCATATTGAACAATGTCCTTAACCAACCAGAACCCCATGAGTTCAACACTGAAGATATAAAAGTTGTCTACTTGCCCCTAAACACTTCTCTAATACAGCCTCTAGATCAGGGGGTCCTACGATTCTTAAGGTTTATTGCACATGATACTCTATGGAGGGGATTGTCAATGCTATGGAAGAGAACCTCTACAGGGAGAACATCATGAAAGTCTGGGAGGGTTACACCACTGAAGATGCCGTTGTTGTTAGAGGATTGCCATTGTTGTTTCATGGGTTGTTATAAACCCACAAAAGCCATCAAGCCCCAAAACAATAAATTTCTACTAGAGAAAACTTTCCAGATACTGTGACTTCACAGGATTTACAACAGAGCCGATAAAGGAAATCATGAAAGAGACTGTGGATATGGCAAAAAAAAAAAAAAAAAAAAAAAAAAAAAGGCAGGGGATGAAGGGTTTGAAGATACAGATCTCGGAGAAGTTCAAGAGCTAACAGCCATGACACCAGAGGCAGAAGAGGTGGAGGAATTAACAGATGACTTGATAGAGAAGATAGAGAAGAGTGCTTCTGAATGAGTGCCAGACAATGAAGAAGAAGATGTAGAAGAAGCAGTGTCAAAAACAAAGTACATTAGACAATTGGTAGAAGGATTCCCATCATTCAAAACTGCTTTTGACTTCCTTAATAACGTGAATCTCTCTATGACACAGGCACTAAAACTAAAGCAAATGTTAATAGAATTTGCACCATACACAAACATTTTCAGAAAAATTAAAAAGCAAAAACATCAGAGAGACATGGCAATGTATTTCCATACAGTTACACAAAGTGGGCTTCCCTCTCCTGCTCCCCGCTTCCACTTCCGCCACCTCTTCTGCCTCTGCGAGCCATGAGACAGCAAAATTAATCCCTCCTCTTCCTCCTCCTCCTCAGCCTACTCAATCTGAAGCCCATTAGGATAAAGACCTTTATGATGGTCCATTTTCACTTAATTAATAGTAAGTATATTTTCTGTTCCTTATGATTTTCTTAATAACATTTTCTTTTCTCTAGCTAACTTTATTGTAAGAATACAGTAAATAATATATATGACATACAAAATGTATGTTAATTGACAGTTCATGTCATGGGTAAGGCTTCCAGTCAATAGTAGGCTATAAGTAATTAAGTTTTGGGGGAGTCAAAGGCATACACAGAATTTTGACTGTGCAGTGTAGTAAGTGCCCTTTACTTCTGTGTTGTTCAAAGGCTGGCTGTGTGTATGTGTGTGTGTGTGTGCGCGTGTGTATGTGTGTGTATGTGTATGTATGATCGGGTGTTTTTACAGAAACCCCACTGATTCTTTATACTGTATCATATCTCGGTTTCACCATCCAGCATCTATCAGATCTCTGTTAACCCTTATGAGTATCTTTTCATGTAAATTTCCCCAATTTTACACTGTGGGAGCTTTGTTTAAAATTCTGGCTGAAATTTAAGAAGTATTTGCAGATAAAAAGGATTTGCAACAAAGATTTGTACTCTATAACTAGGATAGACTTCAAAGTCATTACATGGGTGGATAAATATATGTAGAAAATGTTGGGAAAGTAGGCTATCATCTTGCTTAAGGAGGGTGAAAACCAACACGAAATCTTTTAAAGCAAAGAAATTTAAACGAAAATCACATATTCCAT
Organism: Homo sapiens; assembly: GCF_000001405.40. NCBI lineage: Eukaryota > Metazoa > Chordata > Mammalia > Primates > Hominidae > Homo > Homo sapiens. The sequence continues at coordinate 59,896,399 of NC_000008.11, forward strand.
TCACCATTGGAATACTTTGACATAAAATAACATTTGTCCAGGTTCCACATAGGACAACATGAAAATCATAATGTACCCCACACAATTTACTAAAATACAAAGATATAATAATAAACTAATACTAGTGCTTGATACTTTCTAGGTACATTTTTAAATTGGGTGATATTCCAGTGAGGTAATAGTAAGAATTTTTTTCACAAATGGCCAATTAAGATCTAGGATAAGCACAAATTCTTAAGATGAGCTCAACGCAAAATTAATAGAAAGATTAAAGAAATTGGAACTTTAATGTGAGGATATCGACTCCTGTTGTATTTTTTCTTCATCCCACATTTAACCTACTTTTAATTGCAAATTCTGTTCTTTAAGTATAAAATATTTTGGATACACAGATTACTAGGCAGTGATATAAAAAACAACAAAACACAACCACTAAATCTAATCAGTCTCTGCTGCAGAAATTCAAGGGCAATCGACTTCAGCATTTTAACATTCTACAACTTATTGTCTCAAACTGCTATTTAGCTAGTTTAGTAAGAGATATAATTCCCCAAGACCATTGCTACTGCCAGAAGCAGCAATTCCAACAAAAGGGACAGTCCTGTGACCGCCCCCAGAGGAGCAGCTGCCACAGCTGCTCTACAGGAAGCACGAGCCGCAAACACATGCAATGAGTCCAGAAGCCCCAAATCAGCCCTGAAACCTGTCAGGTGCACCTATTAATAGAATTTTGTTATTTTTATTTGTCTTGAGTAAGAATTTAGACATCTTTTTTATTGACCTATTTTTGAGTCCAGGACTTCCAGGGGTGTGAAATGCAGGTTGTACTTTCTGTGGGCAATCTCTGCACCCTTAACAAGGGGTAACCTATCAAAGCCTTTCCTTTTCCATAATTTATTATCTCATACAAAAGATCTATCACTAGTAGTGCTCCTTTGAACTAGCGTAACATATAATCTATACCTCTCATGTGATGTTAAACCATAGATGATACTTTAAGACATATATGTATTATCTCTCCTACTACACTGTAAGCTCATTAAAATAAAATCTTTCATCTTTTTCTACCTCACAATGGCTAGAAGACGGGGAATGAATTAATGTTGGTACTATATGTGTACACATAAGCCAATGATGTGTACACATAAGCCATTTTGTGATTAACTTCTGTATGCTATATGCTAATGTGTACTATAACCTTATTTTTTCTAAAGTATTTTTAGTAAGTGTTTTAGTTTTTCAACCCATACTGTTGTATACAGTAGTCCTCCTTATCCTCAAGGAATACATCCTAAGGCCCTCTTTGGGATGCCTGAAACTGTGACTAGCACAAAATCCTATATATACTGTCATTTTCCTAAACATCCATAATATGAGAAACAGTTTATAAATAGGCCACAGTAAGAGATTGACAAAAGTAACTAATAATAAAATATAACAATTATAAGAATATGTCAGTGTCACTGCTCTTGTACTGTAGGATCATTATTAAATAAAATAAGGGTTACGTGAACACAAGTGCTATGATATCAGGACAGTCGATCTGGTAATACAGATGGCTACTAAGTGACTAATGGGAAAGTAGTGTGGACCACATGGATACACTGGAAAAAGGGAGGATTCAAGTTCCCAGTGGGACAAAGAAGGACGGTGGGAAATTTCATCACACCCTCAAACAGTGCATGATTTAACTTAAAAAATATTTATTTCTAGAATTTTCTATCTAACATTTTTGTACTATGGTTGACTACAAGTAACTAACACCATGGAAAGGGAAACTGTGGAATAAGAGGGGAATTATTGTATTATATTTATACATGTATACATGTATATATACTTTATGTATGTGTATACATTTATATAATATGTATTTTTATATACAATATAAAATTTCTTCTATTACGGATTTATTCTTTTATGACCAGCTTCTAGTACTCTCTCTGGCACTAGGAGGTAATAAATACATATTTTTAAATTAAATAATTTAATTGACAATAACAAAACCAAAAATCAAAATAAAATAAAAGTTCTTATTCAGAATTCAATTAGGTTTGAATTTCAGATATTTTCTAAAAGTGAAGGAAAGGAGTGACATCCTTTTTGTGATCAACTTCTATTTCTTTTTCTTCTACTTCTCAGATATTCATGCATTCAGGTGGTGACATTTAAAAATTCCAATATATGAATAATAAACCATTATTCTCTTATGTCTCATTCTAACCACTTCTCATTTTCAGACATTTAGACGCCTTTCTAGATTCAAAGTAAACACATTTTATCACTGATATAATTTTTCACATAAAACTATATTCAGAAGCAGCTACAGTGTGTGGCACTCACAGAAAGGGAATGAAAGGGGCAAATGAATACAGTACCTTCAACTGAAATATCCAAGTACTTACATTGGGACTGATCAGGGAAACAAATGGACCCATGGAAAACCGAGAAAAGCAGGGCAGGACAATGGCCCGCCCAGGAGTGACATGAACCCAAGGAAACCCCCACCCCCAGCCAAGAGAAGCGGTGAGTGAATGTGTGACTCTGGGAAACCACACTTCTCCCATGGATCTCAGATCAGGAGATCCCCTCATGAATGCATTTCTCCAGGCCCTTGAGTCTGACGCACAGCTATGTGGAGTCTCACCCCTGCCTGTATTCTATGGACAGAGCTCTGATCTCTCCATGAGACAGAGTGCCTACGGGGAGGGTTGGGCCACCACCTTTGCTGTTTGGGCAACTCAATCTTTCCAAACTGTGGGCTTTGGACAGTCCAGGCTGAGGGGCAAAGACAGGTTCCCCAGCATAGCACAGCTGTTTTGTCAAAGAATGGCCAGTCTCCTTCTTTTTTTTTTTGAGACGGAGTCGTGCTCTGTCACCCAGGCTGGAATGCAGTGACACTATGTGCATTCCAAGGCTTTTGAACACCTGTGAGCATAGAATAATGGCACTAAATGGTACACAAGGAATAGACAAAGTGCCACCTTTCTCTTCCTTCCTGAAGGTCTACTACATGAAACCAGGCAAGCTCCGCCTCCTGGGTTAACACCATTCTCCTGCCTCAGCTTCCCAAGTAGCTGGGACTAGAGGTGTCTGCCACCATGCCTGGCTAATTTTTTTGTGTTTTAGTAGAGACGGGGTTTCACCACGTTAGCCAGGATGGTCTTGATCTCCTGACCTCATGATTCTCCTGCCTTGGCCTTCCTGAGTGCTGGGATTACAGGTGTGAGCCAACGTGCCTGGTGGCCAGACTCCTTCTTTAAATGGGACCCAAATTCATTGATCCTTGCTGTGGGGGGGTCCTCCGAGCTGGGGCCTCTGGTCACCCTTACTTGTGTTCTATGGCTGACAGAGGTCTAATTTCTCCCTGGAAAGGAGTGCCAGGGGCACAGGACAGGCTGCCACCTTTGCTGTTGGGGCATCTCAGCTGGTCCAGCCTTTACCTCAGAGAGCCCAAACCAATTAGGTGCTGAAGGGATTCCTAACACAGCACAACTGCTCTACCAAAATGCAGCCAGATTGCTTCTTTAAGCAGGGGGATTTCATTCCTTCTGACTGGGTGAGACCTTCCAATCTGGGTCTCCTGCCACCACAAACAGGTGCATTTGGGCCAGCAACAGGTCGGTAGCCCCCTGAGACAGAGCTCCAAGTCAGGGGCAAGCTGCCAACTTTGCCGTTTTGTAGCCTTCACTGGTGATACCTCCAGGTACTGGAGAAACCAAGATGACTAGGATCTGAAGAAGATCCCCAGGAAACTTCAACAGCCCTGTGGAAGAGTGGCCAGACTGTTAAAAGAAAAACAAACAAACAAAACAACAAAGAAAACAAATAACAAAAACCCCATCCAAAGGTCAGTAATCTCAAAGATCAAAGGTAGATAAGCCCACAAAAATGAGAAAGAATAAGCACAAAAATGCTGAAAACTTAAAAAGCCAGAGTGACCCTTTCCTCCAAATGACCACAACACCTCTCCAGCAAGGGTTCAGATCTGGGTTGAGGCTGAGATGGCTGAAATGACAGAAGTAGGCTTCAGAATATGGATAAAAATGAATTTCACTTAGCTAAAGGAACATGTTGTAACCCAACGCAAGGAAGCTAAGAATTATGATAAATCAATGCAGGAGCTGATAGACAAAATAGCCATTATAGAGATGAGCATAACCAACCTAACAGAGCTGAAAAACACACTACAAGAACTTCACAAAGCAATCCAAGTATTAAAGGGCAGAATAGACCAAGCACGGGGTAGAATCTCAGAGCTTGAACACTGTCTTGCTAAAATAAAACAGGCAGAGAAGAATAGAGAAAAAAGAATAAAAAGGAATGAACAAAACCTTTGAAAAATATGGGATTATGTAAAGAGACCCAATCTATGACTGATTGGCGTACCTGAAAGAGGTGTGGAGAATAGAACCAATCTGGAAAACCTATTTCAACATATCATCCAGGAGAACTTCCCCATGCTAGCCAGATAGGCCAACATTCAAATTCAGGAAATGCAGAGAACCCTAGTAAGATACTCCACGAGAAGATCATCCCCAAGATACATAATCATCAGATCCCCACGAGGTCTAAATGAAAGAAAAAAATGTTAACAGCAGCCAGAGAAAAATGCAAGGTCATCTACAAAGGAAAGTCCACAAGACTTACAGCATGTTAGGATGTTTTTTAACATTGTTTTAAGAAAGAAATTCCAGGCCAGAATTTTATATCCAGTGAAGCTAAGCTTTATAAGAGAAGGAGAAATAAGATCTGCTTCAGACAAGTGAATTTTGAGGAAATTTGCTACCACCAGACCTGCCTTATAAGAGCTCCTGCAGGAAGCACTAGATATGGAACAAGAAAACCATTAACAGCAACTACTAAAACACACTGACATACACAGACCAGTGATACTATGAATCAACCACGTTAACAAGTCTGCAAAATAAGCAGCTAGCATCATCATGACGGGATCAAATCCACACGTAATGACACTAACCTTAAACTAAATGGGCTACATGTCTCAATTAAAAGACACAGAGTGGGAAGCTGCATAAGAGACCAAGATCCACTGTTATGCTGTCTTTAAGAGACCTATGTCACATACAAAGACACACAGACACAAAAATAAGGTGAAAGAGGAAAATTTACCAAGCAAATGGGAAATGGAAAAGAACAGGGATTGCAATCCTAATTTTTGATAAAACAGACTTTAAACCAACAAATATAAAAAAGGCAAAGAAGGGCATTACATAATGGTAAAAGGTTCAATTCAAAAAGAAGAGCTAACTATCCTAAATATATACACCCAACACAGGAGCATCCAGATTTATAAAGCAAGTTAGTAGGGATTTAGACTCCCACATAAAAATAGAGGAAGACTTTAACACCTCACTGACAATATTAGACAGATCATACAGATAGAAAATTAACAATGATATTCAAGAACTGAACATAGCTCTGGATTAAGTGATCCTAAGAGATACCTACAGAATTCTCCACCTAAAAGCAACAGAATATACATTCTTCTCATCACCACAGCACACTTACTCTGAAAATGATCACATAGTTGGAAGTAAAACACTCATCAGCAAATGCAAAAGAACTGAATTTATAACAAACAGTCTCTTGGACCACAGCACAATCAAATTAGAATTCAAGATTAAGAAACTCACTCAAAACCAAACAACTACATGGACATAATTCTGAATGATATTTGGGTAAACATTAAAATTCAGGCAGAAATTAAGTTATTTGAAACAAATAAGAACAAAGATACAACTTACCAGAATCTCTGGGGTGCAGCTAAAGCAGTGTTTACAGGAAAATTTGTAGTAATAAATATCCACATTAAAAAAAATGCTATAAAGATCTCATGTTAGCAACCTAACATCACAACTAAAAGAAATGGAGAACCAAGAGAAAACAAACTACAAAGCTAGCCGAAGACAAAAAAATAACCCAAATCAGAGCTGAACTGAAAGAGACAGAGACACCAAAAACCATTCAAAAAATCAATAAATCCAGGAGCTGGTTTTATGAAAAAATTAATAAAATAGAGAGATCACTAGCTAGACTAATAAAAAAGAAAAGAGATAAAATTCAAATAAACACAATCAGAAATGATATGGGGATATTATGGCTGACCCCACAGAAATGCAAACAACCATCAAAGAATATTATAAACATCGCTATGCACATATACTAGAAAATACAGAAGAGGTTGGGCACAGTGGCTCACATCTATAATCCTAGGACTTTGGGAGGCAGAGGTGTGTGGATGACCTGAGGTCACAAATTTGTGACCAGTCTGACCAACATGGTGAAACCTCATCTCTACTAAAAATACAAAAATTAGCTGGGCATTGTGGCATGTGCCTCTAGTCCAAGCTACTTGGGAGGCTGAGGCAGGAGAATCACTTGAAGCCAGGAGGCAGAGGTTGCAGTGACCCGAGATCATGCCACTGCACTGCAGCCTCGGCAACAGAGTGAGACTCCATCTCGAAATAAATAAATAAATAGAAATAAAAATAAAGAAAATACAGAAGAAATGGATAAATTCCTGGACACATATACCCTCCCAGTACTGAACCAGGAAGTAATTGAATTGCTGAACAAACGAATAATGAGTTCTGAAATTAAGGCAGCAATAAATAGCCTACCAAACCAAAAATGCCCAAGACCAGATAGACTCACAGCTAAATTCTACCACAGGTACAAAGAATAGCTGGTACCATTTCTACTGAAAATATTCCAAAAAATTGAAAAGTGGGGACTACTCTCTAACTCATTTTATGAGGCCAGTGTCATCCTGGTACCAAAACCTGGCAGAGACATAACAACAACAACAAAAACTTCAGGCCAATATTCTTGAAATACTGGCAAACTGAATCCAGCAGCACATAAAAAGTTTATTCACCACAATCTAGTAGGCCTCATCCCTGGAATGCAAGGTAGGTTCAACTTATGCAAATCAATAAATGTGATTTATTACATAAACAGAACTAAAGACAAAAACCACATGATTATCTCAATACATGCAGAAAAGGCCTTCAATAAAATTCAACATCCCTTCATGTTAAAAAGTCCCAATAAAATAGGTTTTGAAGAAACATACCACAAAATAATAAGAGCCATATATGACAAACCCACAGCCCATATCATACTGAATAGGCAAAAGCTGAAAGTTTTCCCCTTGAAAAGTGGCACAAGACAAGAATGTCCTCTCTCACCACTCCTATTCAACATAGTATTGGAAGTTCTGGCCAGAGCAATCAGACAAGAGAAAGAAACAAAGCATATTCAAATAGAAAGAGAGGAAGTCAAACTATCTTTGCTTGCAGATGACATGATTCTATATCTAGAAAATTCCAGTATCTCAGACCAAATGCTTCTGAGGCTGATAAGCAACTTCAGCAAAGTCTCAGGAAACAAAATCTATGTGCAAAAAATGCTAGCATTTCTCTACACCAACAACAGACAAGCCAAGAGCCAAATCATGAATGAACTCCCATTCACAGTTGCTACAAAAAGAATAAAATACGTAGGAATACAGCTAACAAGGGAAGTGAAGTACCTCTTCAAGGAGAACTACAAACCACTGCTCGAAGTAATTAGAGATGAGACAAACAAATGGGAAAATATTTCATGCTCATGGATGGGAAGAATCAATATTGTAAAAATGGCAATATTGCCCAAAGCAAGTAATAGATTCAATGCTATTCCCATTAAACTACCATTGACATTCTTCACAGGATTATAAAAAAACTATTTTAAAATATAGAATATAGAACCAAAAAAGAGCGTGAAAGGCCAAGACAATTCTAAGCAAAAAGACCAAAGCTGGAGGCACCATGCTACCTGACTTCAAACTATACTACAGGGCTACAGTAACCAAAACAACATAATACTGGCACAAAAACACATGCCAATGGAAAAGAATAGAGAATACAGAAATAAGACACACCTACAACCATCTGATCTTTGGCAAGCCTGACAAAAAACAAACAGTGGGGAAAGGATTCTCTATTTAATAAATGGTGCTCAGAGAACTGGCTAGCCATATGTAGGAAATTGAAACTGGACACCTTCCTTACACCTTGTACAAAAGTCAACTCAAGATGGATTAAACACTTAAATGTAAAACCCAAAGCTATAAAAACCCTGAGAGACAACCCAGGCAATACTATTCAAGACATAAGTATGGCAAAGATTTCATGATGAAGATGCCAAAAGCAATTGCAACAAAAGCAAAAATTGACAAATGGGATCTAATTAAACTAAGGAGCTTCTGAAGAGCAAAAGAAACAATCACAGAGTAAACAACCTACAGAATGGGGAAAAAATTGCAATCTACGCATCTGACAAAGGTCCAATATCCAGCATCTATAAGGAACTTAAAAAATTTACAAGAAAAGAAACCCATTTAAAAGTGGGGAAAGAACATGAACAGACACTTCTCAAAAGAAAATATACATGCAGCCAAAAAAAATGAAAAAAGCTCAATATCAGTAATTAGTAGAGAAACACAAATCAAAACCACAATGAGATACCATCTCACACCACTCACAATGGCTATTAAAAAGTGCAAAAATAAGAGACGCTGGTGAGGTTGTGGAGAAAACAGAAGGCTTTTACACTGTTGGTGGGAGTGTAAATTAGTTCAAGCATTATGTAAGACAGTTGGTGATTTCTCAGAGACCAAAAGACATAAATTTTATTCTACTCAGCAATCCTTTTACTAGGTACTCAAAGGAATATAAATTTTTCTGTTATAAAGACACATGCATGTGAGTGTTCACTGCAGCACTGTTCACAACATCAAAGACATGGAATCAACCTGAACGCCCATCAGTGATAGACTGGATAAAAATGGTAGGAACAGAAAACCAAATAGCACATGTTTTCACTTATAAGTGAAAGCTAAATGAAGAGAACACATGGACACATGGGAGAAAACAATGCACACTGGGGCCTGTCAGAGGGTTAGGGGTGGGAGGAGGGAAAGGATCAGGAAGAATAGCTAGTCCATGCTGGGCTTAATACCTGAGTGATGGCATGATCTATGCAGCAAACTACCATGGCACACGTTTACCTGTGTAACAAACCTGCACATCCTGCACATGTACCCCTGAACTTAAAAGTTGGAAATTTGAAAAAAAAAAACAAAAAAAAAAAAAAAAAGAAGAAAACAGAAAAAGGAAATGCGGGAATGAAATAAATTTCTTTAACAAAAAAAACCTGTATTCATAATCATATCAAATTCTATTTTCAAATACTAATAATTTCTGTCAATGAAAGCAGCTATTTCCTTTGTGCAATAAAATCCTCGTTATAATTTCATTACTTTCAGCAATCATGTTAGCCAATTTCCAACCTTAATCTTGCCAAGAAGGTCTGTTAAAAATATTTTATCTAAATATGACCCCTATTTCAAAATGACTTTTTAGCTAAGATTTCAATGAAAAAACATTCCCAGTGACCTGAAAAGGTGATTCAATTGACAGAAAAGTAAATGGCAAGTTTGGTTTCCATTGTAAACTTTAGATTCTGCTGTTCATCTTTTACTCCATTTACTCATCCATTCATACATTACTGAGCTTTTATCATGCACACAACATTCTGCCATGTGTATACTGTAAGATATACAAATACTAATAAGTAAGACATACTCATTGTCCTTATGGCAATCACAGTTTAGAATGGGAAATATATACTCACAACCATTTCTAGTACAATAGATACACATCAGTTGTTATATTGTTAACATTGCTCATGTTAGTAAATGGTAAAGCCAAGAATCAAAACCAGTGAACCTGCCTAGAGTCTGCAGGGTTAGACACTTTACTGAGAGTAGTGATGACTTCAACACTTCAGTTTGAAGTCTGGGAAAATGGTGATGTCAGTAAGAGAAATAGAAATCTCACAAAGAAAGAAAATTGTTTATAAATATACAGTTTTTATTTGGCCAGATAACAAGCTAGACATGTATTGTAGGCATTCGCAGGACCAAAGAATAAAGAAAGTTATAGTTGGAGATACAATTTCCAAAATAGGAACAAACCCAGTGATATGATTTGCAAAGATGGCCAAACTCTTCTAGTATCACCTAGAAATCTGCATCTTGCTCCAACTCTTATTTTTTTAATGTTGAACAAAGCACGCAATTGCTATTATGCAATGACTAAGTTATGAATTAAGAATTAATCTAGATCTCGAGCTCAAGGAAGGAGGTGGAGAAAGATGCCCAAATAGAACCCTCTACTGATTGTTCTCTGCACAAGAACACCAAATTTGGCACCTAACTACACAAAAAAGCACTTTTTTAAGAACCAAAAATCAGATGAGTGATCACAGTTCCTAGTTTTAATTTAATATCACTGGAAATAGGCACTGAAGAGGGTAGAAAAGACAGTCTTGAATTGCCTACACCTCTCCTCTCCCATCCGCTAGAGGTGACCACATAGCATGGAGAATCTGTGTGCTTAGGGGAGGAAAAGAGCACCAATTGGGGGACTTTGCCTTAGGATGCAGTGCTGCCAAAACCAGGCAGAACTCAGCCAGGACCCACAGAAGGAACATTTAGACCAGCCCTAGCCAGAGGGCAGTCACCCATCCCAGCCATCAGAACTTGAGTTTGGGTCAACCTCACCACCATGGACTCAAGTGTTCTAGGGTCCTAAATAAACTTGAAGGGCAGTCTAGCCCACAAGGACTGTGACTCCCAGGCAAGTCCTAGTCCTCTCCTGGGCTCAGAGCCAGTGGACTAACGGGGCATGCAACCTAGTGAAATGCCAGCTGAGGTTGCTAAGGGATTGCTTGGGCCACACCTCCCCCAACTCAAGGCAACACAGCTCACAGCTCTGAAAGAGACTGCTTTCTTCCACTTAAGGAGAGGAGAGGGGAGAGTTAAGAGGATTTTTGTCTTGCAACTTGGATACCAGCTCAGCCACAGTAGTATAGGGCACTAGACAGAGCCATGAGACACCCATTCCAGGCCCTAGCTCCTGGAAGACATTTCTGGACACACTCTGGGCCTCAAGGGAACCCACTGACTTGAAGGGAAGAGTCCAGTCCTGGCAGGATTCATTACCTACTGACTAAAGAGCGCTTGGACCCTGAATAGTCAACATCAGTAACTAGGGAGTACACACTGTGGGCCTTGGGTAAGAATCCCAGACATGGTGGCTTCAGGTGTAACATAGAACATTCACAGCTATGGTGGCTATGAAGAGAGGCCCCCTTCTGCTTGAGAAAAGCAGAGGAAAGTGTAAAGTGGACATTACTTTGAGCTTATGTACCAGCTCTACCACAGTGGGAAAGAGTACCAAGGGGCTTCTTGGGGTCCCCAATTCCAGGCCTCAGCTCTTGGATGGCATCTCTGGTCCTAATCTGGGTCAGAGAGGAGCCCACTGCCCTGGCAACATTAACAACAACTGAAGGGCCTTGGGCCTTAAGTGATGATTGGCACTACCCTGGTAGTATTCCCCATGGGCCTGTGGTGGTAGTGGACATGGGGAGATACTCTTCTGATTGGAAAAGTGGAAGGAAGAGTGAAAAAAATATTGTCTTGTGGCTTGGGTGCCAGATCACCCAAAGTAAAACAGAGCACCAGATAGATTCCTAAGGTTTCTGATGCCAAGCTCTGGCTCCCAGACAGGCATCTCTGGACTCATCAGGGGCCCAAGGGGACACACTGTCCCTAAGGGAAGGGCAAAAGCCTGGCTGGCTTAACCACCTGCTGAGTGTAGAGTCCTAGGGCCTTAAGCAAACATGGACAGTAGCCAGGTAGTGGTTACAGAGAGACTTGGGAAAGGCCCAGTCCTGTGCTGTCTTCAGGGCTGATCTAGTGCAGTCCCAGCAGTGGTGGCCACAGAGGTGCTTGTGTCACCCTTTCCCCAGCTCCAGGCAGCTCACCACAGAGAGAGAGACTCCATTTGTTTGGGAGAAAGTGAGGGAAAAGAACAACTGTCTCTGCATAGTAACCTGGAGAATTCTTTTGGATCTTATCCAAGACCACCAAGGTGACACCTCTATGATTCAGGAAGAACTACAGCATTACTGGGCTTGAGATATCCCCCCCAACCCATGAAGATATGGCTGCAGTGACCAAAAACTTAGATCACAACACTCAAGTCCCTTCACAAACCTGGAAAGACTCGCAACAAGGACAGATACAAACGAGACCAGATTGTGACGATTGTAATAAATACCTAACTCTTCAATGCCAGACAACAGTGAACATTTACTAGCATCAAGACTGTCCAAGAAAATATAACCTTACCAAACAAACAAAGACACCAGTGAATAATCCCAGGCAGATAGCGATAAGTGACCTTTCAGACAGAGAATTCAAAATAGATGTTTTGAGGAAATTCAAAGAAATCCAAGATAACACAGAGAAGGAATTCAGAATCCTATAAGATAAATTTAACAAAGCAATTTAAATAAGTTTAAAAATCAAGCAGAACTTCTGGAAATGAAAAATGCAATTGACATACTGACGAATGCATCAGAGTCTCTTAATAGCAGAATTAAACAATCAGAAGAAAGAATAAATGATCTTGAATACAGCCTACATGAAAATAGAGAAGACAAAAGGAAAAAGAATAAAGCAAGCTTACAAGATGTACCAGTCATTCAGGAGCATACTGTTTAAATTTTATGTGTTTGTATAATTTCCCAAATTTCCCTTGTTACTGAGTTCAAGTTTTATTCCATTGTAGCCAGAGAAGATACTTGACATGATTTTAGTTTTTTTGAATGTTTTAAGACTTGTTTTGTGGCCTGACATATAGTCTATCTTTGAAAATGATCCAGTTGTTGAAAGAAGAATGTGTATTCTAAAGTCATTGGATGAAATGTTCTATATATATCTATTAGATACATTTGATCTATAGTACAAATTAAATCTGATGAATCTTTGTTGATTTTCTGTTGGATAATATCTCCAATGCTGAAAGTAGGCTGTTGAAGTATCCAACTATTATTTTATTGGAGTCTCTCTCTTATCTGTAATAGTATTTGCTTTATATATTTGGATGCTACAGTGTTGGGTGCATATGTATTTACAATTGTTATATCCTCTTGCTGAATTTACACCTTCAACAGTATATAATAACCCTCTTTGTCTCTTTTTATCATGTTTGTCTTGAAATCTATTTTGTGTGATGTAACATAGTTGCTCCTACTCTTTATTGGTTACCATTTGCATACAGTATCTTTTTTCATTCTTTTATTTTCAGTCTGTATGTGTCTTTATAGGTGAAGTGTGTTTTTCAGGCAACAGACAGTTGGGTCTTACTTTTTTCATCCATTCAGCAACTCTGTGTCTTTTGATGGGGGAGTGTAGTCCATTTACATTCAAGTTACTATTGATAAGCCAAGACTTGCTCCTGCCATTTTGTGTCTTTTTTTTTGTTTGTTTTCTGGTTGTTTTGTGGTCTTCTCTTCTTCCTTCCTATCTTCCTTTACACGAAGACAATTTTCTCTGTTGGTATGTTTTAATTTTTTGATTTCTATTTTTTGTGTATCCATTGTATGTTTTCAGATTTGAGGTTACCATGAGACTTGCCAGTGCTATCTTATAACCCATTATTTTAAACTGTTGACATAAAAAGTCATCAGTTATGATAGTTATGATAACTATGATTGCATAAACAAATTAACAAATATGCAAAAAGAAAACTAATAAAATCTCTACACTTTAACTTCACCTCCCCACTTATTAACATTTTGTAGTTTCTATTTACATCTTATTGTACTATCTATGTCTTGAAAAGTTGTTGCAGTTATTATTTTTGATTGGTTCGTTTAGTCTTTCTACATAGGACATGAGTAGTATACATATCACACTTACAGTGTTATAATAGTCCGTGCTTTTCTGCATACTTACTATTTCCAGTTAGTTTTGTACCTTTTGATGATTTCTTATTACTCAATAATGTCCTTTTCTTTCTGATCGAATAACACCCTTTAGCATTTCTTGCTGGACAAGTGTGGTGTTGATGAAATCCCTCAGCTTTTATTTGTCTGGGAGTCTTTATTTCTCCTTCACATTTGAAGCATATTTTTGAAGAATATACTATTCTAGGATAAAAGTTTGGTTTTTTCCCTTCAGCACATTAAATATGTCATCCCACTCTCTCCTGGCCTGTAAGGTTTCAACTGAGAAGTCTGCTGCCTGACATATCGAAGCTCCATTATATGTCATTTGTTTCTTTTCTCTTGCTGCTTTTAGAATCCTTTCTTCATCCTTAACCTTTGGAAGTTTGATTATTAGATGCCTTCAGGTAGTCTTACTTGGGTTAAATCTGCTTGGTGTTGTATAACCTTCTTGTACTTGAATATTGATATCATTCTCTAGGTTTGGGAAGTTCTCTGATATTGTCACTTTGAATAAACTTTCTACTCAATCTCTCTGTCTCCTTTTTAATTCCAGTCACTCTTAGATTTGCCCTTTGAAGTTATGCAAAACCTATAGAACACAGCAAACACAGTATAAGAGGGAAGTTTAGAGCTGTAAGTGGTTACACCAAAAAAAAGAAGAAAAACTTCAAATAAACAACCTAACACTATATTTAAAAGAATTAGAAAAACAAGGGCATACAAGAACCCAAAGCTAGTAGAAGAAAAGAAACAATAAGGATCAGAGCAGAAATAAATAAAATCTAAATAAAAAAATAAAAAAGATCAATGAAACAAAAGTTTGTTTTTTGAAAAAATAAACAAAATCAACAAATTTTTAACCAGACTAAGAGAGAAGATTGAAATAAATAAAACCAGAGATTAAAAAGGAGATGTTACAATCAATACAGCAGACATTCAAAGGATTATTATTGGTTACTATGATCAACTATATGACAATAAGTTGACAAACCTAGAAGAAATGGCTAAATTCCTATACACATTCAACCTACCAAGAAAGAACCAGGAAGAAATTCAAAACCTGAAAAAGCCAACAACAACCAAGGTACAACCACGGATATTGAAACTGTGATAAAATGTTTCCCAGCAAAGAAAAGCCCAGCACCTGATGGTTTCACTGCTGAATTTTACCAAACATTTAAGGAAGAACTAATACCAATATTACTCAAACGCTTTCAAAAAATAGAGGAGGAGGGAATACTTCCAAACTCTTTGTACATGGTTAGCATTATCCTAATACCAAAACCAGATAAAGACACATAAAGAAAGAAAAACTATAGGCCAATGCCCCGATGAACAATGATGCCAAAATCCCCAACAAAATACTAGCAAAGTGAATTCAACAACACGTGAAATAGATTGTTCATCATGACCAAGGGGGATTTATCCCAGTGTTGCAAGGATGGTTGAACACATGCAAATCAGTCAGTTTGACACATGATATGAACAGAATGAAGGAAAAAAAAACATATAATTATTTCAATTGGCACTGAAAAAGCATTTGATAAAATTCAACATCGCTTCATGGTTACAAAAACCCTCAAAGAACTAGGTATAGAGGGAACATACCTCAACACACAAAAAAAACCATATATGACAGACCCATAGCTAGTATTATACCAAAAAGGGAAAAATGGAAAGCCTTTCTTCCAAAATCTAGAATATAACAAGAATGTCCACTTTTGAATAACTACTGTTTATTCAACATTGTACTGGAAGTACCAGCTAGAACAATCAGACAAGAGAAAGAAATAAAGGGCATCCAAATTGGAAATTAAAGAGTTGAATTATCCTTGTTCACAAATGATATTATCTTATATTTGGAAACACCTAAAGACTCCACCAAAATACTACTAGAACTGATAAATTCAGTAAAATTGCAGGACACAAAATCAATACACAAAATTAATAGCATTCCTATACGCCAATAGTAAACAGTATAAAAAATAAATAAAGTAATTTTACTTACAAAAGCTACAAATAAAATTAAACACCCAAGAATTAACTTAACCAAAGAAGTGAAAGAGTTCTACTATGAAAACTGTAAAACACTGATGAAAGAAATTAAAGATACCAAAACAGGAAAGATATTCCATGTTCATGGATTGGAAGAATCCATAGTTTATATGTGTACAACCCAAAGCAATCTACAGCATCAATGCAATCCCTATCAAAATATCAATGATATACTTCACAGAAATAGAAAAAACAATCCTAAGATGTATATGGTAGAAACACAAATTACCTGAATAAATATTCATTCATCATGACCAAGGAAGATTTACCAAAGAGTTATATGCACTCCTATGTTAATTGCAGCACTATTCCCAACAGTCAAGATTTGAAAGTCACCTAAAAGTCCATCAACAGACAATGGATAAAGAAAACATGGCACATATACACAATGGTGTACTATTCAGCCATAAGAAAGAATGAGATCCTGTCATTTGTATCAACATGGAACTGGAGGTTATTGTGTTAAGTGACGCAAGCCAGGCAGAGAAAGACAAACTTTGCATATTCTCACTTATTTTCTAGAGCTAAAAATTAAAACAATTGAATTCACGTAGATAGACAGTACAATGATAGTTATCAGAGGCCTAGAAGGGTAGTTGGCGGGGGGAGAGGAGATGGTTAATGGGTACAAAATAATAGTTAGAAAGAATGAATAAAATCTAGTACTTGATTGCACAATATTCAATAATAATTTAGTTGTTACATTTTAAGATAACTAAAAGTGTATAATTGGATTATATTTAATGTAAAGGATAAATGCTTGAGGTGATGAATATCTTATTTACCCTGATGTAATTATTACACACTTTATATCTGTATCACAATATCCCATATACTCCATTAATATATACACCTGCTATGTACCCACAAAAATTAAAAATTAAAAAAAAGAAAAGAAATAAGCTAAACACGTTTGGTACAGTGGCTCACACTGGCAATCCTTGCTCTTTAGGAGGTCAACATGGGAGCATCACTGTAGGGTAGGAGTTCAAGACCAGCCTGGGTAACATAGCAAGACCCTCTAAAAATATATTAAAAATCAGCCAATTGTGGCAGTGCATGCTTGTAGTCCTAGCTACTCAGGAGGCTGAGGCAGGAGGCTGTAGTCCTAGCTACTCAGGATCTCTTGAGCCTAGGAGTTCATGGCTTCAGTGAGCTATCATTGCACCACTGCACTCCAGCCTGGGCAACAGTGCAAGACACTCCCTCTTTAAAAGTAAAGAAGAAATGAACTAAATGGAAATAAGATTTAATCAAATACAATTATTAGTTATATTTGCTTAGTAAAACAAATAAACTAACAAAAGGCAACATTTATTAGTAAAGTGCTTACAATCTCACAGCTACATGATTACAAGTTTTCATTAACCATTGCAATAATCATTAAAATGAGTAAAATTTCCCTCCAAGGTATAGTCAATAAATAAAAAGTGAAAGGCTGATTATTGAGGCCTCAGAAACTATACCAATTTCCCAATCTAAAAAAAAGGGATGTTGCTAAGATATGCTGTGGATCTCATTTTTTTATATGTACATCTTGAGCAATGAAGCTCCCTTTAGAGTAATATGAGTGACTGTCCTCTGTGAGTTGACACTCTCTACCCAACTCCCAGCTGATTTCATTTACCTAAGTGAGTAAAATCCTAACAGCACAAAAGAGATCAGATAGAGAGTACCCTGTTAGTAGATGTTTTTTTCTTTTTGGAGTATTCGATGGTCAGAAAGCATAATCCAGGAATCCTCCAAAGCACAATGTGGTAAGCTGAAAAAGCAGTCCCTACTCAGCATCATCTGACAAATCACTGTCTGGTTCCCCCAATGACAACTGAAATGAACACAAATTATGTAAATGGGAAGAAATTAAGAAATTAGTTTTTGAAGAACAGAAAAGAAATGTAACCTGTCTGAAAGAATCTCAGCCTGAACTGCTGGGGATTTGAGGCTGTCATTTCTGGCAGGGAAAAATATCCATATTGAAAAAAATATTTGTGAAAGTAGTGGAAGGAATCAAATACTTCAATTGTTTTAAGTAGGGAAATAAACCTTCTATTCCATGTCATGGAACTGTAGGTCACAGGGCAGGAAACGCATGCAATCAGATGGCATCAGGTGGTGAATTCCTATTCACTAACTGGGCCACCTTTGATAGGTCATGTCTCCTCCACCCCGTCTCAGTTTTATCATCTGTAATGTCCTCTTTGAATTCTATTTAATACTCCATTACAAGTATAAATTGTCAAGGAAAATTTCTTTCAGTTCTTGAGAGACTAATGAAGAGGGTTCAAGTTGAGGAATTGTCCATTATCTCAAATAAAGCTCAGAAACTTTGAAGAAACCAACTGCCTTTGATCTTTCTCCCAATAATAATAAAGCCTTTACATTTTCAGGCTTCTTTTCCCATGCAATACAATGTGGAGTCTGCAAAAGAACATAGTCAGTAATCTTCAGAGTTGAGATCTGACAAGGATACTCTTGTTTCTTGAGCAAAGTGTATCCAAGCTCCTCTGAGCCCTCTTCTTGACTAGGCCTCAAGCTTGGCCTAGAAACACGTAAAAAAAGAAAAAAAAAAAGAGAAAAAGGAAAAAAGAAAAGAAAAGAAAAAACTCACTTAGGTTCTAATAGCTCAGGGCCACATCTCTGGAAGGACCCTGGTTCACTTAAATGTCTACCTAAGAAAACTCAAGGCTGCAAAAAGAATTTACAGTTTACGGCCTTACGGCCGGGCATGGTGGCTCATGCCTGTAATCTCAGCACTTTGGGAGACCGAGGCAGGCGGATCATGAGGTCAGAAGTTTGAGACCAGCCTGGCCAGCAAGATGAAACCCCATCTCTACTAAACATACAGAAAATTAGCTGGGTATGGTGGTGCATGCCTGTAGTCCTAGCTACTTGGGAGGCTGAGGCAGGAGAATTGCTTGAACCTGGCAGGTGGAGGTTGCAGTGAGCCAAGATTGCACCACTGCACTCCAGCCTGGGCAACAGAGCGAGACTCCGTCTTGAAAAAAAAAAAAAAAAAAGAATTTACAGTTTACTGTTTGTGCCAGCCCACACCTGAAGATAGGGCCTCTGTTTTCTCATCTCTTGGGAGAGCAGGAGCCAAACTTCACTAAGTGCCAGTTAATAAACCCAGATGGGTTTCACACGGAACAAGCCTCCATTCCTGCTTTTTTAACTTTTCACTTTCCTGACTCCATGGATCCCCAGCTCACCCTCCTCTCAACTGCCTTCTTCTCCCTGACAAACATCCAGTCACCTGTGTATAAATCAGAGTTGAGTTCAGTTTGTGCTGAACTCTTTTCCCTATTGCAATGAATATTTCTGATAAAAATTTGTCCTTAATCGCTTTAGCTACTGACTGGCTTTGTTTGACAGGCCTTAAATGATGCCCTCATTCTGAGGCTTTGGCAGCACTTGGTATAATTGTGGAAAGCATTTCTACTTCTTTGAGGGTAAGCCATTTTTCACAAACATAGTACAGTACCAGTTGACATCAGAAAAATGCACGGGACTTGAAGACACATTTTCTTTCCATTGGTTTCCTGTATTAATTATTTCAAGCTCATCAGTGCTCTGTGGGGCAATAGGCAATATTTCACCAAACCTAAAATCATGTAAAAATGGCTTCCTTCTGATGTTGCTTTTCCATCTCGTGAAATGGAAGTTGCAAAGGAAGATTCATCAAACTCTCATTAATGGGCACTCTGGAGCTCTGGCTATGCTGGGATAAACAGCATTGGCTCAGATAAAGTATAAACCTAGTGGCTTTCAAAATGAAAACTAATGAATCTGAGTGGGATAGTGATCAGAATAAGGAAGTAAGGCCAATAACATTTCTGGGTAACTTGCCATGAGCCAAGCACTGTCTTACAAAGTTTACATATATCTTCTCATTAATCTTTAAACATCTCTAAAGAAGAAACTAACCCTAATCTTACTTTGCAAGTTAAAAAATAAAAAAAACCAACAACTTAAATTTGAAGAGCTTGAATAATTTGCAAATGCCCATACACTGGTAAATAGCAATGAGGGATGTGGATTTGAGCCTGGGACTGTCTGACTCCAAAGCACTTCCACGTGACCAACTCATCCTACTACAGTGACACAGCACAAGACACTTATTTCCTTACCTTCTTAAAGCAACTGGAGTCTTTGATTCCTTCCAGTTTCCACAAAGGTTTTTTCAATACAGATTTTCCCTGCCAGAAATTAGTCTCAGATCCCCAACAGTTTAGTCTGAGAT
This sequence comes from Homo sapiens, assembly GCF_000001405.40. Taxonomy (NCBI): domain Eukaryota; kingdom Metazoa; phylum Chordata; class Mammalia; order Primates; family Hominidae; genus Homo; species Homo sapiens. Next base: position 59,916,560 of record NC_000008.11, read on the forward strand.
CCTTTCAGACAGGTCAAATTCCATTTTTTTATTCTCTAAAACACTAATTTTTTAGTTTCCTCCCATTTCAAACAATTTGTGTTCATTTTAGTTGGAGAATCTGGAGGGAGGGAGTTGTCTGACGGTACTGAGTAGGGGCAGTCATTGGGGAGGGTTTAGGGACAGGAATAGGGAGACGAAGGGTAATGTTAGGATGAAGGGGGCAGGTTAGGGGTATGGAGAAGGAAGCCTGCAGGGCTGGGCTGTGGAAGGAGGGCTAGTAATGGACCACGTTCCCAGCACAGACATTCGCAACACATTATGCAGTCACTGCTCAGGTCCCTGAGAGCTGAAGTTGCAGCATTCATTAGTGACTGGTGAACAGAGGGTGCTACAGGTATAGTTGCAGGGAAATATGGATTCTTAAATCTCCATGGGAATATTCTTGCAGAACCAAAGGAAGAGTCCATATGGGAATTGAAAGAAGATGGAGTTAGAGGACAATCTATAAAGAGGAGGAATTTCAGGGATGATGACCCAGCTCTTGTGGGTGAGGCTGTGCAATGTGAGTTTTATGATCTTTTTCACCAGGTCAGGGTATTCTTGGGGCAATGCAGACAATCTGCAATCTTAGGATTGTATTTTTGAAGGGGGTCTCTGAGACAATTGCTTTTAGGGCTGGGGCCCATCATAATGAGCCTTTCTTCTTTATATTGTCTAGTCATTCCCTAAATTAGCTGAAGTCTGTAAGTCGATTATAATGCAGCAGTTAGATTTGAATATAAATTCCACGATTGAAATGTAAGAGTGCAATCTGCTTTAATTTACACATTTCAAAAAGGTTGGTGACTCATTGGTAACAAAGATGTGAGAGGTGGGAGGAATCCTGTGGCTAAAGACCTGATCACCTCCATCAAAATTCTCTACACTAGTTGGCCTCATAGGAAGGGTACATTGACAATCTCTCTAGGACAGCATAGATATCCTTGTATGCCCCTGGTCCACGCTACTGTTCTAGTAACTGCTGAGACCCAGGGGCAGAAACACTATCTCCCCTCCTCCAAAAGAATGCTGAAGGACCTGTCTTCTTTGAGAGCCTACTGGCTGCCACAACTGCAGTATCTCCAGGGGCATGAACCTGGAATGATGAGCAACTGCAACTTTCCACTCTCCTGTTGTGCTGGGGATCTCCCTAACCTCTCCTCTGGTCTACGGAGCTGACATTAGGCTTAGATTTTATTCTACTCACACTCTGTGTGTTTGCAATCTTGATGGATGGCTCACTCATATAGAGAAAGGAACTTGCTCCTAGTTCCACTTGTAGAACTAGAAACTTCCTGGTTAATCTGTATAGCACAAGAGATAATGCATACAAAATAACTCACACAATAATCTGAAGTTATTACAATGTTTTAATTTTTATGTATTTTTTATTGTGTTATACATTGTTAATTACTATACTACTATCAGATGTGTGCATAAATATGTATACTCTATTAATCAAATATTACGTGCTAACTTTCTTAAGGGAACTATATATTCTTGTTGGGAATTGAAAGAAGACAGGAGTTAGGGGACAATATTATGAAACTGTAATAGGTGTGAGGATAAAACAGAAAAGATAGGGCACAAGCCAATTCTAGCATGTTCTTTTTAACAGATATTCTGGGAGGTGTGGGATAGAAAATTACTATAAGAATGCAATCTCTCCTCAGCTAGTGACCTGAGAATCTAGTGGAAGCATGTACTGTTATGGTTGCTGCAGATGAGTATTACATACCATAAATAAGGACATAAAGTTACTTCAGTTTTAGTTTTCACACTATTACCAATACATTAACCTCTGCAGTGCCCTCATTTCTTGCTTATTTGGCAACAGTTTTACCTGCAATTTCGTTCACATCAATCTAAGACCTGCCAGATATTTCTTGAAGCTTCTGAGATATATTACAGCCAGAAGATGTGTGAAAATGGGCTTCTTTACTGGGGACAAACATACTAGCTTCTTTATCAGATCCTATTCATTTTGATTGTTGCATTGAGCTCCAGTGGCAAAAAATGGGTTAAAGTGATTTTTTTTTCTGCTGAGCCATTTTTTTTCATATGTTCAACAGTGCAGCAAAAGTTAATTCATTCTAAAGCACATGGCTTTCCAGCAACATTGTCAATATTATAATGTTCCTTTGCAGCTCTGGCCTAGCCAGTTTATTAGAGGAAGGGAAAATACAGATGGGCCGACAAGCATGGCTATATTTTGTTGTTGTGGAAAAAAACTATCAAAGAACTTTTATGAATCATTTTCTTTATTCCAATATATAGGCCTCTGCTAAAATTCAGAAGTTAATGCTTTTTATTATTTTTTTTGCCCATCCCCTTTCTATTAGCTGAGCTGTTTATAGATCTTTAAAACAGGATAGAGTATTTTATTTTGCTTCAAGACAGGCAAAAAGGAAGCCTACCAATTATTCTTGTTTTAACTTCAGTGAAATCTCTTTTTTTTAAGAAAAGAGTTCAATATGATTTCTTTAGAAAATGCCCTCCCACCGATATAGTTACATGCAAGGCAGAGAAAATGTCTGCTGTTTTTTACAACAGGAAATGAAACAATCTCATAGTTCCTGAATGATTACAGAGAAAATACCAAAAGGGCATACGTTACAATCTGTCATGTCTGCATCATAACAAGCTCAGCCAGTATCTCCATAGATGATAGACGGCTTGCCACATGCTGGTGTTAGGGAACTTGTGGTGCCATCTTTGTTGCCTCCAGCTGGGCAGAGGGCAATGACACACAGGGTCTTGTACAGAGGAAGGGAGTTAAAATCAAAATCAGCTCACCCTGATAAACTTCCAGAAACTTCCAGCTGGTCAGCATAACTATTCTTTATTGGTAATACCTTCCACAATGCAAGTTCTTGCCCTTTACTCAACATGGCATTAAATAATGTAACAGTGACTCCAACTTAAAATACATTATCTACTTATTTTATTTCGTATTGCACTTTGTGCTCTGGCCAAGCCCTTTTCTAGCTGGGATCCCGCTGGGGTAGCAAGTTGGTGCTCTTTCTGTCTCAAAATTAGGTCAGATATCAAAGTCTTTCAAATGGGAAATTCTCCCTTTTCTTTCATCTTCTTTAAGGGCCAGGCAGACTGGAAGTCAGCCACTGAGATATCCCATTGTGCCTATATAAGAAATGTTTAGACATTCTCCATATTGCTATAAATAGAAAGAAGTTAAGGTACTTTGTTTTGTATAAAGTGACTGCCTATACTGGATAGAAATAAATAATTATATACTTTTCAATAAGTGTCAAGCATGATGGGATGTAAAGTATGTAGGCTTTAGAGTAGGAAAGGCTCAGGTTGAAGTCCCAGCTCTACCATTTACTATTTTTGTGACCTTGGGTAAGATACTGAATCTCTTTGAGCTGTTTTCCTAACACGTAATTGGATCTAAAAATAATGACCTTATAAGGTTTTAAAACTATTAAATGACACAGTGAATATAAATTGCTTCCTATACAGTAAGTAAGGCTCCTTCCTTCCTATTACATCAAGGCTCCACACTGCCCCTTTAACTTAAGACAGGGAATACTAGATTTTTGTAAAGTGGAAAATAGTTTTGTGTTCTTGACGAAGGCTGAAATCGATGAAAGAAAGAAAATAGCAAGGAAATGTAAAGGAGAAGTACAAGAAAATAGAAGAAGTGAAAATGAAAAAGAGAAGATGAAAAGGAAGTTACCGCTAAGCTCCAGTGAAACCTGACTCAATTCTGGGATATTTACAATAATGATGACTAAGCCTTTTAATATATGCCACTGTGAAGCCAAGATTCACATACAGCAACATTTAATTTAGAAAGTAGGGAAATGCTACAATCTGGATAGGTATATACCAAGCTATCTCAAAAAAAATTTATTTCCACATATAAAATTTGAATAAATCTATTTTAATGAAGCCTTCAATTGTCCTTTCCTAGATTAAACCATATGTAATTTAAGATTTTCAATATACTTTATTTAAAAACATCTTTAAAAATCTCTGTAAGGTAACTCCCTAAGGTATCACACAATTTCTGGGCACCCACAATTGAAGTGTGATTCAAATTAGTCCTCAAGTTGTTCAAATAAAAATCTATGGGCTGAAAGTATCACAGTTTGAGGAGATATGTAAATTTTCAAAGTTACTTATATCTTTGAGATATGCATGAAAAAATGGATTAAAATGTGAAATTGGAATGAATAGGTTTAAATTAACCAGTGAGCTTCTCTAATCCTGAGGGCAAGTCAAAATTATTGAGAAGATAAAATATTTTTTGTTGAAATCTGGTGGTCCTGCCAGCAACCTTCCTGAAAGTGATGCTCCAGGAAATGGTATTATTCCTGAGCGTAATACCATTCGAGACCTGAGTGTGCTGCTTGATTTAAATTAACTTCTAACTGGCTCCACAACCATTGTCATCTCTCTCCCCTCTACCCCCAGATTTTGCCATAACTTCATAATCAGAATATTCAGTGATAGTATCTTCAATCTGCAATTATTTTCCCTAAAGCACTGACATCTAGGAAATAGTTGTCACCACTTCCATTTAACCAACACAGGAATTGTTATGATGGAGTGATCCTCCTGACTTGGGCACCAGGACACTTCGTTCTAGCCCCACCCCACTTTGGAGGTATGTCACTTAACCTCACTGGCCCTCGTCTCAGAGTCAAGGGCTTGATTAGCTCATCTCCAAGGTCCTTTTCTGCTCAATCATCCAATGATTCTATAATGTACTTGCTAAGTGGTGTGCCTAATCACACAATTACTCAGTGGTCCTCCTGAACTAGAAGTGAATGATCACTTGTCAGGGGCATTGTAGAGGGTATTTGTGAATTAGCCAGAGGTCAGATTATAACCTCTGAAGTCCCTTCGAACTCTAATTCTGCTCCTGCATCTGGGTCAGCTGACTCCTGGCCCAATGCACTATCCATCAGAAGGGCATTACCTCCTCTTGGAAGCAGCCAATTTCTAGTTCATTAATAGAGAGATCGTAAGCATTAAAAGCAGGCTGTGTGAGTGAATGATAAATATAAACCATTACCAACTTGTCTTCTTACTAAAATAATTGCATATGGAATTCTTTTCATCCCATTGTAAAATAATTCTTGCCATGAGAAATAAAGAGAAAATAGAGGCATTATTTTGGTGCCCCCAAGTGGGGAACTCTGATGGCTGCAGTCAAATTACACCTTTCTCAGGCTTAGGGGCATCCTGTACCACTTAAATGGGATTGTTGGTCCTTTCTAACTGTCCCTGACTATCTTTGTCCTACAAGGTCTTCTGGAGATTTTCCTTCTCAGCTTAGACAGACTGAAGTTATCTAAAAAAAAAAAAAAAAAAAGAGTAGCCATTCTGAATATCTCCGAGAGTCTGGGTTCTTTTGAAGGATTCCAATTGACTTAAATGTGTTCCAATGAATCCAACCTGATCAGTGGGGCAAGCCCTCGGCTATTTATTTGAGTCTGTATGTAATATGGGTCTTTGAACTATTTCGTTTTTCTTCCATTTAGAATAATGAGCTAATAGAATAGTTATCTGTTGGAATAGTTAAGTCCCAATCCACACTCTGCTTTCCACAGCATGCATTCCAGAGGCAGAGATTCAGGACTAGAGCAATCTGACAAAACTATGACTTCTTTTTTGCTGCAGATTTATTAGCATTTGAGAATACTGGTTGTATAAACAGATACTCTGATGTCATTTTGTCACAATAGCCAATGACCAGAAATAGGTAGCACTGTACAGCTAACTATAGCTCCTTTGAATAATAGGGTTTTATTTAAGAATGAGGCATGTCTTTCTATCCATTTTTCCAGTGACACTCAGTACTTCTGACCTTCATTTGAACCAAGTTTTCGGCAAATACGATCTGTATACATTACTTTAAACAATTTTTTTTTTCTTTTTTACTTCACAAGACACTGTTCTGGATTAAAAGGTTCTGGGAAGGCTTTATGGAAACAGATTTCAATTGAGAGGAGAGAAAGGAGGTAAAAGGAGAAAAGGAATTTCTAAGTTAGTATAATATATAAGCAACCATAGCAGAAAAAGTTGAGAGATTTGTTTGAGGAACAGTGAGTTTTGCTGAAGCAAAATACTGGAAACTATAAATAACTGAAGATGTTAATTGAGATGAAAGTATGAATCATGAGCCATGAAACAAAAATTCAGGCTTTGATTTCTTAGGCTAATAATGTTATTGTTTATCCTGTAGGCCAGAAATGAACATAGTTAGCATACGTTGCATCTCTTTCTGCATTTGTTCTTCTCAGACTATGGCAGCTATCCCTAAATGATGATCATATTCTTTCCTACTAAGTCTTAATGGGACCTCAGAATCCTTCATAATACTTTATTCTAGACAGCAATTACCATTATTTAGGGTTAATTCAAAAGATAAAACCAGCTTAACCACTTTCCACTAATCTAGACAATGAAAATGGAACATATTTTAAGGCAGGATGAAAAATCAATTGAGGTAATTGGTTGGGAAGAGGCTTATTGTTCTAACCTAGGAGAGATGAAAAGCTGTTCTCATTTAGTTCAATGAACAAACACTTATTGAGTGCCCACTGTGTGCTAAGTAGTGTGGCAGGGGCTGGGACCTGGTAAGAAGTATGATAATGGCAGTGAATGAACTAATTGAAAATTTGTGTTTGAGAGCCTGGAACGATCACAATAGAAACTCAAGGGAAAAACTGATCTGGAAGGAAAAGAAGGGTAAGTTATGTTGGGAATAAATGAGTTTTTCTTGGGAGACTGTACAAAAAGGAAATCCTATGAATCAGATTGAATTATAAATACACATTTACAAGGCAGTAAAATAATAGAGATCCCATGAAGAAAACAAAAAATTGCTGTTCATAAAAATAAAATAAAGTGCAAGGATGGTCTAAAGTGCTGGGAAGCAAAATAGGAGAACTTAGAAAAGAAAGTTGTCAACAAGTAGGCGCAAGCTATTGGGATGAGATTGTGTTTGACAATCAGGAGATCATTGGTGACATGAAAAATTTTTAACAAAATAAAAAGTATATTTAGCTTGCAAGAGTATAAAGGAAACACAAGCACCAAAGAATTAGCGGGAATAAGTACCAGGATATCAAAGCATTTCACAATAAAAGGAAATAAGGAATTAGATATTACCTATAAGGAATTAGACATATATTACTTATATCTAATTCCTTATTTCCTTTTATTGTGAAAATTTCCTGCAGAAATAGATGATAGTTGAGAACAGTCTATCATCTCACCTGTAGATTAGAACAACAAGCCTCTTTCCAACCAATTATCTCAATGGACTTTTCATCCTGCCTTAAAAGATATTGATCTTCCCATTTTCATTGTCTAGATTACTAGAAAGTGGTTAACTGGTTTTATCTTTTGAATCAACCCTAAAGAAGGGAGCATCAAAAAAAAAAAGAGACTGCTAATTGCAAATGATCTTATTTTGACAGATAATACTGTATATATATCTAAGTAAATTAATTAAATATCTTCATTTATTTTACATTTTAACATCATAAGATACTACTGAATACTTATATACAAAAAAAATAGAGATGCCTGAATGTGTTGAAGGGAAAAAAGTAGATGCCAGCATAGAGAAGAAAGGATTGCAGATGTTGGGAAGAGGACAGTGGATAGAAGGAGCCAACGCCTAAGACGGTCTTGGAAGCTGAGATCAAGAACCTAAGTCAAATGTTGACAAGAAGAGCAAGAGAAATGTTCTTCCCTTCAAGGTGGGAAGTGAGGATGTGGAGATAGAAAGTAGAAAAATCAAATAGAAATACCAAAAGAGAAGGAAATATTGAAAGATTTCTACTTAATATACTTAGTGAAATAGCAAATATAATAATTTGCAGAAAGGAAAGAATGTCACAGAATGCCATCAAGCATTAGATTCAAGTGGAGAATATTTGGGTGAAATAGGAGAGAAAAATTTTCTTACATATTTACCAAATACTTTTGTGTGCCTATCATGTATCAAACAGAATGTTAGGTGCTGGGGATACAATAATAAGTGAAATTGTTATCGTCACTACCCTCAAAAATCTTATGTTGCAGGAAGGTAGATTTTTTAAAAATACATTACAAATAAAATAATTGAGTTAGATTAGGTACTACAGGGATAACCAGGGACCGGATCACATAGGTTTTTGTATGCAATGACAAAAATGTAGCTGTTACTCTACTTCAGTAGAAAGCCATTTGAGGGATATAAGGGAAAAAGTGATATGTTAAACTATTTACATGTTAAGAAAAAAAATTTTTTTGCAGTATGGAGAATGAATTGGAGAGAAGCAACAGTGAAAGCAGTGGAGGCTGCAGGTGAAAGAAATTGGAGACCTGGACAAAAGTCATGGAGAGAAGATGGAGAAAAAAGGGGAGTCAACATATTTTTGGAGAGAAGATTGGCAGGACTTGCTGAAAGAATGAAGGTGGTGAGTGTGGGACAGATTTGCAGCCTAACTCCATGGGAGAGGGAAGGTTGATGGGCCAGAGAGGAGATCTAGGTAATATTAAGGACGCCTTAAGTTTAAGATGTATGTGAGATCAACACATAGAGATAGCAAGCATGTGGTTCACTATGGAAGTTGCTCAGAGGATAGGTCTGAATAGAAGATGTAAATTAGAGATGAATGTACATGACCCAGTGGGAAGAATTAAGATCACCATGACAGAGTATGGAGAGAGAAGAGGAGAATGAGGGCCCAAGACCTTTCAACCTGTATTTGGGAGGTTGGTCATAGGAACTAATAGTTAAGCAAGTTGTGTCTGCATCCAGAAGATCAGAGATAGAATCTGAGTTTTACCATTCAATGTCCTCATCATAAAATGAAGATAATCACAGAACCTACCTCATGGAGCTATCATTGAGGATTAGAGCTGCTGCATGTAAAATGCTCAGAACAATGCCCGGTTCATGTTAAAAATTTAATCAATCAATATTATTATTATTATCTGGAGATCAAGGAACAAAGAAAGAGACCATAAGGGAGACTGGACATCTTTGAAACTGTTTAAGGGTGAGTGAAGTCAGAGTTGGCAGTAATTGCTATCCTGGATACCTAGAAATTGCAAGGATATTCCTACTGATTGCAGAGTGGACAATTTATACTGCCTGGACCTTATGGAATGTAAATGCTGAATTTTTTCAAATGAAGAGAAAAGTCACTATTTATTACACATTGATTGATCATCTTCTGTGTGCCAGACACTTGATTAGATGCTGGGAACAGAAAGACTCAGAAGAAAGGTCTCTACCTTGGGTGAGTTTAAAATCTAATAAGGCAGGTAGAGCAGATATGTGTCCTTGGAGTGTTTTCCTATGGCTAGATTCAAATTAATATCAAGGCTGTGATAGGACTTCCTAACTTGGCTTTATATAAAATACAAGAATAATAAAAATAAAGATGACAAAAAGCTAAGTAAAGGCCCTCGAGAATTTACTGCAAAAATAGAGCAGCTCTTTTAACAAAGAACTAATAAAAGCAAAACTTTAACATTAAAAAAATTTTCCATATCCCATGGTTACAAATTTTTATTTAAGATTTTACTCCTACTATATATCCAGCTATAATGGCTTTATTCTAGCTATTATATTCAATCCCAATACCCCAAGGTGTTTTTTACACTATAAAGCATCTTCCTGCATTATTAGAGTAAATTAGTTAGCAAAAGAATGAGATATTAGTCCTGTAAAGGTCACATCATCCCGATTACAAGAAGCCAATAAAGTGGAATTCTTGCCTTTAATAGTTGAATGTCATAAGAGGGAGAATAGACAGCTTACATTTCCCTCTGTGGTGGAGAGATGTTTTTGTTCTCAAAATTATGTTCCTCAAAGTGCTGCTGGTGTTTGTTTCCCAAGACAATGAAAGTGGCATGATTGTTGGAAAGGTTGCATTATCTGGGGGTGAAAAATCATATGGCCAGCCAGGAGGAAAACACTACTGCCTCTAACTCATCAGAAAATGCTTAACATTTACATAAATTTTTTTCAGGATTTTGATGAACACGAGGGTTCTTTTTTTTCAATTTGCAGAAAAGGTAACCAGGGAGAGAGAAGTAAACCTTTTATTTGTCCAGTACCACAAACTAATGATGATCTGAGATCAGACCTATAGTCATTGGAGTCCCAATCCATTGCTGCTTCCAACTCACCTAATCAAATACAATTCTGCTATGCACTTAGCTTTCTTCATTGGTAATAAAAGCTGAAGACAATTGCATTTTTACTCTGTCTTATGAGCAGTTCATGAACATCATCATTAAAATGCTATGTTTAAATACAGACTCTACGCACTAGGCTCAAGTCTAATTGTACAGGTACATTATTTCATTAAACTTTTGCAACAACCCTCTGGGGTGCATAGTAATGTTATCCTCATTTCTGAAATCTGATCACTGAGACAGTGTTTCACTTAAGGTCACACAGTTAGTAAATGGTAGAGCCAGGATTTGAACCCAAGAAGTATGGCACTAGAAGGTCAAAGTTCTTAACCAATCCATCACATTACATCGCTGTAGACTACACATATTATCTCCCTGTACAGGTGCCTATGCCAATACACTGCACTCACCTCTCTAAGCTCAAACAAAAGAAATAAGTGTCATTGAAAATCTTTGAAGATTAAAAGAAAATACATGGTTATAATTATGACACACAAGAATGCTGTAAATACAAATGCAGGAGGATTGTGAGAAGCTTTTCAGAGTCAGCCAACACTGTAACCAGATTATGAGTCTCAGGATGAGGCTTACTGGTGATTCAGGATGACTAAGTCAGACAGCCCAAGTTTAATCCTGACTCCATCACTTGCTGTCGGAACTTGAACAGGTTATTTACCCTATCTGTGCCTCAGTTTCCCCATGTGGAAAAGGGAAAATTAGTAACAACTCTAACAATAACTTTTTTGTTGCCTTGCGAGGATTCCACTATATAATTCATATTTTTTTAAACTTAGAACTAAGTGTCTGGCACACCAGAAACCTTAAGGTTATGTTGTCTTCTATAATTACTATTATTAGGAGCAGGAGTAATAGGTGGAGAAGGAGTAGGAATAATAGCAGTAGGAATCACACAACTACTGTCTATTTTCTTCAACATGAGAGTCTGTTCAACAGGACTGTCCCTAGTCCATCACCTCCAGTGTATGGGGTGCAGGTGGCGGGTACCATCTGACCATCTTCCATGGCCCCCATCTGTGCTTAGCAACTTGTATCTACTCTACTGAAGATAAATGACTATATAGAAAGGCAAGTTTTGCTAAGGAGTTTTAGGCATCTTCTGTGATCAACCGCAGCATCTTCATTTTCCCTCAATTTCTCTTAGTTTGAGACAGTAATGTTGAATTATATCAGATGTCTACAATAACTCTTTTAGATCATTCATTCTACAATATTTATCAAGTTCCCATCATTTGTGTGAGGGGTAGGTGAGTGGTAAGGGGTGAAAAAGGGTTGGAAAAAACCCTGCATCTTGCCTTATTGAGCTTTCACTCTTCTCTGTGATTTACAATTAGAGTAGGAGGATGCAAGTTCTGCCCCTTACAGGGTGTTAGGTGGGTTGGAAATGGATGGAGACATACTAAGCCGTCACATTACTGGGGGACTCTATTGGCATTCAGAATTGCAAAGCATCCCTCAACATTAGAAAGGATTCTGCACACCAGGAAGAAGTCGCACACAAAATGCTAGCAGTGCCCTCTTTGAGAAACACTGAAATAAACTATGGAACACAGATTCAAGTTGATATAGCATTAGAGACCTACAAATAAAATACTAGGAAAATCAGATATAAAGGGTAACTGCTTGCTACGTAACACTGGAAATACTTTCCGCAGCAACCTGAATTTAAGCAGGGTCTTAAAGAATGTATAAAATTTGAATATTCAAGGAAGGGGATGAAGAAGACATATATGATTTTTGGATTCCTGCCATTGTCTCATAACGAGGACAGTCATATAACTTGTCTTCCAAACTAGGACACTTTTAAGAAGAGCAGGGACAATTAATAATTAGCAACCAGGACAACTGGTACCAATTGCAATTGCCCAACAAACAGAGGCATAATTATCTACTGATAACACAAGCTAATGGTAAGGAAAGAAATATTTGCTTTACCCATGAGAACGGTAAGGCATTAGCATGGTACAAGGCTCATTCAGAAGATGTGGAACGCACCAAGATGAAATTCCTTTTTCAGGAGCATGAGAAGTACTGAGACAGGTGTCCCAAGACACCAGAACTGATTTCAATTTGTCAATACCAAGTGAAGATCTTTGGCAATTTATGTACTTCTTCTGGGTGACATTCTTTCATCAGTAAAATAAATCGGTAGAAATATGCAATCTCTGAAACCCTCCACGGCTGTGACACTGTAAGATTTTTCTTGCCAAGATAGTCAAAGACTTATCAAACCATTTTTTCTCTACCCTATGTAGGCTGACTCTTTTCCTCAACTTCCTACTTTTTTGTAACCAGTATAGGCTTTTCCATTCCTTTTTTTTTTTTTTTCTTAAGAGACGGAGTCTCTCTCTGTCACCCAGGCTGGAGTGCAGTGGCGCGATCTCGGCTCACTGCAAGCTCCACCTTCCGGGTTCACGCCATTCTCCTGCCTCAGCCTCTGGAGTAGCTGGGACTACAGGTGCCCGCCACCGCGCCCGGCTAATTTTTTTTTTGTATTTTTAGTAGAGACGAGGTTTCACCGTGTTAGCCAGGATGGTCTCAATCTCCTGACCTTGTGATCCGCCCGCCTCGGCCTCCCAAAGTGCTGGGATTACAGGCGTGAGCCACCATGCCCGGCCTGGGCTTTTCCATTCTAAAGAAATATGTGCCTTCCTGAAAAATACTCTCATGTCCTGCAAAATTGCACTCTAAAAATCATTATTTGGGGCATAGAGTACACCTTCAAACCTATGCAATTTTATAACCAGAGCACTAACAAAAGCAGATTCTAATTCAGAAAAAAAATCATTGAATTTCTAATTTAAAATAATACTACAGACTTTACCTTAGATAAAAGCATTAAGAACTTTATTAAAAGTAGTGTGCAAAAGAGTGAAGTAAAATGCCTCTGGATCTGAGAAACTGTGCAACACGCACTTCCAAACAGAGCATGTGGTAAAACTGAGCAAAGAACAAATGCTAGGAAGGTCCCTGTGCACACCTGGAGCTCCTGCCTAGCATGCTTAGCTCCGCTGGGCTGGTGTATGTGGAGATTGGCTGGTATTATTTTGGTGACACATCATTAAAATTCTGGGGAAAAAATTGCTTATGAACTAACACAATTTCCACATTATAATAACATGATTCTTCTATTTACTGACTATGAGCTAATTTTCACTACAGAAGCATGCACAGGAGTAGAGAAATTTATCTGTGCAGTTCCATTTATTCTAGTATATTAGCATTGAATTCATTTATTCATTCATTTGTTCATCCACATCTACTGTATACCTGCAGTGTGCAAGGTGCAGTGATTGGGCTCATGGGAAACAAAAAACATAAATCTAAATGATAATAAATTGTTATTTGTTCCAAAGCTTGATGGCCAGTTCGGTAATGAATTCCCAGGTCAGAATGTGTATCAACCAGAAAGACCGAGATTATTTTGAGCTGGACACAGGAGCAGTTATCTGGACTCTCACTGTCACATATGTAATATTCTGAAGTGGACTGAGGTACCTTTTTCCCTTTTTCTTGTTAAAGTCATTCTCTCAGAAACTGATTTGTTTTGTGCTGCTTTCCATTCACATCACGATCCAATCAAACCACAGAATATAGGAAAGATCAAAGTAGTGCAGTCTAGCCATCTACAGTAATTCATAGAATATATGAGGCATTAAAATTTTCATTTCTCATTCTTGTAAGAAAGACTATAAAGGTAACCGAAAATGATGCAGAATATGAATTCATTCCTGAGACAATGATTGTAGCAAGAAGGGGGAAAGGCATAAACCAACAGACCCTTTTTTGCCTCAGTCTTAAGCCCTTTTTGAAAAACAGTTCTTGCCTATGTCATTCACACTTTTACTTTTATCCTTGATCCCTTCAGCTCTTCTCCTATCTAAATGGTACCAAAAAAAAAAAAAAAAAAAAAAACAGCCACGAAAACTTTTCAAGTATTGGCTTCCTGCATTTTCATCCAAAACAATTTTGCAGGCATCCTCACAAACACAAGAAAAAAAATTCCAAGGTTGTGCCTAGCGGACTCAGAAACAATTGATTGAAAAAGGAAAACTTTCTCCAGACAGCAAGCAGGAAGGGTAGCATGTTAGTCTGCAGTATGCCACGTCATGAGTTTTACCCTCCATGTTGCATTTCTTTCTGTTTATTAACCATTTTTATTCCAGAATGTTTTTAATTCCATATTTTTTGTTTAATGAAGTAAGTCTCAAACTAATGATTCACAGCAATTAAAATGGAAATTTCACCCATTTTAACCAGGAGACTGTGGGACACAAACAATATAGGAAGAGGCGAGTGTGTAAAATTGCATATCTCAACCAGAGACCAAAGTAATGTGATCAGAAAATTTAAGTACAAAAAGGGGTTTTTTTTAACCCTTTAAAAATGTTTCTATTAACATGCTCTCTTTCCACTGAAGAGGAAACTCAGGGAGAAAACATTTATGGACAAGTCCATAACATTAACCAAAAGTGTAATAAGGGCAAATAACCTTCTAAGAGAAAAGAAAACTTAGTTTATGAGTTTTTATTTTGCACCAAAAAGCTTCAAAATAAAAGGGGGGCTGATACTCTCTACACATCAATCTCTAAGCCACCCAGGGTGCTTGCACCTCCACATTGCACTGGCTGTGCCCCCATGGCAGTTGTGGGTGTCTGAGGCAGGTGACAAATGCAGGCACCTTGGACAACAGCTACCATGGTGCCCTGAAGCCCCTGACAGCCCAGAGTTACAATTAGACAGTGGGGGAACTTTGTCTTTGAGCCACCTATCCTCCTTTCAGTGGTTTTCCACCTGTGGTGGCAACTTCTCACGTGATCCATGAGCCTCCCAGGACCCTCTGTAGATGGTGTATCCTGGCACAGTACAGAAGCTGGTAGTGGAAAACAATGCCCAAGAAGGGCATGGCTTCATGTTAGATGGATCTGGGTTCATATTCTGACCTCACCCCTTACCAACTGCATGAATTTAGACACGTTACGTTGTCTTTCCAACCACAGTGTCTTCATCTGTAAATGAGAATAATATAATTTTGTGCATGGAGTCTTTTGAGAATGAGATCAGATAATACACATGAAACATCAGGCTCAGATCGGTTACAGACGCAGACTCTGAAATGACTTGCGGTTCAAAGCCTGACTCTACCACTTCACTACCGGGTGGCTGGACGAGTGTCACTTCACTTCCTAGTGCCTTGTCTCTGAAGGGAAGATTAGAAAAACACCTACTCATAGGGAGTAGCTGTTAAGTGCTCATCTTTTGTTTGCTGGCAAAAGTGCTTTGAAAAATGTCCAGCACATAATGAAAATTTGGCCTTATTTTACTCCATATTTTAAAGGTCAAGTACTCAGCTGCTATGCATGATAGGTGGCACTAAGATAAGACCTAGCCAAAAAATAGGCCACGTAATAGTAACAAAAGAAAATATTTTCCCCCAGAGCAGAGGTTTGGTATAAATGTGGAGGAAAATCATGAGCATGAAGTTTTGAAGTGCTGTGTGTTATATTGTTGGAGAAGACAGCAGTACTGAAGTAGGAGACAGGGTGTAAAATATGGATCTGGAAATTGGCTTGTATTGGTGAAATTTAGTGAAGGAGCTGGAAGAAAAATGGGAACTTCTCGAGAAACTGGATACAAAAACAAAAGAAATCTAATAAAGTTGCTGCTATAGATCAGGCCCTCAGTGAGACTTCAATGCAGTTCACAAACATTTACAGAAAAATTACTCTGTACTCAATAACAAGAGCGCTGAGCTGGGAGACAGGAATTCAAAACAGTAGCATACCAACGGGGCGGGGCAGTGGTAGAGATTTGCCCCAGCAAGGAAAAGTATGTTATTACTGACATTGTTTAGAATTGCCAGTGCATGATGATAATAAAAAGCTGGCCGGCTTTCAGTCACTGTTATTATTGTTTATAAATTCCCTACGGACAGTTTACCCAGCACCCAGTGCAGGCTGCGTTCACCACCCCTCCCTTGGTCTCCCTCTGACATCAGGTGAGATATGCCTGTTCCCAAAAAGCATGCAGCATAGTAAGAAACCATTAAGAAGAAATAATCATAAACAGTAAGTGAAAGCCACACCATCTATTAATTATCAAAATAAATTCCAGTTGGTATAAATATTTAAATGTGTGCAATAAAATTTATTTAAAATTAAAAACAAAAATCAAATATAGAAGCTACATGTAAAGTTTTATCTTACCGGTTGTTAAGCAGACTGCTCAAAAACCTAATAGCTAATCCTAAAAATCATTCACTGTTTATACAAAACTGTTACTTAAATGAGTATCCTGTATGTTTTCTGAAAAGCCTACCAATATGGCCAATGAACATTTCATTTACCTAATTTTTCTTGGGATGGTACTCTGTATCCAGTGCGGTTCTAAGCATTGCACCAGAGGCAGACTCACCATCAAGCTTCTGCTCGCTTCATTTGCACAGGTGCCCTCCCTCCCCACGAGGCCATCGGGTATCATATGCCTTTGGAACATTTATATAAGTAAGATATTTTGGCTGCAGTTGGTTCAGACCACTGTTTCTCATCACTGACTTTCTTTCCATAATGCTGCCCCTCTGTATGGTGGTGTTGCAGTAGCTCTGGGCAATTTTGCAATTCTCCTGTGGGGAGGTTAGTTGGGAATACATTTAGTTTGCTTTTAGTAGGACATATTTTTGCAGTTTGCAGTCACTTTTGAGTATAGTTACATTCTTGTTAGCCAATTGGATGTAGGTATTTCTTCCGGGAATTCTCATGTCACTCTTTATGCTAATTCTTCCAACCAGAGTTTGTCTCATGATCCGAAAATGTCTGTGACTCTGCACACCGGAAATGTACGTGTAAAGGAGAAAAAATAAGGATAGAAATGCACAGAGCCAGAGGTTAGCATGTGAAAAATTCCTCCAAATTAGAAAACTCCCATATGAATGAAGCTTGATTGCTGTTTCCCCAAATTTGACAACAATTGTGAAAATTTACATGACTTTACCAATAACACTAATGAAGCAGAATAACTTTTCAATTTATTGAAACTAAAACAATTTTAATTAACCATGCTAGAGATTTTCATTTTCTGTTTCAATCTATTGAAAATTATATGACAAAATTATCACTTAATATTGATTAAACAGTATGCAACAAAACTTTGGGCAATTTTTTAAGACATTAAATTTTGTGGTGTTTCAGTTGTAAGCTTCTTAAAAAGTGTAACCTGGTTATAATTTTTTGTTATCATTCTAAATAAATACCAATTTTCATACCTCGTTTCATGTTTTTAAGAGGTACAGCCAAATTGTAGAAGCTCCAGGCCCCACAAAACCTGGATTTAACTCTGAAAACATTAGCAAACAAAACAGATTAAAAACCAATAAAAAAGAACTCACATAAAGTTTAAATTCTAGCATGGAAAACAGCTGATAAATAAAACATGTAAGTGAAGTAAACAATACATGGGATGGTGATAACTGCTGTGGAGAGAAAGAAGGGAGGGGTAGAGATGCAATTTTAAATAAAGCATCTCAATGAACTCCTCATTAGAAGGGAACATTTGAGCAAAGACTGAAGAGGATGAGGGAACGAGCCCTGTGGATATCTGGGGAAGAGGGAAACACACACAGGTAGAATTGCTGAGCCTGGAGCATGTCTGCCTGTGAAGGCCAGTGTGGCAGGAGCATAGTTGGAGACGATGTCAGAGAGGAGTGGGTGGATGCGGAGGAGATCATAGGGAAGGCTTGTGGGCCCCTGTCAGTACAATGGTCTTTACCAAAAGTGAGACAATTAGGGAATTTTGAACAAAGAGATATGATAAGCCAATTTAAAATGGAAAAGAATAATTCTAGCTGCCAGATTGTGGAGAGGCAAGAACAAGAAAATTAGTTAGGTAGCAATTGATTAATTCAAGAGATGCTGGTGTTTTGCCAGAGTGGTAAGATGTGCCAGTCTGGGATCCATTTTGAAGGTAATGGCGACAGGTTTGATAAATGAGGTATTGTATTCTCCTCATACAATATGAGGAGAAAAGCAGAGTCAGAAATGACAGGTTTGTCATTGGCGTGAACGATGGATAGAGTTGCCATTTACTAAGATAAGAAAGACTGCTGGAAAAGTGCGCTTTGAAGAAAGACCAATATCATTATTTCCAAGGTGTCAGTTGGACATCCAGTGAAAAATATCAACTAAGCAGTTGACTATGTGAGTCTGGAATTCAAGGGAGAGATCTAGGTTGGAGATATACATTTGTAAGTCATTGGCATATAAAATTATGAAACTAGAAGAGATCAGGAAGGGAGTAAATGTCAGGAGTGAGAAACATTCTAAGCACTGAGCATGGAATGCTTTAAGATGCTTTAAGTCTAAGAGGTCAGGAAGATGATGAGGAATCCACAAAGAAGACTGAGAAGGAGCTCCTGGTGAGGTGGGAAGGAGACCAAGAGAATATTTTTTCTGGGAAGCCTAGTATAGAAAATATCTCACATAAAGCCAAATATTGCATGTTCTCACATATAAGTAGGAGCTCAACCATGAGTACACATGGACATACAGAGTGGAATAATAGACATTGGAGACTGCAAAAGTGGAGGTGGTTGGATGGGGTTGATGGTTGAAAAATTACCTGTTGGATACAATATTTCTTATTCGCGAAATGGGTACATTAAAAGCCCAGACCTCACCAGTACACCATATATGCATGAAAGAAGCCTGCACTCGGCCAGGCACGGTGGCTCACACCTGTAATCCCAGCACTTTGGGAGGCCAAGGCGGGCGGATCACGAGGTCAGGAGATCGAGACCATCCTGGCTAACATGGTGAAACCCCGTCTCTACTAAAAATACAAAAAATTAGCCAAGCGTGGTGGCTCCTGTAGTCCCAGCTACTCGGGAGGCTGAGGCAGGAGAATAGCATGAACCCGGGAGGGGGAGTTTGCAGTGAGCCAAGATCACACCGCTGTACTCCAGCCTGGGTGATACAGCCAGACCCCTTCTCAAAAAAAAAGAAAGAAAGAAGCCTGCATTTGTACTCCCTCAAATATATAAAAATAATTTTTTTAAAAAAAGAAAGTGTTTCAAAAAGGAAGGAGACATTAACTTGTCAGAAGACGCTGACAACAGATTAAGACAAGGACTGACTGCTGACCTTTAGATTTGGCAAAATGGAAGCCACTGGTGGTCTTCCTAAAAGCAGTTTTTGTGGAATTGGGCAGTAGAAGGCCTGATTTGATTGATTTCAAAGCAGAATGGGAGGAATTAAAGAGAATGGGTACAGATTACTTATAGGGTCTTGCTGTAAATATGATCTAAGAAGTGAGGCTCTAAGTGGGTACAAAAGTGGGGCAAGGACAATATTTTTTACACAAATGATATATCAAAATGTTTGTTTGTTAATAGGAATAACCTAGTAGAGAGAGAGAAAACCTTATGATAAAAGAGAAGGAAGGAATGATTTTTACTAAAACTTAATCAGTATTATGTATCTGGCATTTATTTATTTATTTGAGTGCTTGCTATAAGGTGAAGTGCTATGTGCTTTGTTCACAAGGCAATTATATATTTCCAACAACAACTCTAGGAGCTAGATATTACTACCCTCATTTTATAAAGAAGAGCTT
The DNA here is from genome assembly GCF_000001405.40 of Homo sapiens. Taxonomy (NCBI): domain Eukaryota; kingdom Metazoa; phylum Chordata; class Mammalia; order Primates; family Hominidae; genus Homo; species Homo sapiens. The sequence continues at coordinate 59,936,381 of NC_000008.11, forward strand.
AGGCCGTGTTTCTGACATTACACAGACAATATGCAGCAGAGTAAAATATTTAATTTGGGTTTGTCTGATTCAAACTTGGTACCATTTCAAGTCTTCCTCATCTTTACTTTTCTGCAATAGCACAACAGGCATGTAGTAAATATTTAGTAGATATTCTGTGAATGTGTAACTGTATTAATGAATAAATAGCGAATACATATATACAGACATACATATATTCACACACAGACACACATACACCTATGCATACATACAAGATTGCAGCAGACAGGCATTTTGTGAGATAAAGAAGAAACAGGGAAGATTAGGGGTTCTTTTACTAGACTAGAAATTCCTCCCCTATGTCCTACGGAAGGTGCTAGAAGGAAGAAGTTAAAGAACGGTGGAAGTCTGGGATCCATTCCTTCGAAATCTCCCAACTGGGCGATGCTTCAACCAGTTAAAATATAAGCCTTTAGAAAAAGACTTTCAACTGCTGATACTATTTCTCAAAATCTCAGGCAAGTAAACAGGAGATTTCTTGGTTAAGGGTATATTCCTTTGGTCCCATAAGATAGGCAATGATCCATTGACACAGACTTTGTGTTATAAACAGAAAAAACAAAAACTTCGTAACAAGACAAAGCATCTTCTCCATTAATGGGAATCTCATTCCTTTCCTCTCTGCCATATATTTCTAAATAGTGTAATTTCTGAATTCACAGGTATTGCATTTAAACAAATAAACTGGGATATATTACAATTTTCAGGACATTTTCCAGTAGAATAGTAAATGGATTTAAACATTGGTGAAATGCTGACCTTCAGTTAGCTGTTCATTACATTCTGCAAACACACAGAATACCTTGTAATCCATGAGAAATTTGTGTAACTTGTAACATTTCAACATGAAAGTCACCCTCACAGTAAACACTAACCCTTTGTGAAGAAACACCATGCACCTTCTTACTTTTTATTACAAAGGATCATCATTTTTCAGGAGAAGTAATGAATATTTTCTGGTAACCCACTAACATTTTACTGCTGTGGTATGTTGAGCATATCAGTTTCTATACATTTTAAGATAATATATTTAGCTCTGAGTTGAACAAATTACATAGGCTTGGAGAGTCATTCTATTTTCTTTCCTCATTAAATTTTAGCTTCATTTATACTATCTCTGATATTAGCAATCATATTTTCAATAGAATTTTGAACAGCATTATTTCAATTTCAGTGCACAAACAAGTGATATAGCCATTCGTGGCTGCATTATAATCTCCTTAGCTTTAATTATTGTTCCTTAGAATACTGTGTCTTCCTAGTTTATAAGCTTTAAAATACATTCTCATGTTCAAGTCTAAAGCTGTTCCTTCTGGTAAGGACGGAAAAGGGCATACACATACATATCTTTCTTTTTTGAAACTGTACCTTATCATTTTATTGGTCATTGTATATAACCGTTTAGGTACTGGGATATGATACTGTACGAGTATAAAATAAATACAATTTAGAAAGCCATAGATCTTAACATAAATAAGCAAGTAAGATGAATTTGAACTCATTAGAAAGTGTACCGACTCTGGAATAAAGCTCTGTTTTTGTTAAGTTTTGGATAGTATAGGAATATTCCTTTCTATTTGGGGCTCCTTTATGTAAAAGAGACACAGATCGCCTCAGTGATTATTAATGTCCTACAAAGAAAGTGAAATGGTTTGGCTGTGTCCCCACCAAAATCTCATGTTGAATTCCCACGTGTTGTGAGAAGGACCCAGTGGGAGGTAATTGAATCATGGGGGCAGGTCTTTCTCGTGCTGTTTTCATGATAGTAAGTCTCATGAGATCCCATGGTTATTATAAGGGGGAGTTTTCCTGCACAAGCTCTTTTTGCCTGCCACCATCCACGTAAGATATAACTTGCTCCTCCTTGCCTCCTGCCATGATTACAAGGCCTCCCCAGCCATGTGGAACCGTAAGTCGAATGAAACCTCTCTCTTTTGTAAATTGCGCAGTCTCAGGTAATGCTGTTTATCAGCAGCATGAAAACGGACTAAAACAGAAAGCATTTTTAAGTTAATAATGACTGTGCTTTTATGATAATCTTCTGTCAAATCAGAGATGGCAAATACGTTTAAACTTTTATGCCAACTCTCGTCACTTGTTAGGGGGTCCTTGTGGAGGATTCTGCACCATGCTTCCATGCAGCAAGACACAGCTCCACGTTCAATAGTAATGTGTGCCAGAGATGTAGGAAAGAATGGTGGCGGCACAGACACTGTGTGTCTCCCTGGACTAGATGGCACCCGAGGAGTCATGATAGCTCAGCTCGAATCCCTGCTCTGTCCCTCAATACCTCGTAATTACTTGTTCTGAATTTCATTTTCCTTGTTGGTTAACAAGGCCTATTTTCTGTAGTTATTATAAAGGCTAAATGAATATTTCTTTTTTTAATATCAAATGTCTAATAAATGGTAGTTGAATATGAGTTTATCCCTATAAGCAAAAAGAGACAGAGTGATTAGACTGAAATACATGCACACATACATTACAGTAATTATGAAATTAAATAAGAAAGTATGATCTTCAAGCCTTGAGTGCCTATAAGAAGAGATGGTGTATCTTCTCTGGAAGTCTTTCAAACATTTGGAGACTTTTATGTGCTTCAGTGAGGGACTGGCAGGGGGCAGAATGTGGGCTCAGTAGAAGCAGGGAAGTAGAAAACTACAGAAAGCAGGAAAGGAAGGTTGTTGCATGTGAAACCCATTTGGCTTTGCTAACTAGCCTTTATGAATGTTAGGCTCCTGCTCTCCCACAGATATGGGAAGTTGAGAACCCTACCTTCAGATATTAGCTGGAACAAACAGTAAATTATTTTGGCAGTCTGGAGTTTCCTCAGGCAGGCATTTTAAGGGAGACTAGCAGTATCTTGGGGATGCAGCCCCAAGTTATTAGAACCTATGTTAGTCTTCATTCAAGGCTTTATGGGCCATGGTTGAGGCCAAGTCAACAGAGATCGGTCAAGGAGAGACTCTGTCAGGATACGCATACGTACATACCTACTACTAACACGTGTCATTAACACCACATATGGTGTTCGACTTTACATCTAATGCACACATTTTACATCTAATGCACGCACACACGTGCAATTATCTGCATTATACAGATGAAGAAATGAGAATTAGTGGTTAAATAACTTACCTAAAATATCAATATGAAGTTGCAGAACTAGCATTTGAACCCATATCTGTCTGTCTCTAGAGCCCAAAGTCCAAATTACTACGTAAACTGTCTCCTGTTGCAGTTCAGCATGCAAGATACAAATCCCCAGACACAAGTGCATAAGTGAAATATTGAGGAATGTTCATTAAGAACTCTATATGCAGGCCAGGCACAGCGGCTCATGCCTGTAATCCTAGCACTTTAGGAGTCTGAGGCAGGAGGATAGCTTGAGCTCAGTAGTTCAAAACCAGCTGTGGATACATAGCCAGACCTTGACTCTACTACAAATCAAAAAAATTAGTGGGATGCGGTGGCACGTGCCTGTAGTTTCAACTACGCGGTAGGCTGGATGGGAGGATCATTTGAGCTCAGGAGTTTGAGGCTGCAGTCAGCTATGATTGTGCTGCTGTACTCCAGCCTGGGGGACGAAGCAAGCAAGACACTGTCTGAAAAAATTTTTAAAAAAAGTATATGCAAGTGAGTTAAGTCACAAGGAAGATTTCTATGTTCATTGACTCATCAAGTCTTCCTGCTACTTACTTACCCTGGTCTACACAAGACCTTGATTACTGGGGTGATGCTTCTGATGCCTAATCAATGCCATTTCAAGTTCCGGGCTATTTGCCTCTGTTAACCTCACTTTGGGGTATATTTTAGTAAAATGTTGCTTTAGTTTTGGGACTCAGATATATCCAAATGCATTTTGTTTGTGATGTCTCTTCCATTAACTTGACCCCAGAGCTAGTCAATTCATTTCTACCCTTGTAAAACACAAGTTTCTCCCCTAACACAAAATACTCACTCTACATTAGTACAGTTCTCCATTTTTTCATCTATCATTCTCTTTTCTTTTGTTTAAGAAACTTCTTTTCTTTCTGAATTTATAAATTATTCATTGCTACTTTAAAATTATATAATGAACATTCCTCATGAATATTTGTCTGCAGCTTTAATTAAAGTAGATTTTCTGGGTGAAACAACATGGAAATTCTTAAAGGTTTTTGAAATCTGATGCCAAATTGCTCTCTAAAAATGTATTCATTTACTTTTCTATTAGCAGTGCCTAAGACCATTGGTTTCACCTACCACATAAGCATCAATTATTCAACTTTAAAAGATATTCTTTCTAATTTGTTGATAAAAATACCATATCCTTTTGCTATTTGCATTGATTTGAATAGTCAAGAGATTGAGCATTTTGCATATTTATTTTTGTTTATATTTCTTAATTTGTAAATTGTTCATGACTCATCTATTTTTAAAAAATCAGGATTTCAAATTTGTCTTATTATTCATAACAGGTCTTTATATTTAAGGTAATTAAAAATAAATGTGATTTACAAATTACTTTTGGAATATCAACTATAATGTACAAAATATTAAGTATATAAATATATAACAAATACAATATTATAAATTATGCATGTAACAAATATAATACTCAGCTTGTCATTTATTAGATTTTCATGTTGATTTACAATACTCAGGTAATCCTGAGTTCTTAAAGGACAATTATATAGGTATTTTTAGATGTAATCTTTTAATTGCTTTGAAAGCGTATGAAAATCCTTTCTCAGGCAGAGAGTAAACATTCATGCATGTTTTCTTTTAGGTTTTTCTTTTCCTCTTGGTTTCTTTTTATCATTATTATTTAATTGACTGCAGGTTGTAAGGCAAAGAGTTCTTCCCCCAAATAATCCATTTTGCAAAATTATATAACAGTAATGCATTGATTTCTCATTGGCTGTCATAACTTTATCACAAACGTAAAGCTCTATTTCCAAATATATGTAGATAATCTATTCTTGTATCAGCATTATACTGTTTAATTATTGTAACTTTTAATGCATTTTTAGTATCTTGGGGGAAATTCACTAGAAAAAAAGTATATCTCTTTTTACATAATGTAAAATTGTATCTTTATTAGTTCAATCTCATTAATTTTTTATTTAAATCCTTGATATTCCACTTTTATGTCTTTACACATTATCTGTCGAAGCTAAAATAAAGTGTTACGGTCTCAACAATATTAACAGTCCTATTTATTTTAGCATTCCTTTATATTTTTTAAGGGTTTTTAAAATATATTTCACTGATATGCTATTAAAATTTAATCATTTTTATTTCATTTTGGATTAGGTGATTTTTAAAGCAGTTGGAATTTTTTTTTTTGTAAACTACTTTCAACACACTTCGTTTTTAGGTAGATTAAGATGATCACATTTACGTCTACTTTAAAGATGGTATGTTTGGCTTTTATTCAGGCAACAAATAACTATTGAGCCTCTATTATGTGTCAGGCATGCTTCCCGAAGCTGGTAAATTCCAGCCGATCAGACAGAAACTCTTTGGCTTTGGGATTTCTACTGTAGTCAGGGAAGTCAAACAATGTTGCCATCTTGCTTTTGGTTTTTTATGCTCTTTTCTGTTTCCTTCAGCTTCCATTTTTATATACAGACTTATTCATTTACTTTCCTTTTAGGATTTGGAAAGTATGTAACTTATTTTCAATTCTAAAAGATAACAAAAATGGAATTTTGTGTTTTGATCATTTAATGTAAGATTATATATGTTCCTCACTTTTACTCATTCCCAAAGTGTTAGTATTTGTTAATACAGTTTGAAATTTCAAGCAGATAGTTATGTTTGTTTAGTGTTTTTTGCATCATACCTTTTCTCTTTAATAATTTTAAACATTTTCATTCAATTTTATAACTAGATTATATAAAACAATTATTTAATTTAAAATATTTATACACCTACATTTTGAATGGCTTAATGTCATCACATTCTTTTATATCATGCTTTCATGGTTCTTGAGTTCTTAATTTCAATCTACTGCTTAATGGAGTATTAAATAGAGTATTCTTCTCAGTATTTCTTTATAACAGTTTATTTTTGGAATGTGTGAAAATACATCATGTGGTCTTAATACACAAAACTTAGCTGCTATAAAATTCTTGTGACATAAAGCACACTATCATTTGTCAATATTTTTCACTAGAAATGACTATGAACCCTGTCAAAGTACATGCTCTAGTCTCTGCCATTGGCTTTGAAAGTCACATTCAATTAGTCCCCAAATTTGCTGTACTTTTAATAAGTCTTACATTGTTGTTGTTGCAGTTGTTGTTGTTTTCTGTTTACTAAGATTTAAATGAGATATAGCAAGAGACACTGTTTGACATAGAAGTACGTGTGGTGTCTCAATGTGAGTTCCCCAGAAGCTCCTGAGACAAGAATTAGGGCAAGTAGTAGTTTACATGGTTGGTGAAGAAATCACTAGTAGTAGAATAGGAACTTGAGTCAGAGAAGGGAAGGCAACCAAGTAAAGGTGCCCTATAAAGTCAGCTACACTGTAAGTAACTGGAACTGAATTCCATGAGAAAAGTCTAGGAAGCTTGGTAGCTTTCTGGGATAGAAGGATGTGGAATATATACCAATGCCAACTCCTGCTAGTCATTAGTTAAGGGCTCATAGAGGGGAGTTACTCCTCTGGCATATCAGGCCTGAGAAAACTGACCTCTCCGCCACAAAGATGCTGATCAAAACAGTTGGAATTAAGGCCATACTTACTCAAATGGTGGCCCAAGGGATAAGGAGCAAATATCAGTATGTGGCTTGATTGTTTTCCTAGTGGGTTGCTTGTGTATTGATAAGATTCCATCCTGCCCCAGGAATACAAGGGTCTCTCTCCTCAGTGTAAAACATTCATTCTCTATGGATTGTGCCTCTGGCTTTTCCTACACTAAAGTACCTCAAAGATATTTTTTCCTTAATCAATCATTTTCTACTCCCTAATTAAAAGAAATCATATGTTTGAGTGTCCTCTATGTGCCAGGCAGAGTTGAAGAGTTTACATAGGTTACTTAATTTTCACAAATTCTCTGAAGAAATTGCTATTACTGTCTCCAATTTCCAAGTGGGGAAACTGAGACTTAAAGATTAAATAAACTAGTCAGTAAGGTGACACATGCCTGTAGTTCTAGATACTCAGGAAGCTGAGTTAGGGGGAATCACTTGAGCCTGGGAGCTTGAGGCTACAGTGAGCTACAATTCTGCCACTACATTCTAGCCTTGGCAACATAGTGAAACCCTGTCTCTTAAAAGAAAATCCAGAAATTAAACAAACTATGGAACTGCTATTTGGCCCAACAGTCTACTATTGAGCCTATACTCTTAACCAATGCTCAGACTAATTAGCTGACTTGAGATGGTAGCCTCTCCTATTCTTACTCCCTGACACTCTTTATGCCACAAATTTATGGCATTCAATAAAACTTGTAATTTTACTTGTGTACACACAAATACACATACACACATAAATATATACACATGCATAAATATATATGTACATATACATATATATACACGTATATACAAATACATATATAGCTATGAAGCCTTTTTCATTTTCCCACTCTATGCCTCTTTTTATTGTCATCTCCAACATACTGAATTACCGTCAATCTCTTCCTTTCTTGTTTTATGAGAACTGTAACACCCAGTTGCCAAAAAAAAAGAAAAAAAAGGAGGGAGCTTTTTGCTGTGTAGGTGATATCACAGGGAAGTGGTATGCAAACAACTGCACACTCATGGCAGAGCCTCAGCTAAGGATTGACGAGCCAGTGAACAGACATTGGAAAGCAGTTGTGGGGTATCCCTACTTTGGAAGGAATGTGGGGGCTTACTTTGGAAAGGGCATGGTATATTCCCACTTCTTTTCCAGTGAGCCAGATGCTCCATTTCAGGCATGGCTCTGTTTTTCATCTGTTGTCTTTCCATTTTATCCCATGTCTTTTAGGCTACGGCAGCAGTCAGCCTTATATTTTGACATTATGAATTGTCACATCTTTATCCTATGTGCTTCATTTCCTTACAAGTATTTTACTAAGAAGCTGGGTGACTTATAACAGAGAGGCAAACCAGATACCATTTTAAGTCGACACCCCTCACCATTTCACGCCTGCCTTCAAGGCCCCTTCCCATCTTGAGCCTTGAGAGAACTTTATATACCCAATCTAGTATTCAAAATACCTATTTGCATGTAAAAGTGATTCTTTTCAATCACTACATACATTTTTAAATATTTAAAATCCAGCTCATTTATTTTGGGAAATTAAACTAATTTTGTCATTTTTTTGAGGGACAAGGGTTATTTTTTAAAGTTTTGGCTGAATTAACCAGTTGTTTTTGTTGCAAGAGGTTATAGTCTTAATTGAATACAGGCCACCACAAAATCTTTGTGGTAGTTGTAAATAAATAAACTAATAACTTAAGGTTAATTGACCCCCTCTTATCTTCTAAATCTACTTGGAAACCACTATAATGCCTCAATACACTATTTGAGGCTTTGGTTAATGTTACGTTTAAAACAAAATAATTCACTCACGGGCTTTTTCAATTCTGCAGTTTATTTTTTCCATTTAGTTCTAAAGAGTCATCATTGGCTGGCTCTTTACATAATTTTACATATTCCGGAAGTCCTCCTAGTGTATTATAAAACAGAGTACTAAAAATACATAGACCCATATTTAATCATTTTATAATTAGATATAGATTTTTATATACTTTTTAAACTTTAACAAGATTGCATTAGTAGCTGTTATTTAATTCACACCCAATGTCCTTTCTAACCTAAATTAAATCCTTATTGAAGACATTTATTCACACTGTAACTGTTTTCTCTAATGAACTACCAATTCATATTCCCACACAGCATGTTCTAATTTGTGCTGTGGTGGTTTCTAGAAACATATGGGGACCAACTGTGGTTATGTTTGGGATCTTCTGTATGAAAACATGGAAATTGTTTTTGTTTTGCTGATTGCTCTCTAAGATAGTTTCAAACCTCTTCAACTTTGTCTTTATTCATGAGGTTTTTAATTGCAAATCCCCTTCTGTTTTGTCAGATGAATGTCACATGATAAACATATGGGATAGGGCTGGTTAATCTGTCCAGAGGTTCTATGATCTTTAAGAAAGATCAACCCCTTGCTCATAATTGACAAATTGTTCCCAGATATCAGACACCATCAAGCTTGTTATTTCCATAGTGCCATAAACACAAAAGAAAAAGGGACATGAAAGGTAAGAGGCCTTTTGCAACATGAAAGAGAAAGCAAGAGTGGCATTTCCTTTGCTTACGGTTTTTAGGGAAGGGGGGAGAATAGTGGCAAAAGATACAATAATACAAGCATCCTCCTGATTGATTAAAGTAGTGAAGTGTATTCTTTGGTTCATAAATAATGCTCTATTACTTTTCTTCAAAGACAAGTAAACCTTGACAGACTGACCTTTTCCAGGGCAGGAGTTGTTTCAGTGCCATAAATTATACTGTAAAACGAGTGGAAATGCTACTGAGAAGTATGTGACAAAATAAGATTAAAGATTACTACACACAAAAGATTGTTGTTTTATTAATGGATTCCTGTCAATGGGATGAAAAATCCTCAGCTTTCTACTGGGTGCTGAGATCACATCAAGCTGAAAATTAGGAGAGCATTTTCCAAAAGATAACTGAATGTGTCAAAATAACAGTATTCTGATTTTTGTGTTTCTCTAGTATTATATTTGATTCTAACACAAATTTAGTTATTGTCAAATATGCTTGTACCATCCACAGTCATTTGCTTGCAAAGAGAGGGACCATGTCATCAACGGGCATTGGTGTTGTATGTACCAGTGAAGTGAGATTAGAGGGAAACTCTGCTCAACACAGGCATGGCAGCCGCATGGAGGAGTGTGTCGAGGAGAAAGCATATGGTAATTTTCCAACCATTAATTTGCTGGTGAACACCCAATTTGACAGAGCCATCCACGTCACTCTGAAGAAACAAAAAAAAAATCACATCATGACTTAAGCTGTGAGTCCCGTGGATTTTTCTCATGCTTGTTTTAGGTTTTACTGATTAGTAAAAAAAAAAAAAAAAAAAAAAAAAAGGCTTATAAATTATAGATATGAAAAACAATTATATAAATGTGGAAATAATAAATTACAGAAATGAGGACAAATTACGGAAATGAAAACAAGACCACTTAAAATACAATGAAGGATTTTAATCTACTGAAATTAAATGAGATCATGAGAGTTCAAAGGCTTTGTCAGCATCCACATCCTATACAACTACCACATATTATTCCTTTTAATGCTATTATTATTACATTTTTGCTGTTGTTGTAATTATCTCTGCTCAATTTTTCATTAAAATCAAGACTGTTTAAACCATTCCTCTGTAGACTTTTTGGAAATACGATTGCAATCTAAAATCAATAAACCAATTTAATCATAGCAACCATGGTGGCAAAAAGGAATGAAAAAAAAAAAGAAAAGGAAAGGAAAAGTATCAGCAAAATATCAGAACAGTATTTTGAATGATACATTTAATAGTAAACCCATTCCTGTCTTACAGCCCTTTATTGTGTGGCACTAACAGACATACAATTGAGTAAAACAGAAACGGAAACAAAAATCATCCTGTAGAACTTAATTAAAGTTTTCAAAACTTTCCTTGGAATTGGATCTAGCATGGTTTACTCAAATAATAACAACTGTCCTTGTTAGATAGAGCATATGCTCAGCATGGCATGATGCTATAAATCACTCCTTGTCACAAAGAAGAATAGATACACTGGCTCCACATTGCTTTCCCATTCTTTATAACTAGAAACAGGGTATCAGTGTTACCTTCATTATGGTCAGAACAAAAATGTCTGCCTTAATCCTCACACACCATTTTAAAGATAGGTGTCAGGAAGCCAAAAGACGAAACAATGAGATTAGTGTTGCAATGAGCATCCATCAACTTTCCAGACAAACATAAAATTCTGGTTAGTGCACATGCAGCTAGCATGATGAGTTAGATAGATATTTTGCACGTGCTTTCACTGTATAAAGCAGAAAGCTTTTTCTTATTCTTGCAAAGGACTTATCCACTTCTCCAGCATGCACTCTCTTCACTTAGCTTGTGAACTATTTGAAGAGAGATTCAACTATTAAAATTTTAGTGCAAATTAAACAATATATTAATCATACTACTTGTGAGAATATGCCCCAATTTCTTCCTTCTATGGCAAAAATATTAACTAAATAAGCCCCTTTCATAGAAAATTTAGAAGTTCCAGGATGATCTTGTGCTGCAGCTGAGCCCTCCTGATTCTCCTTGAGTGTAAGGCCATGCCATTCTCTTCTTTAGCCTGCGATGGTCTCAGACGGGGAAGAAATAGCAGCATACGTTAAAAATCGTCAGGAGTCAATGCAGTCTTAGAAAGTAACTATAATCTAAGAGCCAGAACAGCAGCAATGATTCCAAATGTAGACTTCAAGTTTTTGGGCATCCTTAATCTTAGCACCTAATGACGTATTGAATGTCAACCTTTTTTTTTCTCTAACCGTTGATCAATTGACCTAACTTTTGTCTTTCCATTAAACAATTCTCTCTTCCATGACCTCTTTCCCATCAGAATGTAGAGAAGTTATTTATTGATCAATAATATAATAAGCATTTGCCAGGTGCCTTCCTTGAACTATCCAGTAGGCCTTGAGCTCTCATGATTCTTCTGGGCCACCAGAGTCACTCCCTGAATTCATCCTTCTGCTTCTGCTTCTGATCTAGAGAAGCCAATCCCTCCTGCAACTCTAAAGTTTTTCGTAATTAGAAAATTCTTCCTGTCTCCAAATTCTCAGCTTTTAAATTCCAAATTTGGCAAGGTTGAAGCTAAATTCCTAATCTCACTAACAGAATATCACCTTAAAGTACAAAAACTGTCTTTTCAATATGATTTCACACAGATGTTAACTCATGATTGTCTAACTCCAAGTGTCTGCAGTTACGAGGCTGAATTCATTTGAATTCCATGGAATGACGCTCTGATAGCAGTGCTGCAAAGTGCTTCAGATTAGTCTTGGAAGATGTAACAAGTTACATAGAAACAATTTATATCTGCATAAACATTTATACACACCTATATGAGTATAACTCAGAACTACCTCAACTTATGTCTTAGAGGATATCTAATACAGTACTGATATAAATATTGAACACATCTAAGCTAAATCCAGATTAAAACTGACCCCTTATTCATAATGTTCCCTAGTATTCTAGAAACAGCTAGGAAAGCAAAACAACCAGATTTTCTTAGATCTTGGTAAAGGGTAAGTGGGTGAGTGAGTTTCCTCAAACAAAGCAACTCAAATCAGAGATACCATGTCACTTTAACAAATTAGTGTTACTGCATTTGGTTTTAATAGTGACATCCTGATTTGATGATATGTCCTACTGTTAACCGCTTAACCAACCTATTGTTGTCACTATGATCAAACCACTATGAAAGCCGGTGGGTAACAACATAAGCCCATGTTTGAGACATGAGTGTATCAAACAAAGTAAGAGGATATAAGCCTTATCCCACAAAATTCAGAAAATAAGTTCCAGATTAAGTAAAGAAAACTGTGTTAAAATTTTAAATATAATAAGAGAAAATATAAAATAGTTTTATTAAAGATCTGGGAAGTCTTTCTGAGTAGGACATACTATTCAGAAGTTGTAGAAAATTACATTGGCAGATTTGATCACATTGAAATCTTAAATTCTGCAAAGCCATCAAGAAAGTTAAAATAGGGCCCAGCACAGTGACTCACACCTGTAATCCCAGCACTTTGGGAGGCCGAGGCAGGAGAATCTCTTGAGCCCAGGAGTTTCAGACCAGCCTGGGCAACATAGTGAAACCCCGTCTCTACAAAAAATTAGCTAGGTGTGGTGTTGTTTGCCTGTGGTCACAGCTACTTGGGAGGCTGAGGTGAAAGGATCAGTTGAGCCCAGGAGGTGGAGGTTGCCCTGAGCCAAGATCATGCCACTGAACTTCAGCCTGGGTGATAGAGAGAAACCCTATCTCAAACAAAAGAAAGAAAGAGAGAGAGAGAGAAAGAGAATTAAAATAGAAGCTACACACTGAAAGAAAACATTTTTATTGTAAACAACATAAAAGGCAATATTCTTTCCATATTAAAAAACACTTCAAATTAATTAAGCTAATAACCCAATAGAAAAATAATCAAAGAATATAAATGAATAAGTCACAGAAAGCATAGTGATCAACTCATTGATAAACAGGAAAGTTAACAGACATTTATACCCAACAAATTTTATTTATTTATTTATTTATTTTGAGGCAGAGTCTCACTCTGTCACCAAGCTGGAGTGCAGTGGCACTATCTCGGCTCACTGCAACTTCCACCTCCCGGGTTCAAGTGAGTCTCCTGCCTCAGCCTCCTGAATAGCTGGGACTACAGGCACGTGCCACCACGCCCAGCTAATTTTTGTATTTTAATAGAGATGGAGTTTCACCATATTGGCCAGGAGGTCTCGAACTCTTGACCTTGTGATCCGCCCGCTTCGGCCTCCCAAAGTGCTAGGATTACAGAAGTGACAAACTTTTTAATATGTTGAAGAAATGACAGCATATGTTAAGAATCGTCTTAACATTGACTTGGATTTAGGAAAACCATTTGACAAACTCTGTTATAGCTGATAGGAGAGAATATTACCATACCACTGGATGAATGGTAAAAATATTCACCAAGTCTCACAAAACCTCATAGAAGGTAGGCCAAGAAACCAAGTTCAAAAAGGCTAAATGACTAACCCATGGTCATAAAAACCTTATATGATAGAGGCTGAGCTTATAGTTGGCTTCTGACTTCTGTTTTTCCAGGCCTTCAAGTTCCTTCTTAGAATTTAATAAGCACTTTAAAAATTTTACTTCTTTATTTGCACTGGCTATTAAACATTGGGGATGATTTTTTAGTAAAATATTCCACTTTCCTATGTTGCTTCAATTTTTGGAAAATGCTATTAGCAATAATGTGATATTAAATATTAATTTCTTTATCTGGAATTAAGGAGCTTAGATTAAATGTCTTTTTAAGGTCTCTTACATCTCTAAAAGTTTATGATTCTATTTTCAAAGCACTTGCTACGTCTTTGTGTCTGTGTGTGTGTGTGTCCGTGTGTGTGTGTGTGTGTGTGTGTGTGTGTGTGTCTTTCCCTATGCACCCCTTCTTCAACCTTAATGGGCATCTCAATTCCAACTTGTGAGACCAAAATTTAGGAATGCCACTTTCAGGAGTTTTCATTATATTTTATTCTGTTTAGTTAAAATTCAGTTTACATTTTATATTTATTTTAAAAATCTATGCCCCTAGGATTTATTACTAAAACGCATTTGTGGGAATCCATTTTATTACCATACAATGCTATAATTTTATTATATAATGTTAAATATGCTTTATGCGTTTAAAAAATAAAGAGCAGTACTTTACCAGGAATTACTAAACCTAAAATGATCTTTACGATGAGATGCAAAATCGTCTAAAACACCTGCATTTGAAAGCATTTACAAAATGTTGTACTTAAAAACAACTGACACTAGTTGTTGAAATTTAGAACGTTACACTGGAAGAGTCTTTGAATCTGTACTTTTTTACTGGATTATGAATTGAATAATTTTACATTCCTTTTAAACTTTGTCCCTTTGGAGTTTATAATAAGAAAATCAAGCAAGTGTTGGATGACATGTTGAGTAGAACAGGCAGTGTTCGCTTTCCTATGCAAATAGCCTCTTACACTCATATTATTGCCAGTTTAAGATGAATATGTTCTTGTTGGCATGTTCTGTGATTAATTATGCTATAAACATTAATATTTTCCTATGTTGTTCATCTCCTTCTGCCAACTAATACTAGATTACCAATACAAGAAATGGTGAAGTAGCCATGATCCATAAGCATATACTTTCCATTTTTTAAAGCTCAGGAGCAACTTTGCCAGATTGAACACATGTTGGTTAAGCACAGTCTCTGTGAAAGGCCACAGAAATATAATTAAAGATTCTAGAGTTTTATGGTTTTAGGTCTAACATGTAAGTCTTTAATCCATCTTGAATTAATTTTTGTATAAGGTGTAAGGAAGGGATCAAGTTTCAGCTTTCTACATATGGCTAGCCAGTTTTCCCAGCACCATTTATTAAGTAGGGAATCCTTTCCCCATTGCTTGTTTTTGTCAGGTTTGTCAAAGATCAGATGGTTGTAGATATGCGGCATTATTTCTGAGGGCTGTATTCTGTTCCATTGATCTATATCTCTCTTTTGGTACCAGTACCATGCTGTTTTGGTTACTGTAGCCTTGTAGTATAGTTTGATGTCAGGCAGCGTGATGCCTCTGGCTTTGTTCTTTTGGGAAAACCTTAGGATTGACTTGGCGATGCGGGCTCTTTTTTGGTTCCATATAAACTTTAAAGTAGTTTTTTCCAATTCTGTGAAGAAAGTCATTGGTAGCTTGATGAGGATGGCATTGAATCTATAAATTACCTTGGGCAGTATGGCCATTTTCATGATATTGATTCTTCCTACCCATGAGCATGGAATGTTCTTCCATTTCTTTGTATCCTCTTTTATTTCATTGAGCAGTGGTTTGTATTTCTCCTTGAAGAGGTCCTTCACATCCCTTGTAAGTTGGATCCCTAGGTATTTTATTCTCTTTGAAGCAATTGTGAATGGGAGTTCACTCATAATTTGGCTCTCTGTCTGTTATTGGTGTATTAGAATGCTTGTGGTTTTTGTACATTGATTTTGTATCCTGAGACTTTGCTGAAGTTGCTTATCAGCTTAAGGAGATTTTGGGCTGAGACAATGGGGTTTTCTAGACATACAATCATGTCATCTGCAAACAGGGACAATTTGACTTACTTTTTTCCTAATTGAATGCCCTTTATTTCCTTCTCCTGACTAATTGCCCTGGCCAGAACTTCCAACACTATGTTGAATAGGAGTGGTGAGAGAGGGCATCCCTGTCTTGTGCCAGTTTTCAAAGGGAATGCTTACAGTTTTTGTCCATTCAGTACGATATTGGCTGTGGGTTTGTCATAGATAGCTCTTTTTATTTTGAGATACGTCCCATCAATACCTAATTTATTGAGAGTTTTTAGCATGAAGCGTTGTTGAATTTTGTCAAAGGCCTTTTCTGCATCTATTGAGATAATCATGTGGTTTTTATCTTTGGTTCTGTTTATATGCTGGATTACATTTATAGATTTGCATATATTGAACCAGACTTGCATCCCAGGGATGAAGCCCACTTGATCATGATGGATAAGCTTTTTGATGTGCTGCTGGATTCAGTTTGCCAGTATTTTATTGAGGATTTTTGCATCAATGTTCATCAAGGATATTGGTCTAAAATTCTCTTTTTTGGTTGTGTCTCTCCCAGACTTCCTAGGCAATACCATTCAGGACATAGGCATGGGCAAGGACTTCATGTCTAAAACACCAAAAGCAATGGCAACAAAAGCCAAAATTGACAAATGGGATCTAATTAAACTAAAGAGCTTCTGCACAGCAAAAGAAACTACTATCACAGTGAACAGGCAACCTACAAAATGGGAGAAAATTTTCACAACCTACTCATCTGACAAAGGGCTAATATCCAGAATCTACAATGAACTCAAACAAATTTACAAGAAAAAAACAAACAACCCCATCAAAAAGTGGGCGAAGGATATGAACAGACACTTCTCAAAAGAAGACATTTATGCAGCCAAAAAACACATAAAAAAATGCTCATCATCACTGGCCATCAGAGAAATGCAAACCAAAACCACAATGAGATATCATCTCACACCAGTTAGAATGGCGATCATTAAAAAGTCAGGAAACAACAGGTGCTGGAGAGGATGTGGAGAAATAGGAACACTTTTACACTGTTGGTGGGACTGTAAACTAGTTCAACCATTGTGGAAGTCGGTGTGGCAATTCCTCAGGGATCTAGAACTAGAAATACCATTTGACCCAGCCATCCCATTACTGGGTATATACCCAAAGGATTATAAATCATGCTGCTATAAAGACACATGCAAATGTATGTTTATTGCAGCACTATTCACAATAACAAAGACTTGGAACCAACCCAAATGTCCAACAATGATAGACTGGATTAAGAACATGTGGCACATATACACCATGGAATACTATGCAGTCATAAAAAATGAAGAGTTCATGTCCTTTGTAGGGACATGGATGAAACTGGAAACCATCATTCTCAGCAAACTATCACAAGGACAAAAAACCAAACAGTGCATGTTCTCACTCATAGGTGGGAATTGAATAATGAGAACACATGGACACAGGAAGGGGAACATCACACTCTGGGGACTGTTGTGGGGTGGGGGGAGAGGGGAGGGATAGCATTAGGAGATATACCTAATGCTAAATGACGAGTTAATGGGTGCAGCACACCAACATGGCACATGTATACATGTGTAACAAACCTGCACGTTGTGCACATGTACCCTAAAACTTAAAGTATAATGATAATAAAATAAAATAAATAAAAAATAAAAAGATTCTAGAGTTAGCAAAAGTCTGTAATTCTTGTAGGTCAAACATGGGAACTATCTTGGTTCCCAGCATGATGGGCCAACCTTGTACTTGAAGGTTTCATGGGGATTTCTTCGTTTTTCCAACTAGCTACACAGCTGTATTTTACTTTCAGGTATATATTTCATAGTATCAATTAGTGTCAATCTTAGGCAGGCAACAGTCCATCTGTTAAGCCAAGCTAAATGCAGAATTATTTATTGCCACACTCTCATGACAGCCACGGTACTGTATGATCTTCCTCCAGTTCTCAGCCTCCAGCTTGGATTTCCCTTCTTCACTTTGTGAACCTCATCCCCAAACACCCCTTTTGTTATTTCTGACTCTCTCTGGTTTGCAATTCATAACAGTTCTATATTTGTTTCTCAGATATCAAATGGGAATAACAATGATTACTCTTTTCATCTATTTCATAAGTAGGCTTTAATATTTTGTTTTATAGTATTTAGGTTTCCTAGATGATAAGCATTTTTAGCATTTTGTCACTACAAAGGCATGATTACAAAATACTTATTTAGGTAGGCTGAAAAATATTTCCCATTAAAGTCTATATTTGATTTCTAATACCTGTGACTATGTCACCTTAAATGGCAAAAGAGAATTTACAGATATGATTAAATCAAGGATCATGAGATGGGCAATTATCCTGGATTACCTGATAAGCCCTATGTAACCACAAGTTTCCTTAAATGAAGGTGACAGAGGTCATTGTCAGACAGAGATATGACAATGGAAACAGAGACACATGCAGATGTTACGCTGTTGGATTTAAAGGAGGAGGAAGTGGCCATGAGCCAAGACATGTAGGTGGACCCTAGAAGCTGGAAAAGGATAGGAAACACATTCTCCCCTAGAGTTTCCAGAAAGAACTAGCTCTACCAGAATCTTTACTTTCATCCTATGAGACTGATTTCAGACTTCTAATCTCCAGAACTGCAAGACAATAAATTTATGTTGCTTTAAGCCCCTAAATTAGTGACTTTTGTTACAGCAGCAATGAGAAACTAATACACTTTATGAATACTTGTTAGCTTCACAGCCAATGAGTTTGCCTCTAGTTAAAAAGTTAAACACTGGTTGTGCGGTGATTCCTCAAGGATCTAAAACTAGAAATACCATTTGACCCAGCAATCCCATTACTGGGTATATATCCAAAGGATTAAAAATCATGCTATTATAAGGATACATGCACATGTATGTTAATTGGGGCAGTATTCACAATAGCAAAGACTTGGAACCAACCCAAATGCCCATCAATGATAGACTGGATTAAGAAAATGTGGCACATATACACCATGGAATACTATGCAGCCATAAAAAATGATGAGTTCATGTCCTTTGTAGGGACATGGATGAAATTGGAAATCATCATTCTCAGTAAACTATCACAAGAACAAAAAACCAAACACCGCATATTCTCACTCATAGGTGGGAATTGAACAATGAGAACACATGGACACAGGAAGGGGAACATCACACTCTGGGGACAGTTGTGGGGTGGGGGGAGGGGGGAGGGATAGCATGAGGAGATATACCTAATGCTAAATGACGAGTTAAAGGGTGCAGCACACCAGCATGGCACATGTATACATATGTAACTAACCTGCACATTGTGCACATGTATCCTAAAACTTAAAGTATAATAATAATTTAAAAAAAAAGAAAATGAGGCACATATACACCATGGAACACTATGCAGCCATAAAAAAGGATGAGTTCATGTCCTTTGCAGGGACACGGTTGAAGCTGGAAACCATCATTCTCAGCAAACTATCACAAGGGCAGAAAACCAAACATCACATGTTCTCACTCATAGGTGGGAATTGAACAATGAGAACACATGGACACAGGGCGAGAAATATCACACACTGGGGCCTGTCGGAGGGTGGGGGTTTGGGGGAGGGATAGCATTAGGAGAAATACCTAATGTAAATGATGAGTTGATGGGTGCAGCAAACCAACAGGGCACATGTATACCTATGTAACAAACCTGCACGTTGTGCACATGTACCCTAGAACGTAAAGTAAAATTAAAAAAAAAAAAGTTAAGCACTGATTTTGTCTGTTTTGCATGTTTTATTTATAAGAGATAGTCTAAGTTATTTCCAAACTAAGTGATTGCAAAAGGTGTGGTGTATGCATACAAATGGTTTGATTAATCATTAATAAATTCATAAAGGCATCTAGAAAGAAATGTA
This sequence comes from Homo sapiens, assembly GCF_000001405.40. Taxonomy (NCBI): domain Eukaryota; kingdom Metazoa; phylum Chordata; class Mammalia; order Primates; family Hominidae; genus Homo; species Homo sapiens. The sequence continues at coordinate 59,956,211 of NC_000008.11, forward strand.
AAGGTGGGAATGCCCATCTTTGGAGACTGTTGTCTGATAACAAAATATAGGAGCAAAGGCTCAAGCAATATGTGATATGGTTCCAAGTAAAAATGTGAAAATGGTTTTCTTTTCCGCAGAAATGCTCCTGTCATCTTGATAAACACATTCTGGACTATAAGGGACTGATCTGCTTAATGAATAGATATTAGCTATCTACTAGAAGCTTAAATAGCACCACTTTGGGAGAGTGCTATAAAGCAAACAACAGCAAAAAAATTTTCTGAAATAAAATCTTTAGTGGTAAACAGAAATAAAATAATTGATTTAATGAGTTATGCATATTATAACGATAAATATGTAGTAAGTATTTTAATGTATTTGTGGGATTAATTAATACTTGCATCATTAATACTAATGCTAATACATTAATACTAATAAGATTTCCAGTTATTTATTTTTTCTTCTTGTTTGGAAACTCTCATTGTCCATCAGTTGTCACTAAATCAAGCCTCTGTTACTCCAGCCTGAGATGAAGTGATCACAGTTACTCATCTCCAGAAGTTTATAATTTTCTAGGAACACAGAAAAAAAAAATCATCTTTTTTAAGCTTACAGAGAAATCAACAGTGAATAAAAGTATTTAAACTTAGCATTTATTAAAGAAATGTAAATTTTAAATAATGAAAACTGTCATCTACCACCTTGACACTTGAGGAGTCTGTCCTCCTTGGGGAGGTCATGGAGGCTTTCATAGCAGAAGCTGTGCTAAGCTAGGTCTTCAATGGTGAATTGAAAAGGCCAAATGGAGAGGACGTAGAGGTCATTCTAGGCAAAAATATAGAAGGAAAAATGGCACAAAGGCATGGGGGAGTACAGAATGTTCAAGGAACTGAAAGGTTAGTACTAGAAGAGTTTAAAAGATGAGAAGAGAATCCGAAGAACTGAGGTAAGAGTTACAGGAGACATCAGATCCAAAATGGCTTGGAATGACATTCCATGGAGGATAGATTTTATCCTGCTGCCCAGAGAAAGGAATTTTAAGAAGAGAAATCAAATGACTGTCTTTGAAACAAACTTATTGTTGGCGATGTGGAAAATAGATTGAAGGGAAGAAAAAACAATTATACATGAGGGTGCTTCGAAGACCATTGTAACAGCCAGGATGAGATGAGATAGGACAAATATCTGCCCCAGGAGCTCCTCAGATTCACTCAGAGCATGAAAGGAAGAGATGGAACCAATATAGTAGGGAGGGGTAAAATCTCTTTGACTGGGTTATCGATTAACAGAGAAGGAGGAATTGGGGATGATGCTGAGAACTCCTAGTTAAATAACTGGAAGAACTGTGTTATTCACATTAAGGACGAGGGAAAGCATATTTGGGAGAAGTGCTATTTCTGCATCGTCCTTGTTGAGAATGCAGTGAGCGTGAGGCAAATAATTACAATTGTCCAAAGTGCTGTTGAGTACAGGAAACTCAAGCTCAGGTAAGAAATCTTGTTCAGAAATAGACTTGAGCCATCGGCATACATATGGGTGGTATTTGAAAGTGTGGGACTAAATGATATCACCTAGGAAGAGCAAACTGGAGCATTTTAAAGGTAATTTTGAAATAGCTGCTATGAGGACTTAGAAATGAAGATGTTTAGCAATTAATAAAAAAGATTATTCCAAGTGCCACGTTTTCTTCTTGTATATAACCTGTAAGTTTCTAGCTAAAAATTAGCCCTCTCCTTCAGGTGATGCTAAATTTGGTTGATTCAAACTGCTGATTAGTTCACTAAGAGGAAACTTATTTATAAGCTATTCATCAAGTGTGGTGGGTTTTACATCTTTTAAGCCTATTGATTTGACGACACATAAATGGAGCTGTGCTTCTCTTCTCTAAAATGTTTTCTGGTCATTATGTATTTATTTCATTGATTCTATTTTTAATACTATAAATCATTTTTATATCTGGAACTTCTCTAAATTCTTCACATTTTTTTGTCTTCTGAACTTCTGAATGTGACCGTCTACTGAAGTAAGGTAAATGTGTAGTTTTATCTATGTATGTAAAATACAATTTTATACATTTTATTAATAAATTCTATTTTTAGTTTTATTTTTCAGTGTCATCCTTATACAAAACCTCCTCCTCCACTTAGTAACAGCTGTTTGGGGTCATAAACTTTGTTTTGTTTAATGGTTAGGAAGGTTTGCCTCAAGCAAGGTCTCCCATCTTGGGCCCAGTCAATAGGTATATTTGTTCCTAAGGAAAAGGAAACATTTACTCTGATTATCTTTAAAGGGGATATATAAAGCTTACATATTTCCCCTACAATTACACCTTTGATCATATTGCCTAAAATTGACAATTGTGTTTTACAATTGGAACAGTGGAGTTAATTAAGTAAACCCTAGGATAAATAGAAGAATCTAAACAAGGTAGTGAATATTTAATCTGATTCCAACTGTAGCGAAGCACCTTTCTAAGAATAGGAAGTTGTACATTACATAGCAAAGGAGATTTTCATTCATTTTTGTTGGTGTCATTTTGTGACCACACGGCCTAATTTCCAAATTGCTTCAGCTAACTTTGTCATGCTAAATAGCTGGAGCAATTATAAATTAAATAATCAGGAGAAACTCAATTTCTGGTTTCCACAGGGAAATTCTAAATTCAGAAATTTGAAGTGGAAGTTGAAAACGTAGCTACTATGAGTCACTCTGAAGTTTCTGATGCCCTTAAATCTATGTAAAGGCCATGCTTTTTTTTTTTTAAGAAGAAAGAAAAGAAATGGGAGTCAAAGTATAGTCTTACTCATTGCTGATTCTAAAGAAATTCTCCTTTAGAAAATTTCCAAAACATGTTTTTTTTTAATTTTTTAAACAATAAGAGCATTCTGAAAGCTCTAAGAAAGAGAACAAACAGATCTTTGAGAATTAGTTCAACTTATATACCTTTTTTTTTGTAATTAAGAACAAACTAAAGCTAAATGCATTGGTTAGTTTCTTAACATGAAATTATGTATGAACCATGTATAAAATATATTTAAGTGGATAATTTGGTATTTTTACCTTTTTCACCTATACATAAGAACAAATATTTAAAACAAATATTAGTCATAAAAATGATAACCTAACATGATGCTATGAAATAATTCATCTGCAAGGAACTGCAAGAATGAAAAACTCTATCACTAATAAATAGTAGATGGTAAAGCAAGCAGCCATGGTCAATAGTAAGAAAGTACCATTATTACTAAATGGTACTATATGCTCATAACGCATGTCATTTGTTATATATTCATTGATCCAATAAAAATTTATGGAATTCCTATTAAGAAATCTAGCCAGGATGCAAGATAGGAATGTAAACAAATAAGCACAGTGTAATAGGTACAATAGCAAAGGATGTTTCACATGATGAGAAATAAAATGATTTTAACTGAAGACATAGGCAAAGCCTGAGAGAGAAGGCCATCTTTGTTCTGAGCCTTGATAAATGAATTGGATTCATCATGCATTTCTTCTGCACTCTAGACAGAGGTAAAGAGGTGTTACAATCTCAACCCAAGTGTCCAAATCTAACCCCACTTCAGAAAAACTCAAGATACTTTTAAAGACTTTAGCTTTCTTTCCTGAAAAGTTTTGATTCAGTACATCTAGAAAGGGACCCAAGAATTTGTATTTATTTCTAAACTCCCAGGTGATATTATGTGAAGTTTGGTGTGAATTGGGTAGGAGGTGGGAATGGGCAGTAAATTTTGTCGTGAAGATGTACTGGCCCTCATTTGTGAATACCTTTTTTTCTAAAAGACAATCTAAAGCAGTTTTCTCAACCTTTCATGTGCATATGAATCACCCCCTGGTAAAGACAAATTCTGATTCAGTAGGAGACTGCATTTCTAGCGAGCTCCCAAGTTGTACTGATGCTGCTGGTCTACGGACCATACTTTGCTGCTCCAGTTTGATAAATTGACAGGTAAAAGGGCACAACAAAAATTAAGAATGTAAGTGTAGGAAGGTAGAGGAAACACCCCTGGTTTCCAAGTTGATGGGGAGACACTGTTGAATGTTTAGAATTTTTAATACTCTCTGGTCTTGGTGTATCTTGGATATTCAGGAGGGAAATAAGTTGCTTTTATTAACTTCACAAATTAACTTTCTACTAAATAGAGAATAGTGCAATGGTAAAAACTATGTATTCTGAAGTCCAATTGAATGGCTTCAAATTCTACCTTCATATTTTGATAGCTATGATAGTGTGAGCAAATAATAATAATAATAATAATCTGCTCGTACCACATTTCCTTATTTGTAAAGTGGAGATAATAAGAGTACTTACCTCTCCAGAGATGGGGAGGATTACTAGTTAACATATGGAAAGCGTGAAGAGCATGTTCTGGCCCAGTCAAGCAATATAACAACATCTGCCACTTTCTTATCTTTGTTTGTTTTCACAGATATCAATATGAGGTCATATTGAGAACTGAAAGAAATGTTCAACTTGTTATTTTTCTCACAACTCCCTTGGCTTTCTGGTAAATCTGGCTTTCAACCCTGTTCCTTTTTTTTTTTTTTTTTTTTTTTTTTGAGACAAAGCTTCGCTCTTGTTGCTCAGGTTGGATGGAGTGCAACGGCTCGATCTCGGCTCACTGCAACCTCCGCCTCCTGGGTTCAAGCAATTCTCCTGCCTCAGCCTCCTGAGTAGCTGGGATTACAGGCATGCACCACCACACTCGGCTAATTTTTTGTATTTTTAGTAGAGACAGGGTTTCTCCATGTTGGTCAGGCTGGTCTTGAACTCCTAATCTCAGATGATCCACCCACCTTGGCCTCCCAAAGTGCTGGGATTACAGGTGTGAGCCACCAGGCCTGACCCCTGTTCCTTCTTATTGCAACATGATGAATCTCCCTTCCATTTATTCCTCATCTATCTGTCTAGTCCCATCATATTTAAAAATCTTATACCTTTACCCAGCTTACTTTTTCTTCTCCCATTTTTAGATCACCTAATCCTCTATGAATCTGTGAAACTCTACCTCTCAACATTTGTTTGAAACCATTCTTAACCAAGGTCAATGAACTTTTTCTCTAGGCAAATCTGTTTTTCCACATTGTTAGTCATCTCTTTCTCAAAATTTGGCAGCCATTTCATAGTAGAAACAAAAATTTCAAATACATATTATATTCACAAATGTTATCACAATTTTAAACAAAGCCACAGCCATTGTAATCTGGGGTTTAATGGATAATCTAAATTGGGGAGCAGGTGTGCAGATTGGCAAAGGGAAGGCAGATAAGTATTCCAGGTATATCAGACAGCATTAAAAAAGCCCACCTGTCAGCTGGGCTAACCAACAGAGACATCAGACTCACCACCTGACTTCTGTCATGCTCCAACTCATCTTTCAGACCTTCACTGCCCCAGTTCTCTTGCCCAGTTGTTTAGGTCTTATTCCTAAAATGAATTCCTTACTTGTAATAAATGCAATGGTTCTGCTCCCCTGATTAATACTGAGTGACACCAGAGTTTAGAATTCAGCCTTGATCTCATAGAAAATAATTGAACATTAAAGCTTCTCAAGCAGAGAATGACATGGTAAAAGTGGGTCTTTGGGGAGATGACTTAACAGTGGTTTTCATTCTAATTTCATCCTGGCTTGTGAGAGTTAATAACTGAAAGAAGAGATAGGACCACATGGCCTATCATGGTAAGTCAAGTGAGAGATAGAGTCCTCAGAAGGGAGACAAAAATAAAGAAATGATCAGATCATCAACTCTTCAAAGTCATTGACTCTGGTATTCGTCTTTTCAGCGTCTTCGTGGTGCAATACAGCCCTGGACACACAGTAGAAATATGTCAAAAGTTTACAACATTTGAGAAAAAATTAAATGCATAAAATATGAGTCATGCTTTTCATTTATTAATACAAATTAAAACAAAATAGTCCCCAATTTCCACTGAAATGTAAGCTCCATAAAACTATAGATGTTGGAAATTTATTGTACCATTGCTGTACTTTCAGGCCTCAAACAGCGCCTGGTGCATATTAATGTGTGGATAAATATTTATTAAATGAAATTAATGACTGATGCCACTAGACATCATAATCTCTTTCTTAAATACATAACATGGAACATTCATTCAGTTGAATTGTTTATTTCAAAAGAAAGTTTCCAAAATCAGAGTTTACAGAGAATGCTGCACAATCACATAAATATCCCCAAACACTTAATCTATGAATTAAACTTAACTTAGAATTTCAGAGTGCAGAATTCTATAGAAAATGACTTCATGAAAAAGTTTATGTTCTTTATCTAAAAAAAGTTTATATTTAATATATTTCTGTCACAGGATTTGTCATTGTTGTTGCTTTTTTTTTCCTGGGCAAGAAATGACATCGAGAGGTTTTTTTCCCACCATTCAGGAAAATCATTTTAGGGCTATAAATATTAATGGGTTTAGTAATAAATTACACACTTGAATGGCATTTTATTACTTAAAACTAAAATATTAAAAACCTTATTTGAAATGCACAGAGAAATCATGTAATTTAAATCACCTTAGACTTGGAAATGGACTGCAAAACACTGCTTAGAAAGAAGGATAATTCTTAAAATATGTATTTTGGTAATGGGCCAACATATTCCACAGAATCATCTAAAAAGAAAGTGGACAGATTCTCTGGTCTAGTATATTTTTTCTCAGATAAGCAAATTCTTTTTATTTGCTTCCCTTGGCCATTCTCTAAAATTAATAACATAAGCACTGAAGTTAGAATTGCTAAGAACTAATTTTTCTTGCCATTGAAGCAAGATTTTCTTCTCTCTGAAAATGAATTTACTAACAATGTTATAAATCAAGGGTGTCATCTCCTAAAAAGTAAATCTTACAGATCGGCCACACACATGACATATATACTCAAAAGTATGTATCCAAATCATACTTCTTCCTTTTGGAAATTTGGAATTAGAATTAATAATTTAAGCATTGATATTAATTTATTTCTCAACTGTATAATAAATGAATTTCTCAGATGAATTCTATCTGATCATTTTAGAGATAGAAATAATAATTTTATTCAGGAATCAATCACCATCATTATATCTTCAACCAATATCATGACCAGGGCATAAGATACTGTCCTTGCTCCCATTAATTTTGTCCAAAATTCTTTAATTCTAATTAATTACAAAAATAATCAATAAATATGTGGTTTGCCTGGAGGAGTTGAGCGTAGTTGTAAGTTAGCCTATTTTACGTAAGATAAAACAGGTTTTAAATTTAGCTACATGACCTTTCCAGTCACTAATCAGAGTTTATTTTTATGCCACTTCCCCATTAAGAACTTTTTCAGTGATTCCCCCACTGCACACAGAATAAAACCTGGTTTCCTTAGCTCAGTAGTCAAGGACCATTCTAATCTGCTCCAAGACTTCTTCTACAGTCTAATTCTCATTCTTATTTTACTGTCCACAACAAGCCATCCACATCAGATCTTTTGCAGTTCCTGAAGATGCCTCAACTCTTCACTTTCAAGGTGTCAGTGCAACATGAAGGGAACACCTGGAATAGTCTCCTTTCCCACCACTAGTTTCTCCCATTCTTAAAAACTGTACCTAGTACTGCCCCCAATTTTACAAAATGTTCTCATCTCTATCTGCCTTACCTGCCAGGCCCTGAGACTGTGGTAAAGAGGGATCCTGTCTTATTCATATTTGTATTTATTAGAGAAACACATAAGTGCTCTGTTAATAGTTATGAATCGAATCACATTAAATTGAATTGAAACTGGAAGCTGGGGTAGTGGTGGGGATGGGAATATGGCATCAAACCAAGTTCTCTAATGCAGCCACAGATCAATCAGCAAGTACATTTCTCAGTACTAAAATCCAAGATCTGGATTGGTCACTATAGGGGGTAAATAAAAAGGAAAACAGGCCAGCGGGCTGGCTCATGCCTGAAATCCCAGCACTTTGGGAGGATGAGGTGGGTGGATCGCTTGAGCCCAGAAGTTCAAAACCAGCCTGGGCAACATGCCAAAAGCCAGTCTCTACAAAAAAAATACAAAAAACTAGCTGGGCATGGTGGTGTACACCTATAGTCAGCTATCCAGGAGGCTGAGGTGGGAGTATCACTAGAGCCTGGGAAGTCGAGGCTGCAGTGAGTCATGATTGTACCACTGCACTCCAGCCTGGGTGGCAGAGCAAGACCCTGTCACAATAAATAAATAAATTAATTAATTAATTAAATAAATAAATAAATAAGAAAACACCTTCAAGAATCCACAGAATAATGCCTTAAATTATCTCATTTAAAGAAGGGTGACAAGAGCTAAATTTGACCAGATGATTTATATACAGTACCATTTAAGCATCAAAACAGCCACTTTAAGGGACCATTACTTTTACAAGTGAAAAAACTGAGGCCCAAAGTCACACAGCAAGTAAGTAGCAAGATAAAAATGTAAACTCACACCTGTTAGGTCCCAGGGTTTGTGCTCTCAACCACATCCAATCGCCTTGAGTCTCAGAGCGAGTTTTGTTGTCTATGCTTTTTAAAATGTCACTTCTATTTTTATAATTTAAAAGTATATATTAATTGCAGAATTGACCATAGTGCCACTACCCAGAGGCAACCAAATTTTGTTTTCAGTTTTTTTCTGTGAGAATAAATAAACAACACATATGTTTTCCTGATATTAGATCACTATGTATACTTCACATGTTATGATAATTTTATTCACGTTTTGCACTGAACACTTTCTACATTATTTCAACATTCACCTAAAATATGTTTTTATGCTACATATTATTTTAATTATGAATTAACAATAATTTAACTCTATAAAATCTTGCATCATTAGATATCTAGCTTGTTTTCTACCTTTTACTATTATAAGTAAAATTTTGTAAGCATCCTTGTGCATAAACATTTTTGTGCATCACTGATTATTTATTTGGGGTTTCAATTTTCAACTTTTATGGGAAAGGGAAAGAAAGTCACAAGGAAGTTAAGCTGTATCTGATTTCACACTGCTAAAGAGTAATGAACTCTAGACTTCAATGCAAACCATCTAATCCGGGTTTTCCCAACTTCATACACCGTTAACATTTTGAACCAGATAACTCTTCATTGTCAGGGGTCATTCTATGCATGGTAAACTATTAAGCCTCACCTCTGGCCTCTATTCCTAGAAGTCAGTAGCAAGAAACCCTCCACTCATGACAATAAAAATTGTCTCCAGATATTATTGTCCAATGTCCCAGGTTGGGCGAGGGGATCATAACATCCCTCTCCTCTCTCATTGAAACTCACTGATCGAATATAAAAGACTCAGACCCATTAGATCCATCTACATTATATAGACTTGATTTTGGAGGGAGAAGAAAAAATCAGCATATAAATATATTTCATTTCCAAAAACTGGTAAAGGTCCATGAAGGATGCGACAAGTATTTTGCACTATATGAGACTATGTAATTGTCTTCAATTGACTTCAAGAAAACATAACGAGCATTCCTGAACACCAAAACAATATCCAAAAATGTGCAGAAAAGAAGTACCAGTTTTGTGCGAAGAATGACAAACCTGAATATATAAAAGACGGTTTTTTAATAGCCTGCAATATAAGACACTTCACAGTAACCACTTGAAAAATGAAGATAAAGCCCTGAATAGAGACAGATTGATATGTAAAGAAAAAGAAGGAGTAGAGGTTAATGAATTATTTCTAAATCAATATAATGTAATAAAATTCCCTCTTCTGTGAAAATGTGAAATTTGCATTTATGCCCAGTGAAATATAGATGAACAGTGATTGTGCTTATTACACCTGTCATAGTGAAAAAAAAACAGGGCACATTATCTACTAGTTACATTTGTTCAAAACTGATTAACCTTAATACATTTTTCCCTTCACTGATCTTATGGAGTTTACTGAATATAGCGCGTCTTGATTAAAATTGCCCACATCTGAATTCAAGTCATCTTTTTTTCTAACTCATATCTCTTCGATTATTTCTTTAAATTAACTGTTTAACTAATGGGAATAATGCAATCTCTTGGTCATTATATACTTAAAAACTCAGATAGGGAGTTTCCCAAAATAAAATTTTCAAGAAAATGAAAAGAAGATATTAGAATAACAGTGCTTTTGCCCTTTTCTATTGGTTTAGAATATAAATTTTTGAGAGTAACATGGAAGTCTTTATAAATAATCATTTTCCTTGTGTTCGAAATGCTATGTACTTGCAGTTTGCAAATATTCCATTCTGCTTTGGCTAATTCAGGCATTTTTGAAGTTCTATTATTTGATACAAAATCCTTGAATCAATATTTTTGTTTAACTGGGTGTGTTTTTGTCATTTGCCTACCTAGCAACTGACTGAATTTCCCTAACAGTTGATCTGATTTTATCATTAAGAAAACTAAAAGCACCTATTTATTTGTCAGTCCACAGTGTATGAAGAAAATTCACGGCTCTTCTTTTTTCACTTGAGTCTGATCTATTACTATTGTGGCCAAACCTGCACAACTGAGATATGTGGGGATTCTTTTTCATCACAAATCTGCATGGTAGCAAAAGGAGTAAAAACACAGGGCCAAAAGAGGTACATCCAGTGTCACAAATGAGACCAAGAATTTTCCAATCAGATTAACTCACTACAATGATGAACATTATTTCTTTGCAAATAGAGACTTTTTGATTATTAAATGCGAACTATATCTGTCTCAATTAAATTTTTTTGAAAAATGCTCTATCAGAACTACTTTTTGCAGCTTCATAATAATCTTGAGCTATACAATCAATACCCATACTTTTGGTTAATAATCTTTTGGGCCTGCACTTAGTAATATTTTTACAGAGTAAATTCATTTTCTGTTAGTGCATGCAGAAAGTGTAATATGAAAATAAAGCCATCCTTTTGTCATTTTAATTTACAATGGTTGACTCATTATTTAACTCACATCTAGCCTATAGTGTCTTTGACCTATTTACACAATCATCACGACCCTCCACCCCATGCACACTCACCCCACACTCCAGTCTCGGGCTTAGACTACTATCTGCCACGGCTCTCTCAAAGGAAAATATAGAGTGTGGTATGAGCTTAAGAGAAGAATAAAATTAATATATTGGAACAGAAGTGAAATAGTAAATATTCTGCTTGAATGAACAAACAATAACTTGTCCTTATTAGGTCTGCAGGATATACTACAACTGACTAACCATAATATACCCAGACATTTTTCAGAAAAAATTACCTCTGCCAAGTTACTTTCAATACATACTAAAAAGAAGGCTCAGTAGGTTAACACACATACATGCATGCATGCTGTCTCTCTCTCACACACACACACACACACTCACACACTCAACTAACAGGGCTTTAAAGTATGCCAAAGAGTCCCATTTTGAAAACACGCTGAAGAAGTACTCAGTACTGAGTTCTTAAAATATTTTAAAGTTCATTTAATTAATTTAAAACATGGAGACTGTAAGGGGGAAATGCACATTATAAAGTGATAAATGATTCTGTCTGTGATGAGAGAAATTCTACTAGGAATAAGTAAGAATAAGCACAAATCTAGTTGTTTTTAGAACTTGCTGAGATTCAGTTCCTCTCCAGCAGATCCAAGAAAAGTGTGAGACAGAATAAATGTCCTATTTTCTCTTTTTGAGCCTGGAGATTACTTGAATAGGTGACTTCATCATTTTCTTGCACTGTTTGTAATTCTAGGACAATTGCCAATGACACGTTTTTCTCAGCTATTCCAAGGCCCCAATTCAAACTTGTTTACACAAAAATTGCCAGGAAACATATTTAGCGGCAATAGAGTCTCCCTCTCTTTCTCTCTCTGGTCAGAGCCCATCAGAAGGTGTTAAGATTTTTTTCCTGTGCCAATTAATATGAAATTGCCAACATCCATCATTTTTAATGCAAGTGATACTCATACCCATCAGGGAAATATATGAGAGACAAATACCAAGATTGCTTAAGGTTGGTCTCAAGGTCAATCTCTTCAATCTACCAGAAACATTCATAGGCAGCTGAAATTTCTTATGATTTTTCAGTAATCTTTTAGAGCACCTTTCAGTAGACAAGTTGTATCTTTGTCATTTGAAGTGGCCAACACAAGTTTCGACTCAGAGACAGGCTTGGAGTAGGTTAAATGAAAGAGAACACATTTATCCCAAGACAAGATCAGTGGCAGACATCTCTCTTGGCACCCTTTTCCACTAGAGGGTTTGATATACCCCTTTGATTTAATATAAGATTGTCTAAAAATAAACATATTTATTTTGTTTATAGAGGAAAAAAATGGTGGGGGTTTGAAAAATACTTCACCGCTAAACTTTTAATGGAAGATTGCTCAATTAAATAGATGTAGGAAAAGGTAAATTGTACAACCTTAGCAATTTTATAAATTGGCTATTCATCCAATTTAATTATGAGTTTTGAAAGTGTCAGTATGTTTTTATATGAAATGACAATGTCTAAGTATATAAGCCTTAAATTAAAAACATAAAACTTAAAAACCAGGACAAAATATCATTCTGCTGTGAAAAAGTAGTGAAAAACATGGACAATTTAGTGGCATAGACACTACAAAAAAAATGTTCTTCCTTTTGAGTAAAAGAAAGAGGAAACCTACAGATTAAATCCCCAAGGAAGTCAATTGAAAGGAAAGAGCAAGTATTAACGCTGTCATACAATTTTAAAATAGCACCAGATTAAAAAGAACCACCGGGTACTTTCATTCTTATTTTTTCCATAAAGAAAAGTTGTATCAGCTCTGGTAGAGCAGATCAGATGATTTCAGAAACCACATCCTCATTACTCAGAACCAGATTCCACCTTTCAGTATTTCAGTATTATTAGTTCTGTCCCCAATTTCTTCTTTTGAAACCACTGCATGTGTTCTCAGTGGTCCAGTGACCACCACTGATGTTAATCAGGTTCCTTATTTTCATAACCATAGTGATGTTTAAGATGAAGTAGGTCAGGCAAGAGAGGGAAAAGTTATAACTGGGGAGTAGGTCAATGTGTGCTAGGAATATCAAACACACACAAATTGACCTTACTATTTTTAAAAATGGTTGTTACATTAGAGTTAAAAATAATTGTTTGATTTATCTTTTCTAGTTTTTTTAATGATCTGTTTTCACAGTTGGTGAACACATCTCATTTTGATATTTCTATAGGAGTTCAGAACTTCAGAAGTAAACACTTCTTACAGTCACTCCTCTCCATGGTAGGAGAAGTGACTTACCCAAATTGAGACAGGAGAGAGCCAATCATCCATTTAGATATAATAATCAGGGCAGCATTGCTTCATGGACACACAGATATTTCCCCTCACCCTCTCCTGCTCCCCCAGTACACAGGATGCTCTCCCATGCCTTTTTCACTCATAGGGAAGGTCAAGAGAGTCACAGCCCTTCTCTAGCTTCTTTGCCTGGGACCAGGAGTATCACTTGTCAGTTCAGAGTGCCCTAAACAGGCTCTCCTTTGTCTAATCCAGCTTCACCAAGGTATTGGTTATGTACTGCCACACAATAAATGTATTTTGGTGCTTTAAAACACATTTAGCATTTGTAGTCTCTCGCACTTTTTGTGAGTCAGAATCTCATCTTTTTCTTAGCAGCATTCAATGAATCCTTCATTCTAGAAACACTCTATATCTTTGGTTTTCATGAGACCATTCTCACCTTGTTTTGTCCTATGACTTTTTTGAAAAAAACAAAAACAAAAAACCCTTTTTTTCTTTTTAAATTCTGGTAAAAAACACAGTGAAAATTTGCTATCTTAACCATGTTGAAATGTGCAGTTAGTAAAGGACATTCACATTGTGGTGCAAGCCATCACTACCATCCATCACTAGAACCCTTTTCATCTTGCAGATCTGAAACTCTACCCATTAAACAACTTCCCATCTTCCCATCCCCACAGCTCCTAGCAACCAACATTCTACTTTCTCTATCAGTTTGACTACTCTAGGTACCTCATATGAGTAGAATCATACAGCATTTATCCTTCTCTGCCTGGCTTATTTCACTTGTATAATGTCCTCAAGGTTCATCCATGTTGTAGCATGCATCAGAACTTCCTCCCCTTTTAAAGGCTGGAGAATATTTCATGGTATGTTTAGACCACATTCTGTTTATCCATTCATCCATCAGTGAACACTTGTGCTCCTTCCAACTTTGGGCTGTTGGGTGTCCTGCCACTGTTGCTCCTAGTGCTCAATCTCGATTACTCCCTCCTAATCGAGTGTACAACGTTGGACACTGTGCAGGATGATGCCACTTCATCTTGGATGCTAATCTGCCATGTTGACTTCTGATTAACCCCAGGCCCAGGAATGCCTCAAGATTTCTACTTTACTTACTGTTGCTTGTGTAAGCCAAGACAACCTTGATGTTATCATAAACGTGTACTTACCTAAGTCCTGTCCTTTGGCAAATTATGGGCTATGAGACACAGCATTCTTGCCTTTCCCTGAGGGGTCAGTTTCAGCGATCCTACACATTCCTTCTGAAGCACGTATGCTCTTTCTATATGGTATGTAAGCTCTGGGTCTGGGGAGTAACAGTGCAGAGATCTACCTGTCTTGTTGCCACATGTTTCTAAACTTTCCAATAAATCACCTTCTACTGACAAAAAAAAAAAAAAAAAAAGAAAGAAAATCTGACAGGGCCCAGTGAGGTCAGCTCATCTCCATGATGCCTGGAGCCTCATCCAGAAATCTTGAAGGCTGTGGCCTCAAATCAACTGAAGGCTCACTCATGCATGTTCTTGCAGTTGATGCAGGCTGAGACCTTAGCTGGGACTGTTGACTGGAACATCTATACATGCCTTTCTGTATGGCTGGGGCTTTCTTATAATGTGGTAGCCAGCTTTGAAAGTCAAGTGAAGAGAGAGAGAGAGAGAAGGATTGGGAGGCTATACCCCTTATTACCCAGTCTCAGAAGTCATGGTAGCATCACTTGTACTCCATTGTTCAGCACAGTCACAAGGAGAGAGAGCTTAGACTCATCTTTCAGGAAGATGAGTGTCAGCCACATTGTAAGAAGAGCTTGTGGGATAAGATAGATGTATTGGCAGTGGCATCTTTGGAAGATACGATCTGCCACCACCAATAATAAATCAATATTGTGTGTTTAGCCTCAGTTCACTTCTGGAGAAAAAGTGAGATGTTAGGCTTCCCCATTCTCCAATTATTTTCAACCATTATTTCCATTTCGCAAGTATGAAGATTTCTCCATGCACTCAGCAATATGCTACAAAGTGTTACAAGAATATTTGTTTAAAGTAAGATACAAACTCTGCCTTCAGAGACCTAATAATTGCCAAGATCTTGATTTCCAGAGTGCTTTATATTTTAGAAATGTATTTGTATTGACAATCTTACTTGATCCCTGAAAGATTCTTATGATTGATTGTCTATTTCGTCTCTGAGTAAACTGAAATTTCGAAGAGTTCGGTAACTTACTCAGAGCTATACAAGTAACACACAATGGAAACAAGACTCAAATTATAAAGAAAATTTCCTAGGAGTTCTGTATAGTCTAGTGAAGCCCTTTTCTATTTTTATTCTCTCCTACTAAACTTTAGAGGTATGATTTAATTTAAAAATAAAGACATTTTGTTAAGAAAAATACTAGTTCAAGTACAACTACTCTAATCTTGTGTTTGATACTCCTCACCACACCCTCCACTCCCCACATTAAAGAAAGAAAACTAATCAGGATAACTAAAGGTAGAAACTGCCAAAGCAGGGAAGGGCAGCAAGGAGAGCACATCAGATAACTCAGCACCAAAGCAAGGGGTTTCTCTGTCCTCTGGTGGAACTGATTAACTATAAGTCAAAAGGAATGGCTGTTTCACATCTCTTAGTGTTTCATAGATACATCCTAAATGAGTGAAGTGGGCATTTTACTGGTATATACTTTAGGAATGTTTGAAGGCTTCAAACATAGGCAAAAAATTAATATGTGGCAATGCAAATGAAAAGACATCTAATATTTATCTGGTGTTTGTATTCATTTTCTAGAACTGCCATAACAAAGCACAACAGACTGGGTGGCTTAAATGACAGAAATTTAGTTTCTCACAGCTCTGGAGGTAAGAAGTCCAAAATCAAGGTGTTAGCAGGGTTGGTTCTTTTAGAAGCTCGCTCTTTGATTTGCAGATGATGGTCTTCTGCCTGTGTCTTCACAGGCTTTCCTCTGTATGTCTCTTCTCACACACCATTCTTTTTGTAAGAACACTAGTCACATCAGAGTCCACCCTAATTACCTCACCTTGACTAACTACATCTACAATGTCCCTGTTGCCAACTACGTGCACATTTTGAGGTACTGGGATTAGGACTTTAAGATATGGATTTTGGAGGGACACAATTCAACCCGTAATACAGTTCCATCAATTCTATTAAAAAAAAAAAAACAAATAGAGAAGGCTTGCTAATAACATTTAAGACAGAAGGTTATTCAGCTGTGTGCTGATCAGGATGACATAATGTTCCACTGTAAAGAGCAGAAGAGCTGGCAAAACAGAAAGCAAAAGTGAGTTGGTCCCTGTTAACCCATCCTTGGGTGACTTGAGTCATGGCATAGGCAAATCTGCGTGTTCATTGCTGGGGCAAGAGCCATCACAGAAGCATTTTTTGCATTACATTTTGGCTCCTCTGTCCACCACAATCTGCTTACTTAGGTTGTCCCTGTAACACTCTCCGTTATCAGTGTCTCTATTGATGAGGTCAATACACAGAAGGACAGGATCTACTCAGAAAGTTATTTTATAATAGTCTTGCTGCCAACTGTACAGGCAGAACCTAGGGATTTATAAATAAATAAAGGCAAACCTTCAGATACCTTGCCAAGTGAATTCAAAAGATATTCTGAAAGCATTGAGAGAAACGAAAATAAATTTTGATTCAAGACAATCCCAACAGTGTGGGCTTAATTCAGATATGACTTTTAAAATGTTAGAAGATGACTTTAAAATTGATCTAGATGTTATCTATTTTAAATGTATTTATCACATTATTGTTTGGGTCTCTTAATAAAAATATAAAAGGAAAATAAGTATCCTACCACATTATTCCTTTAGTTTATGCAAAGACATTCAAATGGAGAAGTGCCCAACAGCACTTGGCAAATCTCATTTTTAAATGTTTTATTATAAAACACTTAAAATATGTGAAAAAGAGGTTAAGATAATGAATTTCTAGAGATACTCATCACAGGATTCATAATTATCAAACATTTGCCACATTTACTTCATCTATTGTTTGTGCACGTGCACTCTCTTTTCTTTCTCTCTCCTCTCTCTCCCTCTTCCTCTCTCATGTCTCTCTCTTTCTTCCCTGCATAATTTTAATTCAAGTCCCAGCCATCATTTCACTCCTACATACTTCTGAACATATTTCTAAAAGTTATAAACATTTTCTTACAATACTCAGTGCTGTTATTAAGCCTAAAATATAGCAATAATTCCTCCATAGCATCTAACACATATTCACATTTCTCAGATTGTCTCTAAATGTGTTACAGTTTGTTTTATTTGAATCAGGATCAGAATAAGGTTTTTAAATCATAGTCACTTGCTACACTAATTAGCACATTTTTAAAAATGTAATTAAAGACCTTAAACTCTGAACTCACGGGATTTAGATGAGACGTTCTCCTTATTTTCCTTAGAGAACTTCCCCACCCAGAACTGTCTTGACTTTGTTCCCACATATTTGCTCCACACAAGCTAATCCTGGGTCAGGCCCCATGTTACCCAATCTGAGAAAATCTCAAACACCTAAGAGAGGGAGGAGACAGACAAATCACCACAGGAAAAGAAAGGATAAGAATATTCTGAGGCAGGACTTATGAAAATATGTTTTACTTCTTTGGGAAGAATTTGAATTTTAAAAAGCAAGTGGACAAAGAAGAGATATTGAAAACTGTACCCCCACTATACCACCAAAGGCTTTTTGTTCTGGATACTGATTTCAGTTTGGAACATTCAGCTCTTATGGTCAATCCATTGTAATGAATGAGTGCATGGTCCTTATTGTATTAAAGTGCATAGATATTTGTATTGAATGCAGAGTGGAAAAAAGATTCTCCTTTCAAAGGAGTAAATCTGTATGGGAATGAAAACTAGTATAATTATAATAACAAAACACATATATATTTCGGTAGGCAGAAGTCTAAGATGGTCCCCGAGATTTCTACTCCCTGGTATGCACATCTTGTATAATCTCCTCCACTTAAGTGTAAGTGGAACCTGTGAATATGATGGGAGAGTTGCTCTTGACTAGGTTACATTATATGGCAAATGGTGATGGGATAGACATCTCTATGGTTATGTTATGGAGAGGGTTGGAGGTCAGAGGCAGTCTTGATGGTCTGGAAGAAGCGAACATCCATGCTGCACCTATAGGGACCCCATGAGGAGGAATTGCAGCAGCCTCTAGGAGCTGGGAGCAGGACCTAGCTAACAGCCAGCAAGAAAATGGACATCTCATGACTATACCCACATGGAACTAAATTCTGCCAACAAACTGAATCAACTTTGAAAAGGACCATTTGCGGCCAACCTCTCAATTGCACCCATGTGAGACGTTGAGGCAAAGAGCCAGCTTGCCTGGACTCCCGCTCCATGAAAACTGTAAAATAGTAAATATATGTAGTCTTAAGAAACTAAACTTGTGGTGATTTGATGTGCAGCAATAGAACATTAATATACCCTATGCCTATGTATGTATTATATCTGTATGTTTATACATAGAAAAAACAGATGTCAGAAAGTTTAGGGTCAAGAGATAACTAGAATATAATTGTAACAAATAATATTAGGAGCAACTGTTTAAAAGATTAAAGGGAGAAGAGTGAAGTACACTTTTGGGTGCTAAACAATAGTCCTTGTTCCTTCTTTATTGCTAACAATGCCCTGATTTTGTTCAACATGTAAGTAGGTATGTCCTTCAATGAAGGAGGTGGCAGCCTCAGAGGGTGGACACTATCTGGTCGGATCCACTCATGGGCCTCACTGCCCTAGGTGTGGGCATGGGATGAAGCTCCGAACAGTGAGACATAAGGGGAAGTGGCTGTGAAAACTTCTTCTCACTGTTAAAAAGTTGCACACAGGAGGAAATTTTTTTTTTTTCATTTCTCCAGATTACCTGGATGTGGTGGCTGCAATTGCATCTGCTATCTTGGGTGAATAAAGAAAACCAGCATAAGAAAACAATCCAAAATGCTGAACATGGCAGAATACAAAAATAGAAAATATGAAGCTGTGACCTTGAAGATGTCATCGACCCCCTTAATAAAAAAAACATGAAGTCACCCTACCAGAAGACCTTTTGTTGTTTGAGTTAATAAATAATAAATTAAGCCATTTTAGTTGTATTTTCTGTTATTTGCTGCCAAAGGCATTCTAATGTAAGCTTTTAGGCAGAATTGTGCACATTGTGTGTGGAGAAAGAGCACATACTTGGTTAGTGCTTATTGTCAAGAGGTCAAAAGAAATTGTCAAAACTCTCCTTCTCTCTTGACACATTTTAGACTCATCCTAAGGAATATGAAACTGGTATTTCACTAGAGTTACGGGAACTCATACTGTAGGCAAGTCTATGCCTGATGGTCTCATACACATTTTCTTTCTTATTCCCAACAATAGTCTTTCAATGTGGACATACATCGATTTCCACAGGGCCAATTGGAATCTATGATTCGTCATGAAAATCTGATTGTCTCTGACAGACAGTGCTTACCCAGCAGCCTTCTCAAATGGTGGCAGTATTTTCTCCCTCGGACCCCTAGCAAAATAAAAAAATAAATAAATAAATAAAAACTGAATGTGAAGTAGTTGTCTGGTTTGACCTCATTGATGCTTCCAGACCATTCTCTTTACCTACAACCTTATGAGATTATATCATCCATTATTCTTACTTATGTTTCCTACCAATTCCAAGGTTTCTTCAATTCTCTTTTTATTTCTTCTCACTTCTCATGGCTCTCTGTTAGACCAAGACTACCCCAGTCTTAATTATTGGCCATTTCAGTATGCACATAAGTAATTCTTCCAATATTCCAGCATTCGGTCTTCAACTTTTCTCTTTCAATTTGTCCTCCAATTTATCTCAATGATTCAGTGACTTTCTCTTATGAATCTCCCTCAGACCTTGTAACCATCGATACCCACAATCTCCCAACAACCTCAATTCCACGAATCCCTCTTTGAGCTCTACTTCTTTCCAGCTGTCTTCCTTTAGCGCTCTAATGCCAATCATCTTTCTATCCCATTGAGACTTTCAATTCATTGATCTCATCAGCTTTCACTCTCTTTCACCTCCATGATCACCTCTCTTCCCTGATTAACTGGATTTATTTGCCCCTCAAAGTCTTCGTTGGGTTTGTTAGACAAAACTGATACAGGAGTTACGAAGAAATCACTTAGGCAGATAGTAAGGGTATGGGAGTCCTCTGTAAGGCTTTTACTTTTATGAAAAGCAGGCCCAAATCATTTTCTAACAAAGAGAAGCCGGTAAAGTTGAGCTGAAGACACAGACAAGCAAGCGGGGAGCTTGCACGGGTGAATGCTGGCAGGAACTAAGGACTAGACATGTTCAAGATGGTGGCTCCATCTTCTCTTTTCCATGTCAGCCACGTGTACAGTAAGAAGCAGACAAGATGGCCCCCAATCAACTGGAAAGCCCATTAGGGTGGGGTGAACAGCCTTCCCCTTGCGCTATGTAAAAGTCATACCTGATCAAACCAATCTGTGAACCCTATGTAAATCAGACACCACCTCTTCAAACCTGACTATAATATTGGGCGCATGAGCCCCCTGTCCATCTTTTTGCTGAGAGACCACTTTATAGAGAAAGCTGTTTCTCTTTCTCTTCTCTTCTACTATTAAACCTCTGCTCCTAAACTCCTTGTGTGTGTCTGTGTCCTAAATATTCCTGGCACGCAACAACAAACCCCAGGGTATATACCTCAGACAATGTAGTCATTTCAAAGCCAAAGACATAGATAAAAGCAATAATCTCTGCCTTCTGCACCTGTATAACGAAAGAACATAGCAAAAGGAAAGCCCAACCACACTGTCCAGTACCATTTTGAATTAATGACTAAAAACCCCAAGCGTGCTGTTAATAATACCAAGTAAAATATAATCTGATACTATAATGCTATAGTATTACGTTATCATTAAGTTCATTTAACCTCTCACTATGGTAATAGTTGACTTTTTCACATGTTTTCTTGCTCCTTAAACTGCTGACATTTCCTTTCTCATCTTCATGCACAACTGATAACTTTGCTTTCTACCAGACTAAGAAAATAAAGCAGTAACTAACTTATTTCAAGTTAAAGTGGACTAGACAATTCCTTCATTAAGAACAAACCACGAAATCTGGAAAAAATATTCATGAAAGCTTTTTGAAAGCAAGATGGAATTAACAAGGTAGTGAAGAATTAGGGCATATGATCCAGGAAAAGAAGAATCCCCAGAAAATTGAGCCTGGCATGTATCCCAAGGATGTCTTCCAATTCAGGAAGAGACATATGAGAGCCTGAGGAGCTGAAAAGCACTTTCAACAGCTTTGATTGTCTAGGGGCACAAGTATTAGAGTCTATGTCTAAACAAGAAGGAGCAACCCTGGTAAACTGCACATAATTAGAGTTTGAACAACAAACACCAGCTACACCATAAGAATAAAGCAAATCCAGAACCGGATTAGATTATCCAGATTGCTAGTGCCTCTACTTACTTCTGGAAACAAGTATACATCCTCCCTGAAGAATTTATACTTATTTTATATATTTAATTATATATAATGTAACATATATTATGTATTATAAAGATATCATCAGCAAAATTGTTAAAAATATTTCTACACATAATATCCAGCATTTAATCAAAGAACCATGAACAAAAGGAGATAATTCCACATGAATTTAAAAAGGAAAATAAGCAGAAAATAAAATAGATACACAAAGAGCCCACAAAATAATTAGCAGACATGAGACATTAAATAACTATGCTTAATATGTTTAAGAAAATAAAATCCAAGATTGAGAATTTCAACAGAACACTACAAACTGTAAAATGAAATAAGAAAATTTTAGACCTGAAAAATATAATGTCCAAAATTAAAAATCCACTGGATAAATTTAGCAGCATATTAAACAGAACTGGAAAGAATATTATTGAACTAGAAAGCAGGCAGAAAAAATACTCTGAACAAAACAGATAGAAAACTTGTGTAGGAAAAAATAAACAATAGAGGAGAAAGAGACCAAGGGTATTTAACATACATGTAATTTGCTTTCCCAGAAGGAAATCAAAATGGAGCTGTAGTAATATTTGAAAAGATAGTGGTTGAGAATTGTCCTAAAGTGGTAACCAAAGGAAATATTCAAAAAGCATTCTGAGCCACAAGCAGGATAAATTTTTTTAATAGGCATATCATTTGAAAATGTTAAAAACAGAGAAAATCTTACAACCACATAAGGGACAAAAAAAGATGAATCTGAAAAGACCAAGAATCAGACTGCAGGAGATTTTTCAACAGAAGCAATAGAAGCCAGAAAACACAGGATTAATATCTTCAAAGCATGGAAAAAAAATAACTGCCAACTGAGAATGCTATACTCAAAGAATGCATTTTTCAAAAGTGAGGGTACAACAAAGACATTTTCTAACAAAGAAAAACAGAAAATTTAGCTCCAGCAGACCAGCACTGAAAGAAATACAAAAAGGTGTTTTTCAGGCAGAAGGGAAATGAAACCCGATGGGAGTTCAGGAATTGGTGAAGGAAGGATGAGCAATAAAAATGATAAACATGTGTAAAGATTTGAATGAAATTTGCTTCTAAAACATTTTAAGAGTATAATAGTGTTTAAAAATATGTGTGTGGCAACCTAGTGAGACCTTTACTCTGCAAAAAAATGTTTTAAAAATTAAGCTGGGTGTCATTGCACATGTCTGTATTCCTAGCTACTCAGGAAGCTGAAGCAGGAGAATCCCTTGATCCCAGGAGTTTGAGGCTGCAGTGATCTATGATTGTGCCACTGCATTCCATCCTGGGCAACAGAGTGAGACCTCATCTCTAAAACACACACACGCATATACACACATACACACACACATACACACACACACACGTGTATGTGTATTTGTTAAGAAAACATTTATATATATATAAAGACAAAAATAACAAAATAACAAATATACCATATAAGCTAAGAAGAGGATAAATAGAGTTAAAGTGTTTTAAGATTTGTACATTTTCTGAGAAAAGGATAAAAGTACCAAGGACTCTTGTATGCAAGGAATTCATGACGTAATTTTTTAGGAAAACCACTAAAAGAAGAGGAAAAATCTATAAAATCAACTAGCTAATAAGGATGAAAATAATAAAAATAATAATTCAAAGAATGACACAAAGAGAAAAGGAGAACATACAAAAGCTGGAGTAAGGACAAAAGACAGTGAATTTAAATCCCAATGTGTCAGTAATTTATACTATTGACTAAGTGTTTCCATTTTTAAAAAATATGTTTTTCAGGCCCAACTGTATGCTGGTAAGAAGGAAAGTATGTATAATATAAACATATAGAAAGGTTAACAAAAATATCTCCCAGTGTGGTTATGGATTTCTCTATTTCTCTATGTAGTTCTGTCCATTTTTATTTTATGTAGTTTGAAGTCACATTACAGGTGCACATATATTTGTCCAATAGAATTATTACTACAATGCAAGCTTTCTAAATTTCAAAACACACATCAAAGAATTAGATTATAATTACCTTGCAAATAAATTAACATAAAAGACATACATAAGATACTGCAACCAATAATTGCAGAACATTTTGTTCTTAAAGAACGTTATTTGTGAATAAATTTACATTTTTAGAAAAGTTGCAAAGGTAGAACAGAGGGTTCCTACAAAATATTCATTTGGTGTCCCTATTGTTAATATTTTACATAACTGCAGTAAATTGGTACAATACTATTACCTAAATTTTAGATGGCTAGTATTAACCTTAATCACTTGGTTAATGTGGTGTCACTTAGGTTTCCTCACTGTAAAGTTATTATTTTTCTCTTCTCAAACTCTATTATTTAAAAGCAAGTCAATAAATCCTGACAACCCTCAAGGAGATGAAAACTAAACTCTATTTATTTATATCAGTATGAATTTATGAATACTTATTTTAGGGGTTGCAATCCAATATTATCATTACTTATTTATTACTCAAATTGCTCCAGCAGTTAGATAGGCTGCTACATCCTTTTAACATGCCACTATTATTTCTGTTTGGTTTTGTTTTTTAGCACAACCTTCAGTAACCCTCTTTTTCTTTTTCTTTTTTCAAAGGGACAGGATCTTGCTTGCTGCCCAAGCTAGAGTGGTGTGATCACAGATCACTGCAGCCTTGAACTCCTGGGCTGTAGCGATCTTCCCTCCTCAGCATCCCAAATAGGTTAGATTACATGTGGGAGCCAGCGCCCAGCTAGTCTCATTTTATATTTTGCCCTCCTCAATCCTAAAATCAACTATTTCACCAAGGAGCACTGGCTCATTTAATTGAAAAATGGCATATGAAAACAAAAATCTGGGTGCTGGAGATGTTCATTGCTACTAGGGTGTCACTGTTTCTAGTTCCTTTCAATGAAGAGGCCTGGGAAAATATTTGTAAGGTATGCCTTATATGCAGGCATACCTCAGAGACAGTGCACGTTCAGTTCCAGACCACCACAATAAAGTGAATATCGTGATAAAGCAAGTCACAGAAACATTTTGGTTTCACGATGAATATAAGAGTTATATTTACATTATACTGGAGTCTGTCAAGTGTGTGAAAGCATTATGTCTGAAAAACCAATATACATACCTTAATTTAAAAATACTTCCTTGCTAAAAAATGCTGACCTTCATCTGAGCTTTCAGTGAGTTATGCCCTTTTTGCTGGTGGAGGGTCTTGTCTTTATGTTGATAGCTGCTGATCAGTGTGGTTGCTAAAGGTTGAGATGACTGTGGTAATTGCTTAAAATAAGACAACAGTGAAGTCTGCCTCATCAATTAACTTTCTTTCATGAAAGATTTCTCTGTAGCATGCAATGCTGTTTGAGAGCATCCTACTCATAATAGAACTTCTTTAAAAACTAGTTAATCCTCTCAAACTCTGCTGTTGCTTTATCAACTGATTTTATGTAACATTCTAAATCCTCTGCTGTCATTTCAACAATGTTTAAAGCATCTTCACCAGAAGTTGATTCCATCTCATGAAACCACTTCTCTAACTCATCCATAAAAAAGCAACTCCTCATCTATTCAAGTCTTATCATGAGTTGCAGCAATTCAGGCTCTACTTCTGATTCTAGTTCTCTTGCTATTTCCACCACATCTGCAGTTACTTTCTCTACCGAATCTTCAATCCCTCAAAGTCATCTATGAGAGTTGAAATCAACTTCTTCCAAACTCCTGTTAATGTGTATATTTTGTTAATGTGGATATTTGACCATGAATCACAAATGTTCTTAATGCCATCTAGAAAGGTAAATCCTTTCCAGAATGTTTTCAATTTACTTTGCCAGCATCCATTAAAGAAATCTCTATGGCAGCTATAGCCTTACAAAGTGTATTTCTTAAATAATAAGTCTTGAAAATCTTTTGAAATTAATCTTTTTTTTCTGAGCACTAGGTCTCAACAGTGGGTTGAAAATATTCAGTAAACTTCCAATCCGTACCACCCAAAAAATATTCAGTAAACCATGCTGCAAACAGATGTACTGTCATCCAGGCTTTGTTGTTCCATTTCTAGAGCACATATAGAGTAGATTTACTGTCATTCTTAAGAGTCCTAGGATTTTTTTTAATGGCACATGAGAATTGCCTTCAACTGAAAGCCACCCACCGCATTAGTCCCTAACAGGAAAGTCAGCCTGTCTTTTGAAGTTTTAAAGCCAGACGTTGAATTTCCTCTCTAGCTATGAAAGTTCTAAATGAAAGCTTCCAATATAAGACTGTTTTGTATACCCTGAAAATCTGTTGTTTAGTGCAGTCACCTTCATCAATGATCTTAGCTAGATTTTTCTGGATAACTTGCTGCAGATTCTACATCAGCACTTGCTGCTTTACCTTGTATTTTATGTTATGGAGACAGCTTTCTTCCTTAAACATCATGAATAAATCTCTTCTAGCTTCAAACTTTTCTTTTGTAGTTTTCTCGCCTCTCTCACCTTCATAGAATTGAAGACATTTAGGGACTTGCTCTGAATTAGGCTTTGATTAATGGAATGTTGCAGCTGGTTTAATCTTCTATTGAGACCACTAACAATTTCTACATCTCAGCAATAAGATTGTTTTGCTTTCTCATCACATTTGTCTTCACTGGAGTGGCACTTTTGATTTCTTTCTAGAACTTTTCCCTTGAATTCATGATTTCCTTAATTGTTTGGCATAAGAGGCCTAGATTTTAGTCTGTCTCAGCTTTCAACCTGTCTTCCTTATTAAGCTTAATCGTTTCTAGCTTTTGATTTAAAGTAAGAGGTGTGCAACTACACTTCCTTTCACTTGAACACTTAGAGGCCATTGTAGGGTTATTAATTGGCCTAATTTCAATATTGTTGTGCCTCAGGGAATAGAGAGGACAGATAACAGGAAGACAGACAGGGGAATGGCTGATGGGTAGAGGAGTTAGAATACACACAACATTTATCAGTTAAGCTTGCCATCTTATATGGGCATGATCCATCGCACCCCAAAACAATTATAATAGTAACATCAGAGATTACTGATCACAGATCACCATAACACACACAATGATAATAAAAGTGATCCTATGAGCCTAGGAGTTCAAGACGAGGCTAGGCAACATAGTGAGACCCTGTCTCACTTAAAAATATTTCATTCTTGGCCGGGCTTGGTGGCTCATGCCTGTGATCCCAGCACTTTGGGAGGCCCAGGCGGGTGGATCACGAGGTCAGGAGATCGAGACCATCCTGGCTAACATGGTGAAATCCCATCTCTACTAAAGATACAAAAAATTAGCCAGGCATGGTGGCGGGCACCTGTGGTCCCAGCTACTCGGGAGGCTGAGGCAGGAGAATGGCGTGGACCCGGGAGGTGGAGCTTGCAGTGAGCAGAGACCACGCCACTGCACTCCAGCCTGGGTGACAGAATGAGACTCTGTCTCAAAAAAAAAAAAAGAAAAATTCATTTTTTAAAAAACTTTTTAAAGTTTGAAATATTGCAAGAATTACCTAAAATATGACACAGAGACATGAAGTAAGCACATTATTTTGGGGAAATGGTGCCAACAGACTTGCTCAACACAAGGTTGCCACAAACCTTCAATCTACACAAAATATAATATCTGAAAAATGCAATAAAATAAAACAATACAATGAGGTACACCTATATATAAACATAAGCTCATCCTGATTTATCTGACTCTAGCCCAGTATCATATTATTCTAGTCTTTCCAATTACCTTACTTGTAACTTTTTACTCTAGTAGTAGAAAAACCAATGTCATCATCTTATGTATTCTTTTTAAACATCCAAAAATTTTATAAAAATTCTTATGAACTCGTCCATGAAATAAATCTTTTAATATTATATTTAATAAATTATCTTTCAGCTAACAAAACTTGTATACATTTATTGGGTATAACATCATGTTTTGAAACATGTATACATTGTGGAATGGTTCAGTAGAGCTAATTAACATGCATCATTATCATTTTTTGAGGTGAGAACACTTAACATCCCTCTTAAAGGTTTTTAAGAATGCAATACGTTGTTCTTAACTCTAGCCACCATGCTGTACAATAGATCTCTTGAACTTATTTCTCCTAACTGAAATTTTGTATCCTTTGTCCAACTCCCCTCTCACCCCAACCCTTCATAACCACCATTCTACTTTCTACTTCTTTGAGTCTGACTTTTACAGATTCCACATATGCATGAGATCATGCAGTATTTGTCTCTCTGTACCTGGCCTATTTCACTTATCATAATGTCTTGCAGGTCCATCCATGTTGTGGCTTGGATATTTAAGGCCGAATTGTACTATTCCATTGTGTATATATATCACATTTTTGTTATCCATTTATCTATTATTAACACTTAGGTTTATTTCTCAGTTATTGTGAATGATGCTAAAAGGGCCATGGGAGTGCAATATCTTTTTGGAATGCTGATTTCATACTCTTTGGATATATACCCAATAGTTAAACTGCTAGATCATATTTTTAATTATTTGAGAAATGTCTATACTGTTCTCCATAATAGCTGTACTTATTTACATTCCCATCAATGATATACAGGGTTCTCTTTTCTCTGCATCCTCACCAACATTTATCTTTCATCTCTTTGATAATAGTCATTCTAACAGTTGTGAGGGAATATCTCATTACGACTTTAATTTACATTCCCTAATGATTAGTCATGTTGAGTATTTTTCATATACTTATTGGTCATTCATATGTCTTCTTTAAAGAAATATATATTCAGGTCTTTTGCCCATTTTTAATCATTTTTTTTCTTATTATTGAGCTGTTGGAGTTTTTTATATATTTTGGATATTAACTCCTTATCAGATGTATGGTTTGTAAATACTTTTTCTCCCATTCCATAGGTTGTCTCGTTATTTTGTCAATTGTTTCCTTCGCTATGCAGAAGCTTTTTAGGTTGATGTAATTCCATTTGTCTATCTTTGCTTTATTGTCTGTGTTTTGGGGGTCATAGTCAAAAATTCACTGCCCAGATTAATCTCATGGAGATTTTTCCCTATGTTTTCTTCAAGTAGTTTCATTATTTCATGTCTCATGTTCAAGTCTTTAATACATTTTGAATTAATTTTTATATATGGTGTGTGAGATGAGGGTCTAATTTCATTCTTTTGCATGTGGATATCCAGTTTTCTCAGGACCATTTATTGAAGAGACTCTTATTTTCCCGTTGTGTGTCCTCGACAGTTTTGTCAAGAATCAATTTGCTATAAATGTGTGGACTTATTTCCGGGCTCTTTATTCTCTTTCATTGGTCTATGTGTCTGTTTTCATGCCAGTACCAAGGTGTTTTGATTACTACAGCTTTGGAGTGTATTTTGAAGTCAAGTATTGTGATACTTCCAGCTTCATTTTTTTGTTCGATATTTCATTGGCTATTCAGGGTCTTTTGTGGTTCTATATACATTTTAGGATTGTTTTTTCTATTTCTGTGAAAAAATGGCATTAAAATTTTGAAAGAAATTATATTGAATTGATAGATTGCTGTGGGTAGTATGGACATTTTAATAATATTAATTCTTCCAATTCATAAACTAGGGATTTCTTTCCATTAATTTGTGTCTTCACTTTCTATCATCAATGTTTTATAGTTTTCAGTGTATAGATTATCACTTTCTGGGCTAAATTTATTATTTATGGCTATTATAAATGGGGTTGTTTTCTTGATTTCTTCTTCAGATAGTTTGTTGTTCGTGTATAGAAATGCTATGGATTTTTGTATGTTGATTTTTGAATCCTGCAACTTTCTGAATTCATTTATTAGTTCTAGCTGGTTTTTGGTGGAGTCTTTAGAGTTTTCTGTATATAAGAACCTATGATTTACAAACAGAGACAATTTACCTTCTTCCCTTCGTATTTGACTGCCTTTTATTTCTTTCTTTTGGCTAATTGGTCTGGCTAGAACTTCCAGTCCTGTGTTGAATGGAGCAGTAAGAGTGGACATTCTTGTCCTATTCCTGACCTTAGAGAAATAGTTTTCAACTTTTTATTGTTGAATATTAAGTTAGCCATGGCATTGTGCTGAGGTGTAATTCTTCTATACCTATTGCATTGAGAGTTCTTATCATGAAAGTTTGCTAAATTTTGTCATCTATTTAAGCACATATTGAGATGATCATGTAAGTTTTGAACCTCATTCCATTAATGTGACACATCACATTTATTAATTTGCATATATTGAACCATCCTTGCATCGCTACGATGAACCCCACTTGATTATAGTGAATGATACTTTTTATGTGCTGTTCAATTTCATTTGCTAGTATTTTGTTGACTTTTTTTGCATCTATGTTCATCAGGGTTATTGGCATGTAATTTTCCTTTCTTATAGTATTCTTGCTTGGCTTTGGTATCAGGGTAATGTAGCCTTGTAAAATGAACTTAGAAGTACTTTTTGCTTTTCAATTTTTTGAAAGTGTTTGAGAAGAACTGGTATTATTCTTTAAATATTTGGTAGAATTCTTCAGTGAAATTAACAGGTCCTGGACTTTTCATTGGTGGGAGAATTTTTATTACCAATTCAATCTCTTTACTTATTCTTGATCAGTTTAGATTTTCTATTTCCTACTGATTTAGTCTTGGTAGGTTGTATGGGTCTAGAAATTTATCTATTTCTTCTAGGTTATCTAATTTGTTGGGATATAATTGTTCATAGTAATTTTTATGGCACTTTGTATTTCTGTGACATCAGTTGTAATGTCTCCTCTTTTATTTCTGATTTTGAGTCTTCTCTTTTTTTTCTTAGTTTAGGTAATGTTTGTTGGTTATCTTTATCTGTTTTAAAAAGCCAACTGATATATTAATATTTTTTCTTGTTTTTCTATTATTTTATTAATTTCTCCTCTGATTCTTATTGTTTCCTTCTTTCTACTAACTTCGTTTGTTCCTTTTCTTAGTTTCTTAAGATGTAACATAAGATTGTTTATTTAGGATCTTTATTCTTTTTTATGTAGACATTTATTACTATTAACTTTCCCCTTAAAACTGCTTTTGCTGCATCCTATGAGTTTCAGTATGTTGCGTGTCCATTATCTTTCATCTCAGGATACTTTTGTTTATTTTTTTCTTTTTCTTTGAACCATCGCTAGTTTAGGAGCATCTTGTTTAATTTCCACGTATTCATTCAGGAATTTTCTGAAATTCTTCCTGTTATTGATTTCTAGTTTTATACTATTGTGGTTGGAAAAGATACTTTATATGATTTCAGTCTTCTTAACTTTGTTAAGACTTGTCTTGTGGCCTAATACATAATCCATCTTGTAGAATGTTTCTGGTGCTCTTGAGAAAATGCATATTCTGCTGCTGAATGGAATGTTCTGTATATACCTGTCAGGTCTATTTGGTCTAAAGTGTAGCTCAAGTTTAATGTTTCCTTATTGATTTTATGCTTGGATGATCTGTCCGTTGTTGTAAGTGGGATATTGAAATTCCCTACTATTATTTTATTGCAGTCTGTGTCCCTTCTCAGGTCTATTAATATTTGCTTTATATATTTAGTTCCTCTGAGGTTGTGAGCATATATATTTATAACTGTTATATCTTCTTGAAAATCAAAGACATGAATTGATTCCTTTATCATTATATAACGGCCTTCTTTGTCTTATTATACAGTATTAGACTTGAAATCTATTCATCTAATATAAATATAGCTATCCCCATTCTCTTTTGGTTTCCATTTGCATGGAATATCTTTTTCCATCATTTCACTTTTAGTCTGCTTGTGTCCATAAAGGTGAGGTGAGTCTCTTATACTCTAGTAGACAGCTTATAGTTAACTCTCTTTTAATCCATTGAGCCACTCTATGTCATTTTATTGCAGATTTTAAAACATTTACATTCAACGTAATTATAAACAGGTAAAGACATTATTTCTATTTTGTTAATTGTTTTCTGCTTATTTTGTAGGTTGTTTGTTTCTTTCTCTCTAAATGTTTTCCTTTGTGATTAGGTAATTTTCTCTAGTGACGTGTTTTGGTTTATTACTTTTTATCTTTTATGTATCTACTATAGGTTTTTGCTTTGCAATTACCATGAATCTTACCTAAAACATCTTATAGTTATAACAGGCTATTTTTAACAGACAACAATTTCATTTTGATTGTACTAAAAAAAAAAACAAGTTTCTTTACTTTTTCCCACATTTTATGTTTTTGATGTTAAAATTTAAATCTTTTTTATATTATCTATCCCCTAACAAATTATTGTTGCCATTATTTTTAATGTTTGTCTCTTAACCTTCATACTAAGGACATAGGTGACTTACACACTGCCATTACATTATTAAAATATTTTAAATTTGACTATGTACTTACTTTTATGAGTTTTATAGTTTCATTTTTCTCCATGTTACTATTAACATCCTTTTCTTTCAGCTTGAAGAACTCACTCTAGTGTTTCTTGTAAGACAAGTCTGGTGGTGACAAATTCCCTGTTTTTTCTTGAGAAAGTCTTTATCTTTCCTTCATTTCTAAAGGACAGTTTTGCCGGGTACAGTATTTTTTATTCTTATTTAGTTATTTATTTATTTTAGAGGCAGGGTCTCGTTCTGTCACCCAGGCTAGAGTGTAGTGGCACAATCATAGGTCACTATAGCATCAAACTCATGGGTTAAAGCCATCCTCCTGCCTCAGCCTCCTGAGTAGCTAGGACTGTGATCATGTGCCACCATGCCCAGCTAAGGATTTTTGTTGTTGTTGTTTTGTTGTTTTGTTTTATTTGTAGAGACAGGGTCTCACTGCATTGCACAGGCTGGTCTCCAACTTCCAGGCTCAAACAATCCTCCCACCTTAGCCTCCCAAAGTAGAGTATTCTTGATTGGCATTTAACTTCTCTCAGCACTTTTAATATATCATCCCTTTCTCTCCTGGCCTTTAAGGTATCTACTGAGCAATCCACTGCTATTCTCATTGGACTCTCTTATATGTTATTTGCTTCTTTTCTCTTGCTACTTTCAGGATCCTTTCTTTGTCCTTGATTTTTCACAGTCTGATTATAATATATCTTGGTGAAGTCTTGTTTGGATTGAAACTGATTGGAGACCTTTAACCTTCCTGTATCTGGAAAGTTACATCTTTCTCCAAATTTGGAAAGGTTTTCACTATTATTTCTTTAAATAAGCTTTCTAGGCCCTTTGTCTTTCTCTTCTCCTTCACTAATTCCTATAATAAATATTTGCCCTCTTACTGCTGTCTCATAAATTCTGTGAGCTTTCTTCATTCTTTTTTACATCTTTTTCTCCTCTGGATGTATATTTTCAAATAACCTGTCTTCAAGTTCACAGATACTTTCTTCTGCTTCATCAATTCTGCTATTTATACTCCCTATTGTACTTTTTATTTAATTTATGGTATTTTTCAGCTGTAGAATTTCTGTTTGGTTTCTCTTTATAATTTAAGTCTCTCTTACATTTCTTATTTTGGCCATTTATTATTTCCTGATAGCATTGAATTGTTTATCTATATTTTCTTGAAGTTTGCTGTGCTTCCTTAAAATCATTATTTCAAATATTTGTCAGTCAGTTTATACATCTCAATTTCTTTGGAGTCAGCTACTGAAAGATAATTGTGTTCTTTTGATGGTATTATATCTCCTCGGTTTTTCATGTTTCTTGTTTCCTTATTCTAATGTCTGAGCATTTGAAGAAGTATGGACTTATTCAAGTCTTTGCAGACCGTGTTTGTCTTTTCCACTGGGAAAGCCCTTCACCAGTCAGCATGACCAGAGATTCTGGGCAGGCCATTTAGTGTGGTCCAATGGCAGAACTGCTGCTGGAATATTTGGGCTGGCTGGTCTAGTGCCTGGGTCAACCGGTGGGCAGGCCTGGCACCTGAATCCACTGGAGTGGACAGATTCATTGGATTTATGGGGTTGGGCCTGCAGCCTGGGTCCACGAGGGCAGGCCTGGAGCCCGGGTCCATAGGGGCTGACCTGGCACTGGGGTAGGCCTTGAGCCTGAGTCTACAGGAGCTGACCAGGCGCTGGTATGGGTTTAAAGCCTGGGTCCATTGAGGTATGCCTGGAATCTGAGTCCACAGTGGCTAGTATGGCACTGGTGCAGGCCTGGTACCTAAGTCTGTAGAGGCAGGCCTGGGTTTTACATCTGCAGGGGTGGTCCTAGAGCTTCAGTCTGGGAATGCGAGATACTGACCTGGTACCAGGTCTGCTTAGGTGAGCCTGACCCCTAAATCTGCTGGAACAAGGCTGGACCCTGGGTCCTCTGGAGCCTGGGGCCATGGGAGCTAACCTGGACATTTGTCACAGGTGCTGGCCTGGAGCCTGAGGATATAGGAACCAGCCAGGAGCCTGGGTCTGTTTGAGCTGGCCTAGAGGCTGTTTGCAAGGGCTGCCCTAAGTCCTGAGGCCACAGAGACCACTAGAAAGAAACACGAGTCTACAGTCCTGAGGCTGATCCAGCACTGGGGTCCATTGGGATGGCCTAGAAGCTGGATATGCTGAAATATGGGACTATGGGGGTCAGGCTGAAGGGTGGGACAACAGTGACAGGGCTGGCACTGAGAAAGTCTGGTGCCTGTATCTATCAGGGCTAGCCTGGAGGCTGAATCTATGAGCACTGGCCTGATAAATTGGGCTTTGGTGGTTGCCCTCATGCTGGGGTCGGCTTGGAGCCTGAGTCTGTGGGGGCCAGCCTGGCACTGGAGCAGGCCCAAAGCCAGGGAGGTCAGACCAGCAAATCAGTAGGCCTAAAGTCTGAGTCCACCAGGAAGACCCAGAACCTGGGGCTGCAGGATCCTTCCTGGTGCTGGGGAAGGCCTGAGTCTTGGGCCACGGAGGCCTGCCCCACACTGAGTTTTACTGTGGTGGGCCTGGTTTTGGGGTTTGAGGCAAAGTCTGGTATTCACTTTTCTCTCCTTTCCCTAAGGGGATGTTATCTCTCTCCATGTTGTGCTCCCTAAGATTGGGAAACGGGGGATACAGGTAATGTAAAATTGTCCCTTCTGCCCCTTTCGAGGTGCTTTTTCTTATTTCTGTGCTATACCCAGGTGCTATAATCTCTCATCTGGTTTCCTTAGCTCTTATGAAGACATTTTTATTTATGGAGAGATGTTCTATTTCTGAGGAGGGACAGGCCCTTGAAAAGCCTATTCTAACATCTTGCTGACATTGAGATACATTAATAAATTACATAGTGTCAAAATCACACAGAGTATATTATCTTATTCTAGGACACATACACTACAAATAAACTGCAGAAAGGAAAATTCCCATAAATTTGGAAATTAAGAGTTCTATTTCTAAAAGTAGCCCTTGGATCAAAGAAGAAATTACAATATAGGAAATTATTTTGAACTAAATGATAATAAAAATGCAATATATCAAAATTTGTATTATGCAAAGCCATGCTTAGAGATAAGTTATGCATGTATTAGAAAAGAAGACAAAAAGTAACTGAATTAAGTATCAAATGTGAGATGCTAGAGAGAACATAGTAAATTAAACTTAATGAAAGTAGAAGAAAAGAAATCCAGAAAACAATAAAATAGAAAAACAAATAGAGAAAAATCAACAAAGCCCTAAGTTGTTTTCTGAAAAAAATTAATAAAACTGCTATTTCTTTGGTGAGACTGGTCAAAAAATAATAAAGCAGCAAGATACAATATGAAGAATGAAAAAGTGACAATATTATGAATCCTATAAAACTTAAAAGATTATACAATAAATAATTTTATAACTTAATTTGAAAAATGTTAATGAATCGTACCTAAGCAGACACAAGAATAAATAAAAAAATCTGAATAGTCCTAAAATTATTAATAAAGTTGAATTTATAATCACCAGCCCTCCCTTAAAAAGAACTTCAATACTAGATGGCTGCACCTATATTCTATCAAACATTTCAGAAAAAAAATGAAATATTACAGAAATTACTTTGGAGAACATAAAAAAGAAAATACTTCAAAACTCATGATTGACAACCACTGTAATCTTGATATCAAATGACAAGAACATTAAAAGAAAGAAAAATCACAGGTCAAAATTACTTGTCAATATCGATGCAAAGTTCCTTTAAATAATGGCAAATCTAACATAGCAATATGGAAAAATGTTAATACAATCACAACTAAGTGGAGTTCATTCCAGAAATGCAAAGTTAATTTAACCTTTAAGAACAAATCAAAGTAACTCACAATGTGAACAGAATAAAAGAGAAAAATCATTTGATTATTTCAAAATGGAAGACAATTTGTTTAATAAAATTCAACATCCACTTAAGATTAAAAGTCTCAGCA
This sequence comes from Homo sapiens, assembly GCF_000001405.40. Lineage (NCBI taxonomy): Eukaryota > Metazoa > Chordata > Mammalia > Primates > Hominidae > Homo > Homo sapiens. Next base: position 59,992,252 of record NC_000008.11, read on the forward strand.
AACTATGACTAGATGAGAACTTCCTTAATTGATTAAAGTAAAACCTATAGCCAACATCATAAGTATTGGTGAAAAGTTTGAAACTTTCCCTGATGTCTGGCATAAAAATAGACTGTTTATTATCATCATCTATATTTAATATTTTGCTGGAGAATCTAACCAGTACAATAAGATAGGAAAAAGTTAGAAGGAATAATCATTGCAAACAAATAAAACTGTTATTTATCACAATATAAGTTTGTGTATGCAAAAATAGTCTAAAATAATCTACATTTAAATTACTAGGATTATGAATTGGGTTTGGTACAGAAATACATTTATTTTAATATAATGAAAACAGACTATCAGAAAATGAAAATTGTAAAACATGTTATTGATAATAACATAAAAAATGAGGTGCCTAAGAATAAATCTAATGAAAGATCTGTAAGATTCTTATACAGAAAAATGTGAAACATTCTGAGAGAAATTAAAGAAAACCTAATTAATGAAGGAATATATCATTTTCATATTTTGGAAGACGCTATCTGTAAAGATACCAATTGTTCCCCAAATTGACCAACATAGTCAATTTAATACCCACTAAAATCCTACGTTCCTGAAGTTAAAGAACTGCTTTCAAAATTTATAACTAAATGCAAAGGGCTAGGTATAGCCAAGACATTTAAAGAACAAGTCCTATGGTAGGAGGATTTACTCTACTACAATTTTAAACTGATTAAAGCGCAACATTAATCAAGATGTGGTAATGATGAAAAAAGAAATGCATAAACCAATAAATGGAATATAGACCCAGAAACCTATAAAATCATGTATAGATATTTATTTTCTGGCTAATCTGACACTTCAGAGATGTGGGACGTAAATGGTCTTTTTAGTAAGTGATGTGGAGAAAATTGGATTTCCTTATGAAAAAAAATTGCTTTTGAGTCTATCTCATGTTAATTCCAGGTCAATTATAGCTCTAAATGTGAAAACCATCAACATTGATTTCAGAAGATAACTAACATCTTTTTAAAAGGGTTTTGAACATTTTCTTAGAGTATATAGGAAACATTAAGCATATAGGCAAAAACTGGTAAATAGGACTATAGTAAAGTTAAGAACCTCAACTCCTCAAAAGTGTCATTAATAGAATTAAAAGGCAAATGACAGAATGTGAGATGGATTGTATATCACTAGCCAAGTACTCATATCCACAATATATAAAGAACATCTTTTGATAGAAAATAGGTAGACAGCCTAATTGATAAATGATCAAGAAACTTGAGTAGATTGTTCACAGAAAAACATATCCAAATGGCCAATAAGCATATGAATATATGCTCAACTTCACTTGTTTCTAGAGAAATATAAAATAAAATCCATGCTCACTAGAAAGCTTGAAATTTAAAACATAGCAATTACAAGTGTTAAAGAGAATTTGGGACAGTTGGAGCACTCACACACTGCCAATGGAAGTGCAAATGCTACAAAGAAATGATAATGATTGTCTTTATCTCTTGAAATTGAACATGTGGATACCCATTGACTCAGAAATTCCATCCCTAGATATGTGTTTAACAAAAATGCCCCCTCCCATGTTTGTATAGTAAAGTTCATATCAGGCTAAAAGCTCAAAAGTAGAAACAACCCAAATGCCCATCAACTGTAGAATGGAAAATTAAATTGTACCATGTTACAATGGAATACTCTACAGAAATAAAAATAAATATACTACAGTTATATGCAATAAAGTGAATTTTGTAAACATAACAGTTGACAGAAATATAAAACATTACATATTGAATTATTACATTGATTTAAAGTTCAAAACGAAAGTGTGGTGTAATAATTCAGGATAGTGATTAGTTTGATGGAGGACAAAGTGCATGGGGATTAGGAAGGAACATATGAGGGATTTCTGGGGTGCCTACAATATTCTATAGTTTGACCGAGATGAGGGCTGCACTGTCTTCTTACGATGACAACTCATTGAGCCATACACGGATATTTGGTGTACTTTTCTGTGGGTTATTCTTAGTAATAAAAAAATTTTTATCACAGAATATAAATCAATCAGTAGAGAATGTTCAAGCTTCCTTCCACCATGCCAATTAACTTACCAGCAACTACACTCATCTCTGTCTTCCTACCAAACACTACTGATAAGGCCAGCCTCTCAATCATGCACTAGATTTCATCCCTTCCTGTCACCTCCAAAAACATGGCAGAGTTCTTAAAATTTTCTAAGAATTCTTTCATGTCTCCACATCATTAACATTTTCACCTTCACCAACAGCATCCAAATAAACATTACATATTCTATTGAAAAAAATACATTACATTGACCCTATTTCCCACCACAGCTAATGATGTATTTTTACCACTATTCTTTGCAATACAATTTCTGGAAAAAGTTGTCTGTACTTCTTGCCTCCACTTCTTCTCCTCTCATGCTCTCTTAAAAACTCTCTAAATAAGGCTTTTTCCTCACCACTCCCCAAACACTGTTCACTTGTCAAGGTCACTAATGATGAACTTTCTGTTTATCTTCCAATGATCTTCAACCGTATCTTGTTTGACTCATCTGCAGCTTTAGTTAATATTGATCTACCCCTCTCTCCATGACATTCTTTCTTCTATTAACTTCCAGGGCACCACAATCTTTGGTTTTCTTGCCACCTCACAAGGAATTTCCCTCCTTATTTTCCTTCTCTGTGTCTTTCTTCTTCTTTTTCTAGACCATGTAATGTTAAAGCAGAGTCTTGGTTTATTTATCTACATACCTGCACTCTCTTATTGAACTCATCCAGGCTCATGGCTTCAAATGTCCTCTGTATGTTGAAAACAATTCTCAAATTTAAATCTCTAGCCCATATATGTCTTGGGAACTCCAGTTTTATCAACCCAACAACCTACTCAACATCTTCACTTGGATTTTTGACATCTTAAATTCATGTTTCCAAAACTGAACTTTTGATTTTCCCTCCCATACAACTCCACTGACTTTTCCCTATCTCAGTGGCAACTCCATCTTTCTGGTTACTGAGAACAAAAATCTTAGAGTCATCTTTGATTTCTTTCTTCCTCTGAAACGCCACATTTAATTATAAGGAAGTCCTATTAGGCTCAATTTTTTACAGTTATCTGTAGCCTAATTAATTGTCCCTGTCTCCATGTCTGCCATCCTGTTCCAAGCTGCCATGGTCTCCCACCTGGATTCTACAGGGCACTCCTAAAGCTCTTCCTATCTCTACTTTACCTTCCACAAACTACTGAAAAATGGCATGCAGAGTGAGATTCTTAACTATTTGTCCTATTATATCACAGATCTATTTACAAATTTTTAATAGCTTCTAATCCTACTCAGAATAAAAGGCAAAGTCTTAGGTCCTAATGAGCTGCCTCCTCTCATTTCTCTCACCCTGCCTCTCTGATACTCCTCCTCACCTACAATGGTTCATTGCTGCTGCCCACACATGCCTTGCACATCAGTACTCCAGGACCACACAACTTGCTGTTTTCTCTGTCAGAAATGCCAATTTCCAGATATCTGGGCTTATTTTCCTTACTAACTCCAGTCTTTGCCCATATTTAATCTTTTGAGTTATGCTTACTCTAAGTCTTCTATTTCAAATCCCAATCTTCTTTCCACCTCACATTCCTGTCCTATTTATGTTTCATGACACTTCTTAGCATTAAGATAGTAAGGAATCATATTTATTGTGCATGTTATATATTGTCTGACTCCCTCACTAGAATGTAAGGTCACAGGGAAGTGATCTCTGTTTTGTTTGCTGATGCATTCCAAGTGACTGGTACATAGTAGGTGCTCGATAAGTACGTATTAAATAAATTGATAAATGTAGGGCCTCACAGCTCTTTTACACATTTTGTACATAAATAAGAAAAGCCACTGGAAAATTATGAGCAAGTGAATATTTGTCTTCAAAGCAAAAAATGAGAAAAACAAAATTGATATTGATTTCTAAGACAGATTGGAATGAACCAGGTATGACCATGTTAGAGAAATAAAAATGTCCATTAGGCTGAGCATGGAGAATAAAGCTTTTCATTTTCCTCAGAAAACATTGCTCCAGACTCTCTCAAGGGGAAGAGGTTGGGAATATTAAATTGGAATTTTGAGGGGAGAAATAAGGGAATAAAAACAGTAGAGCACCACACAATCATGGGACATTAAATAAGAGGGAACAGAGAAATTAGATGGCTAGTACAAAGAAATGCCCATCATCCTTCACTTTATGAAGAAAGGAAAGCCTCCAATCCAAAGGTAATGGGCTAGCTTCCACTGTGATGTTCTCACTGATTTTACCAATATGATGCATAGTTAGCACATGTGTAAGCATCATTTCTGTTAACCACATAATGTAAGATTTTATCTAAAGATCTCTAAATCTAAATTATTTCCCCAGAAATATTCACACACACATAAAGAAAGCTATCTCCTAAAAAATGTTTTCTCCCTCACACTAGATATTTGGAAATAAATGACAGGAAACAAACAAGCATTCTACAGCATCAGAATTCTCAGATCTCAAGCAGGCTGAGGGCATCTCACAAACTGGACTTGCTTTAGGGCAATCTGTAATTTACCAAATAATGAGAATTCTCCTATGGCTGATTTTCCTAAAAACTTTACCTCAGCTCTCTATCACCCAAAGTCTACTTTAATCAGAAATAGAGTGGAATAGGCAATACTATTACTGAAGAAAATCAAAGATAAAATCAGTGAATAAAGATGTGTAAGGTATATGAAATCCTCTAATTCCTCCATATTTCTTGGAAATAAAAGAGCCTTCTGCTACAACATTGGGAAGAAAACTAAGATGATTCCACTAGGGCGCTTAAAGAACAGACTCAGATCCATCCATTTAGTCATTTGATAACGCTATCTGTATTAACTGAACCCTTGCTGTTTGCTGGAGACAAAGATTAAAGATTATCAACAAATCAGTGAATTAACAATGTATTTCTGAGAGAAAAAAAGCTTACCAAAACTTTGAATGAAGTGTGGCAAATATTATGTTAAAGGATAAATAAGAAACAATTTATGGACCATTGGATCAAAGAAGAGGGAAAATAATATAGCTCAGATTAAAGGAGAGGTCAGGTCAAGCTGTCACAAATCCGAAGGAGTTTTTAAATAATGGAAAGGTGGGGAAACACAGTTACAAGGGAGGAAAGAACAAAGTTGCCCATGCTGAGAGGATCACTTCCTAGTGCCTTTAAAAGCCAGCAGTCTGCACTTTAAGTTGTCTGGAGTGAGCCTTGCCTATGGGAGAGAATGACAGATAAAGTTAGAAAAAAAGACATGAGCCTGATTATGAAACGCCTTGTTTGCCAAGCTCAGCAATTTAGACTTTCCTGAAGGCTATGGAAGCCCATTGACAGAATTTAATTATGGGGATGCCATGATTTGATTTGCATTTAATATCCCTGGGAAAGATGAATTGCAGAGGAAAAATCTCTAAAAGCAGGGAGAACTTTCAGAAGGTTATTACAGTCGTCACAGCAAGAAGAGATAAAGGAATAAACTAAAGTAGTAACAGGCAGAAATGGAGAGGAGATGTTCTCCAAATAAAATATAGCAAGTAGATTCAACAGGATCTGATGATCAATGAGGGTGGGAAGAGAATTCGAGGATGAAGGGGCTTAGACAGATTCCAGTTTTCTGGTTTAAGTGACTGGATATAGTGGCATTGCTGATAAAGTAAGATAAAGAGTAGGTGTGGAGGGCAAGGTATGGAGTCCAGTGTTAACATGTAGATTTTGAGATGTTTGTAGAACAAGCAAATGAGAATGATCAGCCAGGAGCTGTGCATATGATTATAAAGTTAAGAAAAGAAATTGTAGTAGTGGATACAAATTTGAGAGTCGTCAGGTTTAGATAAGGTAATAGATAGTTAATACATAGAGTAAGAAAAGCAGAAGACCAATGATTGTACTCTGAAAAACACTAATATTTCAGGGCTGGATTAAGAAGGTAAACCATCAAAGGAGACTGAATGTGAGACACTAGAACATAAGAGAAACATGGAAGTCAGGGCAGGGGACAACTCAAAGTAGGAAAGAATGGTTCACAGGGTCAAATATTGAGAATGGTTAGGCATTACTTGACAATCATGACATTAATGATGACTTTGATTAGAGCGCTTTCCATGGAGTAGTGAAAAAAAGATGAGGAAGGATGGGGCCAATATGGCCAACTAGAAGCAGCTACAGTGTGTGGCTTTCACAGAGAAGAGTGAAAGGGGTGAGTAAATACAACACTTTTAACTGAAACTTCCAGATACTCCATTGGGACTGATCAGAGAAACAGCTCGACTCACAGAGAATAGAGAAAAGCAGGGCAAGGCAATGGCCCACCTGGGAGCAACACAGAGCCAAGGGAACCTCCCCCCATGCAGAGAAGTGGTGAGTGAATGTGCAACCCTGGGAAACCACACTTCTCCCACAGTTCTTTGCAAATTACATATCAGGGGATCCTCTTGTGAGCTCAAGCCACCAGGGCCTTCAGTCTGCCACAGAGCCGTGTGGAGTCTCAGCAGAGCAGTTGCTCAGGTGGGCATAGAGACCCAGGAGCTTTATATGCTCTGGCTCTTGGATCCCTGACAAAGTTGATTGCAACTCAGGCAAGGCAGGAGGTTCCTACATACCCCTAGGAAGGGGGCTGAATCCAAGGGGCTGAGCAGCATGGATCTGCAGGTCCCACAACCATGACACTTCACAGGATAGGACCCACTGGCTCAGAATTTGAGCCAGCCACCAACGGTGTTGCACCTACCTGGGATGGGATGTAGTTCCCAGGGAGAGGGGCAGGCTGCCATCTTTGCTGTTTGCATGACTCAGCTGTTCCAGCCTGTGGGCTTAGGAGAGTCAAAACTGACTTTCCTAAGACTGGGGGCACAAAGGGATCCCCCAGCACAGCACAGCACAGCTGCTCTACCAAAACATGGATAGACTGCTTTTTTAACTGGGATCCTGATCCATTCTGCCTCAGTGGGCAGGACCTCCCAACCAGGGCCTCCAGCCACCCCCTCTTGTATTCTCTGGCAAAGAGAGTTTTGATTTCCCAGGGGGAGAGGCAGGCAGCCATCTTCAGTGACTCAGCTGTTCCAGCCTGCAGGCTTTGGAGAGTCCAAGCTGACTGGGGCAGGAACAGTACCCCAGCACCACACAGCTGCTCTACAAAAGTGTGGCCAGACTGCTTCCTTAAGTGGGTCACTGATCCATTCCTCCTCACTGTGTGGGACTTTCCAACCAGGGCCTCCAGCCACTCCCACTCATGTTCTTTGGCTGACAGAGGTTTGAAAACTTCCTGGGAAAGAGCTCCTAGAGGGAAGACTGGACCACCATTTTTGCTGTTTCAGCAACTTAGCCATTCCAGCCCCCAGGCTTTGGAGAGCCCACGACAACTGAGGGTGGAAGTGAGAGGTGACAACGTGCTAGCAGCCCTCGCTTGCTCTCAGCACCTCCTCAGGCCACAGCGTCCACTCTGGCTGTGCTTGAGGAGCCCTCCAGCCCTCCAGCCTGCCGCTGCACTGTGGGAGCCCCTCTCTGGGCTGGCCGAGGCTGGAGCTGGCTCCTTCTGCTTAAAGGGAGGTATGGAGGGAGAGGCACGGGCAGGAACCAGGGCTGCACATGGCGCTCGCAGGCCAGCACGAGTTCCAGGTGGGCATGGGCTCAGTGGGCCCTGCACTCAGAGTGGCCAGCTGGTGCTGCCAACCCCAGGCAGTGAGGGGCTTAGCACCTGGGCCAGCAGCTGCGGAGGGTGCGCCAGGTCCCCCAGCACTGTTGGCCCGCCCGTACTCCTCTTGAATTCTCTTCAGGCATCAGTCGCCTCCCCGTGGGGCAGGGCTCAGGACCTGCAGCCTGCCATGCCCGAGCCCCTCCCCACCATGGGCTCCCATGCGGCCTGAGCCTCTCTGATGGACGCTGCCTCCTGCTCCTTGGAACCCGGTCCCATCAACCGCCCAAGGGCTGAGGAGTGCAGGCACAAGGTGCAGGACTGGCGGGATCCACTAGGCAAAGCCAGCTGGGCTCCTGAGTCGGGTGGGGACTTGGAGAACTTTTATGTCTAGCTGGAGGATTGTAAATGTACCAATCAGCACTCTGTGTCTAGCTCAAGTTTTGTAAAGGCACCAATCAGTACCCTGTGTCTAGCTCAAGGTTGGTAAATGCATCAATCAGTGCTCTGTGTCTAGCTAATCTAATGGGGACTTGGAGAACTCTTATGTCTAGCTAGAGGATTGTGAATGCACCAATCAGCACTCTGTGTCTAGCTCAGGGATTGTAAACACACTAATCAGCACCCTGTCAAAACGGACCAATCAGCTCTCTGTAAAATGGAATAATCAACTCTCTGTAAAATGGACCAATCAGCAGGATGTGGGTAGGGCCAGATAAGCGAATAAAAGCAGGTTGCCCGAGCCAGCAGTGGCAACCTGCTCGGGTCCCCTTCCACACTGTATCAGCTTTGTTCTTTTGGTCTTTGCAATAAATCTTGCTGCTGCTCACTCTTTGGGTCTGCACAAACTTTATGAGCTGTAGCACTCACCGTGAAGGTCTGCAGCTTCACTCCTGAGGCCAGCGAGACCACGAACCCACCGGGAGGAATGAACAACTCCAGACAGGAGGAACAATGAACAACTCCAGACATGCCACCTTAAGAGCTGTAACACTCACCACAAAGGTCTGCAGCTTCACTCCTGAAGCCAGCGAGACCATGAACCCACCAGAAGGAAGAAACTCTGAACACGTCCGAACATCAGAATGAACAAACTCTGGACACACCACCTTTAAGAACTGTAACACTTACTGCAAGTGTCCGTGGCTTCATTTTTGAAGTCAGTGAGACCAAGAACCCACCAATTCCAGACACAGAAGCGGTACCTCAGCACAGCACAGCTGCTCTACAAAAGTGTGGGCAGACTACTCCTTTAAGTGGATCCTCAATCCTGTTCCTCCTGATTGGGTGAGCTCTCCTAATCAGGGACTCCAGCCACCATCTGCAGGTATGTTCAGGCCAGCAACAGGACTGTACCACTTTGGAATGGAGCTCCCAGAGGGAGGGGTAGGCTGCCGTCTTTGCTGTTTCACAACTTTCACTGGTGATACCTCAAGGTACTGGAAAATCCAAGGCAAGTAGGGACTGGAGCAGACTTCCAGCAAACCACAGTAGCCCTGTGGAAAAGTAGCCAGACTGTTAAAATAATTAAAAGAAAAAAAGAAGCCCATACAAAGGTCAGCAACCTCAAAGATTTAAGGTAGATAACCTACAAAGATGAGAAAGAATCAGGGCAAAAATGTGGAAAACTCAAAAAGCCAGAGTGCCCTCGTTCCTCCAGATGATAGCAACACCTCTCCAGCAGGAGTTTGGAACTGGGCTAAGGCTAAAATGGCTGTAATAACAGAAGTAGGCTTCAGAATGTAGATAAAAACAAACTTCACTGAGCTAAAGAAGCACTATGTAACTCAATGCAAGGAAGCTAAAAATCATGATAAAACATTACAGGAGCTGCCAGACAAAGTAACCAGTATAAAGAAGAACATAACCAATGTAATAGAGCTGAAAAATGCACTACAAGACCTTCACAATGCAATCACAAGTAACAACAGCAGAACAGGCCAAATGGAGGGAAGAATCTCAGAGCTTGAAGACTGTCTTTCTGAAATAAGACTGGCAAACAAGAATAGAGAAGAAAGAATGAAAAGGAATGAACAAAACCCACAAGAAATATGGAATTATGTAAAGAGACCAAATCTACAATGGATTAGGGTACCTAAAAGAGATGGGGAGAATGGGACTAATTTGGGAAACATAATTCATTATATCATCCATGAGAACTTCCCCACCTTAGCTAGACGGGCCAACATTCAAATTCTGGAAATGCAGAGAACCCCAGTAAGATAATCCATGAGAAGATCATGCCCAAGACACATAATCATCAGACTTGCCAAGGTCAAAATGAAAAAATGTTAAGGGCAACCAGAGAGAAAGGCCAGATCACCTACAAAACCAAGCCCATCAGAATAACAGTGGACCTCTCCGCAGAAATCCTACAAGCCAGAAGCAACTGGGGACCAATATTCAATATTCTTAAATAAAGGAATTTCCAACCCAGAATTTCATATCCAGTCAAACTAAACTTCATAAGTGAAGGAGAGGAGAAATAAGATCTGTTTCAGATAAGCAAATGCTGAGGGAATTTGTTACCACCAGACCTGCTTTACAAGAGCTCTTGTAGAAAGAACTAAATATGGAAAGGAAACCATTACCAGCCACTGCAAAACACACTGAAGTACACAGACCAGTGACACTATAAAACAACCACATAAACAGTTCTGCAAAATAGCCAGCTATTATCATAATGACAGCATCAAATCCACACATAACAATACTAACCTTAAATGTAAGTGGGCTAAATGCCTCAATTAAAAGACAAAGAGTGGCTACCCGGATAAACAACCAAGACCTATTGGTATGCTGTCTTTGAGAGACCCATCTAACATGCAATGACACACATGGCTCAAAATAAAGGGTTGAATGGAAAATTACCAAGCAAATGGAAAACCGAAAAAAGCAGGAGTTGCAGTCCTGGTTTCTGATAAAACAGATTTTAAACAAACAAACATTTTTTAAAAAGACAAAGAAAGGCATTACATAATGGCAAAGGTTTTATTTGACAAGAAGAGATAACTCCTAAATATGCACCAACGCAGAAACACCCAGATTCATAAAGCAAGCTCTTAGAGACCTTCAGAGACTTAGACTCCCACACAATAATAGTAGGAGATTTTAACCCCATACTGACAATATTAGACAAATCATCACGACACAAAAGTGACAAAGATATTAAGGACCTGAACTCAGCTCTGGATCAAATGAACCTGATAGATATTTACAAACCTTTCTACCCCCAACCAACAGAATATACATTCTTCTCATCACCACAGGGCACTTCCTCTACAACTGATAACATTGTCAGAAGTAAAACTCTCCTCAGCTAATGCAAAAGAACAAATCACAACAGTCTCTTGGAAAACAGTGCAATCAAATTATAAATCAAGATTAAGAAACTCACTCTAAACCACACAACTACATGGAAATTGAACAACCTGCCCTTGAATGACTTCCGGGTAAATAATGAAATTAAGGCAGAAATCAAAAAGTTCTTTGAAACTAGTGAGAACAAAGATACAACATACCAAAATCTCTGGAGCACACCCAGAGAATTGTTAAGAGGGAAATTTATAGCACTAAATGTCCACATCAAAAAGTCAGAATCTCAAGTTAACAACCTAACATCACAACTAAAAGAACTAGAGAACCAAGAGCAAACAAACCCCAAAGCTAGAAGAGGACAAGAAATAACCAATATCAGAGGTGAAATGAAAGAGATAAAGACATTAAAAACCATCCAAAAGATCAGTAAATCCATTTCTACTGAAAATATTCCAAAAAGTTGAAACAACTTTTTCTGTGAAACTCACAGAAACTCATGAGTTTCTAACTCGTTCTATGAGATGATCATCATCGTGGTACAAAAACCTGGCAGAGAAACACAAAAACTTCAGGCCAATATCCTTGATGAACACTGATGTAAAAATCCTCAACAAAATCCTGGCAAACAGAATCCAGTAACACAACACAAAGCTTATACAGCACAATCAAGCAGGCTTCATCCCTGTGACAACATACACAAATCAATAAATGTCATCCATAACATAAACAGAACTAAAGACAAAAAACCACATGATTATCCCAATAGATGCAGAAAAGGCCTATGATAAAATTCAACATCCCTTCATGTTAAAAACTCTCAATAAACTAAGTATTGAGGGAACATGCCTCAAAATAATAAGAGCCATGTATGACAAACTCACAGCCAATGTCATACTGAATGGGCAAAAGCTATGGATTAAAGACTTAAATGTTAGACCTAAAACCATAAAAACCCTAGAAGAAAACCTAGGCGATACCATTCAGGACATAGGCATGGGCAAGTACTTCATGACTGAAACACAAAAAGCAATGGCAACAAAAGCCAAAATAGACAAATGGGATCTGATTAAACTAAAGAGCTTCTGCATGGAAAAAGAAACTACCACCAGAGTGAACAGGCAACCTACAGAATGGGAGAAAATTTTGCAATCTACCCATCTGACAAAGGACTAATAACCAGAATCCACAAAGAACTCAAACAAATTTACAAAAAAAAAAACCCCGTCAAAAAGTGGGCAAAGGATATGAACAAACCCTTCTCTAAAGAAGACATCTATGCAGCCAACAGACACATGAAAAAATGCTCATCATCACTGGTCATCAGAGAAATGCAAATCAAAGCCACAATGAGATACCATCTCATGCCAATTAGAATGGCAATCTTTAAAAAGTCAGGAAACAACAGATACTGGAGAGGATGTGGAAAAATAGGAACACTTTTACACTGTTGGTGAGAGCCCAAATTAGTTCAACCACCATGGAAGACAATGTGGCAATCCCTCAAGGATCTAGAACTAGAAATACCATTTGACCCAGCTATCCCATTACTGGGTATATACCCAAAGGATTATAAATCATGCTACTATAAAGACACATGCACATGTATGTTTATTGTGGCACTATTCACAATAGCAACGACTTGGAACCAACCCAAATGTCCATCAATGATAGACTGGATTAAGAAAATGTGGCACATATGCACCATAGAATACTATGCAGCCATAAAAAGGGATGAGTTCATGTCCTTTTCAGGGACATGGATGAAGCTGGAAACCATCATTCTCAGCAAACTATCACAAGGACAGAAAACCAAACACCACATGTTCTCACTTATAGGTGGGAATTGAACAATGAGATCACTTGGACACAAGGCAGGGAACATCACACACTGGGGCCTTTCAGGGGCTAGGGGGCTGGAGGAGGGATAGAATTAAGAGAAATACCTAATGTAAATGATGAGCTGATGGGTACAGCAAACCAACATGGCACATGTATACCTATGTATCAAACCTGCATGTTGTGCACAGGTACCCTAGAACAGAAAGAAAGAGAGAAAGAGAGACAGAAAGAGAGAAAGAAAGAAAGAATGAGAGAGAGAGAGAGAAGAAAGAAAGAAAGAAAGAAAGAAAGAAAGAAAGAAAGAAAGAAAGAAAGAAAGAAAGAAAGAAAGGGAGAAAGAGAGAAAGAAAAGAAAGAAAGAAAGAAAGAAAGAAAAGAAAGAAAAGAAGGAAGGAAGGAAGGGAAGAAGGAAGGAAGGAAGGAAAAGAGAAGAGAAGACCAGTACAAGACAAGGATGCCCTCTCTCACTGCTCCTGTTCAACATAGTATTGGAAGTTCTGGTCAGGGCAATCAGGCAAGAGAAAGAAATAAAGGGCATTCAAATAGGAAGAGAGGAAATCAAACTATCCCTATTTTTAGATGACATGATCCTGCATCTAGAAAACTCCATCGTCTTCACCCTAAAGCTTCTTAAGCTGATAAGCAACTTCAATGAAGTTTCAGGATACAAAGTCAATGTGCAAAAAATTGCTAGCACTCCTACACACCAACAGCATCAAGCCAAGAGCCAAATCACAAACAAACTCTCATTCACAATTGCCACAAAAATAATAAAATATCTAAGAATATAGCTAACAAGGAATATAGCTAAAGGATCTCTACAAGAACTACAAACCACTGCTCAAAGAAATCAGAGATGACACAAACAAATGGAAAAACATTCCATGCTCATGGATAGAAATAATCAATATCATTAAAATGGCCATACTGCCCAAAGCAATTTATAGATTCATTGATATTCCCATTGACTACTATTCAATGATATTCCCAATAAACTACCATTGCCATTCTTCACAGAACTAGAGAAAACTATTTTAAAATGTATATGGAACCAAAAAAAAAAAAAAAGGCCCAAATAACTAGGGCAATCCTAAGCAAAAAGAACAAAGCTGGAGGCATCACACTACCCGACTTCAAACTATACTACAGGGATACAGTAACAAAAACAGCATGGGCTGGGCACAGTGGCTTGCTCCCAGCACTTTGGGAGGCTGAGGCAGGTGGATCACCTGAGGTCAGAAGTTCAAGACCAATCTGGCCAACATAGCGAAACCCTGTCTCTAGCAAAATTACAAAAATTAGCCGGGCGTGGTGGTGCATGCCTGTAATCCCAGCTACTTGGGAGGTTGAGGCACAAGAATTGCTTGAACCTGGGAGGTGGAGTTTGCAGTGAACCGTGATCATGCTACTGCACTCCAGTCTGGGCAATAGAGTGAGACTCCATCTAAAAACAACAACAACAACAAAAGCAACAACATGGTACTTGTACCCAAACAGACACATAGACCAATGGAACAGAATAGAGAGCTCAGAAATAAGACTGTGCACCTACAACTAGCTGATCTTCAACAAACCTGACAAAAACAAGCAATGGGGAAAGGATTCTCTATTCAATAAATGGTGCTGGGATAACTGGCTAGCCATACAATGCAGAAGATTGAAACTGGACCCCTTCCTTACACCACATATAAAAATTAATTCAAGATAGATTAAAGACTTAAATGTAAAACCCAAAACAATAAAAACCCTGGAAGGCAACCTAGGCAATACCATTCAGGACATAGGCACAGGCAAAGATTTCAACATGCAGATGCCACAAGAAATTGCAACAAAAGCAAAAATTGACAAAGGGATCTAATTAAACTAAAGAGCTTCTGCACAGCAAAAGAAACTATCAACAGAGAAAAAGACAGCCCACAAAATGGGAGAAAATTTTTGCAAACCCTGTATCTGATGAAGGTCTAATATCCAGAGTATACAAGAAACTTAAAACAAATTTACAAGAAAAAAACAAACAAGACCATAAAAAAGTAGGCAAATGACATGAACAGACACTTCTCAAAAGAAGACACACATGCAGCCAGCAATTATATGAAAAAAAGCTCAACATCACTAATCATTAGAGAAATGCAAATTAAAATCATAACGAGATAACCATCTCACACCAGTCAGAATGGCTATTAATAAAAAGTCAAAAAATAACAGATGCTGGAGAGGTTGTGAAAAAAAGGAAGGCTTTTACACTGTCAGTGAGAGTGTAAATTAGTTCAACCATTATGAAAGACAGTGTGGCAATTCCTTGAAGACCTAAAGACAGAAATACCATTCAACCCAGCAATCCCATTACCACGTATATACCTAAAGGAATATAAATCATTCTATTATAAAGACACATGAACATGTTTGTTCATTACAGCACTATTCACAATAGCAAAGACATGGAATCAACCTAAATGTCCACCAATGATAGACTGGATAAAGAAAATGCTGTACATATACACCATGGAATACTATGCAGCCATAAAAAAGAATGATACCATGTCCTTTACAGGACATGGATAGAACTGGAGGCCATTATCCTTAGCAAACTAACAGGGACAGAAAACCAAGTACTGTATGTTCTCACTTATAAGTGAGAGCTAAATAATGAGAACACATGGATGTATAGAAGTTAGATGGTTACAACAACAGACACCGGGACCTGTCAGAGGGTAGGGAGTGGGAGGAGGGAGAAGATCAGGAAAAATTACTAATGGGTACTAGGTTTAATACCTGGGTAAGGAAATAATCTGTATGACAAACCCCCATGACACAAATTTCCCTTTGTAACAAATCTGCACATGCTGCACATGTACCCCTGAACTTAAAATAAAAGTTAAAAAAAAGAAAAAGAAAAAAAGTGAGTTATGGAGGGTTGAGGGATGAATATGTGGTGAGGTGGAAATGAGTGTGCAGCGTTTTAAGAAGTTTGCCTCCAAATGGAAAGAGATAGATGAGATAGACAGAGGGACAAATGTAACTTTTTAAAAGCCGTTTTGTAATGGTTAGCAAGATTTTAACATGGTGAGAAAAGAAAATAGAAAATGTTTTGATGCTACAGGTGGACAAAATAAATGACAGAGCAAGCTTTAAGAAGATGCAAGGGGGCAGCATCCAAAGCATAGAAAGTGCTGGTTTGGATATGGACAAACTGAAAGCTCAAACGTGTGTCTCTTAAAATGTAGATACTCTGCTTAAAAATCTTTGAAAGAGTAGATAAAATGAATGGATGGAGGAAAGACAAATGGACTTAATCTTTCAAAGTCTTCATTTATTTCCTTAAAAATAGGGATAGAAATGCCTGTTTTATTGGGGCAATGCAATAGTTATGAATCGAGACTGCACATGTAAAGTAGTTAGCAAAATCCCTTACCCATGACAGGTTCCAGTGACTTGTAGGTCTTATTCTTACTACTGGAGACATCTATTAGCTTTCAATCCATCAGTAATGATTATTGCCCTCAGCATCGCATTGCATTTTTCACCAAGCTAGGTTCATAACTCATGTACTCTGGCAAAAGCAACAGCAGAAAGGAAATGATGCAGTTAGAGTTTAGAATGTGTCCCAGGGAAGGTAAAGAGTAAGTAAATTCGTCTTTGTTGCTTTGAAATCACCCCTATTGTCTCTCTTGGAGCCACACATAATGAAAAACGCAGATCTTTTCTGAAAACTGACAGTTGTCTATGTTCCCCTTCCAACAGGTGTCTCCCTTGGCAGCCCTTAAATAGCTAGATAAAGGTGCAGCCAAGATGGGGCTTCATCCCAGGCCCCCATTCCCTCTAAACAAGGGCTCCACTGAGTCCTTCCAATATGACAACAGATTCCAGCATCTCAGATTTACTCTTCTCTGCCTATTCCAAGTCTGTGGAACTGAACAGTTGTCACATTCACTTTAAAAGACATGCTTATATGTCTATATTTTAATGTATATTTTCTCTCATTAGGGTTAAAAAGACCTTTCCCTCATTAGGGTTAAAAAAGTCCTTGCCAAATCTCGTATATATGCTCCATATGAAACCATATATATATTCTACAAGTTTCATATATTATAAATGCTTTCCCAACTATATAATAAATGAGGCAAGATAAAGAGCTACCCAAGGAAGTTCTGAACTGAAAAAGGCATCTTTTTCAAACACAAGTTAAAGAGTGCTATTATGACTAATTGCTACAATATAAAGTTGTCTATTTACAGCTAGTGTATATTTAATTTTCCGACTCACTGCTGTCATTGGTTTCACATTTTATTTCTGTCCTGATAAAAATTGGAAACATGATAAAATTGTTCAAGTCTCCCAATTTTGTGCTAACAATATAATGAGCTTATTTCTGTCCCAAACAGCCCCTTCTCTCATTCCTTCAACAGTTCATTTAACTATTGACAGCAAGAATTCCAGATAATATAGCACTATGATCCAGTTAAAACAAAGGTTATTTTAAAACTCTACGTCCTCTTTCTCTTCCTTTCGCCCTTACCTTGTTTCTTCCTTCCTTTCAACAGATAACATCTATGTGTCTGTTGACTAGGGACTATGCCAGTCACCAGGGCAGATATAAAGAATGGGGAGATGCTGCCCTTGCCCTTGGGAAGCTCCCAGTTGAGAGAGGACAGAGATGTTGAGGAAAGCACAAAGTGATCACAATGGGAATGAAGGTGGGAGAAGCAAGTAACTTCATGAAAGATCAAGGAAGATTCCACAAAGCAGCTGTCATTTGGGTTGGATCTTGAACAATGACTAGGATACAACCAGACACAAAAGACAGGAAATATATGAATATTTCTGGAAGTGTTATTCAAAATGACCCAAAACTAGAAACTCAAATGTTTATAAATTAACAAATGGATAAATAAAATTGAAGTATAACCATACAATGGAATATTACTCAGCCATAAAAAGGAATGAAGTCCATGATGCAGCAGGGATGAACCTTGAAAACACTATGATAAGTGGAAGAAAACAATCACAAAAGACCACATATTGTATGAATCCATTTATATGAAAAGTTCAGAAAAAGCACATCTATAGGGAACAAAAAATAGATTTGTGTTTGCCTAGGAGTGAATACTAGTGGATACAAATTTCTCTATGGGGGAAGAAAATGTTCTAGAATTAGATCACAGTAATGTTTACATATCCCTGTGAATTTACTAAAAACACTGCATTGTACACTTTAAAGAGGTCAATTATATGGTATGTGAATTATATTTTAATACAGCTGTTATTTAAAATAAAATAGGTAAGAGAGTATATTTTAAAATAAAGGAAAAGAATATGCCCAAACCTGTTGGCATCAAAGAGCCCACATAAAGTTCCCTCTGGCTGAAGAACAGAGTGCACAGTGTGGGGATGGAAGGCTGGGAGGACTGTGTGCTATTGGCCTCACCGCTGAGCTGGTGAAATCCAAGGGCAACATGGAGACTTTATACTCCTTTAAGCAGAGTGTGTTCTAAGGGTGTGTTTGGGAATAGAAAATTTTGCAGCAATTTGAAAGAGGACCTGAGGAGGAAAAGAGACCAATAAGAGAGAAATTGAAGAGTTTGATTGTCTGCCCAACCCTTAGTTACCCATGACCCGTGTCTGAGGTAAAGTTGGCGCTTAACATAAGACCAAGCATTTCAAAATCTGCAGTTCTAAAAAGAGGATCTTAGAAATTATGAGCCATTTGTAGTTGCTGTTTACATTTATTATCAATATATAATTCTTCCTTTCAGCATACAAGCACTCGCAAGCATAAACAAGGACACTTTTGGCTGAGTGCAGTGGCTCATGTCTGTAATCCCTTTGAGAGGCCTAGGCAGGCAAATCACTTGAACCCAGGAGTTCGAGACTAGCCTGAGCAACGTGGGGAAAGCCCCACGTCTACAAAAAATAGAAAAATTAGCCAGGCACGGTGGCATGCACCTGTGATCCTAGCTATTTGGGATGCTGAGGTTGGACGATTGCTTGAGCCCAGGGGGTCGAGGCTGCAGTGAGCCATGACAGCACCACTGCACTCCAACCTGGGTGACAGAGCAAGACCCTATCTCAAAGAAAACAAATAAAAATAAATAAAATTAAATAAAATAAACAAAGACACTTTTAAGAAAGGAAAATAATCATACCTAAATGCATACATATTTATATCAGCTATAAAGGAATGTACACCAGCCATGTTAATCACATGATTGAGGACCAACAACCTGTACTTGGAAATATTCTAATTAAGAATTTTCATTTTTATAAATGAATAATGTCTGATTGTTTTTAAGAATGCCATATAATTACAATACCATATGCTCAAGTCCTGGGACATGCAGGGTTCTCTGCGATTTCTTCTGGTGTAGCAAGATATTAAAGACAATGATAAGAAAAAGAATTTGCATAAGAGACAACACATGGAAATTTTATCATATCTCATACCTAGTAGACCATTTGTGCCTTAGTCTATGGATCTTCAAAACTCAGATTTCTAGACCCCTCCTGAGATGAAGTGCATTAGGATTTCTGGAAAAGAGGTGTGGATCTGCACCTCAGTAAATTGCTCAGGTGGTTTTTGAATACCTCAATAGTTTCAGCCACTCATGGAAGATTTAGAAAGATCATTTAAATGGTAATTATTTAGAGAAGTTCATTTTTTTCCCAATATTCTTACAAAGACGGTCTTCATCCAAGCTCATCTTGTGCCTGGGACAGGGATTTATGTCTTCTGTGTTAACTGCTGTATCTCCAAGCACAGAAAATGATACTTTGCACCTGGTAGACATTCAATTAGTACCTATTTAATGAATAACTTCATAAGGCTGTGTGTGTGTGTTGTAACATATGCACACATAAAATTATAGAAATTACTTTTATACACAGGCTTTCTTTCCATTTAGAAAAAATTTACACAAGTTTCCTATTTAATAAGTCTTATAGTATTCTTATTTTGCTTGAAAAATGAGTGTATTGCCTATAAGCTAAAGATAATAAGGAAACAAAGCTCTCTTTCCTCTGCTGAAATCAATGTGCAGCTCTCATTCTGTAGCCTGACTACATTTGTCCTTTCAGAATAATAAAAGCAAGCATGCTCACAAAGAAAGGGCAGTCCATTAGGGGAGAAATTGTATTTTCATAACCAAGAATAGTATTTCCTTCTGGAAGTGCAAGTGCAAATGAATGAGGTTGTTCATTTGAGTTTGTGGGAATTACAATTTGAAGTCTCCAGAATCTTCCAAGGAGTTAGATGAAATTTCTGATTTTTAAAACCACAGGCCAAAGCTTCAATTGTGACCTCCAGCTGTCCCTCTTTCACCATAGATTTTCCAGTGAAATTTTTCCCACGTAGCTCAGGCCAAATTCTAAATACCTGCGGTGGGAGGGAATATTTTTTTCAGATTCTATAGGGTCATTTCTGTAGTCATTTATTGCTTTTGTGGCCAAAGACTGACAAATCAAAAGTAAATGAGTAGGAATGTATTTTACCAATTTCATGTGAAAATGTGTATTTTATTTCAAGAGAGAATTTTCTCACCTGTTCAACAGCACTTCTAAGAAATACCACCATGTTTCAGTGTTTATAATAAAATTCACATGTCAACCACACACAATTAGATGCTGAATTATTGAAAATACATAACTTTTTCTCATCATTTCTTTCCACTACAACCTCTTCCACCTCCTGTATTCTCTCCCTCAAGTAATTGAATGCCTACCTCTTCATCTCTTTCTCCCACACACATAAGCATCATCAGGTGCAGTCTGTTGCATGCTCTATTTCTCAAATATGTTCATTTATTTCCAACTCTACTGCCATTTTCCTGGTGTAGGCCACTATTCTGTTTTAGCTAAATTGCTACAATCACCTTGTCCCTGACAACCCTACCTCTAATCTTACCATGGCCCCATCCATTCTGTACTCTGCAGTCCAGCTCAAAGGACACTCTGTATTAGGATGATCTGTCCTGTTCTTTCTGTTATCCAATCTCTTTTGAAAACTCTGGTTCACCACTCAAGACCCAACAGAAAGAATGATCTACCTAAATCATAAATGTAAACATGCCCCCTCACTACCACTCAAAACCCTACATGGATTCCCTGCACCATCTGAACAAGGTTCAAGTTATTTTGCAAGAGTTGAAAGGCCCTTTGTGATCAAGCTCTGAATTACTTAATAAGCTGAGTTCTCTCCATCCCTGTAGTTCAAATCTACCATCTATGCAGTATGTTTACTTTCCTTCCGAAGGTCTTTATATATGCTGTTTCCTCTACCTGAACACTTTAAAACTACTTCCTCCTCAAAGCCTATCCTGAGGTTTGGTTGGGCATCTATGGCAGGTTTTATTTTCCAAAGATGGCCACAACAATAACTTCCAAGTCAAATGCATTTGACAATGCAATTTTGACAATGCTCCCAATGAGTGATGGAGCCTGTGTCCCCTCCTCTAGAATCTGGGTGGACTTGGGACTCATTTGTAACTAATAAAATGTGGCAGAGTCATTTGATGCCAGATCAGAAAAGGTGATGCCACCTTGGACATTGAAAGACTTGTGCTCAGAGCCTTGAGCTGCCAGATAAGGGGCCCAACTCCTCTAAAGTTTCCCTGCTGTGAGCAAGCCAGGTCAAGACACCCAGGTGTAGCCTTTGAGTCTTTCCAATATAGAAGCCAGATATGTGGGTGAATAAGACTTTGTATGATTTTAGCCCACAGCTAATGGGTCATTCACATTTTCCCAGGTGAGGCATCAGACATCAAGAAGAAGAGAACTAGCCACAAAAGTTCCTTTCTGAATTCATCACCAAGAGAATCCACGAGCATGGTGAAACCATTGTTTCATATCCCTGAATTTGGGGTGGTTTGTTAAGCAACACTAGAACTGAACAGTGTCCTTCAATCTCTGAATTAATCCATAATGTAGCACATATCATACTCTGTCACCATTTTCTGCATACGTAAATATACATGCATGGCCACAGGACTAGAAACTTCACTACACCCCTACATCTAACTATGTGCCTGAAATAGAACAAATTCTCAAAAATTATTGTTCTGAATAAACTTTCAACAAGAAATTTTGACATCATCATCATTTCTTTTCTTTCTTATATTTCCAAATTCAATGCATTCTACTTCCTAAATGTCTTTCAAATCCATCCACTTCCCTTCTCACTAATTCTCAGTTGAGGTCATCCTCATTTCTTGGCAGGAATCTTGAAGAGTCTTTTTTCTGGTCACACTGCCACATTTTCTCCAAATAAAGTCCTAGAGAAAAATGAAATGAAGATTTATTAGTTGGTTCTCACGCTGCTATGAAGAAATAACCTGGGTAATTTATAAAGAAAAAAGGTTTAATTGACTCACAGTTCCACATGGCTGGGGAGGCCTCAGGAAACTTACAATCATGGAAGAAAGCACATCTTTACAGGGTAGTAGAGAGAGAATGAGTGGGAAGTCAAGGGGGAAGCCCCTTATAAAACCATCAGATCTCATGAGAACTCACTCACTATCATGAGAACAGCATGGGGGAAACCTCCCCAATGATTCAATTACCTCCCACCAGGTCCCTCTCTGGAAAAGCGGGGATTATTACAATTCGAGGTGAGATTTGGGTGGGGACACAGAGCCAAACCATATCAGAAGAACTATTTCACTTTCTATTGCCAGCTAGCAGAAGGTAAATAATCTTACCTGACAAAAAAGCCCATCCCGTGTTCTGCATGCCCAAGCTCATCTCTTGCCCTCTATCCCACACATCCTACCTTCAGGGACACTAAATGTGTCACCACCACCTGCAATACAACTTTGACTTGGTAACTCCTGCTCTCCCTAATTTCCATTTCTACTCCACTCACCTCTGTCTCAGGAATCCTTGAATCTGCCCATCAGATAACCTCTCAACCTTTCCAGGAAGACTTAGCCACTGAACACCTGTATTCCCACGGGACTCTGCTCATCCCTTTACCTTGGTAAGTTTCATAATCTGTCCTAATTTGTCTGTTTACACATTTGTCTCACTCAAATAGTAATTCTTTAAAGTGAGAGAAATTGAACTTACTCATTCTTTTATCATCCAACATCTACTAGAGTGTGAGGGACATTACTAGGTTCTCAGTCAATGTTTGTTGAATAAATAAATGAATGAATTAACAAAAAATTTAATGCAGAAATTATCATATAGCCTAACTATATAAATCCAAAGCTAATCAATATTTTGGGGGAAGAGATTACTGAGGGGACATGGGGAAAATTCACCAGAGAGCATTCTATAAATACTAAATTCTCCAGAGTAGTGATTTCTTTATTTTCACTAAGATGACCAAGCTTAGTTAACCATGTGCCCTTATTAGAATAATATTTTGAAAAACCTATTAATGTGTTGTGTTTTATTTGTCTTTCATTTCTTTTTTCAGGAAAAATAAAACCACGAAATCTTATTACTGAAGCTGGGCCCTTCTTATGCTTAAGAAAAACAAAGCAAGCTATGGATGAAGAGATTTTGTATTGATAAAGAATAACACACCTTTCCCTGGCCCATTAAATCTTTCTTCACAAACCATCCAGTCAGATTGTGGGCTTTTACTATTTTTAAGTGGTAAATATGAAATGTTGAAGAAAACAGTTTCAAATGGGGTAACAGGAACGATGACAATGAATGGTAAGAGGGGCAGGGAGATGTAACACTACATCTGGAGCACTCTGAATTGAGTGTGGTTATGGCTCCTTTCCTAACGATCCTTCCAGGGCCAAGTCAGTCTGTGGCCCTGAAGCCTGCAATTAGAGAGAAAGGGTACTTGCTGGACTCAAGCACCAGTGTCATGACCTTCTCAGACTTCAAGGTCTTTGTCAGATCTTTTGGGTTCCCATGAAGAAGTGTCCCCACAATACCTCAGGATATTAATTACTCCCAGAGAACCACTAAACCAAGATCTTCAACATGTGCCACAAAGGGGTAACAGGTTACCTAAAACATAGAGCCCTCAGCTCTTACAGATGCCAGATGAGGCTGGGGGCTGTGGGATTGGCCTTCTTCAGTTCTGATGGTACTGATCCCAACCCCCATGAATGATATGGGGATTAGTAGTGTTGTCCCCTGACCTGCTCAACCCAGCCAGGGAATGGATCTGCCACTCAAGCAGCAACTTAAGCCACCTACAGAGCACACTGATGCCCATGTTGGACAAATTCAAGTGTCCAAAAAAGTCTTAAAGGGCTCATAAGTTATATCATGGTACATTTTTAAGATCATCACCTTCACAGTTATAAAAGGAGGATAGTATCATGCCTCATTTCCCCAGACTCCATAGACCTTACAATCCTCATGTGGTCCCAAGAGCCAGCTCACCAGCCTGGCTGACCCCAACTGTCCAGTAGAATGCAAATATGAGAAATCATGAGGAAATAGTAATGGCAACACTAGCATTTATTGAGTGCTGTGTCAGGTGGTGTCTTAAGTTTCTGACACGTATTAACTCATTTGATCTTTCTACAACACCTTCTAAGGTAAATAGTATTAATACTATTTAACAGTTTATAATATATACTATGTAATACGTTAATATTATTTAACTCCTTATATATAAATATTATAATATATACTAGATATTAATATTATTTAACTCATATATAATATATACTATATAATATATTAATTTTATTAATATTTAACTAATATAATAATACATTAACATTATTTAACTCATTTGATCTTCCTACAACACCTTCTGATGTAAATAGTAATAATACCATTTATCATTTTATAATATATACTATATAATATATTTTATATATATAATATGGAGTCTGGGGAGATGAGGCATGGAGGCATGGAGTCCAGGGAGTCTGGGGAATGAGGCATGATATTATATATAATATATGATTTAGTATATATTATAAAATGATAAATAGTATTATATATTATATACTGTATTAATATATTATATATAACATAAACAGTGTTATATATTATATTAATATGTTAATATAATGTATAGTATATTAATATATTAATTAATATAATTAATAAGTTAATTAATTATAATATATTGATATGTTTATATAATATATCATATATCTTATACAGTATAATAGTATTATATATTAGTATTATTATATATAATATATAATGCTATAATCATTTTACAGATCTGGAAACTGAGGCACAGAGTTGGTAAGTTCCTTGCCCAAGGTTACCTAAACATTAAAAACTGTGTTTCACGCGAAGGTAACATGACTCTAGACTTAGGCTCTTAACCACATGCTGGGGTCCTTCATCTAAATTTAAAATGTGGGAAATTAATTAAAAATTAGCCTGCCTTCCAGCTAAAGTAAGAATGTGAGAAGAGCTTCTCCATCTTTAGGTCTCAAAAGAGGTTTTACATCCCCTGAGAGGACCACCACGTCTGAAGTACTCCAATCCAGCCCCATGCCAGTCTCTCCCTGTTACATCATTGGACCCCTGCATGAAAACATCTTATTTATCAGATGTCTCCCCCTCCCACATGAGAACAGCAACCACCTTTGCTTGGTTTAGTCCATAGTTAACAAACTTAGTACAGAGTCAAGCATATATTTTGTTGAGAAGAAGGTGGATGGATATGGATGGATGGAGGAATGTATGAATGGATGGATGGATGACATTAAAGTACAACTGAATTTGATTTTCTATTACTACTCTGGGAAGTAATTTAAGTTTTGGGAATTAAGGGAGATACATATTTTGTTTTCATAAAAAAGCATTTCTTAAACTGTGTTTTTTCCAAGTCTAGTGTTCCTTAAGACATCAGAAGTGTGTCATGGATGATTGAGACATGCTGGTTTAAATGAAATTCACCATAATTCTTCACTGCAATATTTCCATAAGACCCTCATTTGTTAAATGGAGCACAGTGAAACTGCAACATTATGAAGTGTTTCCCAAACTTACTTGACATAAAATTCTCCTGTTTTCCTCTCAGATCACCCTATGATGTATTAGGTTTCCATGAGAAACGTTTTACAACACACTGAGTCTTAAAATTATTAGGCATTCTTATTATTATTCTACGGTTACATAAATGGATCATTAAATTGGCATTACCTGAAGCAGAACAAATGAAGCCAAATTAGATGCCCAAATCATAGTGAATATTATGGCTGGGTTAGATTAATGTGAAAAGCTTTTCTCTAGCCAGGATAAATTTTAATTTTTATCCTATGTAGAATTCCATGATCGCTGAGTAATACACTGCAACCTTTTGATAACTGAATGATTCATCGTGATAAGAAATGCTTGCAGAGGAAGCTCCCATTTTATTGTCATTTATGTGGAATAATTAATTAGCACTGTACACTGTCATAAGATGTCCAATAAAGTTCTAACTCATAAAGAAATTCAGAGCATTAGGAAGGTGAGCAGCATAACTAGTTGCAACGCCTTACCACTGTAGTGTTTCAATTGGACAACATAATGGACTGTTAAAGGCAGTGCATAACTTCTAAACTTTAAGAATGTTTAAGCACCTCATGTGTTCAAGTTCCTCTGTTAGACACAGTAGCTTACTCCTGGTGACCTTCTTTGCCTAGAGGGTGGGACTTACCTGTGTCTCCCCTTTAATTGATGTTAGGGTTTTTCTGGGAATTACATGATTCAATGGCAGCACCTGTTTGCATGGGACAGCACATTGCCACATATATATCACCCAAGATCACAGAGGTTTACTTGCTTTAACCTGCTTCTGCACAGTACCCTTCTATTTAAAAGGAGAAATCAGGCTGCAGAGGAATACCAGAGAAAGACTGTAACATTCACAAATGTATAATTTTGTACCAAGATACGTATTTTACTGAGGAAATTAAAATGTGAGGCCAAGAGTCTCTGGATGTTTGCTTACATCTAAATGAATGTCTGGATTGTTTTTTTCTCTTTACCAAAAGATTGTGCCATTATGTGGTCAAGGCCTGTAAAGAAATCCTTAGCAATCTGAATTCTAAAAATTTTGACTCAATTCCAGCATTCAATTAAATGAATGATAGTTGCAAGAAACAAACAAGCAATTATTGGTTTAAAACTGGCCAGCTTTAATCAACAACTGACTAAAGATAATATTTTCATGGGATCATGTGCTCCAATTTTCTGAGAAGACATTTGGTATCTACTCATGTTCATATTTTATAACTGTAGTAATTATCTTTCACTCTCAATAGTTTTCCTAATTAACATTTATGTTCTCTTCTGTGTCTCAGGTAAAAATTCAGTTTTTCAATTAACTTTATTAAGCTATAATTAGTGTATATAAAATACACATATAGTTTAAAGGTACAGTTCAGTAAGTTTTGAAAAATCTACACATCTGTTTAGCTACCATCCCAATCAAGACTGAGGTTTCTATCACTCCAAAAAATTCCCTATGGTCCGTTTTCAGTGAATCTTCCTCATCCCCTGCTACAGGCAACCACAGATCTGGTTTTAATAAATACAGGTTAGATGTGCCTGTTTTAGTACTTCCTATTAATGGAATCATACCGTACATTTTTTTCACATAAAAATTAATTAAATCTTGCCCCTTATTCCATCTCTGTGGTTAGAATAAGGATTTTTCATGACATGGAAGCTGTTGAATATAAATACATTGGATAATTCTTTCTTTCAGATTTGTTTCCTGAGACTCTAGTCCATTTTCTGCAAATGCCTTTCTTGGAGAACATCATCCACCAAATTTAGTAGGTTGCCCAACATTATTTATAGGCTGTAAATCATCTAAAGAGTTTTTCTCCCCCTTCCTTTCCAAAATTTAATCAAAATCTCTACTTCTCAGCCAGAAGAAATATTTATAGTAAGCATTTGTGATCTGTCTAAATATGTGATAGTGCTGTGTTTTTTATTAAAATTTTAATAGGCTTTTTTAGTCTGACTTATCCCCAAAACCCATAAGAACACTCATACCATTTCCGTGTCTTCATATTTGTAATAATCCGTTTCTTAAACTTTGAAACATTCTCCTCATAACTCATCTTATTAGCCTGTATTTCATGCTTGGTTTTTTTGTGGGTTTTTTTTAAATCACAGTTATACCAGTGGAAACTTAATATTTTCCCTTAAAATAGAAAATTCTGAAGCACACTCATCATCATCAATTCTGATACACACCTCAACAATTTGCCTGCATATGCAAATAAAGAGCAAGTTGTGTTTGAAAGGGGAAGGGGATAAAAAAAGAAAAAAAGAAAATGATGCTTATTGCACTGTGGTTAGAATATCCCAGCCCTGGATTGTTTTGGAACTAAGGGGAAAAAAGACACAAACAGCAATGTAAACATGACTGTCAACACCACCATCCGAATCGTTCCCATATGGCTAATGTGTGTCAACAAAGCAATCTCTTTGTAAGCAATACAACATAAAATTACAGAAGGATGCTGCCAAAATCTTGCTGCGTGCAACCTGCCCCCACACTTCAGGAAACAGAGAGACTCCCTGAACGTGGGAGAGGAAGAATGGGAGCTCTGACCCTGAGGATGGGCCTGAAAGCCAAGACCACACAGGAGGCAGAAGCATGAACTACTGGGTGGTGGTTTATGGTTTACCCATTTCAGAGGTGCACCTCAGTCAAGAGCCAGAGACAAGAAAGTGTCAGAAGGCAAGTGACAATAGTCATCAAGGTGGTAATTGCCATAATGTGGCTATATATTATTATTTTTATTTTATTTTAATTTCTGGGGTAAATATGCAGGATGTGCAGGTTTGTTACATAGGTAAATGTGTGCCATGATCATTTGCTGCACCTATCAACCCATCACCTAGGTATTAATCTCAGCATGCAGTAGCTATTTTTCCTGATGCTCTCCTTCCCTCCACCTCCCCCACCCCTCAACAAGCCCCAGTATGTGTTATTCCCCTCTCTGTGTCCATGTGTTCTCATTGTTCAGCTCCCACTTATAAGTGAGAACATGTGGTGTTTGGTTTTTCCATTCCTATGTTGTTTTGCTGAGGATAATGGTTTCCAGCTCCATCCATCCCTGCAAAGGATATGATCTTGTTCCTGTTTTATGGCTTAATAGTATTCCATGGTGTATATATACATTTTTTTATCCAGTCTATATTCGATGGGTATTTGGGTTGATTCCATGTCTTTGCTATTGTGAATAGTGCTGCAATGAACATACATGTGCATGTATCTTTTATGTCTTTTATAATAGAATGATTTATATTCCTTTGAGTATATACTCAGTAATGGGATTCCTGGGTCAAATGGTATTTGTGGTTCTAGATCTTTGAGGAATCGCCATACAGTCTTCCACAATGGTTGAATTAATGTACGTTCCCACCGACAGTATAAAACTGTTGCTATTTCTCCACAGCCTCGCCAGCATCTGTGGTTCCTTGACTTTTTAATAATCGCCATTCTGATTGGTGTCAGATAGTGTCTCATTGTGTTTTGATTTGCATTTCTCTAATGACCAGCGATGTTGAACTTTTTTTCATGTTTGCAAAAAGTAGGTGTACTCTTAAAATGGAGGATATTATCTTACAGTCTTCATCGGCATCATACTATGCATCTGTGGATGAATTTTTCTATTAGTTTGTGACTACATGATTTATGTTTCACAAAGAAGGGAAAATGATAGACAGTCACTGAGAAAGTTCTCAAGCATAGAATACAAACATCTGTTGCTGTGTATAAAACAAACAAAAAATGGAGATGGATGTAGTAACATTGTTTTTCTAAGGAACTGTTTTTACACAATAGAAAATATTCTCCAATCATGGACATAATGAAGAATTTGTTTTCTTATTTTTTCTTTTTCAAAATACAGGGCTTTGAATTCAAAGTCTTCAATTGTGACTTTCAAAAAAAAATAAGAGAAAGTCATTCTCATTAATGAACATAGTGATTATTTTTAAATACCTAAGTACAAATTATTTTGCTAACATAAATTAGCAATCAAACCTAACCACTTTATGAAATGCTGAACTGGATTCAGAAAATATTGTAACTACAAACAGAATTTAAGAAAGGTAACAAAAGAAGTAGAATTTGAGCCTAATACTATAAATCTAAGTCCCTTGATGACACTGCTTTCACCAGAATAAAATGTTAAATATACATACAATTTCCTTAATAATATCCACTCTGAAGCGAACTATGGAAAGAAAAGCAATTGACCATGCTGAGAATTTGCACTTGTACTGCATCTCTCTGCATATGTTCAGAATCATGGTCCTGAGCAGGCTCCATGTTCCCGAGTGATTTTTAGCAGGCTACCTTAGCTCAAGTTATCAGAAACAGATGACAAACCGCTAAAAATATTTCTAAATAATGCTAAAGCAGCAACAGCCCAGCTGAAGATCAGCTGACTCATCAAGTTTGGTGAATCCTACTGAGAAATGCTAAAATAGACTAACCTTTGGATCAACTGTTTTGCTATGCAGCTTCATCAGAACTAAGGTTCTTGCCCCAAATAGGAGGGTAGAAAGACATTGGAGAGGCTCAAGGACACAGTGTTCATATCGACAGAGCTCAGACTCGTTCCTCTCTTCTAGGCACACAGAAGGGTGCACGGAGAGGGTGAAGCAACCACCTATGCCTTAAGTATAATATTGGAACAGAAAATTGTAACAGAGCCTTTTTTTTTTTTTTTTGCCATTACTCATCGGGTACTGAGAGATGAGATGATAGAGCTGGCCACAAAGAAACAACAAAAAAAAGGATTGAAAGACATTAAATCAGAATTGTGATTGTCTGAACTAAGTAGACAAAACAATGAACAATGTCCAAAATACAAATTGAATTAACAACTCTACTGAAAATTGGGAGAAAGGGAAAGAGAAAAAGAAGGCACCTTTACCTCTCAATAATTTCCTCCCACTGACAAGATGGACTCCATTCCCTATGCTAGCATTTTGTATAATAAGATCTCCACTTTCTGCTACTAATAATGATACCTGCAAGAAAGAAGCACAGAATCTTCCACCCTATCAAACCACAAATCTGAAACTGTCATAAAAAGCACCAATAATATTTATTCTGGGTATTTCCAACAGTAATCTCTTATGAGTGTAGGCACAACTTTACAAGAAAAACTACTCATATAAAAATTTTAAACCATCTGCAAATACTTGATTTTTTAAATAAATTTTTAATCCTAACTACACCAATCCCTGACCCTTCCAATATTTATACATCAATTTAGTTTGGGTCACATCTAATGTTCTCTGAGAGATTTTCTTTCTGACCTTATCCAAAGGACAATATTATTGTCTTATAGTCCCCTTATTTTTTCATGATTAAGCAAATTCATTCTTTATGTATTGATTTTATTGTTGATACTGTTATTTTATCTTTAAATTGTCAGACATTGCTTTGTCCCACACCATTGTTGCCAAATTGTAACCATTTTTTTTCTACTCAGCAACTAAAATATTAAATGTGAATGAAATAAGTGTGTTATTAGGTCCTGTGGGTTCCTTCCAAGTAAGACTAAATCTCCCATGTAAACAAAGTGTTGTCCTATAAAAATCTAATCTGAAGTCAGGTAGCGTGATGTCTCCAGCTTTGTTCTTTTTGCTTAGGATTGTCTTGGCTATAAGGGCTCTTTTTTGGCTCCACGTGAAATTTAAAGTAGCTTTTTCTAATTATGTGAAGAATGTCAATGGTAGTTTGATGGGAATAGCATT
This sequence comes from Homo sapiens, assembly GCF_000001405.40. Lineage (NCBI taxonomy): Eukaryota > Metazoa > Chordata > Mammalia > Primates > Hominidae > Homo > Homo sapiens. The sequence goes on from NC_000008.11 coordinate 60,023,753, forward strand.
GAATCTATAAATTACTTTGGTCAGTATGGCCATTTTCACAATATTAGTTCTTCCTATCCCTGAAGATGGAAAGTTTTTTCCATTTGTTTGTGTCCTCTCTTATTTCCTCAAGCAGTGGTTTGTAGTTCTCCTTGAAGAGTTCCTTCACATCTCTTGTTAGCTGTATTCCTAGGTATTTTATTCTCTTTGTAGCAGTTGTGAATAGGAGATCATTCATGATTTGGCTCTGTTCTTGTCTATTGTTGATGTATAGGAATGCTTGTGATTTTTGCACATTGATTTCATATCCTGAGACTTTGCTGAAGTTGCTTATCAGCTTAAGGAGTTTTGGGACTGAGATGATGGGGTTTTCTAAATATAGAATCATGTCATCTGCCAACAGAGACAGTTTGACTACTTCTCTTCCTATTTGAATACCCTTTATTTCCTTCTCTTGCCTGATTGCCCTAGCCAGAACTTCCAATACTATGTTGAATAGGAGTGGTAAGAGACGGCATCGTTGTCTTCTGCTGGTTTTCAAGGGGAATGCTTCCAGCTTTTGCCCATTCAGTATAATATTGGCAGTTGGTTTGTCATAAACAGCTCTTATTACTTCAAGATATGTTCCATCAATCCTAGTTTATTGAGAGTTTTTAACATGAAGAGATTTTGAATTTTGTTGAAGGCCTTTTCTGCATCTATTGAGATAATCAGGTGGTTTTTGTCATTGGTTCTGTTTATGTGATGGATTACATTGATTTATTTGCATATGTTGAAATAATCTTACATCCCAGGGATGAAACTGATCCAAATGCCCATCAATGGTAGACTGAATGAAGAAAATGTGTAACATATACACCATAGAATACTATGCAGCCATAAAAAGGAATGAGATCATGTCCTTTGCAGGGACATGGATGAAGCTGGAAGTCATCACCCTCAGCAAACTAACACAGGAACAGAGAACCAAATACTGCATGTTCTCACTCATAAGTAGGAGTTGAACAATGAAAACACATGGACACAGGAAGGGGAACAATGAACACTGGGGCCAGTTTGTGGGTGGCAGGCAAGGGGAGGGAGAGCATTAGGACAAATAGCTAATGCATGCAGGGCTTAAAACCCAGATGACGGGTTGATAGGTGCAGCAAACCACCATGGTACACGTATACCCATGTAACAAACCTACATGTTCTGCACTTGTATCCTAGAACTTAAAGTAAAAAATAAAATAAAATAAAATAATAAAAATCTAACCTGAAAGGTGTTTCTCAAGTCCAAATCACTCCTCAGTTCTATTAAGCCTTGGGCAATAATTTCTCTTTAAATGACAACCCCAAACTCATACTTTTTTAAAAATTGAAGATCCTTAAATTAGAAAATAGCAGTTACTCCCTATTCTCTCACATATTGTAATGTGCATTAAATATTATAGGCCAAAACTCTCAGTATATTTGTCAAAAAATGAAATCTCATATGTAGAATGAGTTAGCAGTTGGGGAGCAAAATATCACATTTACCCATCGGAATGCCTCAGGTTCAGTAGATGTTTGAAAATAAAAGGAAAGTAATTTATAAAGCCACATGCTATGTTCCTCAATATTCCATAATCAGTAGCAATACCTCAGGGATTAAATAAATGAAATGCTGCCATGCTTAATCTGCATGACACAAGGGAGGCAGCAGAGTGGAGTGGATATATGGACATGTCATGGGCTCCATACAGAGAGATGTTAGAGCCGTGACTCTGCTACCTATTCACAGTGTGACTCCAGGGAAGCTATTTAATCTCTCTGAGCCTCAGCTTTTTCACCTATAAACTGGGGATAGTTATTCCCACTTCATGGGTTTATTTGTGAGGGATAAGTGAAATGAACCTCATAAAATTCTGGCACATAATAAGTATCTGATAAATGTTATTTCTCTCTCCTTCCACATAAGCCAAATGTGTTTACCATGAGTTAGAGTAAAGTAAATGGAACAAAATTTATAAAGACTGGAAATTCCATCTCCTCCCACTCTGCATCCTCCTCCCTCTGCTCCAGCCACCTTGCTCTTCCTCCTTATAGCACGTGTCCACCTCAGGGACTTTAGACTGGTTTCTCTTCTTCCAGGAACACATTTCCTTCCCAACATCCACACATATCGCACCTCTTACAGGCCGTGGCTGAAATGTCACCATCTCACCAAGGACACGCTGTGTAAAATGGCCACACACACCCTGCTTCTTCCTGCCTCACACCCCTCATCACTCTTCACTCTACCCAGCGCTGGACTTGTTGGTTTCTTGGTATTTTTTTTTTCATAGCACTTACCATGCTCTAACTTCATTTATTCACTCAATCATTCATTCTTTTATTCTTTAGGCTTACTCTTTATTGTCAGTCTTCTCTGCCACATTAATATCAGTGCCATAGAGCAGGGATTTTTGCCTGTTTTGCGTAATGATGTATCCCAAGTGCCTAAGACAGCATAGTATAGGTGTTCAATAAATACTTTTTTCCTATTTTGCACTTTATAAGATTATGTAAAGCTATAGACGACAAGGTTAAGCCTAGATGTCTCAGTTTACCACATCTGCATATATTTTTAATGTTTTCTTAAATTTTTTCAAGTTTTTAGCATAATTTTAGACTCAGAGAAAAGTTAAAAATAGTACATCGAGTTCCCGTATATCTTATATGCAGCTTCCCCTAATGATAACAGCTTACGTAGCCATGGTACAGTTGTCAAAACTAGGAAAATAAGGTTCAATAAATACTTTTTAAACAAATGAATAGTTATAAAATACCAAGACATCTATGAATTTCATGGTCATGTGTTTATGTCATTGACCCAGAATAGATGGTAACATGAACAGAATGTCCTAAAATTGTTTCACTTCCTCTCTGTTTTCTTTCATATAGCGTCATCTTAGAAATCCTTTCTCTGTGAATAACACGTTTGTTGAAGGACTTGTGTAGGTAGATGTGCAAAAGATTTTCCCATCAGAGATGTCTAGAAGACTACTGAAAATCTCCAGTAAGAAAGCTTTCAAAACTCTTCTAAAAATGTCCTGTGAATGTCTACTAAATCACCAGCTGAAAAGAAATGCTTCTTCACTTCAGAAATAGCAGGATAAAGCACACAGAGAACATATAACATTATTCTTAACGAGAAGCTTGTTTTGTCTCTAACATTTAAATGTTTACTCAGTGCCCTGGGAAATGGTTCTAGAATGTCAAGGTGTTGACAAATTGCTAAGGACTGTGCTAAACATCCTCATTAGCTTAAGCTTAGATAAAGTAACTCACAAAGCCGCCCCCATGCTTCACAGTTTGTCAGCAGGGGATTTGTGTACAACAGCTATAACTTTTCCCAGCCCACAGCAAAAGCAGCTGGAAGAGGCAAATGCATGATGGCATTTGATCTGTGACTAAATTAAGCTTGATGGTACAGCTGAGGCTTTTGCAACTGCAAGATATTCGGCATTCGCAGGAGCTGCGACTCCTCTCCCTGGGAACGTCTAAGAGTATTATAATCATGCCTGGTTCTGGTCTACCCTTCTACAGTCAGTCTCTCCACCTAATTCTCCATCTTGTATGGCCTCTGATGTTGTTTCAGTTCAACTCATTTCATCCACTAATCCAAGAAACATTTAGACACCATTTGCCAAAAAGATTTACACATTATTTCATTTAATTCTCACCATGACCCTAAGAAACATTACTATTTCATTTAATATATAGAAAAGCTGAAGTTCAAAGACCTTAAGAAACTTGTCCACAGTAATACTGCCAGCAAGAGGCACAGCCAGTACTCAAACTTAGACTGGTGTGACTCGGAAGCCATTAACCTTTCTTTCTATGTTCTGCTTTCGTTCTGCTGCATTTTAAGAAAACTAAAAATTACTAAGGATTTTCCTTCATTTCAAATGATCTTATGAAATCAAATAAATTTGGTAAATTGATGCTTATTGGGCAAGAGTACTGTATAATTGAGGCTGAGCAAAATTAATTGGTGCTTGACATCATGAATTTGTCAGTATGTTAGAAGGAGACGTGGGGAGCATAGAATAAAGGAGAGACGTTTTGTCTTTTTTTCAGTGGAAGATGGAGGGCTAGAAATGAGAAAATGGGCCCTTAGGTTGAACTCCAACCTCATAAAGATGTTGTGAAGACCAAATGAAATGTTATACAATAAGAGAGAGTGCTGTGTGTGTGTACAAAGGGGAGGCATTTCTCTCTGTCTAGCACATTACCCTTTAGATGTTCTCTGCATCTTAGCTGATAGGAAACCTCAGGTCCCCCAACCCACCCTGGCTCTCCTATCTCAGAACCTTTGCTTATGAGATTGCCCTGCCCTTACGTCCTCCCCAAACCCAGGCCTTTGATTTCTATCTCTGTGCTCTGTCGGACTACATTCTTCCTAAGAATGGGGTCATGTCTTTTCATTTTTGTTCTTTTACAATACTTACCAAGATGCCTGCATGATCAGCAAATTTTCCTAGATTGGAAGAACAAGCTTCTCAAGATGACATTCCTAAGAATGGATACATAAATAATGGTTCACTTTATTTTTTTAATTAATTTAATATTTTGAGACAGGGTCTCCCTCTGTCTCCCAGGCTGGAGTGTGGTGGCATGATCTTGGCTCTCTGCAACCTCCGCCTCCCAGGTTCAAGCGATTCTCCTGCCTCAGCCTCCTGAGTACCTGGGATTACAGATGTGCACCACCACACCGGCTAATTTTTGTATTTTGAGTAGAGACGAGGTTTCAACATGTTGATCAGGCTGGTCTTGATATCCGGACCTCAGGTGATCCGCCCGCCTTGGCCTCCCAAAGTGCTGGGATTATAGGCATGAGTCACCACACCTGGACAAATAATGGTTCACTTTAGAGCAGTGACTCTTGAGTTGGGACTGGAGAGGGTGTTGGGAGAGAAGGTAGTGCAGTTTGAAAATAAAGACGCATTTTCCCGTTTTCTGGAATTATTTTTAATTATAATAATTATCAGTTCTGGATTTCAAATCTCATAAAAGCAGGTCATGAAATTTATATTTGTTTTATTAAGTTGGAACATAGGAATTCTTTAACTCTCTTTGCCTCGTGTTTTTTACCTGTTAATTGGGAAAAATAATCTTACCTGTAAGTCCTGAGTAGGATAACATATTACCATATTTAGGACATTATCTGGCACATAGTAATCACTCAATAGAAGTAGTTATTATCGTTGTTGTTACTATTGTTGTTATGTTATTATTAGCACTGCTTTCTAAATCTTTACTCCCTTGAACAAATCTCTGGGCTTCAGTTTCTCACTTGTCTGTAGTGAGCATAACCTTTAATTTCCCTTCCAGATATTAACTTCTAAGATTATAAGCCTTTCAATATTTATATATTTCAGATTCACCCAGCACTATATGAGAATTTCAGACCTCTAATATATTCTTCCATATAGCCTGTATATTGACATTATAATATTATGTGTATATTTGTATGTACAGTGTGTGTGGAGTGCAATAAAAAAGTTTGAGCCAACTAAAATTTATTTTTAAACATTCTAAAGCAATAATCCAAACCTTTACAATGTTAAAAATATTTTTGTTTGACTTTAAACTGATAATACATTAAGTTTGAGTGAAATTAAAGTGGTTTCAGAGAAATTTAAGTAAGATGTGTTTTCACCAATATTTATTTTCTTCCTGAGATATTTTGAAGTTCTTACTTCCTATGATTCTATAAACAACACTAAATTTAACCCCAAACCCAATATGTTGCTATAGAGAAGTAATTTTTGATACATCATCACTTTTCTCTTGTTCTTAAAATATGATATTTTCAGCTTATCTATTTTCAAATCATTTCTAAATAATAGTTTGCTGTGGATGATTGATTATAGGAATTTTGCTCATACGGTACCTCCAAAGCATGACTTTTTAAATCACATACTCCTTTTACTTGCAATGTTTAAAGCGAATTTCATATCGTTACCCAATTTATCATTTGGAGATAGAACAAGATATTTACATGGATTCCGTCTATACCTTTGCAACTGAAAAACTATGGCCAAGTCTTATTAAAACCATGCATGCATGGTTATCACAGCTGAATAGCAATAGAGAGGAACCGTTTTAAATATGCATATTCAAGAGCATACACACAGACATCAAAGCCGAGTAGCACATGGTGGCATACAGAGCATGCGCTCTTTTCCGTGCGACATTTCAGGGTCTCTGTGAGAGTGCACTCTATGGGCTGCCTACTGCAGGACAGCACCCTCACCTGCCTCCACCTCTCTGCCCGCCAGCGTTCTCATTCACCTTTGTTCCTTCTCCTCCCCTAGCTTCCCCAGAAACCTGATTTTGGTTTCACTTTAGCAATAGCATGATTTCTGCTGTATTCTAGTACATGAGAATCCCAGCAAATCCCCAAGGTCCAGTCCTTGTCGTTGTCTAGTTCCAAATACTATCTGGGCTCTCTCAACCATTCTCCTGGCTTCTGCTGTCACTTATACAGTAGTGGACTCCAAGACAGGATCTCTTGTCTACACATGCCTTGTAAGCAGCAGATCTGTACAGCCAATAACCTTCAACTTAGGTACTCAACAGGTAAAACAAGTTCCACATTCCAAGAGAAGCTCAATGTCTTTCCTTCAAAACACTATATTGATATCATATGCGCCATCTTGATTAATGACACCAAATTCCTTGATACTCAATTTCCTCATGTATAAACATTAAAAAGCTGAGCTTAGTATTCTGCAAACCTATTAATCTATGAGGTAGGAATCAAATGATAAAGCATCACTGGGAAACAGCAGATCAATGAGCGATGAATGAAGTAGAAGATATCTACAAGGAAGCAGGCAAATCTATGTCAGCTGAGCAGTGCTTAGATGAATAAAACTTAGATAAGCAGAAGAATGTCTGGAGGATAGAGAAGAAGAGATCTGCAAGTTGAATGTCATGAAGAGATGGGGTAGGGAGACTTCAAGTAGGAGTTTAGACTCAGAGGAATAGAGGCTGCAGGCTGGGGAGATTTAGGAAGTGAAGACAGGCTATGTAGGCCCAGACTGGGAAGGGCTTAAAAAGTCTACAGAGTAGCTTGGATTCAATGTCATAGGCAACCAAGTGATATTACAACTTATCAGTAATGAGGCATCACTATGAGAAGCGTGGACGGTAGCATGCAAGATGCTGAGAATGGAAGAAAATAGATGGAACATTTGGCAAGAGTGCTGGCTAGTGCCAACTTGAAATTTAGGGAAGAAAAATAATTATCTGCATGTTTATTTGCAAACCATTTGGCATTTAATATTTCAGTGATTCTGCATGTGACCTTAGATATATCACATCAGAACTACTCTTGACACATTCCAAACAAACACTTTAAAAATCTTTTAGCTTTTCAAAAAGGGGAAACACACATTCAAGACAAACTTTATTTAGCACAATATTGTACCTGAAAAAGGGGAAACACACATTCAAGACAAACTTTATTTAGCACCATATTGTACCTGAAAAAGGAAGTGCTAATTTGCACTTCAGAGTAGGAGTTGGAGGAGTACCTATTTAACTTTTATTGTGCCCAGGTATTAAAGGAAACATTCAAATGCACTTCATTGCAACAGTTGATATTCAAAGTTAAACACGAACACAAATTTTATACAACCATGATTTGTCCACAAGTACCCAAACATAGAGTTCAGTGAAATCAAATTAATATAAAATCAAACAGTGCTTAATGATACTAAAATTTAACTTTGTGTTGAAAATTGCTTTCTATGCAACAGACACAAAGGAATATAATTGAAAATTTTAGCTTAATTTTGCCCTAATTTACACTAATTTAGAACATTAAAAAGTATATTTTGAAGTTTGCATGATACAGATAAAAAATATTTAGGATAAAATTTATACTTTTAAATTCTCATATTGAAGTACAATAATATTTGAAAATAAATTAGCTAAGCATTCAGTTAAAGAAGCTAGAAAATAAACAATGAAATCATCCCAAAGAAAAAGAAAGAAGTAAAGATTAAAGCAAAATGTTTATTAAATATAAAATAAACATATACACATATGTACTCAAAACACTATATATGAGCAGCAAAACAGAAATCTAGATATTTGAAAAAATAGAAAAGGTAAACTTTTGGCAAGACTAATTATGAAGAAAGTAACAATATTAGGAATAGAAGAAAAGACATAACTGCAGACATTTAATATTTTTATTCAAAATGGAATGTAATTAATAACATTTCAATAAATAAAAGACAGCTAAAATTGACAATTCTCTTGAAAATTAAAAAATTCAAAAATTTAATCAAGAAGAAAATCAAAAACCCAAAGAGCTAATAAGGCTTAAAGAAAAATCTCCCTTCACAAAAGTCCTTATGCTTTGATGATTTTAAAATGTACTGAAACTTTAAGTAAACAAAAATTTCTAACTTGTACAAAATGTTCCAGAGAATGGGAATGGAAGAAATAGAAGGAAAATTTTTGTGAATCCTATCCAACAGTGTATTAAAATATAAGATATTGTGACCAAGTAGCGTGCATCACAAGAATTCAAGACTAATTTAACATCAGGTAATTTATTTGTGTTAATTTCAGTTAAAGAGAAAAAAGGCATTTAATAAAATTTAATATCCAATCATTATTACAAAGAAACTACTGGTAGTCAAGTTCTAGAAGGGAACTTCAATAGCTCAGTAAAGAGAATCTACCTTATATAGGTAGAAACCTAAAAAAAAGGTCAAAATTGCTATTATTTGCATACAAGATGTTTGCTTACACAGACACCCAAAAGAATCAACAGGCAACTTTTAAAACTAGTTTGAAAGCCCAGAGAAATTGCTAGACACAAACCAACACACAAAAAATTAATAACATTTCTACATACTAGTTCTACCCAAATAAAATGCAATTAAAATATTTTGTTTAAAATAACAATACAAGCTACAAAGTACTGATGATGCCAGAAATTGCCATTACATAATGATTAGAAGCCATGGAGTCAGATTAATTGGGTGTCACTTCAGCCCCTCCAATTAGTAGCCTTGTGACATTGGTCAAATTACTTAATCTCTCTGGGACTTTGATTTTCTCTTCTGAAAAATAAGAATAATAATTGGCACTTTTATCAGAGGATTGATGTGCAGATTAAATGAAACATGCAAATTACCTAAAATGATATCTGGCTTAATTTGCATAGTAGTGTAATATATATATAAGCAAATCTATGTTAAAAAGTATACAATTTTAATTATAAACATAAAAGAATTGAGTAAATAAATGAGTAGACATGGCCATTATTTTAAAGATGTTGAATTTGTCCACATTAGTCTGTCAGTTCAATTCATTTCCATTCAAAATGCCAATAAGATTTTATGGAACCTGAAATACTGAATATAAAATGTGTAAAGAAGCATCAAGGCAGAAGAATAACCAACATAATTTTTAGATATAATAAGAAAGGTACCAGGAATTAAAATACATAACAGAGATACAGTAATAAAACAGAGAGTACTGGCTAAAGAAATGAAATATAAAGACGAAAGAAGTTCCCTATGTATTTGTGAACTTGAGATATGATAGCATTTAAATAGTGGGGATTATTTCTTTGATAAATGGGACAACTGGTTTTTCTATGAAATAGTATGAAAGTAGATTTTATTTCACATCAAACACATTTAATATCTCAACAACAAGTTAAAGATGAGAAGAAAACATTGGAATAATTTAAAAGAAAATATAGGAAAATATGTATCATCATTATAAAGGTAAGAACTATTTTGGACAAATTGATCTGTTTGCAGAAAAACATTCAATATTTACAAAATAAAGTTCATGCAGATTTTTTACACATACACGTAAGCAATTTTACCTTTTACTTTATATATATTTGTATATCAATATATTAAAGCATACATTAAGAATACATGTCAACTTGTAATTATGGCTGCCAAAGAAAAGACAGAGAGATAGTGGTGAAAGGGAAATTTAGCTTTATATTTAATGTCATTTTTTTTCTTTTTTTTATTATACTTTAAGTTCTGGGATACATGTGCAGAACACTTGTTTGTTTGTTACATAAGTATATATGTGCCATGGTGGTTTGCTGCACCCATCAACCTGTCATCTACATTAGGTATTTCTCCTAGTGCTATTCCTCCCCAGCCCCCCACACCCCACGACAGGCCCCAGTGTGTGATGTTCCCCTCCCTGTGTCCGTGTGTTCTCATTGCTCAACTACCACTTATGAGTGAGAACATGCAGTGTTTGGTTTTCTGTTCTTGTGTTAGTTTGCTGAGAATGATGGTTTCCAGCTTCAACCATGTCCCCGCAAACGACATGAACTCATCCGTTTTTATGGCTGCCTAGTATTCCATGGTGTATATGTGCCACGTTTTCTTTATCCAGTCTATCATTGATGGGCATTTGGGTTGGTTCCAAGTCTTTGCTATTGTGACACATGAACATACGTGTGCATGTGTCTTTATAGTAGAATGATTTATAATCCTTTGGGTATATACCATGTAATGGGATTGCTGAGTCAAATGGTATTTCTGGTCCTAGATTTTTAACAACATCAGAAAAAGAATAGGAGGCAAAAACATATTTTCAAATGTTCACAACAGAATCTGCAATGGTTAGAATCCGCCAAAATTCAGATGAAGGAGGGTGCACAGACCACAAGCCCAATTGTTTCCTAGAAATGTATTTCTTTTTTTAGAGTTTACTTCAACTACCAACCTGCTAGTGGGAGGCATGTCGCTTCTTCACACTGGTTCAACCAAGTACACAATATTATAACTAATATTTTAAATATCAGGAAAGGCTTTATTTGTCTTGGGAGATAGCAAAGGGAAAATAAATCCAGTACCATTACTCTAAGCAACCTTACTCAGATGCCCTCACATTCACACTTACCAAACTGCCTATTCACTCTCAGTTTTCCCTCTGCTACAACAGAGGCACCACTTCTACAAAACAGTCCAGCCCTCCACTTGTGTTTCAGTCCTAGTCTCTGTCACTTTCTCAAAGATTTTCTCTCTCCTTACCTACCTCCTTCTCTTTATCTCTCCCTTTATCCCATTATCAGTTTTTCTGCTACCAAGACATAATTCTATTTACTATACAACAAGCTCTTTAAAAACAAAATAAAAACATCACTTGATCCCATATCTCCCTCCAGCTATGATTTATTTCTCTGGTTCCCTTCACAGCTACCTAAACTCAATAAATTGACCTCCTAAGTTAGCATTTGCTCCTCAAGTTGTTCAAATTTAGAGTCAATCACTTTCATCTCATAATTTAGCTTTAATACCCTTTCCTCCACTAAAATTGCTCTGAGCAAGGTCACCAATCTAGATTCTCAAATCTAGCCTGTGGCTTTAAATGGTATCTATATATGGATGACCCACAAGGTTAAATCTCTAGGCTGGAGTATCAAACTCAAATATCTACTTTCTTAGTTGGTATTGTTATGCCATGCCCAAAATGTCCAAGTTCATGTCAGGAAAAGGCAATGGCAACCATCCAGTCATCTTTGATTCCTCTTTCTCCTTCTCTATTCACATCTAGCTTATCAACAAATCCTTCTTAACTCTGTACCTCAAAACATATCCCAAATTGGTCCACGTATCATTTTCTTCACTGCCACAACCTTTTTGTGGCACCATGAATACCTTGTCTGAGCCTCTGCTCTAGTCTCCTAACTGGTCCTCACAGCAGGCTAAGTGGGCTTTTGAAACCTGAATCAAGTCTCTTATGCCCTTGCTGAAAATTCTGCAAAGACCTTCCATTGTTCTTAGAATCCAAAAACTGTAAACACATTACTGTAGTCCCCACAATCCTAGGTGAACTGGCCCCCACCACCAGATCTGACCCCACCTTCTATCACTGTGTCCCTCAACAGCCACAAAAAGCGGAACTTTTTTCTGTTCCTTGAACTAGCAAGCTTGTTCTCTACCCTATGGTGAGAACTTTGTACTTGCTCTTTTCCCTCTGCCTGGAGTATTGATGTTTTTGTTTTACCTGTTTATTGTCTATCTTTCTTCCTAAAATATAAGACCCTCGAAAGCAATATTTGTCTGATATAGACATACCTCATTTTAATTCACCTTGTTTTATTGTGCTTCACACATACTGCCTCTGTTACAAATTTAAGTTTGTGGCAACCCTGCACTGAACAAGTCTATAGGCCCCATTTGTCCCACAGCATGTTCTCACTTTGTGTCTCTGTCACATTTTGGTAATTTTTGCAATATTTCAAACTTTTTCATTATTATTATATCTGTTATGGTGATCTGTGATCAGTGATCTCAGATGTTACATTTTGGACATTGTCGTAATTTTTTGGGGGACAACATGAACCATACTCATATTAAACAGTGAATATAATTGATAAATGTTATGTGTTCTGACTGCTCCACTGACTGACTGTTCCTTCATCTCTTTCCCTCTCCTTGGGCCTCTCTATTCCCTGAGACATAAAAAATATTGAAATTATGCCAATTAACCCTACAGTGGCTTCTAAGTGTTCAAGTGAAGAGTCTCACACCTTTCACTTTGAATCAAAAGCTAGAAATCATTAAGCTTCATGAGGAAGATATGTTGAAAGCCAAGAAAGACTGAAAGCTTGACGTCTTGTGCCAAATAGCCAAATTGCTCATGCAAAGGAAAAGTTCTTGCAGGAATTTGCTACTCCAATGAACACACAGATGATAAGAAAGCAAAACAGCCTTATTTTTCAGAAAAGAAAGTTTTAATTGTCTGGATAGATGAAACTGGACACATTCTCTTAAGCCGAAGCCTAATCCAGAGCAAGGCTCTAACTCTCTTCAATTCTGTGAAGGCTGAGGAAGGTGAAGAAGCTACAGAAGAAAAGTTGGCAGCTAGCAGAGAGTGGTTCCTGAGATTTCAGGAAAAAAACCATCTTCATAACATAAAAGTACAAGGTGAAGCAGTGCTGATGTAGAAGCTGCAACCAGTTATCCAGAAGACCTAGCTAAGATCATTGATGGAGGTGGCTACACCAAACAACAGATTTTCAGTGTAGACAAAACTGCCTTATATTGGAAGAAGATGCCATCTAGGACTTTCATAGCTAGACAGGAGAAGTCAATGCTTGGCTTCAAAGCTTCAAAGGACAGGCTGATTCTCTTGTTAGGGGCCAATGCAGCTAGTGACTTTAAGTTGAAGCCAATGCTTGTATATCTTTCTGAAAATCCTAGATCCCTTAAGAGTTATGCTAAATATACTCTGTGTGTACTCTAAAAATGGAACAACAAAAATGGATAACAGTATATCTTTTTGTAGCATTGTTTACTGAACATTTTAAGTCTACTGTTGAGACTGCTCAGAAAAAAGAATTCCTTCTAAAATATTACTGCTGATTAATAGAGAATCTAATCTGATCAAAAAATGGGCAAAATATTTGAATAGACATTTCTCAAAGGAAGATATACAAACAGCAAATAGGCAAATGAACATAATTGATTATCAGAGAAATGCAAATCAAAACTACAGTGACATATTATCTCACCCTAGTTGAAATGGCTTAGATTCAAAGTACAGGCAATAACAAAGGCTTGAGAAGATGTGGAAAAAAGGGAACCCTTGTACTGGTGGGAATGTAAATTATTACAACCATTATGAAGAACAGTTTGAAGTTTCCTCAAAAAACTAAAAATAGAGCTACCATATGATCCAGCAATCCCACTGCTGGGTATATACCCAAAAGAAAGGAAATCAGTATATCAAAGAGATATCTGCACTCCTCTGTTTGTTGCAGCACTGTTCACAATAGCCACGATTTGGAAGCAACCTAAATGTCTATCAACAGATGAATGGATAAAGAAAATGTGGTACATATACACAATGGAGTACTATTCAGCCATAAAAAAGAATGAGACATAGTTATTTTCAACAACATGGATGGAAATGTAGATCATTATCTTAAGTGAAATAAGCCAGACAGAGAAAGACAAATGTCACATGTTCTCACTTATTTGTGGGATCTAAAAATCAAAACAATCGAACTCATGGACATAGAAGGTAGGATGATTACCAGAGGCTGGGAAGGGTAGTGGGGGGTCTGGGCAGATGAAGAAGGTTAATGGATTTAAAAAGTAGTTAGAAATAATGAATAAGACCTACTATTTGAGAGCAAAACAGGATACTGTAGTCAATAATAACTTAATTGTACATTTTAAAGTAACTAAACAAGTATAATTGAATTATTTATAACACAAAAGATAAATGCTTGGGGGATTGATAACCCATTCTCCATGATGTGATTGTTTTACATTGCATGCCTATATCAAACATCTCAGAGACCCCATGAATATACACACCTACTATGTATCCACAAAAACTAAAAATTTAAGAATTTTTTTTAAATTTAAAAAATAAAATATTACTGCTCATTGACAATGCACCTGTTCACCCAAGAGCTCTGATAGAAATGTACAAGAAGATTAATGTTGTTTTCATGTCTTCTAACACAACATCCATTCTGCAGTCCATAGATCAGAAAGAATATTTTACTTTCAAGTCTTATTATTTAAGGAATACATTTCATAAGGCTATGGCTGTCATAGATAGTGATTCTTCTGATAGATATGGACAAAGTAGATTGAAAACTTTCTTGAAAGTGTTCGCCATTTTAGATGGCAGTAACAGCATGTGTGACTCATGGGAAAAGATCAAAATATCCACATTAACAGGAGTTTGGAAGAAGTTGATTCTAACCCTCATGGATGACTTTGAGGGGTGCAAGATTTCAGTGGAGGAAGTAAATGCAGATGTGGTGGAAATAGCAAAATAACTAGAAATAGAAATGGAACCTGAACATGTGACTAAGTTGCTGCTTCTTATGAACAAGCAAAAACATGATTTCTGGAGATAGAAATCTATTCCCAGTGAAGATGCCATAAACATTGCTGAAATGACAATAAAGGATTAAGAATATTACATAAACTCAGTTGATAAAGCAGCAGCAGAATTTGAGAGAATTGACTCCAATTTTGGAAGAAATTCTACTGTGGATAAAATTCTATCAAACAGCACCACATGCTACAGAGAAATATTTCATGAAAGGAAGAGTCAATCAATACAGCAAACTTCATTGTTGTTTTATTTTAAGAAATTGCCAAAGCCACCCCAATCTTCAGCAAACACGACTCTGATCAGCCAGCAGCCATCACCATCAAGGCAAAACCGTCCACCAGAAAAAGGATGACAAGACTCAGATTTTTTAGACATAACAATGCTACAGCACACTTAATAGACTGCAGTATAGTGTAAACATAACTTTTACATGCACTGAGAAACCAAGAAATTCATGTGACTGGCTTTATTGAGATATTTGCTTTATTGTGCTCTGAAACCAAATCTACAGTATCTCTGAGGTATGCCTTTATATTCTTCATGGTATTCTCAGCAACCCAAAGAGTCCCTGGCATGCAGTAGCATCACAATAAATACCTTAGATAATAATTGTACCACTTACTCTCTCTCAGGCTTTCACAGCCCACTGTGTCTGGAACCCCAAGATAAAAAGAAATAACATCTAAAAACTCCCACATTTTAATTTCTCATTTCCTCA
This sequence comes from Homo sapiens, assembly GCF_000001405.40. Taxonomy (NCBI): domain Eukaryota; kingdom Metazoa; phylum Chordata; class Mammalia; order Primates; family Hominidae; genus Homo; species Homo sapiens. Next base: position 60,039,329 of record NC_000008.11, read on the forward strand.
CCCTTATACTTCCAACCTTTTCTCTTTCCTTCAAAGGAGATATCCTATGTAATGGCAATAACCCTGACTCATGAGAACTATATATTCACACCTTCCACTGTTTGCTCACTTCTGCAGAAGAATTAGCCTTACTCTGTGGTTTGCTAGTGAGTGTGGAGCTGCTGCATCCCTGATAGGAGGGCAACACATAACTCCTTCACATGTACCACATATCCACAAGCAAGATCAGATTTGTGTTGCTGTTTCATTTTCACTAAGAAATGAAGTGAATCATGTTTTGTTTGTTTTGTTTTGTTACCTATGTGATGAAAATTATTTTCCAAATCCTCTAGTGAATAATAAAGGCAGGATTATTCTAGAAAGTATACTAATTGCAAACAGATCTGTAAATATTGCAAACATAAACATATCCGTTTGCAAGTATTAACTACAGTTTCTTTACCTATGCGTCAGGAACAGGTATGGACGGCCATCATATGCATTCTGTCCTAACAAAGCTCATGACATCTTTTAATCAATGAGAAACACCGTATTTTAGCTTTTTCCTTTCCATTCTGAAAGAGGAATCCAGTAGCATTTCTTCTCTTCTTTTTAATTCAAAAAATGATGTCATGTGATTCATAATAAAGCTTGACCTCGGTAAAAACGGAAAGCTTGTGCAATTGTTAAGCAGTGTGGTTTTTTGAACAGTTAATATTATGTTCATCCTAATAAAATTCCAACTCTGTCAAACAAGAAACGTGGCATATGCCAAGAAATACATATCCTACCAGTTTTATGATTTTGGGAACTCTTAAATAACTGAAAAAAAAATTGAAATGTAGCCAAGAAGGAGAGAAAAGGGGACTCTGTGTCTTTAAGCTAGGGAGAAAAATAAAACCCAATCATTCTGAATGTATTGCTTTAGTCATCTGGTTTCATTCTATTAATGACCTTTAACATCTGCAAAAATATTGTGAAAAGCTAATTTTGTTTGTGCTGAGGTGGAGCAGAACAGTTTCTGGCTGTCACTCTTGGATGTGCTATAAAATAAAATTGTCTTTCTGGGAGTCTGACAAAAACCTACTGTACAGATCCAGTTTATTTACAACATCTAGGAATGAAAAGAAAACAGAATTTTACAACATGCCAACATGGGAGAAATGAATAGTACTTACACATTTGTGTGTGTGCATGTGTGCATGTGTGTGTGTGTGCTAGCAGTACCACATACAGATATCTCCCAAGATTAGAGATTTTTAAAATAACATTTTATGGCATTCAACAAAAATTCTAACCAGCAAGACTATTTCTCAATAAATGTTATGGTACTAAAATGTGAGAAAGCATTCTTCAACATAGTGTTTTGATTTACTGCAGAGCTCTTTGGAAAGGAGAAATGGCCTCATTTCCTCATTTTGACAAGGCTTATGTTTCCATTAATTAAATGGAAATCTTTGGAAAAGAGGTAGTGTCATCAGGGTTAATGTATTGACTTTACATTCTTAGAGGCCAAGGTTAAAAATATACCTAGTAGCCATCAAAAAGAATAAATGCAGTCATACCGGCCTTGTCCTTAATATTCACTCATTCTCAATTGCACTATCCAATTTTTTGTGAATGATTTGTCGACTCTACCATAGAATCTTTAGGCCCAGATTTGTGGGCCTGAAGAATGCAGGAGTGTCATGGTTCAGGAATCTGATGAGCACCTTATGCCCACATAGAATGGTAGATTCCAAACTTGGAAGAGAGCTTGTGGCCATCTAGCCAAGGTTCCAACCTGATGATTAAATTCTCCTGACAACATACCTGCCCAAGGCCAAATGCTAATGCATGACCACTTCTAATGAGAGAGAATTCACTGCCTTCAGAGGCAGCATGCTATTTTGAGAAAGTCTGGCTTTTAGAAAGTTTTCAAAATTTTGAACTGAAACATTTCATCTTGGGACCACAGAGAAGTCTCTTCCGCATCACTGTCCTTGGTATATTTGAAAACAAGTGAAATTTATCTGATCCCGTTAACACATAGCCTATGACCTGACTTTAGATCCCCTTGTTATCAGGGGTTTTCTGTTATTCATAAATGAATAGCAAGGATGGGGGTGGACAGACAGGTAGTTAGATGATAGGTAGATGAATAGATAGAATAGACAGAAATAGATGTTCAGTAGACATACTGAAAGTGTTCACAGAGTCACAAAAGACTATCACTTTCCTCAACCAATTTTAAGAACAAATAGTGAATATAAAGATTTTAAAAACAAATAGTGTCATTTAGCAGATATATCACATTTACCCATGCCAAGCTCACCAGCTTAGCCAAAATTGCTAAGCGTTTTGTTTTGTTTTGTTTTGTTTTGTTTTGTTTTTTGACATGGTCTTGCTCTGTCGCCCAGGCTATAGTGCAGTGGAACAATCACAGCTCACTGCAGCCTCGACCTCCTGGGCTCAAGCAATCCTCCCACCTCAGCCTCCCAAGCAGCTGCGAGTACAGGGGCACACCACCATGCTCAGCTAATTTTTGTGTTTTTTATAGAGTTGAGGTCTGTCTATGTTGCCCAGTCTGGTCTCGAACTCCTGGGCTCAAGCAATCTTCCCACTTCAGCATCCCAAAGTGCCGGAAGTACAGGCGTGAGTCACATTCCCAGCCTTGCTAAGCTTGTTGCAATAGTTTCTGCTAAACTTATTGTCTGAATCCACAGTGATGGCTTTAAGGACCTAGCTTAGAACTTCACTTCACATGTGTTTGAAGTTTGATCTTATTTTGACCTGTAATCCAAACTGGTCTATCCTGGACAGAACTACAGGGAAACACACTCAGCCTTTCTGGTTGCTTCATCATCTGCACCTTCTAGCACATGCCAAAACCACCCCAAGAATGGGAAAGGAAACTACACCTTCCCATTAGTACTTATGTAAGACTTCTACCCTCTTGCTCTTAATCAGTTTTACTTTGACCTCATAACTGTAGTGATAATAAAGGAAGTTTCTAATTTGCACTAAGCAGTGCCAAATAAATACCTGATGGGATAGAATCCTCTCTATGGATGGGAAGAGACAGTGATCTATAAGCAGTCTTTAAGTAGGTTGACAAGCTTTCAAGGTGAAGAAATTTTTATTTTAACCTTTCCTTTCTGGTTGCTTATTCTCACCCTACTCGGTTATTGTATCCCAACTTTTCTGCAATAGCACAACGAATGGACTTTAGAGAGATGTATTTTCTTTTCATCTTCAAATATGTACAGTTCCATAATGGGCCATCTGTCATTTTGTGATCCCTTTTTGACAACAATGCCCTAAAGTTTTGTTGTCATAGCAACCACACCAGAGTCTCCAAAGCAAACTTGTAATCATTCCTACTCTCAGAATCTATCCAACATGGGGTGGGAGCGGAGGTTAACATTCCAGGAAATTTAAGTCCCTAATATTTGTTATCTGTTTAGAATGAATGCTTAGCCTAGTTCACATCCAGTTTCAATGAACCAGATTATAATAATATTTTTTAAAATGAGTAAAAGGTTCTTATGAAAGCTGTGTGTGTGTGTGTGTGTGTGTGTGTGTGTGTGTGTGTGTGTGTGTTTGTATGTGTATTTCAGGTTAGTTTTGTTAGAGGGAAATTAAGTCTTGGTTTGAATTCTGGAGAGATACTTTGATGTAGCAATCAAACCTTCCTTTTCACTTTGCTGAAGACCAATTTTAGAAGAGCCAAGAAAAAAATGCAGCTCATTGTTCATATTCTTGTCTCCTATCTCATAGTATTCCAGAGCATCTGTGCCACATTATTGCAGGATAAAGGAACCAAGAATGTATTCTGTGGAGAATGAGAGAAAAGCACAGTTTTAATCTTGATTTTATTTCTTTTCTGCAGAGACTATCTTTACTTATCTTTAAATTCTTTCCTGTCCCATAGGCATGGAAATGATTCATTTTCTTCCCCTTTTATTTTCAATCTTCCACAGCTTTCACAGAAGACATATCTGCATGGCACTGGGGGAGGGGAATATTGTTTCACAGAGAAGTCAGTCAAACCTCTTTGCTCTCCCCTCTGCTGCCTAATGTTTTTCAAGCACTTTACAATTTTTTCATTCAAAAAAAAAAAAACTAAGAACTGAGATTCAATAAGTTTCCATTACTTACTCAGGAAACAAAGCAAGTTGCCAGGGCAGTAGGAAGAAAGGAAATGAGTTGCAGGGAGATTAGTTGGGCCTTTCCAAAACTGTGGGCCAGGAGCAGGAGAAGAAGGGGAGTGGGAATGAAAGGAAAGACAACTACAGAAAATCTCTTAGAGCATTCATTCATTCATTCAATAAGAAGGCAGGTGACATCCAATTTGCTACACGAGAAGGAATGCAGAAGGGAGTAGAACAGGATCCGTGTCACTGAAGGGGTGGGGAGGGGCTCTCACACACCGATGGCAAGAACAGAATAGATACAACTATTTGATAGGGTAATTTAGCAGTGAACATTAATTGAAATATACGTATATTTTTACTTCATTTTTATGATACTAATACTTCATGTTCATTACAATGTTGAAAAGTAGTGCCACCAGCTAAAGATAATCATTTTTACATTTTGACATACATTCTTCTAGCCTCTTTAATGTACCTTTTATGTAGTTGCTATACTATACAACTCTGTGTGTGTGTGTGTCTGTGTGCGCGCATGCGCACGTGTGTGTGTATTGACTTCTGGATAGCCTCTTTTCATAGGAAGGAATAAGCGCTTTGTACATTAGCGCAAATACTTTGTAATTATCACTTTTTAAAATTGTGTAATTGTTTATAATGTGATTATATTGTAATTTTACTGAACCAAATGTGAAACATTAAAGACATGGTCTCTGTTAGTTTTTCTGCTTTATAAATAATGCTGTAGTGAACATCTTTGAATTATTGCCCCAGAATGTATTCCCCAAGTAGAATTAACATTTCTAGAATATAACAAGTGGTATTAAAAGCAGTGGGCACCTACTTACATGTCACACCACTCTTTGTTTCAGTTTTTTAGTGGCTGATGTGATATACTCAGCATTAGAGCCATGTGAACAATGGAACCCTCCTGGGTCTTGTGGGGTCTACACTTCCTCATACTCTCAGCCATCAGTCACAGAGACCTTACTTTTGTTCCTTTCTAATGCTTTTCTCAATCAGTTCACTTAAAGAATAAAAGGTTTCCAGTATTTCATCTTCTAGGGACTTAATAAACACCCTATTAAAGTTTCTTTAGGCATGGCTAAATTGGGATGGCTTTTCAGATGAGATCTGACGAAGTTCTGATATGCCAGGCACTTTATTATTTCGAGCCAATTTAATCTTCACACTTCCAACGTTCAGTACCCAACCTATTGCCCTCATGGTCTGCTCTAACAATCCAGATTTCTTAATAAAGTTTTATCCCTGTAGTGAGCCTGTGCTTAATAAGGTGAAAATGATGTTATGGACCAAATTGTGTCCTCCTGAAATCTGTATGTTGAAACCCTTACCCCAGTGTGACTGTATTTGGAGATAAAATCTTTAAAGATCTTTAATTAAGGTTAAATTATGTCATAAGAGTGGGGCCCTTATTCAGTAGCACTAGTGTGCTTCTAAGAAGAGGAGGAGACAGCAAGAGTGCATGCACAGAGAAGAGGCCATGTGAGGACGCAGGGCGGAGGCAGCTGTCCGCAAGCCAAGGAGAAAGGTGTCACAATAAACCTAACCTGCTGACATATTGATCTCGGGCTCCCAGCCTCCAGAACTGTGACAAAATACATTTCTGTTTCTTAGGCCATTTGGTCTGTGGTATTCTGTTATGGTAGCCCAAGCAGACTAATAGTGATGGGTGAGTCTCTGTCCTCAAGGGATTCAAAACCTAGTTGTGAGAAAAATGTGTAATCCACTTTGCCTCAAGCCTCATAAGCCCAGGCCAGGCCATCCAGCAACAATACGATAGCAGCCCTGTGCCAGATGAACCTCCTTCTGCAGAGCACGGCAATCCCCGCCTGACTTAGACTTGTGCAACTAATTAAGGAAATGCTCGGGTTCTGCTGTAGCATCAAAAGTGTGCTGGCAAATCTAGCTATTCTGCACACCATGTGGTATGCTTCCCATTTGTGCTCACTACAGCCACATGAATTCCATTCGATTCTCTAAGGTCTGCTGTTGCCACAGTGTAGAAATTTCAGCCCAGCATAAAAGTACCTGGGTCACAGAGATGACCGCAGACTTCCCCTCTTCTTATGGATGACTATATGCCATGGGGAATCCTCTTTGCTCTACCCATGCCATGAATGCCTCAGTAGTTACTTCAGTAAAATAGGTGGAATAGTATCAGTCTGCAGCCTAAGCACAAAATCAGGTAGACATTTGATTTCAGTTTGAATTGCCTAGTATTTTATAAGCTAAACTTTGGAACCCATTTATCTCAAGTCTTCAGAAAAAACCTTGGGGATCTAGGCCAAAGAAACATTTGAGAAAAATACAAAAAGCTGTATTTCAATATGCCTTTTTGGCCAGGTTTTTCCCCTGGACTTTCACCCCTCAAAAGCACATTTCTTTCCTTAAGTCTCTTAGAATCCTCATGAAAATAGACGTTTGGGGTGCTGCCCCCAAATCCCTCTAAATAAGCCTGGTCATGTCTGACCTCATAACATGTGTACATCTGGGCTCCTCCTTGAGGACACACACTGGATAAAGCACATATGTATAAGGAAATATATGTGATACAGAATTGTGATGTGTATGTAGTAAAAACAGAAGCTAGTTTTTATGGAGCACATATTATGTACCCGGACTTGGTACTTTATCTGAATTTGATTCTTCAATTCCCACATATTCCCTAGATGAGAGATAATATGACTGCTCTGACCTGCAGAGGTGAGAAACATAGCTTAGACATATTAAACAACTCACCCAAAGACAGCGAAAGAACAAGGAGTCAAACCCAAGTCCCTTAACTCTGGAGGCTACACTATAACCTTACAAACTGTGCCCAACATGTACTGAAGAAGAATTACTATGAGAGGTTCAAAGCAACAAGACATTGGTGTTCCTTAGAGCAATGGTCTATTGAAGAGGTAGAACTGAAAATGGCCCTTGAAAGAGGGGTAGAGTACAAAGGTGTGGAAGCTTAACATAGGTATGGAGGATTAGAGAAGAGTCAGATTAAAATCTTTAAGAGTAAGGTTTCTATGGGATGTCAAATGTGCTGAGGACTTCAGATTTAATGCAGAGGAAGCTGCAACAGTGAAATTATAATGATCTGTCCACGAAGGCTGCTCACCCACAGGGTAAGAAACAGCAATGGTCCTAAGCTAACATGAGAGATTTCAAGCTTTCACAATGATGATGGGAGTGATGCACTCAGTAAGAGCATGTTTCACCAAGGAAGATGGCCATGCATCTTCAAAGGCTGAGGGGAACAAGCATTCTCTAATTCCCATGGAGACCTAGAAGAGTTCCTCATTGTGGAGTCATGCAAGCCCATTTCTTAGCTGGATGGGTGAAGTGTTCCCTCAGTTCACATAGACCAGGCTTCCTCTTTAGAGGCATAAGCTGTAAAACAGGAGAGTCTGTTTTAAGAGGATCTGTTTGAAGTTTAATGTAACTGAAGTCCATGCACCTGAAGCCATTAATTGATATAAGTGGTATGTACTTGTGTATATGTACGTGTGTCTCTATGTTTCTGTATGTTTATGTATGTATTTATGCATACGTGTATGCAATTGAAAAAAATCATAAACTACTCATTTTCCACTGACAGCATAGTTTAAAGATGATAGAAACTGTGTGGGCATTAGTCAGTCGTTGGAAAAGATCTCTCTCTTTTTGGAAATCTGTGGCTGAGGTAGAGAATGATGAGCAATATAAGACACCAGTTAACCTTTATACCTAGCTCTGAATTCCAAAAGAGAAATAAAGGCTGCTCAACACATTCATCTTCCTGCCTCAATTACTTGAAGTGGATAATCAGCTTAACGCTATCAGGACGATGCTGAATATGTGTTGATTTTTCTTTGTTATTGATTGCTGTGCTTTGACACACTGTTCTCGTGATTATGCGCGCAGGCACCACCTGGCACCATTGTCTACCTTCACTATTCACACATCAGGTGATCATTTTTGCGGTTTTTTTCTTCATTGCATATAGTTGCCAATGGAAATGCCTAGAACTTAAGGCATGGTTTAGTGGCTTAAATAACAGTATATGTTTTAAAGTACTATTTGGTGAAAACTAAGCAGTTTTAGACAGAAATCTTCCCTGAAATCCAATGGCCGTTTTGTTTAGAGTACATTTTACTCAAGTTGCTCACAAATGCTGCTTTACATTTTAGGTAACTCTGAAGTTTCTTAATAGGTAAATATCCAAATGTAAGTAGTAGGTGAACAATGGCACACATTCTTTGCACTAATGTATTTATGTGAGCAAGCATATATGTTTTTACATTTATTGAATAGCAATTATAATGAAAACTATTATTGTCTGCTTCCACAAAGAAGCAAATGCTTACATAGGACACTTGTTTCAGCCTCCCCACCTGTTCACCTGGCACCATGGCCCACACATAATCGAGAGCAAAGCTTGTGCCCTCTACCTAGGACACCTGAGCCAGCACCCACATTGCTCCTGCAGAGAGCACTCTGCAGACCTGGTTGTTGTCTTTGTGAGCAGTGCCCAACAAAAACAAAATCTTCCAGAAAAAACTGTCTCAACCAATCCTCTACTCTCAAGATAGAATTGCAGGGGCACATGAGCCTTCTATATCTCCATGGCTCCCATTTTATAAAAGGATCAACTGCTTTGACTGCCCATAGTCTGTTGTCCTTGAGGAACTTCACAAGCTTTTTCTTGCCCCAACCCCATTGGGGTGCTTGAGGTTTAGTGTTTTTCTGACCATAAGCCAACAAGAGCCAAGCCCCTGAGTATCCTGGAAGCCTGACTTCAGTCTTCACTAAACACATGGGTCTAGTGTTGATTTGTGCCTCCTCACCTTCTATGCAGTGTGCTCAGGACTGAGCTTCTGAAGGCCACCGTGAGCATGAGATTTCCACGTCCCACCCAACATATCCTTGCTAACATGGGTCATATGAAGTCACAACTCTCACAGTCCTTTGTAACTTGCTGACTCTCCTAGGACGGGACCACTGTACTGTTCCAACTAAGTGCCAGACTCCACAATGCCTTCTGTGACAGGCCACTTGTTCAATAGGTTAATGACAGGTCTCTAACTTGCCCTGGAGCACTGGCCCTTCAGCTGACCGCAGATGCCCTTAATTGGGAATTGTCCTTTACAATTTCTCAATCAGAGACTACAGCGATTGCTTCTTCACAGAGAAACTAGAGCCTGCTCTCTCTGCAGATGTGGCTTTACTTCAGGATTGAAGGAATGTCCCATTTAAAAGCAGAATCTGCAGAGATGAGTTACAGCTCAGGAAATAACACTATGTCATCTAAGTTAACAGAAGCATACCCGTTGTTGATATATTTAATCTAAAATGAAGATAAAAAAGGAATCTCACTGGTTGGTGTATACAACCAGTGTTGTATAAAAAATTCTGAGTACAAAAAATTCTTACTATCGTGTGCTGGTCACCAATGTTAAGGGGGCAGATGACTGCTCTAAAGTTTGCCATACTAAGAAAGAAGCCAGTGTAAAAGAAAAAGTTTCACACTATACACCTCTTCCCCACAACACACACACACACACAGCACATGCATAACAATGTTTCAGTCCTCCTAAGAATCGGCCGGGACAATAAGATTTGGACTTTAAAACAAGCTAATACTATTGCTTCTTTGCTTTATGTTTAAGAGAGATACAACCAGTGAATTGACTCATTTTTATTTTCATATAAAACTGTTTTTCTGGCACCTAAGGCTTTTGTAGACATTTATCATTTTGCTTCTCTCAGATAACACAAAAATTGATTTTTTTAGTATTCAGACCTCTTATTTTCCCCTGCATCACTTGTCAGCTTCCAAACAATCTATAACTACAAGACAAGCAATGAAAAGGGTGCATGTTCACAGTAGGCCCCATCTTGAGCTACACAACTGTGAGACACACTGAACTGCTGGTGTCCATTTGGCACTCACAATGGACCAAGGACCGGAAATTTGGGCTGCAGCTGAATTGCAAGAAAAAACATAGAAAGTAGTAAAAAAGATGTTGCCATGGGGTTTCCCTCCTTTGTCTTTTCTCCGCAAAGCATATCATCCTTTCCTCTTTTACAGAAGTAAGTCTTTGGGTTTCCGGTAGCTCTGACTCAGATTCTGCTTGCCTCTTCTCCATGAGATTACCAAGGCATCAGGGCAGAGACTCCCTGAGGTGAGCATTGGGCTTTTGCCCATGGTGGGAAGTGACTTGATCACACCAGTGCAGTCAGCTGAGGAGCGGGTGCAAGGGAGGCCAGATCTTGATATTTCTTTCTGTTAGAACATGCTATCAAATACCAAGTCACTTATTACCTGGTTAATTTATAGTATTTAGACTGCTGCAAACAAAATCAACTTCAGGTTGTATCATTCATTGTCTTCTCTTCTATCATCCTTGCTTCTGCCTTTGAGTCAGTGTCAACCTACACAATTAAACCTGCTCAGTCCCAGCAAAAGTTTTCTTACACTCTGTCTTGTAAAACTGATTTGTTTTCCCTTTTTTCTCCCCACCTCCACATTTTCCCCGAACAGAATCAAGAGCGGGGTTCATTTCCTGGTTATGTATCTTATTGGACGTGTGAACTTGTGCAAATTACATAATGTCTTTGAGCCTCAGTTTTCATGTGAGAAAAATGAAGGAAATAATGCTTGCTTCACAGAGTTGTTATGACAATCAAATAAGAAATTTCTATGTGAAAGTACTTTAATGAATGGTATAGAAGGTGCATACACCTCCCACCAGTGGGACTACTTCCTCAAATGCGTAGGCATCCTCTTTCCTGACCTACATCAGAGTGCTCCTAATCAACCACATCTTTAGCAGAATCCATGGGACCTGCATTTACTCCCCCAATAAATGAGCTGCCTATTAGCATGGGCAATGGGGACCAAGTAGTTATTTTTCCTATGTTCAGATTTTTTTTAACTCTTCATGTATTTTTAGAGAGGAAATTTTTTCTCCCATAATCAAAAATAACATATTCAAAAGCAGTTATTATGCCTTACACTTTGATCCCGTGATAAATAGAGATCTTGATTCCTTCATAACTAGGATATAAGCCTGCACTCGGATTAGTAACAACGCAGTCAGAAGATGTAGAAAACTAGAGTCTGTATTATTAGAACCCAAAATATTGAAGGGGAATATTGTTATTGTGCTTTGCACACTGGAAGAATGCATTTTGGAGAGTAAAGAGTCAAGTCCCTCCCCTGCCTGAATTATCCTGCCAGCCCCTCGCTCCTTCTTGCTGCTATTAGCCTCTCATAATGTAAAACATTTCTTCATTTCCAGCAGATAATACTTTCAGTGAAAAGGTAATTTTTGAAGTCTATTACTCGCATTCTTAGTGAAGAGCACAATGTAGCATTTTGTTCTAATACACCATTGAAATTGTTTGAGTAGGTACACCATGGAATCAAATACAAAATGTCAAAATGGTTTCCATTAACTATGCACATTTGCACTGCTTCCGTTAATGGCCATGTTTTTGTTCTTTTCCTTCATCTTTGCATCTATAAGATGAAATGATTCAGTTGATGTAACTGAAAAGTACATTGAAAAGGTAGAGAGCAAATTACAAAAGCATCAAGCCACAATTCCACCCACAGACTTTATTTTATAATGAAGTTTAATAATGATAGAAACTGTCATTAGATTTAAACATCAGTCATTTCAGCAATTGTAGTTAATGTGAATATCTCATACCGAGTAATGTTTTATAAAAACATGGCAGAGATTGTGTATTATATTGAACTGAAATGTCATAATGAAATCTTAACTAGATGCTATTATTGCAATACATATTATGTTAAGAGAAATTTACTTCAACTTGAAAAGAGAAAATGAGTACTGTGTTTCCTTCAACATCATAAGTTCAGATAAAATCATTTTACTTGGAAGAAAGTTTTTTTTTTCTTTTCTAGACTTAACATGAACACATATATGTACCCATTACTTATGATAATAAGTGTTGTGCTCATGTATCTTAGTGGTAAATATACAACAAAAATATATTTATTTTTCTTTGACACAACATTATCTCTAGGAAAAAATTTGTGGTTCTTATACAGTACATGTTTTTGAGCCTAAACAGTATGTGAGTTTCTCCTTTAATCTATCTTGAAGAAGAAAGGGTATTCCCAATGGCAGAGCCCTAGATCTAAACCTCAATGAGCTCTGTTACTACTGGATGGAGCTCATAACAGCGTCGGGAAGCCAGGCCAGGTGGTCATGCTTGCTGAGTCATTTAGCTGCAACTGTCCTTGCCTTGTTTCCTGATAGTACAGTTTCCTGCTAATGACTATAAAAGAACAATGGCAATACCAAATGAAATCAACACCTGAAAACTCTCATTTTCCACCGCCTACCCACTTCCCACCCCACTCACAGCAGTCTCTGTCCACATCAAAAAGGTTAATCACGTCTCAGTGTGGTACTGAGGAACATCTCACAAAGTCATACTCATTTGCTGAAGAAAGAAGAAGGAAGAAAATTTTCACTTCTGAGTATCATGTCCTCTCTTAGTTGAAAGAAGGAGACAAGTAGAAAGGAGGAGAAGAAACACAACGGGCTTTCCCTAGCACAATATTTCTCTAGAGTCCACAATATGTTCCAGAGTGATTAGGAAGTAAGAGCAACTGACCACAGCAAAGAATGCTTGTGCCGTGCATATACTTGAGCAAATTTCATCATTTTCACCTCATGAAAGGTTACATGAAAGGTTTTTTCTTGTTAGTTTAGGTTCTCTGGAGTCTTTTGTGCTCATGTGTGCGTTTTTGTATTTTAACAATTTCACAAATGCTACTGGATAAATGCACCAGATTCCAGGAAACGTCCAGAACATTTAGTCTTTACCACCAGATGGCAGTGTAATACCACTCTTGTATAGAACAAACACAATAAAATGGGCGCAAGGGACCTTGGATAAGTACTACTCACTATGCTAGCCCCTGAAATCAGATATTATTTCCTTTTGATATTCAATACATCTTGTATCTAACATTTTTCTATTGAATACATTTGTAAAGGAATCCATAACTATGGCAAAAGAATCATTTCATTTACCAACTGCTGTGTAACAAACCACCCATCAAAACATACTAGTGTAAAATAATAATGTTTTATTATTTATCACAGTTCCATGAGTTCATTACACTCAGATGAGCCATTCTTCTGCATTTATCTTCTACTTCACAGGATGGAGATGGAGTCTCCCATGTATCTATGTTCAGCTGGGACTAGGGCTGGAATTTCCAGAATGGCCTCTCATGCTCTAGGGCCCTTCCTCCATGTGTCCTATCACTATTGAAATCTAGCACTAGCTTCCCTACATTCCATACAGGCAACTGACTTCTGAAAGATAGCCCTGTTGTTCAACTGTTAATAAGGCTGCTGCATCTGCTGCATGAATCACACTTGCTAGTAATCCATTGGCCAGAACAAGTCAAGTGACTCAGCCACAGCCATCTGATGTGGAAAAAAACTGCATGCAAGCCTAAATTCCAGGAGACAAGGCCAGCAATGGACAGGCCACCATAGGGTTCACAGCTCTGCAAGCACAAGGAATCAGAAAACTCCCTAGTTCAATTTACGTTAAAAATATTATAAATCTATACTTCTTTTATCAGTAAATCATAGGCAAGACAAATGGCACTGACACAACTTGTAAAATGTCATAAAAATGGACCATCTGGCTTCTACTGCCCACGGTATTTTACTCTGCATAGAAGGGCACAGTTCCAGGCTCTGGCCTCAGGATTGCAGGGCCCAAAACTCAAATTTTAAGGGCACCCAGTATTGGCAAGCTAAAAAGGAAAACTAAGGCTAAGTAAACTTACAAAAGATAACTTAACCAGATGTAAATTCAAGTGTGCAGAAAGACCTACCTGGTGCATGAATGGAGCCTATCGGCAAACTCAATCATGGTGCATAAATCCCCCAGGAAAACAAATTATAAAGCAGAGGTTGCTTTACGAACACAAATTTGGAGGAAGGGAAGCTGGATATTCTCAACGGATATTTCCACTGGAGCTAATGAATTGTCCTTCTCTGTTCTACAAACATCTGTATTTTAAGAACTGACTCAGTTTCATTCAATTACAGCAACATTGCCTCTTAATAAAATCAGAAAAACACTGATCTAACATTATTTTTGCTGAAAAGATTATGAACAGGATTAAGAACAAAAGTCAAAACTTGTTCTCAACATTTTGTGTTGCAAAAAGCCAGAAATTTTTCATCCAAGATAATATTTCTACTTATTATGCATGACCCAGAAAGCACTATCGACACATAATGTTGATTCAGTAATTAGTGCTCTTCCATTTTTAATCTGATAATCCCCATGGCTAACAGGTTGCTATACCCAAATGATGCTTCTGTACTTCAGTTAATGTCTGCTAATAATTGAACCCAAGAACAGTACCCATCAACAATTCCAAATTTATTTCCCAGCATCAAGATTAAAACTAGACAGCAAGGCCTTGCATCCTCTAAGGCAGTCTACACAATTCATTTACATATAAAATTCATACACTCTGCAAATGGAACTGATATATGCTGCATTATTCCTGAGCTTTCAGTGAGTTAGAAACAAAAAGGGGGAAGGGGCACCTAATAAAACTCTTCAGGAAGAGTGTATATTATTATTCATGCATTAATGTAGCAAATACACAGTTAGAAATTCAGTAAGTGAATTATATAAATAGAATTTTCTTATAAGAATCTTGTAACCCAAATTCTCAAAATTCAGCTTTCATAAAGATAATACAATTTTTTTTCTCAGATGATTTTTCTTCCTCCCATGGCAAAATATCCTTCACTGTATTACAGCCTGGGATTGTTTCATTAGATGAGGATGGAGAAATAGTTGGTCAATTGACCAAAACTGGGGGAGTTTTGTTTATCATATGGAGGAGAGTTTTGTTTTTTAAAATATTAGATATCTCAAGTGTCAATATCAAAATGCCAGTTCTTGAAACCATTGCTACACAAGGATCTCTCAAGAAATGTATTTATTGAATTGTAACATTCATTACATGAAGAGCCAGTAAGTGGCTCCACATTTAAGATCACGTGAACCATTTTAGGCATTCAATTTGTTTATTTACAACTCATAACAAAACATCTCACACTGGAAAGGTTTGCCATTACCTCATACTCAACATGTTGGGTTGGAATGATCAATAACGTTTACAGTTTACTCAGAAAAATGCTAGAGAGTTCTCAGAGCTAAATAAGAAGCCACAGAGTCAAGAGAAAATCAGGTAGAACTCCCCCAACTCCTTTCAAATAGAGAAAATCTTCTTTCATTTGTTCAAATAATAATTTATCCTTAAGATGTTGCCAATTTGGGGAAAAGGAGAGTAAATACTGAACTGGTGCTCATGGTAAGTGCTCAATAAACATTTGTGTTTTGCTTGTTGGAGGGGAGAAGAGGTTGTTGGAGGGGAGAGGAGATTGTTGGAGGGGAGGGGAGGTTGTTGGAGGGGAGGGGAGGTTGTTGGAGATGAAGGGAGGGGAGGGGAGGGGAAGGGAGGGGAGGGGAAGGGAGGGAAGGGAAGGGAAGGAGGGAGGGAAGGAGGAAGGAAGGAAGGAAGGAAGGAAGGAAGGAAGGAAGGAAGGAAGGAAGGAAGGAAGAAAGAAGGAAGGAAAGTGGGAGGGAAGGAGAGAGGGGAGGAAAGAAGAAAGGAAGGCCCAGTTTTCAAATAAGTTTGAGAATCCCACATAATATATTATTTCTTTGAGTGTAAAAACTGATATTAGTATATTGAAGGCTCTGATAAGTGGCACAAGTAAGAAAAATGTTTAACTTTTTTAACCTGCTATTCCATAAATGTATTTAAAGACTAACCCCCCTCTTTGTTTTTATATTTATCTTTATCAAAAATTATTAAAATCTTGTGGAATTTGTGTATTTTTAAAGTTTGGTAAATGCTACCTTAGTAGGCACTACAATGGACACAAATATTCAGTAGAGCAAAGAATTGCTGTTACGATATTACTCCTATTCACACACGTCTGGTAGATTCAGTCCAAAGTCATTCTATAATTCAATATACATTACTATTTACCACTGTCTTACTTCCCTTCTTATACTGGTAGCAGTGAAAGCCACTGGTTAAGTTCTGAAGTTTAAATCCTAGCTCTGCCACTTATTAGCAATGGGACCGTGGGCACATTCCTCTTTCTCTCTGTCTGTTTCCTCATTTGTAAAATAGATTACATTGAATTCAGTCCCCGAATGTAGGAAATGGGAAGATTTCCAAATCTATATTTTCTGGGAGTAGCACATAGGTAGATTTCTGAACTCTAACATGGATCTACTGAATCTAATGCTCTGGAAAAACCGTCTGCATCTTACTCTGCCCCAATGATTTTCATGAGGATAAAGTTAGAAGACATTGATCATGCAAATGAGGAGCACCACCACTGCTTCCAAGTGTTAGGAGGGGTAATGCACAAAATCAGAGCATACCTGGTTTTACCGTGCCCAAAAGGCAGAACCAGGACTGCGGCAGAAGTGAGAGGAGGCAAATTTTAGCTCGACATGAAGAAGGACTTTCCAACAAATATGGCCGTGCAAAGATTGTGCAGGCTTCTTTGACAATCAGATATCTGCCCTTGTGCTTGGGATCACTTATTTAACTGGAGCTTTTTCCAGGGTATTTGAAGGGGGATTCAAGCATCTCTGAGGGTTGTTAGAGTACCTGACTGCTACATTTCCCTTCCAACCCTAACGTGTTAGGATTTACCTCTCCTGACACCAAGCCTGTACTAAGTAAAATCCATGTCCAAATGTACTTGTTTCTTCCCCATTTTCACTCTTCATACATTTATTTGAGGAAGAGTATTTTTCAAAGATTTTGGTATTTGGTATTTTTTGGAAGACATTTTAAATACTGTCAGTGCACGACACTAGATCACATGCCTTAAAATGCTCTGAAAGCACAGGTACACATCTTGGTAAAACACAGGCGATGCTATCCCTGGGGACACAACCTACCAGGACATGATGGAAGAAAACTTAGGGATTTCCACTGGCATTCCAGATCCACCAACAACCATTCCTTAAGCAGCCAGACAGGCTCACAGCGCTCATATAATTAATCCTTGAATCCTAAAGGAGCCATTATGTTCCTTCCTACAGCTGCTGCTGGGAGTCACATAAAACATCTTCTAGCTTATGAGACCAGAACTTTAATCATATATAAGGACTGAAAACACAGCCTAAAAAGGCATAAATTCCAAATTGTTTCCATGCCACTGTAATATTGAAAAAGTGCCTACACACTTTTATAATATAGATTTGTGAAATGATGGAAATGCTGCTATCATTTATAGTTTCCTTTCAGAATGGGCACTTATTTATAAATGAATGGTTCTGTAATAACCCAATGGCACCTTCATAAATCTCTCCAATGTATGGCAGTCTGTAACACATCTGATGAGAAATGTGTTTACTTTCAGGATTAAAAATAGAAAAACACAATAGAACAAGTTCATTGGCAGGTTCAGGTGGCCACTTAGTTTATAATAGAATCAGGAAATGAAAGTGCCCTGTGGTGCAGTAAAAACTCCACTAGAACCCATTTTAGCTAAGATAAGCAAAGCATGTCAGTGAGTTTCCTCAGTTGTCAGCATTTTTAAAAATTAACTGTATACCTCCTTTCAATCAGCTAAATATTTATTCAAATCTTCAGCTTGTTATTTCTTCATTAGCAAGGTTTCCCCTGCTGCTCAGCAGAATATGTGAGGAACTTTGCAAATGTCAGAAGCACTCAAGTTGAATCAACCAGGGGAAGTGATAAAAAAGACTCATAATCAAGTGGAACTACAATAGGGCCACATTTCAAGCTGGGAAATAATAGATCAATACAGAAGGATCTTTCCCATGGAATAATGCTGCTATTTGTTCTTATTTTGTGACTTGTTTTTACTCATCAAATCACAAGTACAATGCATTTCTGTGTTAACCTTCAATTTGTAAATGATCATTTGTATTCTAATCCTCAGAACACTGCCACAGAGAAAAGAGAGTGCAATTTTGAAAGAAAAGCTGAGGCTTGTGAACAAAGGAGAGCAAAATAAAATAGCCAAAGTATTTTAGGGAACGAATTAGTGCTTTAGGAGCTCCTGGTTAGCATATGAAAATCTCATTCTAATAGATAAATCAAGCTTAATGATACAGAGTTTTAAAGATGGACAATTATAACAAAGGTCCTCATAGAAAAAAAAATCTAAAGCTGCAGTGTAATCTGGAGCTAGGCAAGTCTAACCTGTTCATTTGCTTCTTTTGGGAAAAAAAAAGTTTATGGTCTTGAAGTTGCAGATGTTTTACATTTAATTTTGTGCTTTGATAAGGATCTTAGTTTGGTCAGGATTTTGGTTTGTGAGTGCTATCCAGCCACTGGTGCTAGTACAAAACTTTATCACATTAACTTGCTTTATTTAATTCTGTGTTATTTTCAACATCATTATCCAATAATAAAATATGACTTCATCAATTTATCTTTCAAATCAAGTTGCTCACATCATTTCAGATATATATTACAATCCAATAGCTCCCAATTATTTTTAAAAACTTATTCATAAACATGGGATAAACCTATAAAGACTGCTGTTTCTTCATGAGATAATAATATGATATAAAAACAAAACTTCAAAATATGTTTCCAAAATCACAAAGAATAAAATATATCAATTTGTAGGTAAATGAGCTCCCCCAAATTTTATGATGATAGCACACATTTTTCTTGATTAAGAAAATTCTGTATATGTTTTCCTCTTTCCGAATATAAACAGGCTATGCTAGAAGGGTACCATTTGAAAAGGAAGTGTATGACCCACCGTGAAATGGAACTGGTAGCTGGTCACCCAGGTGCTCTTCCTTGTTAACTGATGAGAGCGATTATTATGTGAGAACTTTAACAACCTGCCAAAGGATCCCGGGGCAAGAATGAGAGCTGAACCATTGAAAAGCTGAGCATCGAAGTGCCTGGGAAGCCCAAAACTCAGCACATTCATGCTTTTGCTGGTTTTTGACCATTGAGAAGAAAAAAGAGTCAGCAACCAGGGAGCAGGTAAAGATGGTACCGTTTAATCCCCAGTTCCCCATTCAGTCCTGGTCCCTCCAGAAGCTACCCTGTCCCCAGGCCTCAGTGTGTTTGCCTTCCTCCTCTGGGAGGGGTTAGCACAATTCAAAAGGGCAAATTTTGTAGAAGAGTATGAAATGAGAGCAACTTTTTTTATTGCTGCCCCACACTGCCCTCTGAAGACCCTGTCCTCTGGTTTTGCACACACCAGACCAATGGTCCCAGGCTAAGGTGGCTGTTGATGAGGCTGTAATCTGGACTGAGGCTAAGGGAGAGGGGGTGGTGTGAGAAGGGGAAGAATGGCTCATAATGAAAAGAAGGGAGAAAGTAATTTAAGGAGCAGAGTGGTTACTCTTCAATAGTATAACGATGGATTTTTCCATATTAACCAAATGAAGTGCTAACACCACAATTAAGAGCAAAATCATTGCAAAGTCATCTTCTAGGGACAGGCTACCTCAAGGGCTGTAGGTAAAATTGGATAATGCTTATATTAACATTATCCTTTTCTTTGCATTCAAACTTTGTCCCAGGATATTC
This sequence comes from Homo sapiens, assembly GCF_000001405.40. Classification (NCBI taxonomy): domain Eukaryota; kingdom Metazoa; phylum Chordata; class Mammalia; order Primates; family Hominidae; genus Homo; species Homo sapiens. The sequence continues at coordinate 60,059,081 of NC_000008.11, forward strand.
CATAGAAAAGATAAGTAGGTGTGCATTTTTTTCCCTAATATTTCCTAAGGAAAGCAAAGATGTTTTACTGAATTCCAGTGTCTGGGGAGATCTGCCTTCCCACGATGTCGTGAGTGGTTGTGTAGAAGAAGATGGTTTCTTTTACCAAAGAGTTCTCCTTCGACCTGGCTAGGAGTTTATTTTTTACTTTGTATGGAAATTCTACAGGGAGCCTAATAGCACAGAATGGAGCCCCAGTATCATTTGTAATATTCAACTGCAACATGGATTTTATTTTATGCCTCCTTCTAAATAAGTCTTTTCTAAATATATTTTTGAGGACTGACGGCACATAAAAGGGAGCTATTAAGGAGAACCATGGGGTGTCTGTGATGGGAAGGACTGATTATCCCTGACAGCCTCCAACTTTGAATTCCTGGAAAGGCAAACCACGAATATTTCAGTGAGCCAAGCATGCAGATACATTTAATGCCACATTGCCCTTCTACCCTTTTCCTCCTCTTTTCCTCTCCCTGGTTTCCCAGCCTCTTCTAAAATGGTGTGTTTATTATGAAGTGTTCTTGGAAGTTTTCTTATGTCATCTGAATCAATATAATATCAGACCTATCAAGATCTATTTTTAAAGGTAAGCTTGTTTGGTCCTCTAGCGGCCTCCTAATTAGAACGCACTATATTTATGTATATGCTTCTTTGCATTGCATTAACAGGATACTCTGGGAAAAGCTTCATGCTTTCAAAACACTGAATTTCAGGGAGGTCCTCGGCAAAATCATGAAACGAATTTGAATCTTACCCTTCGTTCAGGTTTCAGTCTGTGACCTTGGACCCAGATTCCATGAATAGAACATTGTCCTCGCAGGGCAGAGGCTCAATAACTGGACATTTTCTGGGTCCCTGAATTTGTACAATGAGATATCAACTCCAATCTGTGAGCACAATGCTCCAGTGACTGCCAGGAATGGCTGCAATATTGATGCCTTTCAATGTAGATCACATCATTCACCGAGCAGAGCTCAATAAAATGATACTGTAGTTAACAAGTTTTATAACACAAAGTTACTTTAAAACATGGAACTAATCAGAGAGAAGCCTGTTTATGCGTGTCAGAGCCACATTTAATTGTCAATAAATAAACAAAGATTTGCTTCACCTATTGTCATGTATATCAAGTAAGTCATTAATCTAAACTAATGAAGCTTAAGATATATGACAGACAGTTTTTATGGAGCGCCTTCTTAATGATATGTTTGCTTTTCATTTCAATGCCAAGAGAGCCCATTATCAAGAAAGCAGCACATTATGGTCCAAACACATTGAAATCTACAGCACTACTCTTTGTTCGGAGTTCACAATAAGCCGCACTTGCACTTACATATTCATGTACCCTCTGAGATGAAAAGCGTTAGTTAGAAATGAATACGGGTGGGGTGGGGGGAGCAGGGACAATGCATCCAAGGCTTCTGCTCTGTTAAGAGGTTTCCCCCCGCTTTGGATTTTTAAGCTCACCTGGAAAGAAAAAGGAGACTAAATCCAGCCCAATTCATGCCCACATCAATTTTGAAAAATGTGAGTGAATATGTATCATAAACACAGTGAGTCCTAATCATTAAAGAACATCCTGAATCTCTGAAGAACACAAACCCAGGATGCCAAGCTGCAAACAAATAACTACTAGATAATAGAAGCAAGTATTCTACAATTATTTTAATGGGCATGTTAGTTCTCAAGCTTCCATGGTTTTCAAAGAGAAAGTAATTATTTCTTACTCTGCTTCTATTTTGGAAGAGAATAATGTGGACAAGTTAACATCTATCAAACCATAATGATTCCCAACCTGGTGACATGAAAAACTCAGATTAGCTGACCCTTTGGGCTAATGCCACCAAGAGATTCTGCTGCAGGCGCCAAAGACCAAATGAAAGATTCAGTCATGTTGCAGTTTTATTTACTTAAATCTGGAGAAATATGCCTAGCGTCGAACCAGATTACAAGAGGATACAATACATCTATGTGTAGAGCAGGGCAAAAGACTGATTGAATATGGTCAGGGATCTTGGCTATCTTGTTCATCAATGCATTTCCAGAACCTTCCACAGTCCCTGGCTCGTTGTGGGCACATGGTGAATATTTGCTAAGTCTGTGGGAAAAAATCTATGATATAAGGAACAGAAGGATTTTAAAAAGCTTTCCTAGAAATATCCTGCTCTTTTTTCTCTTCCCATTCTGCTACTTACTTCAGTATAAACCGGAAGTAAGCTCTCCACTGTCAAATGTTTTCTCAGTCTGGGCCCTTCTGAAGTTTTAAGTCCATTCCTTCTTGACTTCCCTACTTGCTCAAACCAAAGCAAAATCCAATTCATTCCTTCAAGAGAAAGTCACGGAGCATACAACAAATCACATGGAGATGTGGGCTCTTATAGAGCTCAGGGTCCATATCTGGTTAATTGCAAAACCTTGTAACCAGCACTTTAGTGAGCAAAGTCCAAAATGCCACAGGAGCACAGATTGGAAGGTTCCAGGGCACATGTCATATGAACTCAGCCCAGAAGGGTGACCCAGCTTCTGACAGGCACATGAGTGGGTGTTCCCAGAAGAGTAGAAAGAGCAAATTAATAGAGCACCAACCGTTACAGCACCAGCCATCTGTTCCAGTGAGTCCAAGCACTGGGTATCATGAAATGAGACAAATAAAGGTTATCAAGACAGGTTGTAATTAATTATATCATAACTATTATTAACACTTATTGAGCACCTACTATATGCTTGGCACAGGCACTGACCTCTACCCATAAACCTTATTTTCTGAGTAACTGACTTCTCCCAAGTAACAAGACTGTACCTACCCACCTGGACTCAAAGCCATTCTTCTGGGAGTTCAGAGCTCAGGCAATTAATCAAAATTATTTTTATAAATGTATGCCCTGGACACTTTTAGTAAAACTTCCCCAGACTGCCACAAACCTTCTCTTAGGCCTGTGTGCAGGAAAAGAAGAGAATGTTGAGAAGGGAGATAAAAATTAAGGCAGAGCTCATTTTTACACTCACTAGGGTTTTTATGAAGAAAGTTAAAGTAAGAGGTGACCAAGTTGGCTGTATCAGGACAAGGTTGGCTTCAGGGAAGTGGTATTTTTGTGTTGTTTCCAGAGGAACCATGTATGTCCCAGGGTGCTCAGTGCCATTTCAGGTGTTCATGTGAAAGTAGGATCCTAAGACTGGAAGTAATAACAAAAAGTAAACATCAAAAACATTTAACATCCCCTGTTCCCTCTAGCTCAGACTATGCCATGGGCCTCCTGGACAGAGAGAGACATCCCCTTTCTTAGCACTCTAGAAAAGTGTCCTATATCCTTTTTCAATCATTTATTTATTCCAGGTCATCTCAAACTTTGTAATCAATAAGATATTCCTAAGGTGTAAACCTCAATAACAGGTATTAAACTTATTCTCCAGTAAGGTTGCAGAAAAGGATTTCTGGTTAATAAAGTATTGCGTGTGGTAGACAGTTTCTGGGTATATACAAAACCATTCATAATTCAAAAAATTATAATATATTCAAATATTCTAGACCAGGCTTTCTCAGCTTTAAAACTACTGACATTTAGGCTGTCCTATGCACTGTAGGGTGGTTAGCAACATCCCCAGCTTCTACCACTAGATGCCAGTTGTAACCCTCAGTTTTGGGAACACCAGAAATGTCTCTTGACATCGCCCAACATCCCCTAGGGGGTAGAATCACTCCCAGTTGAGAATCCTTAATTCATATTTAATGAACATCATTTAATCTTGTTTTGGTGATTCAAAAAGCACATCGGAATCCACTTGTGACTTAGGGTGGACACTCATAACAAGGAAAAGAAGCAGTTCAATGCTCTAATTAATGGAACATCAGATAACAGATAACAAGTAGTAGATATTAAGTTTATGCAGGTTGCAATAACCACCTCTGAGGGAAACATTCATTGTTTACACCATCTTGCAAGTGAAAAACTCAGAGCTCAGTGACTCCTCCAGTGACATATCAGGAAGTATTCAATGGGCTTGGGCAAATGTTCTAGGCTCCCCACTGGAATCCTGGGGAAGCACAGAACCTACTTCTCTGTTTAAACAACATTAGGGCTTCTTAACCTGTGATTCCCTGGCAATTACATGAACCACCTGATGAAAACACCCACTCATGTTGTCTTAAATTATTTTTCAACTTTTTCTTTGTTATATAACATATTTATAATATCAGAATTTCATCAAACATGAAAGAGCATTGCAAACTCCAAAATGTGTTGATTTTTTGATACTTTGAGGAAAATAGAGAAAATCAGGATGTCAAGAGCCCATAAAAATAAGAAAATCTTGGACCTCCTTGGGCAATGGGTAAGTGTGTCAGGAGCCAAATGCAAAGTAAAATGAAAAATATATTAGACTAAGACAGTAAACCTATCACAGCATTGCATTTGGCTTGAGTACTGAGAGAGAATATTATCTTCTTTTATCTCACCACTACATGCTGTAGCCCAAATGAATCCCCTCGTCTTAACTAGATGTCTTAAAAATAGCTACCTCCAAATCTCTGCACTATGCATTATCATTGAAATGATTGAAGACTTGAGTCTGTAATACAGCTCAAATATTAGCCATGGTCCAAGAAAGTGTGTGCTAAGGAGTGAATTATGTCTCCCTCCAAATTTCTATGTTGGTGTAGTCACCCCTGTTGTGATGGTATCTGGATATGATGCCTTTGGGAGATAATCTGGTTTAGATGATGTCAGGAGGGTGTGGCCCTCATGATGGGATTAGGTTCTTAGAAGCTCACTCACTCTCTCATTCTCTCTGCTATGTGAGGATAAAGTGAAAAGACAGCTATTTCATGCCGGGAAGAGGCATGAACTCAACCATGCTGGCACCCTGATTTTGGACTTCCAGCCTCTAGAATTGTGAGAAAATATGTTTCTGTTGTTTGAAGCATCCAGTATATGGTATTTTGTTGTAGCAGCCAGAGAAGACTAAGACCATGTGTCAACTTCCATGACCATGAGTCAAGGTGATATCAGGAGTACTTCCATGTGGACAGGGGGTGGGTTGCCTAGAAACCCTCCTTGATGGCTCCTCTCACAAACAGAAGCCACTCAACCACTTAGCTCCTCTAAACACCCTGGTGCTTTCACACCTCAAAACCTACTTTGGAGTGAGTAACCTCCTAGATGAGTTTCTCCCAAGAGATACTGACTGATAATGAGTCACACTGCTTCTAGGAGAATTATGCCTCAAAGAGAATGTACCACCACCTGTAGAACTTCTCAAAACAGGGATGCACCAGATGCCTTCATTTGCAAGGAGGACTCATGACATCCAGGCTCACAGGGTTCCTCTTGGCTGTGAAAGTTGAACTGCCTTTCACATTCATCTAAACACTCCTCCCCAGAGATCTCCACCACCATTCACTCACACAGGGCACCCTTTACTGAGATCTCCCAAATTACAGCCAGTGGGATGTAAAAAAAAAAAAAAAAGAAAAATCCCAGCCACCAGGTCCTCTCTGCACCTAGACTTTCAGGAACTCCCTCATCACAGCTACACTCCAGGGGTTAATCTTACAAGGACCTTAGAGTTCTTTATCCTTCCCATCAACAGAAAAGCTAAACCCTTAGCTGCTAGCTTTTATTGTTTTATACTAGCACTTTTATATTATTTACTCTATACAAACACACCAACTACTTTATATATACTAACTGATTAAGTACAACAGTATTATCATGTGAGTTTTAGTATTATCTTTACCTTACACAGGAAGATGTTAGGCCCATGAGTTTTCACTTCTTCATTGCACAGCTAGTAAGTGTCCAAGCTGGGATTCAAATCCAAGCCATCTGGGCTCAAAGTCCACCATCATGTATGAGTTTCTCTTTTTTCTTTTCTGGATTTCTGAGAAAGAATCTCAATGCTATAGGCTTTTCATTTCCCTCAGCAGGAAATTCTCTACAATCTCTTCCCACAAGACTGGAGGAAACCAGGATGTCATTACCGTAGGCACATGGCTGAGATTCCCAAGAAGGTGAGGAGGGGAACACCTCAAAGGCAGCATGCTTCCAACCCTCCTTCCCTTTAATAGTGGATCAGATCTGGGATCCTGAAATGTTCTCAGGTTATTTCTCTGTATTCAACCAGCATTCACTAACCCTAAGGCACAGAATCACATCATTTTCCCCTGAAAAAGCAGTACAGTCACACTTTTTAGGTCTACATTATTAAGCACATCTTTGTCTCTCTGTTTTTTAAGGTAAAAAAATCCTAGACTCTGTAGAGCCTATGCTCGCTTCAGGTTCTGAAAGGATTAGTAGAGGCACCTGGTGAGCTCCATCTCTTGAGATAGTTGATCTTACTTGATTCTCATCATAAAACTGAATTTAGTTGGATTGTTATCCCGTTTTTCAGTGGGTAACTGGAGTTTAGAATGGCTGAGAAGTTGACCCAAGTTCTCCCTGCTGGTGACAGCAGGTTTTGGACACTGAGCTCACCCTACCTGCCACATAATCCCACCTCACTGTGGGGCCTGCTGGGTGGAGACAGGACTGTCTTCCTTGTAGTGTTCAAGTTCCTCAAAGGCATAAAATGCCTGATGTTGATTCTGTCTGACAGCAAAGTGACTAAAGCTTAGAGGTATTTGTGGAATGAAATGGATGAATGAATATTAAGAGAATAAATTTTGCCTTTTCTCAGGCATCCTGGGCTCTAAAGTTGACACTTAAATTTCAATCTGTCTCTACTCACCTCTTACTAGGTAACTCCAGGTGGCTCACTGAATTTCTCTATGCCTCCGGGGTCTTTGTATCTGTAAAATTCATGTTGTATAATGGCATCTATCTAATAGAGTTAGTGTGAGGATTAAATGTTAGTCCATACAATGCTTAGAACACAAACTAATATGTTATAATACAAACAAAATTGTTGCTTTTTAACTCTTACTCAATTTCCCGATTGTTACTCAAATTACCTAAATTTTCATGCATCATATATGTGTGTCTGTGTGTGTATGAAATTAGATTACAGTATCTTTTGATGGCAACAAAGAGCATACAAGCATCCACAAACAAAATTCAGTGAGAATTAATACATAAGGCTTTTATAGTTAATTTTACAGTTTCTATAGTTAAATTCAAGTTAAGTCCTCAAGTAAGAGCAAGTTCTCAGATGGAAATGGATCAGTTTAAGGCAAAATGGCCACATTCTTTGCTAGTTTCTTTCTTTGATTTCCTCCTTTCTTTACTACTTTCTTCATTGGTCTCCCCTCCCCTCAACAATCAAATTTCACTCTCCAGTGTTCATTCTCTTATTCACTGTCTAACATCCTTACTCAAGAATGCTTCTCTCAATCAGATTAGAAAGCTTGGACAGCAGTCAATTATAATTCATCACTTAAGAATTATTTTCCAGCATAAATAATTTTCAACATATAAGCTTATCCAAACCATCCATTTCAACTAGTAGAATAAAGATTCTTTTTTCTGTTACAAAAAAAAATTCAAAGAATGACACCAGTAAAGGAAAAGCATAGTGAGAAATCTTTCCCCAGAGAAAATAAAGTCATCAAAGAAACTTTGTCCTCCCCCCATAAACAATGCCAGACCAAGACAGTTGAATGACAAATTTTACCATTCTTCATGATTCAGACGACACCAATGCTTCTTAAAATGTCCAAGGCATAGAAAAAGAAGGATGTTTTCTAAACCTTATCTGTGAAATAAGAATAACATACAGTATACAGCTAAACCTACCAAAGACAGTACACCTACACAAACCTACAGAACAACTTCACTTATAAATATCTGTGAAAAATTCCTAAATAAAATACTGGCAAATAAAATTCAAAAGTACATGTAAAAATAATAATACATTATGACCAAGTAAAATTTATTTCAGGAATATAAGAAATCATGTTAATGTAATTCACAACATTAATAAATCCAATTTAAAAGTATATAATTAATTCTATAAGGGCTAATAGGTCTTCAACAAAATTCAATACCCATTTTAAATATATATTATATACGCCTTTCATAATAAATCACTGGATGCCTTTACACTAAGTCAGGAATAATGCCCTCTACCACCACTACTATTTACAGCTTCACTGGAGACATGAGCCATGGCCATCTGATAAAGGAAAACACTTAAAAGCATAAAAATTGTGTCAGGAATGAAGTAAAATTATCTCTCTTTTGCAGATTATATTATAGTGGACCTTCAAAACCTAAAAAAAACATGATAAAGCTGACACAAACAGTAAAGGAATTCAATAACGTATCTGAATATAAAATCAGCTTACAAAAGTAAATAGCCTTCATAAGCACAGCTGATAACCAGTTAGAATATATATTGAAAGAGAAAAACCCACTTATAATAGCAACAGTAAAAGATACTTAAACTTTAAAAAGAAAACTTTAAAACTCTCCTGAAAGACACCAAAATAGAGAAGACTAGAAAAATACAATTATCTTCCTTCTCCTTGGACAGGGCAACTTATTATCATAACTGTGCCAATTTTATCCAAGTTAGCATATCAATTTAATGCAATTTTAAGAAAAATCCCAACAACTTAGTTTTTTCTGTAGCTATATGAGTTAATTCTGAAGTGCATATGCAAAAGAAACCCCCACTTTTTAATGACTAGGAAAATCTACCTAAATAAGAGTAATGATAGGGGACAACCACTACTAGATAAAACTATAAAGATCAATAATTAAAACAGTATGGTACAGTCATATCAATAGACAAACCATTAGGAAATGGAAGTTACAAGTGAAAACTGGAACATCCTGGTAACATAAAACAAGCAAATACTTAAATACAAATGAGACAGATGAAAACAGCAAGGAAATCAGCTTACAAAGGTTACTCCTGGCTGCCTTTTCTAATGATTTGAACATAAAAAAGAATAATGACCCTAATGGATGAGTCCATAAATGTATTAAAAGGATAACGAGGAGGTTGAGGAAAGATCTTCTTTACAGAAGAATGCAAACTAATACACTCAGAAAAAAATGGTAGAATAAAGCTGCCATTTTCAAAAAAAAAGTAATCATTTATTTAGGCAAGGCTCATTAATGGGTGCTAAAATCATTATGTAAAATATGATATTCACATGTTCTCAATATGTTTACTCACATTGAACTTAATCATTACAAAGGAAAAAAGTACTTTTACACTGAAGAGCTCTGATAGATTTCATCTTAACCAAGTTATAAAACTTAGTATCATCCATAATTAAGTGGCCATGTCCCAGTTTACCTGGGTCATACCCTGGTTTCATCTGTTGTCTTAGAGTACTTACTTATTAACAGTACACCCTTTCACCCGCAAAAGTATACCATTTTGAGTGATAAATGATAGGGTCATTATCCTAATAATATACCTTCTAATAGAATACAATAAGAATTATACAAGATCATTTATATATTATTCTTGTCAAAATTTTAATTTTATCAGGAGGAAACACAATCAGAGAAATCTAAACCATGGGACATTTTATAAGACAATTACTTTGAGCTTTAAAAAAATGTCATTGTTACCAAATAAAAAAATCTTTGAGTGTGCTAATCATATTACGGGTAGGTAGGATAAAATCCTCATTTCTTAAGAGAGAAATGCTGGTGTCTTTAGATAACAAATAGCTGAGTCTTGCTTTTTTACCCAGTCTGATATGTTCTATTTTTAAATTGGAGTGTTTGGACCATTTATATTTAACATAATTATCAATGTATTTGGGTTTAAAGTTATTATTTTGCTGTGAGTTTTCTATTTGCCCCCTCTCTTCTTTGTTCTCTTATTCCTGTTTTCCTCCTGGTTTTAGATTGACTGAGTATTTTTTCATGTTTCATTGAACTCTCTAACTTGAATTAATAATATGTCTTTGTTTACTTATTTTACTTGTCACTCTATGGCTTTCAATATGCACAGTTAACTTATCCCAGGATACCACTTCATGTCTAATACATACACCCACCTGTCCCTCCCTTCCTTTGTCCTATTCTTATTAATATCACAATACACTATTATTTTGCTTCAAAAAGTCAAGAACAATTTTTAAAAATGAAAATAGTGAGTGCAAAAAGTATTTTCTATTTACTTACATGTTGACCATTTCTGGTGTTTTTTACTTCTTTATAAAAGTATGTTTCCATTTGGTATCCTTTTCCTTTAGCCAGAAGAATTCTTTTAACACTTCTTGTAGTGCAAGATTTTTGGTAACAAATTCTCTCAGCTTTGGTTTTATTGAAATAAAAACAGTTTTTTAACGGATTTTTTTTAAGAATACAAAATTCTAGCTTGACAGGTTTTCTCTTTTTTTTTTTTTTTCTTTCAGTGCCATTGTCTTTTGGCTTGCAAATTTCTGGTAAGAAGTCTGCAATCATTTTCACCTTTGTTCCTATACACAGTGATTCTCAGTGTGAGACAACTGTCCCCCCAAGGGACATTTGACAGTGTCCATAGACACTTTTTATTGTCACTTGATGGGGTGTGGTCACAGCCATTTAGTGGGTAGAGAATAAGGATGCTGCTGAACATCCTACAATGAACAGGACAGATTCTACAAACAAAGAATTACCCAGCCCAAATTCTCAATCTGCTGAGATCGAGAAACCCTGCTCTGTACAAAGTGTGTATATTTTAATTAGGCCAATTTTGGTATTTTTCTCTTTATCCCTAATTGTCAGCTATTTGATTAGGATTGGCCTTGATGTGTTTTCTGTCAGCATGCATGTGGGCCCTGCTTGGGATTTGTTGAGCTTCTTAGATACTCCCCAAGTATCTAAGAAGCTCCCCAAGTATATGTCTAAGAATATTCCCCAAGTATTTCCTCTGCCCACCTCTTTTTTCTATTTTTTTGCAACTCCAATTGTACATATGTTAGACCACGTAATATTATCCTACAGGTACCTGAGAATCCATTTTTTTCCGTCTTTTTTTCTCTGTGTGCTTCCTTTTAGATTCTGCTTCTGTGGATTAGGTTCACTAATCTGTTCTTTAGCAAAACAGGACCTGTTTGCTTTTCATACTATCCAATTTACTATACTTACTTTGTGCTGTACTCACTACAAGTCTATACACTGTTCCATGGTATAAGTAAACCACAGTCTCCTATATAATGCCCTGTGGGCAAAATAGCTAGCTATGCATTATAAACAATGCATCAATGTACACTTCTCCTTTCACTACATATAGGAAAGACTTTCTCTCAAGTATATAACCCAAATTACACTGCAAGTTTATAGAACATACAGAGCTTCAACTCTATTAGATGTTGCCACATTGCTACCAAAATATAAACTGGAGCATCATTTTATACAGCAAGTAACTGTAAACTACATGTTTCCCAAAACAACAAAATTAAATGAACTTTTGTACATTGATAGGATAAAATACCATGTAGCCATTGTAGGTCTTGTTGAGCAATATTTATCATATAATTTTATATTTAAAAAGCAGAAAAGGAAATAACACCATAAGATATATAATTAAGAGACTGATATTTTTAGTGTGCTTTGCATAGAAAAATGACTGAAAGTAAATATCACCAATCTTTTAACAGTCATTATTTCTGGATGATGAGATAATGAGTAGCAATTTTTTTTCTATTTTTATTTTTCTAGGTACCCTACATTTTTACACAAACATGTGTCCTTAAATAAAGCTAAAGTATTGATATCGATATTAAAAGAACTTTACAATAAATATTAAAACCTTGAAGAATGAAAAATACATGTTAAGGCTTATGATCAGAAAAAATATCAATAAAAGTGTTTGGGCTCTTTTTCTTAAAAAATCTTATCAGTACCTTCACCTACCTGCTTCCACTACCTCAGGTAACCCCCATCCTACTGCACTGGGTACAGATAGTATAGCCCATCAGCCTCAAGATTTCACAATATGAGAGAATATCACCCAAATGTTATCTAAGAAATTAAAATGTAGCTTTTTCTCCAGTACATAAAAACTATCTACCTCAACTCATAACTGTACTATATATTCAGCTGCTAATTCTTTCTGTTGCAAGTGATTCCCCAACATGTCAAAAATTCAGGTTACATGCTAGGATTTCTTACTAGAAAATGGGAGCTGGTCAAAGCATCACTGATCCAAGGGGACTAGAAAACACCGGATGCTAATACTGCCCCGTTGATATCCTGAGGCCCCTTTCTTCAGAATCAAGGAATTGAGCTTTCATTCAGACCTCAACAAAATAACACCTAAATATGAAATGATACCAGGAAATCAGTATAGTTCAGCTCTTTTGATACCTCTATTTAAAAGTATTCTGTCCATTAGTCGTTTATGGAAATGTCATACAAATTCACCACCTACAAAAGCAGCAAATGTTACTACTTGCATAGCAATTCTATTTAAGATTTGCAGAATTTAAACTATTTTAAAAATCATCTTTGGTTTGTCTGGCTGTTTTCTTCCTTTACCTTTATTTCCCAAATTTCATGAAGTAATAAGATGAAAAACCTCCCTATTTTTATGAAAGCATTTACATGCAATCAGCAAGTGAACAACAAGGCCACAAAGTCTATTTCCATTTGTGCAAGAAACAAAGAGGGGCTTTCAACCTAGAAATGTCAGGCTCCATTACTTCCTGTATGGTATGAAAATGCTACATCTGTTGATGTCAAAGATGGCAATATGTCTATCTACATATCAACATTGATGACTGTGGGATGCTTCAACAGATTCTTGGCAGATCACAGATAATAACTGTTTTCATAAATAGCCAACATAAAAACCAGTGCATGATAAAAACAAAAGTTGGATTTTCTATGACAAAAGAATCTAAACTGACTTTCTAAAAATTTACCAGTGAGCTTGCCTTTATCATTAGAATATTTTGCAAAGAGCCAGCGATCAGAAGAGAGATGGCCTTAGTTTCAGTAATGGCAAATTGCATGATATGGGTTTCGTTGCAGGCATGTTTGTGTGTGCGTGTGTGTTTTATGTTACTACATGATAACAAATATATGTGGCACAATAAAAGTGCTCAGAGACAAGTCCAAGTCCTTGTTGGATATCAGCCCAGAAAATTCTCTTTATAAAGATAAAGTTATATAGAATAAGAACTAGCAAAACAAAAATATACACTAAAAAGTTTAAAGGTTGTATTTTAAGCTACATTCCACACAGCCTGTTTGTTTGTAATTTCAGCTTCTAAGATGTCTACTATATATGCAGGACATTTGTTTGCATCTAAGTGAAAGACAAAAATCAATAAGGTATTTTAAAGCCTCTTTAATAAACACAAATATGCAATTTAAATATTAGACTCAACCTGAAAAGATAAACTTATCTTTGAGTTTTCCAAGATTTTTAAATACATGTGAAAATATTGTCCGGCCTCTGCAGTCAGAGATACAATATGATAAAGATCAAGGACATTTGCCTTACTCATTCCTAATCTCAGCCAAAAGGACAGCACCAGTTTCAACTACCCGAAAGAACATGGATAGCATCATGTCTCAAGTACAGCCGGAACCTGGTGCTAGTTCAAGTTCGGGACTCACTCTGTTTCTCCGCTCTGCTGATTATTCACCTCCTTATCTCTTATGCAACCCTACCTCTTCCACACAGGACACACAGTTTCCCACAACTCCTCACTTCCAAGACGGACAGCTATTTTTTACTAGCACCATAAAGAAAAAAAATTGGAGGAAGACTAATTTAGGTCAGTTTAGGCCATATATGCCTATTGCGGGATTGGATAACAGGGCTGTCCTAACCTGGAATGTTGCCTGCTCCTCACCCAGTCACTTTGGCAAGGGAGAAAAAGTCCTGTAAAAAAATAGTGATATCCACTGAATTCCATGGCAAAGAATTGAAGGAAGGGGCACTTTCCTAATTAGAAGGAGAGTCCTCTTACCAGAAGCTGGGAAGTTTGCTGGCCTACTTAATAATATATGTAAATAGACTAATACATTCTTACCAATTTTGGCTCATCAAAATAAATATTCATACAATATGCTGAAGTCTATTTCCTTCCAATTACTCAGGCTTTTAACAAAAAGTAAGGAAAGTAAAAAATATGTAAAATTCATTGAACACAAATTGGTCTCACCTAGGCAACCCTTAAAGGACCAGTTTTCATGGAGTCCAATTTAAACTGAGTCAGATCATAATTATCTGGTCTGGAAAAATATAACTCTCCTATATTCCCTGGTCCTTAATCTTATTGACTTCAATTTTCTTTTTTATCAATCTATTTCAACAAATCTCATTCTCACAGTTACCTTGAAAATGTTAAAAATCATCATTGTATTAGAAATTCTATATGATATTTTATGGACATTACTAATAAATGTGTTTATTTCAAAAAAGTAAACCATGATTTCAGGGATGTTTACTCCCATTTGTAGCAAACACATTTGATGAATATATTATAATTGCCACCACGACCATAAGTCATGTCATAAAAAGATTGTTTATAGCTGTGAAATTTATCCTTTTCAACTGAATTACAGATTTTTCATTTTAAATACACTCTGCAGTCTGAAAAATCTGGTGACATAGTTGTGACCAAATAGTCAATAGATCTTACTGTTTTGCAGGTGAGGAAGATGAAGACAGAAATAAATGTGCTTTAAAAATGTAATAAGGTGTGATGGTTAAGTTTATGTGTTAACTTGGCTGGGCCATAGGATGCCCAGATATCTAATTAAACATTATTTCTGGGTGTGTCAGTAAGAGTGTTTCCAGAAGAGATTAGAATTGAATTGGTGGACTGAGTAAAGCAGTGAGCTGTCTCCAGTGTAGATGGGTATCATCCAATCCATTGAGAGCTTGAATAGAAAAAAAGGGCAGAGGGAGGTTGGATTCGCTCTCTGCCTGACTGCTTGAGCTGTAGCATCCCTCTTCTTCTGCACTTGAACTAGGACTTACATCATTGGTGCTTTTGGTTCTCAGGCCTTTGGACTCAGACTGGAATTTACACCAGTGGCTTTCCTGGGTCTCCAGCTTGCAGACAGCAGATCCTAGGACTTCTCAACCTCCACAATCCCATGAGCCAACTCCTTATAATAAATCTCACTTATATGATATCATATATTTGAAATATATCATATATAATGAAATTTATTTCTCACCGTGTGTGTGTGTGTGTGTGTGTGTGTGTGTGTGTCTGTGTGTGTGCATGTGTTGTGTCTGTGAGTGCATATCTCCTGTTGGTTCTGTTTCTCTGGAGAACCTTGACTAACACATAGACTATTAACGGACACATTCTTAAATAGAGGACTAAATTAAATTCTGGCTTAGTCGCTGGAACATTCATCAACCAGTAAGGCTCAGAACTAACAAGTGTTTGTTAAATGCCTTCCTAAACAAATAAAAGGAAAAACGGGAATGCCACATTTTACTTCACAGCTGTTTTTTTTTTTCGTTTGCTTACTCTATCAAGGGAGTTTTTTAAATTATTGTTTTGAATAGCAAGTGCTCATTTGTGCACATCTCTAACCTTAATTTTCTGATTTTCTTAAGGATGAGTGGATCTGGTTCAGAACATCTGTGAACACAGAGGGAGTGGAAACTTCACTTTCAACATCATCAGCCAACTTCCCTCCCATTACAATTCTATCTCAAGATCAAGGTCATGCAACAAAACCAGCAGGTGTGATTCTTTCTCTCCGATCAACTCACTTTGTTTTTTCTATTTTTATGCTCTCTTGAGCACTGTATAATTAACTTCCATAATGGCTCTAAAACTACTAGGTAAACATATTTAACAAGCTTCTATCCATATTGATAGAGAGGAAATATGTTAACTATCAGATGTCAGAGAGGAAATATGTTAATGATCCTGGGATATACACCAATACTAATGGATTATTGGTAGAAATATCAATTGACTGCCCTGCAGATTCTAAGCCAACTTTGGCCACTTCTTCTTTGAAGGAAATGATGACAGTGATAAAAAAAAAAAAAAAAAAAAAAAAAAAGCAGCAAGCTCCTGCAGGCATTCCTGAGAAATTCAGAGGGATTTCCTGTACTCTGCAAAGACCATGACACAATGTGGCCATAATCCTAACTCTCATGCTGCTGCTGAAAGTGGAAGCAGAAGGATACAAACAAACCAAACCCTTGGTTCAAGCAACAAGCATTTATTGAATACCTGCTGTGTGCCAGAACTAGTCTAGGCACGTTGAAGGCAATTGATGCAGGACTTCCAATAGCTTCCCATCTCACTCAAAGTAAAGGCCAAAGACATTACAGGGACCTAGAAAGATCTTTCCTCCACTTCACTCCACTCTAGCCACAATGATGTCCATTCTGTTCTTCCAATACACTGTGCATAGTATCTCCTGAAAACCTTATCTCACATGGTTCTCTCCACCTAGGAAGCTCCAATCCCAGATACCTGCATGGCTTGACCTCTCTTTCCAACCAATCTTTACCCAAATACAGCCTCCTCAGAGAGGTCTTCCTGAGCCACATTTGCAAAGTTAAATCACCCCTATGCAGTTCCTAATCTATTTCTTTGCTTTACTTCCTTCCTTAACACTTGTCATTCTCTCACATAGTATATATCTCACCCATTATAATCTGTCTCTATAATTAGACTATAAAATTTAGGTAAGTGGGGCTTTGGGGTTTTGTTTTGTTCACTGCTAAATCCCAAAAAAAGAGCCTTGCACATAATAGCCATTTAATAAATATTTTTGCATTAATTGACTAATAAAATTTGTTACAAGGTTGGTATTATTTCTTCATTCCACTGAAGAAAAGAGGCCCAGAGATTAATTTATATAAGTTTCTAAAACAAGTAAATGGCGAAGCCCTTGTTATCTCCAGATTTATAGTCTAGGACTTAATCTTCTCTGCCACAGTGTGACAGCTACCTAGAAAGCACAGCGCAAAGAAAGATGTTAGAAATGGACATTGGAGGCAACCTCCATGTCCTAATGAGCAGGTGGGGGCATAGTGGAACGTGCATTATGTGATGTGATGCATAATTCATAAGGCTCCTGGACTTTGACTCACATCCTGTGCATAGTGGCAAGGGGCTGCAAATGGCTTCAGGTTGCTATCTTATCAATGAAAAACATTTTAAAAATTATAAATATTCCCTTCTCTAACTGATTAGTAAATATATACAGACAATCTAGGATTTTCCCCTGGCAAAGACCTCCTTTGCTTCTCCTCTGCTTTGTGTAGTATGAATCCCACTATGATATGAAATGAAGGTTTGAGCAGCATAGTGGTTGCATACAAATTCTTTGAGTTTCATCCCAGTGGAGGAGCTCCGTGTTGCAGAATAGGAAAGAGAGAAAGCTAAAATGATCAAAATATTCATCTTATACACATGGAAGGCTTTTTAATTTAATATTTTTCTTGGTCCCACACAACAGATTCATGTAGACACTAATCAGGTTTTAGTCACAGTCTTGCTGTGGATCTAATACTTCATAGAGTAGCACCTCACTCAAATGGGGGAACAAATATTTTTTAGTAAAGCCAGCTTCCTTAGCGTAACAGAACCAACTTGCTTTTGCTATTCCCTAAACAACTTTCCCTGGTTTATAATTTTCAGGTTCTATGATTCAAGACTCTTTTACTTGAAAGCAGTAGAAACCCAATGCAATTAGCTTGAGCAAAGAGGAATTTATTACAAATCTGAACATGTAAAAATAAAAAGGCCTAAGTAGATCTTAGTTACAACTGAAAAGAAGAATTTGTAATCTCTGAGACTCTCTATCTCCTATCCATGCTTCTCTCTACCCAGTATGTTGTTCCTTATGAACAGCTTCTTCCAGATGTTAAAAATATGGCCACCAGCTGCTTCTATATTTTCTTTATTTTTATTAGCATACTTTAAGTTCTGGGATACCTGTGCAGAATGTACAGGTTTGTTACATAGGTATATACATGCCATGATGGTTTGCTACACCCATCAACCCATTATCTACATTAGGTATTTCTCCTAATGCTGTTCCTCCTCTAGACCTCCACCCCCTGACAGGTCCCACCGTGTGCTGTTCTCCTCCCTGTGTCCATGTGTTCTCATTGTTCAACTCCCACTTATGAGTGAGAACATGTGGTGTTTGGTTTTCTATTCCTGTGTTAGTTTGCTGAGAATGATGGTTTCCAGCTTCATCCATGTCCCTGCAAAGGACATGAACTCATTCTTTTTTATGGCTGTATAATATTCCATGGTGTGTATGTGTCACATTTTCTTTATCCAGTCTATCACTGATGGGCATTTGGGTTGGTTCCAAGTCTTTGCTATTGTGAATAGTGCTGCAATAAACATACATTTACATGTGTCTTTATAGTAGAATGATTTATAATATTTTGGGTATATACCCAGTAATGGGATTGCTGGGTCAAATGGTATTTCTGGTTCTAGATCCTTGAGGAATCATCACACTGTCTTCCACAATGGTTGAACTAATGTACCCTCCCACCAAAAGTGTAAAAGTGTTCCTATTTCTCCATATCCTTTCCAGCATCTACTGTTTCTTGACTTTTTAATGATCACTATTCTAACTGGTGTGAGATGGTATCTCATTGTGGTTTTGATTTGCATTTCTCTAATGACCAGTGATGATGAGCTTTTTTTCATGTTTGTCAGCTGCATAAATGTCTTCTTTAGAGAAGTGTGTATTCATATCTTTTGTCCACTTTTTGATGGGGTTGTTTGCTTTTTTCTTGTAAATTTGTTTAAGTTCCTTGTAGATTCTGGATATTAACCCTTTGTCAGACGGATAAGCTGCAAAAATTTTCTCCCATTCTGTAGGTTGCTTGTTCACTCTGATGATAGTTTCTTTTGCTGTGCAGAAGCTCTTTCATTTAATTGGATCCCATTTGTCAGTTTTGGCTTTTGTTGTCATTACTGTTGGTGTTTTTGTCATGAAGTCTTTGCCCATGCCTATGTGCTGAATGGTATTGCCTAGGTTTTCTTCTAAGATTTTTATGGTTTTAGCTCTTCCATTTAAGTCTTTTATCCATCTTGAGTTAATTTTTGTATAAGGTGTAAGGAAGGGGTCCAGTTTCAGTTTTCTGCATATGGCCAGCCAGTTTTCCCAACACCATCTATTAAATAGGGAATCCTTTCCCCAATGCTTATTTTTGTCAGGTCTGTCTAAGATCAGATAGATGTAGATGTGTGGTGTTATTTCTGAGGCCTCTGTTCTGTGCCATTGGAATATATATTTGTTTTGGTAGCAGTACCATGCTGTTTTGGTCACTGTAGCCTTGTAGTATAGTTTGAAGTCAGGTAGCATGATGCCTCCAGCTTTGTTCTTTTTGTTTAGTATTGTCTTAGCTATATGAGCTCTTTTTTGGTTTCATATGAAATTTAAAGTAGTTTTTTCTAATTCTGTGAAGAAGTCAATGGTAGCTTGATGAAGATAGCATTGAATCTATAAATTACTTTGAGCAGTATGGCCATTTCACGATATTGATTCTTCCTGTCCATGAGCATGGAATGTTTTTCCATTTGTTTGTGTTTTCTCTTATTTCCTTGAGCAGTGGTTTGTAGTTCTCCTTGAAGAGGTCCTTCACATCCCTTGTAAGCTGGATTCCTAGGTGTTTTCTTCTCTTTATAGCAATTGTGAATGGGAGTTCACTCATGATTTGGCTCTCTGCTTGTCTGTTATTGGTGTATAGGAATGCTTGTGATTTTTGCACATTGATTTTGTATCCTGAGACTTTGCTGAAATTGCTTATCAGCTTAAGGAGATTTTGGGCTGAGACAATGGGGTTTTCTAAATATGCAATCATGTCAGCTGCAAACAGAGACAATATGACTTCCTCTCTTCCTATTTGAATATGCTTTATTTCTTTCTCTTGCCTGATTGCCCTTGCCAGAACTTCCAATACTATGTTGAATAGGAGTGGTGAGAGAGGGCATCCTTGTCTTGTGCCAGTTTTCTGAGGGAATGCTTCCAGCTTTTGCTCATTCAGTATGATATTGGCTGTAGGTTTGTCATAAATAGCTGTTATTATTTTGATATACGTTCCATCAATACCTAGTTCATTAAGAGTTTTTAGCATGAAGGGTGTGAATTTTATCGAAGGCCTTTTGTGCATCTATTGAAATAATCATGTGGTTTTTGTTGTTGGTTCTGTTTATGTGATGGATTAGGTTTATTGATTTGTGTATATTGAACCAGCCTTGCATCCCAGGGATGAAGCCGACTTGTTTGTGGTGAATAAGCTTTTTGATGTGCTGCTGGATTCAGTTTCCCAGTATTTTATTGAGGATTTTCACATTGATATTCATCGGGGATATTGGCCTGGAATTTTTTGTTGTCTATGCCAGGTTTTGGTATCAGGATGATGCTGGCCTCATAAAGTAAGTTAAGGAGGAGTCCCTCTTTTCCTATTGTTTGGAATAGTTTCAGAAGGAATGGTAACAAGTCCTCTTTGTACCTCCAGTAGAATTTGGCTGTCAATCTATCTGGTCCTGGGCTTTTTTTGGTTGGTAGACTATTAATTACTGCCTAAATTTCAGAACTTGTTATTGGTCTATTCAGGGATTCGACTTCTTCCTGGCATAGTCTTGCAAGGGTGTATGTGTCCATGAATTTATCCATCTTCTCTAGACTTTCAAGTTTATGTGTGTAGAGGTGTTTATAGTATTCTCTGATGGTAGTTTGTATTTCCGTGGAATCAGTGATGATGTCCTCGTTATCATTTTTATTGTGTCTATTTGATTCTTCTCTCTTTTCTTATTTATTAGTCTTGCTAGTGATCTATCAATTTTGTTGATCTTTTCAAAAAACCAGCTCCTGGATTCATTGATTTTATGAAGGGTTTTTTGTGTCTCTATCTCTTTCAATTCTGCTCTGATCTTAGTTATTTCTTGTCTTCAGCTAGCTTTTGATTTTGTTTGCTCTTGCTTCTCTAGTTCTTTTAATTGTGATGTTAGGATGTCAGTTTTACATCTTTCCCACTTTCTCCTGTGGGTGGGCATTTAGGGCTACAAATTTCCCTCTAAACACTGCTTTAGCTCTGTCCCAGAGATCTGGTACATTGTGTCTTTGTTCTCATGGGTTTCAAATAACTTATTTATTTCTGCCTTAATTTTGTTATTTATCCAGTAGTCATTCAGGAGCAGGTTGTTCAGTTTCTATGTAACTGTGTGGTTTTGAGTGAGTTTCTTAATCCTGAGTTATAATTTGATTGCACTGTGGTCTGAGAGACTGTTTGTTTTGATTTCCGTTCTTTTGCATTTGCTGAGGAATGTTTTACTTCCAATTATGTGGTCAATTTTAGAATAAGTGTGATGTGGTGCTGAGAAGAATGTATATTATGATGATTTGGGTGGAGAGTTCTGTAGATGTCTATTAGGTCTGCTTGGTCCAGAGCTGAGTTCAAGTCCTGAATACCCTTGTTAATTTTCTGTCTTGTTGATCTGTCTAATATTGACAGTGGGGTGTTAAAGTCTCCCACTATTATTGTGTGAGAGTCTAAGTCTCTTTGTAGGTGTCTAAGAACTTGCTTTATGAATCTAAGTGCTCCTGTATTGGGTGCATATATATTTAGGATAATTAGCTCTTCTTGTTGCATTGATGCCTTTACCATTATGTAATGCCCTTCTTTTTTGCCCTTCTTTTTTGATCTTTGTTGGTTTAAAGTCTGTTTTATCAGAGACTAGGATTGCAACCTCTGCTTTTTCTTTTGTCTTTTTATTTCTTCTTTTTTTTTCTTTTTTTTGCTTTCCATTTGCTTGGTAAATCTTCTTTCATCTCTTTATTTTGAGCCTGTATGTGTCTTTGCATGTAAGATGGGTCTCCTGATACAGCACACTGAGGGGTCTTCACTCTTTATCCAATTTGCCAGTCTGTGTCTTTTAATTGGGGCATTTAGCCCATTTACATTTAAGGTTAATATTGTTATGTGTGAATTTGATCCTGTCATTTTGATGCTAGCTGGCTATTTTGCCCATTAGTTGATGCAGTTTCTCCATAGTGTCAAAGGTCTTTACAGTTTGGTATGTTTTTGCAGTGGCTGATACCAATTTTTCCTTTCCATATTTAGTGTTTCCTTCAAGAGCTCTTGTAAGGCAGGCCTGGTGATGACAAAGTTTCTCAGCATTTGCTTGTCTGTAAAGGAATTCATTTCTCCTTCGCTTATGAAGCTTAGTTTGGCTGGATATGAAATTCTGGGTTGAAAGTTCTTTTCTTTAAGAATGTTGAGTATTGTCAACCAGAGCCCCCACTCTCTTCTGGTTTGTAAGGTTTCTGCAGAGAGATCCACTGTTTGTCTGATGGGCTTCCCTTTTGTGGGTAACCCGATCTTTCTCTCTGGCTGCCCTTAACATTTTTTCCTTCATTTCAACCTTGGTAAATCTGACAATTATGTGTCTTGGGGTTGCTCTTCTTAAGGAGTATCTTTGTGGTGTTCTCTGTCTTTACTGAATTTGAATGTTGGCCTGCCTTGCTGGGTTGGGGACGTTCTCCTGGATAATATACCGAAGAGTGTTTTCCAACTTGGTTCCAGTCTCCCCATCACTTTCAGGTACACCAATCAAATGTAGGTTTGGTCTTTTCACATACTCCCATATATCTTGGAGGCTTTGTTCATTCCTTTTCATTCTTTTTTCTCTAACCTTTTCTTCACGGTTTGTTTCATTAAGTTGATCTTCAATCTCTGGTATCCTTTCTTCTGCTTGATTGCTTTGGCTATTGATACTTGTGTATGCCTCACAAAGTTCTCGTGCTGTGTTTTTCAGCTCCATCAGGTCATTTATGTTCTTCTCTACACTGATTATTCTAGTTTAGCAATTTGTCTAACCTTTTTTCAAAGTTCTCAGCTTCCTTCCATTGGGTTAGAACAAGCTCCTTTAGCTCAGAGGAGTTTGTTATTACTCGCCTTCTGAAGCCTACTTCTGTTAGTTAATCAAACTTATTCTCCATTCAATTTTGTTCCTTTGCTGGTGAGGAGTTGTGATCCTTTGGAGGAGAAGAGACATTCTGGTTTTTGGAATTTTCAGCCTTTTTGTGCTGGTTTCTCCCCATCTTTGTGGATTTATCTACCTTTGGTCTTTGATGTTGGTGACCTTCAGATGGGGTCTTTGAGTGGATATGCTATTCCTTTCTGTTTGTTAGTTTTCCTTCTCACAGTCAGTCCCCTCTGCTTCAGGTCTGTTGGAGTTTGCTGGAGGTCCACTCTAGACCCTGTTTGCCTGGGTATCACTAACAGAGGCTGCAGAACAGGAAAGATTGCTGCCTGTTCCTTCCTCTGGAAGCTTCGTCCCAGAGGGGCACCCACCAGATGCCAGCTGGAGCTCTCCTGTATGAGGTTTCTGTTGACCCCTGCTGGGAGGTGTCTCCTAGTCAGGAGGCATGGCGGTCAGGGACCCATTTGATGAGGTAGTCTGTGCCTTAGCAGAGCTCGAGTGCCAGGCTGGGAGATCTGCTGCTCTCTTCAGAGCCACAAGCAGGAATCTTTAAGTCTGCTGAAGCTGCACCCACAGCTGCCCCTTTGCCCAGGTGCTCTGTCCCAGGGAGATGGGAGTTTTATCTATAAGCCCCTGACTGGGGCTGCTGCCTTTCTTTCAGAGGTGCCCTGCCCAGAGAGGAAGAATCTAGAGAGGCAGTCTGGCTACAGTGGCTTTGCAGAGCTGTGGTGGGCTCCTCCCAGTTTGAACTTCCTGGAGGCTTTGTTTACACTGTGAGGGGAAAATGGCCTACTCAAGCCTCAGTAATGGTGGATGTCCCTCCCCCGACCAAGCTGGAGCGTCCCAGGTCAACTTCAGACTGCTGTGCTGGCAGCAAGAATTTCAAGCCACTGGATCTTAGCTTGCTGGGCTCCATGGGGTTGGGATCTGCTGAGCTAGACCACTTGGCTCCCTGGCTTCAGTCCCCTTTCCAGGGCAGTGAACAGTTCTGTCTCACTGGTGTTCCAGATGCCCCTGGGGTATGAAGAAAAACTCCTGCAGCTAGCTTGGTGTCTGTCCAAACAGCCACCCAGTTTTGTGCTTGAAACCCAGGGCCCTGGTGGTGTAGGCACTGGAAGGAATCACCTGGTCTGTGGGTTGCAAAGACCATGGGAAAAGCATAGTATCTGGGCCAGAATGCACTGTTCCTCATGGAATGGTCCCTCACAGCTTCCCTTGGCTAGGGGAGGGAGTTCCCTGACCCCCTGTGCTTCCCAGATGAGGCAACGCCCCACCCTGCTTCTGCTTGCCCTCTGTGGGCTGCACCCACTGTCTAACCAGTCCCAATGAGACGAGCCAGGTATCTCAGTTGGAAATGCAGAAATCACCCTCCTTCTGTGTTGATCTCACTGGGAGCTACAGACCTGGAGCTCTTCTTACTCAGCCATCTTGCCAGCCACCCCAGTCTCTGCTTCTATATTTTATATCTCACAGCTTGGCCATTGTCTGGGGACTCTATCTCTTTCTCCTTCTTCAGTTTGCAAACTCCAAGGAAGGATTCTGATTGGGCGGGTTTGAAAGCCCACTCTTGGATCCCAATCATCTGTGGCCAGATTGGAGTCAACAATGAAATGGCCACTCCATTCAACTTCCACAAGCGGAGTGTGTAAGAGAACATTTCCTAGAAGAAGGGGTGTTGCTGTTACCACAGACCTCAAAAGCAGAAAGACAGGCAGGGATGGGGGCTGAATAACCAAAAAACTGATGTTTCCCACACAGGCCTGCTTTTCAGGACCCCAGCATCTACCATGTACCCTCTCCTGTTAAATTTTCCCTCCAAATTTCTTCCAGTCCACTAATCTACTACTTGTCTTAGTCCATTTGGGCTGCTATAATAAAATACCGTAGATTCATAATTTATAAAGAAGAGAAATGCATTTTTCACAGTTCTAGAGACAGAGAAGTACAAAATCAAGATGCCAGCAGATTCAGTGTCTGGTCAGGGCTTTCTCTCTGCTTCAAAGATGGCACCCTCTCGTATTAGAAAACAGCAAGTGAGCTGCTTCAAGCCTCTTTAATAACGGCATCAATCCCATTCAGGAAGGTGGAGCCCCCATGACCTAATTGCCTCCCAAAGGCCCCACCTCTTATACTATCCCATTGGAGATTACATTTTAAACATATGAATTTTGGGGAGACAAACATTCAGACCACAGCATTACTTTTCTATTAAAGTACCAAAAAAAGACTTCATCAGAGACCAAGACATAAATAGCCCATTTCCATCAATAAATTAAATGAGTTCCTGTGAAGGTTTCCAACAGCTGATATTTAGATACATCAGTTTTACTTGAGCCCTTTTAGTCCATTTTCATCAACCCTCAGCGGAAGTTAACTGGAATGAAGTGTACATGACTGAATCTAAAGTTTTTACTGAAACAAGCTTTTTATGGAATTATTTCACCGGGATGTCTATCCATGATACTTGTTTGTGCTCTCTGCTCCCCTATGTACACTAAAACAGACCCAGTAGGTCTCCTGTCATCTCAGCACGAGGTACCAGTGCCTTTGGTTCATGCATTTGTTTCTCTGGTGTACCTGCTGTAGGCTGATATTCACTGATATTGCATCTAATGATCATCACACTTTTGGAAATTCATGAACTTGTAATAATCGGCCCTAGCCTTAACATCACTTTCCTTTGTGATTTATGTGGACAATATGTGATCCAGGAAAAATTAAAAGATACAAAATTGTACCTATATTTTGCCAGAAATAAGTCATAAAGTAAACTACAATCGCATACACTTATACACGCTCACACAGCCTCTCTCATACACACAGAGATGCACACTTATCTCTCTCTGTGCTTCACAATAACTGCATTAAGGAATTTCAGATTATCTTGGAAGAAAATAATTTTTTTCTAAACAGAAGCTTTAAGAAATTTTTACTGATTTTTTGCAAGGGGTCTCTAAACATGCTCAGCTTCTAATAAAGCTAGTGTTGATTCTATTCAACAACATGATTTACTTCATCCTAGTACATATGAGAAAAATCAGAGTCCAGTGATACTACAGATTTGTAGAAGATGGTATAGCACACCAACAGAAAAATTGCACTTGCTGTACTACAAATGGCAGCTCTTCAAAATACAGTAATTTTCCTAATAGCCACAGAACAAAGCAAACAAAATTCCATCTGTTAAGCAATACCCAAGAGTGATTTCCATTTTCATCTCAACCACAGAAATCCCTCTATTAAAAAGAGACATAGCCATGGTCATTGGCAAGCACATCTTTGTGCATCAGTTTCATTATTTGCAGTTCATTAGCCTCCAGAGGTGACACATTTGCTAGGAACCATGCAAAGGAAAGCCTGACATGGTTCCCACACCATGGGGCTTACAATCAAGAAGAAACAGCTAGGAAATATTCAGCAAGAGCAAAAATAGAAGTAAAGAGATGGCACAGAGAGGAGAGAAATTCAAAAAGGGAATTTAAGGCATGGAGAGAAAGGGCATTGAAATTTGAATTCCTCTTCAGGGTTAAGTTCATCATCCAATATTAGAAAGGAGCTCAAATGCTTGAGGAAATACAATATTCTAGTGGACCAGAAGGAAAAGGTGGAAATAAAAGAAATGGTAAATTCCTTCACGTCAGAGGCAGTAGTTTAATCTCTACAATCTTTAACCAAAGAGTAGCAACACGAAACACATAGTAGGCTCACAATAATTGTCAAATAAAAGGATTAGTGGAACTACTTTTTAGAGCTGCATTGCTTAAAGATTTTTCTGAAGCACATTGTGCAAGCTAAGTGGTCTGTAGACAAAAGGCTTTGTGGTCAAGTAAGTTCACTAGTGCTGTCCAATGTCACTTACAAGATGCATGAGGCCCAAGGGCATATTAAAGCCTCAGAGAAATCCAGCAGTAGAGAAATTTTTAGATGTATTAACCCTATTTCTCTCAACTCATATGACCTCAGAATCTTTCTGGAGTTTTTTGGGTTTTGTGTTTTGTTTTTCATATATCACCTGTTGGCAACCCAAGACTCTATTCTCATGCGCAGACTTTGAGAAATACTGCCTTTAAAAGCCTTAGAAAGCAAGGGCAGAGAATATAAGAAATGTGTTTTTAAAAAGACTGTTAGCTTCAAGAGGTCAAAGACTGTGTCTGTTTGACTTTCTGGTTGTACCTCCAGAGCCTAAAATAATAGCCAGACAAAAAGTGGTCAGTAAATATTTGATGAGTGAATGAAGGGAGGAAGAAGGGGAAAAGGTTAGGATAATTGGTTAACCTACTGGATCCTGGTCTGTTAGCCAAGATAAGGGAGATAATTAGTCCGGTAATTGACAGGTTGAAGTTGTGGCAACTGTAGAAAATCTAGATGGAAATTTCCTGTTGGACGGATGGCACTCAAACCAAACTCAAGATCTGAGATACAGCTAATCAATTTGGATTATTATCTATCTTAGTCCAATTGGGCTGCTATAACAAATATATCATAGACAGGGTGGTTTAAACAACAAACATTTATTTCTCACAGTTCTGGAGACTGCAGGGTGCCATATAGTTGAGTTCTGGTGAGGGCCTGCTTCCTGGTTCGCAGAAGGTCATCTTCTCACTGTGCCCTCACGTGGTGGAGAGACAAGAGAGCTCTCTGCAGTCTCTTATAAGAGCACTAATCCCATACCTGAAGGTTTAGCCCTCATGACCTAATCATCCCCCAAAGTCTCCACCTCCTAATACCATCACAGTGGAGATTAGGTTTCAACATAGGAGTTCTGAAGGGACACAAATATTCAGCCTTTAGCAGTGTCCTTTAAAATAGAAAAGCAAAATGAACCAAGCACACATGCCTGAAAAAAAACAGTTAGTTGCCAAGGTGTAGTTAACGTCATTGGAAGGGGTTCATCCACTGTCCTCCCACATATTTTCCCACCCTAACCCCAATCTCCCCTCTGCTCTTTGTCTTGTTTTCCCTACCTGAGAAAATGGCACACAACTATCCTGCCCCACAGTGCAGAAACCTGAGGCTTATCCTCCTTTGCAAGGCCTCTCTCATCAACACTTATTGACTCCAGCCAGAAACCTGACTTCTGTTGGATGTTGAATGATTAGCACCAATACATGGAATAAATAATACCAATGACAATATTATTCTGTCTTTAGATAGCACTCTACAGCACATTTTCAAAGATACTATCTCTAATTCTGAAAAGAATCCTGTATCCTACATCATTATGTCTCAGAGGAGAAAACTGAAAATACCTAACTTTACTCAGTGCACACAACCAATGAGAAACAGATCTAGGAATGGAAACAAGGGAACAGTGTGTTGTTTCTTTCACAATTAATTAAAAGATATGCACGTAGCACTTAAGCCCTAGAAACTCTATGGAATCAAAGAAATGTAAGGCTTAACCATTTTCAAATTCTGGCTCCCTGAAAATATCAGCAAACCAACTTGAATATATGCAGAGCAGAAATTATTACTTATCACAGTAGGGCAGAACTCTCCCTTGATGTGGTCTTAGTAACACATTGGAAAGGACAGGTGAAGTTGGGATATTTGTAAGGTTTTGGAGTCCAGACACTAAGACATTTTTCAGTGTTGGGGCTTAACTGGGATTGAGTAAAGATCATGGTACAATAGTCTAGGATCAGTGGACAAAGCAATGAGAAAGCTTTGATGCACAAGAAGTACTGGAGAGTAAACAGCAACTTAAGGCTATGTATTCTGCAATGCTCATTTAAGTGGATTTTTGCAGAATGGCCCTGGTATAAACAATAATATTATTTTCATCTCCTTAGGCAAGAGTCTCCTAGAATGGTAAAGACATGTTGATGAAAACAGTGGAATAGTAAAATTAGTAAAGACAAACAAATAATACAATCATGTTAATATAGACAACAAGTACATGAGTATAAACAATTTTAGTTCTCACTACCAAAGTGGTATTGTATGGAAGAAAGAACAGAAATCCAGACCTAGATTTGAAAAAACACTTCCCACATATTGCCTTTGTAAGCTTGGCCAAGTTACTTAACCTCTCTGAAAACCATCACACAATGTAATATTGAGATGCTTTGTAAAAATAATAAGAACAAATAAATGCAATCCATTAGACCTTAGGAAAGAAAGAAAATAACCTAAACCAGGAGTATTTTGAGGCAATGGTGGAATACACAGGTGGATCTAATTTCACATTCTGGTGATGAAAACACGATCAAGGAAAATATCTTTATCAGTAAGCGAACATTTGCTAGGATCCATGCCTTTACATTTTTTCCCATTTGAGTGCCATTTTTTGATGGAATGGTATGACAAAGAATCTTTTAACTGTATGAAAGGGAAGGAAGAAAAGGATGAGGCAATTCATCACAACTTATTAATAAACAAATTTTACCCTGCTTAGCAAGATTATATTTTAAATCAAATGTTTGAGCTAATTATAATCATACTAAGCTCCACTTGAGTTCTACTAGTGTGCTGACCCTTTACCCTGTTGAACGTCAGCTAGTGCCAGGCCCTAAAGCAGATATACTAACACTACCTCCTTTAAAGTGTTAACTGAGCTAGAACAAAACTCCCTTTTACAGAAGTACTGATTTTCTTATCGCTTTCAAATATGGAAAATACATGGCAGATCAAATATGAATTCCATGATCCCCAATTGAAACATGAGACTCCAAGAAATATGAGACCAACTTATTGAAAATGATGCAAGAAAATAATGAGAAAATATTTCCTTTTTGAGTGACAAAACACCATAAAGAAAATGTTAAGGAAGCTAGTTGTTCAATCATTGAAATGGCATAACTTGTGACACAAAAGAATTGGAACCAAAAAGTCCTGTCATCCTTTGGAGAAGGAAAAAAGCAATAAATAAAGTGGTTTTGCACCATGTGGCAGCCTATCCCCAGATCTGAATCGGAAATAGAGACTTTAGAAAATAAAGGCTCTGTTACTATTGACCAAACTGAAAGGTTAGATACCGAAACTCATCGTATTGACTTTGACAAAATTCACATACTTTGTTATGACAATAAACTCATTAAATTAAAACCAAAATTGGAATTGAAATAGTGCAGACACCAAGAACCAAAAAACATTATAGAAACTAAGGACCTAAATTTCTCCCCAGAGGAGGTAGAATTGAAAATCATTGCTGTAATGAAATATGAAGAGATGAAGTTTGGGAATACAACAAAGAAACTTTTTTCTTATTTAAAAGACGGTTTAATAGAATACAAATACCAATGTCTTGGAAGGAGGTACTTCCTGGCTAACCAAAACATTATGTTCATGGCAATCAAATGTTAATTAGAATTAAGGAGTAAGAGGCAAACATCTGAAAAAAAAAGTTTTAAAACTTAAGTCAAGCAAAGTTTCAAGGGACTTGAGAGTTTCGATGGGACTTATTTCCCATGCTCTGCGGTTTAAAAATATTATAATCACTTTCTACTCATGAAATTATTAGGTCAGTGCAAAAGTAACTGCAGGAATTGGCAAAAGCTGCAATTACTTTTTACCAACGTGCTACATTGTGCCGGGCCAGTCCTACAGTAGCAAAATTGCTGCCCACTCGTATGATCTGATCTGAAGAAATATCAAAACCCACCAGCCAAAATATAGCCCTGCCAGTCTGCCATTGCCTTATTCTCCCATTCTCTTTGGCCTGCAATTCACTCAATAAACTCATTGACTATAAGGCTTTTGGGGGCCCCTGAGATCATCTCATGTATGTAACTCCAGCAGAAGAGTTGAATGCAGAAACTGAGAAATATTCAAAGTAAGACCAGTTATCTTAGTGGGTAGTTGTTCTTGTCTACCGTAGTTAACAACGTGAATATCTTATGTTTGGAAATAAAATGTTCCCTCCTTCTTTGTCCTTCCCATGTTACTCTCCCATATGCTAGCAACCTCTCCACTCCTTGATAACTGTCACAATCTCTCCTCTGTCTTCAAATCTCCAACACAGAACATGCTTCAGAGCTTTTCTAGATTTTGAAATTGGCTGTGGTAAGGTTCCAAAATAACGAAAAATATGATTCCAGATTTTCTACCCTGGCAAATTTATGGAAAGCAATTTGACTACCACTATTATATCATCAGACAATGACAATGTTTACAGTCCCCCTAGAGAGATGATTTGCAAGAACTTCTTCACTGTTATTTAGAAGGTATAGTCTTCACCTTTACAAATGTTTTACATTTGGTTTTACAAATATTCCACTTTACTGGGCCTATGCTGAAATGGTTTGAATATCCAACTCATCACCAGCTAACAGCAGGGAACACAATGGTAGTTAAATAGAGATCTCAGACATCACTATAAACACACTGGAAAGCTCTAGTCACTTCTTAAGATGTCATTATAATATAATACATTCACTTCAACATAAGAACCATCTGAGAATTGGTTGTGGGGCAAATAAAATCAAATTGTAGGGACTCCCATGTTAGATGGACCTTCAAATCTTTAATTAGGACAAAGTAAGGATTATTTAAAATTGCCATTTCTCTAGCAAATTTTTTTAATTAAGCACAGGTGCAAGAACACTAGATATATGAAATCATAGAGGTGCCAAAGGAAGCTATTTTCTTGGCAATTGAACATAAAGAATTTATTTTGAAAATCCTATCTGTAGAAAGTAAAAATCTATCTGGTATGGATAGCATAAATGAAATCCTGTGAGTAGCTTCTTAAATTGTACACTTAGAAAAATGAAGGGGAAAGGCATAGAAGTATTTCCTAGCAAGCTAAATGTATGAATATCAGGAACAGTGAGGATAGGAATAGAAATATAGTAGGTAAATACATGCAATAAAGCTGTGTAAAATATAGCTTTAGGTAAACCAAATCGCTTGGTTATAAAATTGAATTCTTCTGTTAAGAAAAAGTTATCTCCTGGATTTGCAGCAATAAATTTAAGTAGCAGAAGAAAGTCAAAGTGAAAGTAACTAAATCCAGATCTTTGAGAAATGTAGGACATCAAATTTCCAACAAAAAATATTTACTGACTAGTCCCAATTTTAGGCACTTGGAAAGAACAAAAAGGATACCATTTTAATGTACAGGTTAACAACTCTCAAGGGTCTTATCCATGGAAATACTTAAAATCTTGGCTTTACTTGTTTTCACCTTTATTTCTAATTTATTCTCAAACTGTTTTTTTCTTCTATAAAGAGAAGAAATTTCTAGGAAAAAATCCTGACTTAGTGTTAGCAGCTCAACATGTTAAATATGTCATCTCTAATACTTTTTATAGCTCACAGTAAATCAGTATGTATTGGTCAACAATATTCAAACTAATATTTTTTTTATGAAAACATTTGAGAAATGGTAGTATAAATCTCAGGGAACTGGCTTGGTAACACAATGTGTTTGGTTACCATGTGCATGTCATAATAAAAACAAAGTTTTCAATGTACTTGACATTCCACAAAGCATATGAAATGTTTTTTCTTAGTTATGTCAGCAATGAATATGTAGTAAGTGGCTCATTTAGCCCAAGATTAGGAGAACTTCTTTTTTTAATTTCAAGTTTTGTGATTTTACGTATTCTTTGGAATTCTCTTCCCTGGCTTGCCAGTCAGCAAAAAGTATAAACCTTAGAAGCAAACAGCAAAGTTGGCACTGTGAAATCAGTAGCCACTCACTCTGATACTTGATGGATGCAGGGTCTTTATATAAAGCCATCTGCATACCTATGGCTGTGAAAGTCACCAAATAGAAGAAAAACATAAACTAAGAGAAAACTCTCAACTGATGTTCTCATTCACATCAACTAGGGTGAAGGTCCATTAGGCAAATGACCCATTGTTTTTCTCTGTCTGTAGAAATAGCTTCCCAGATACCAAAAGAGAAAGAAAGAGCCATGGAGCAACTGATGGGTTGTAGAGCTCATTGCACATGCCACCTCAACCCAGGCCATGACTTCTCAGGCTTGCTGGATAAGTCTCACAGGACAGGGAAACCAATGGCCTAGAGTGAGTGGGAGCTTAGAGGCTGAAATACTGATCCTTAGCCCTTCACTCAAGGGATGCTGGAACAATAGCAAATTCAGATAGGAAGCAAGTCACCCAACCAAGATGAAAACAAATGAAGAATCAATGTACATTAAGGCCATTTTTTTAATAGACTGATAGCACCCATGAGAGAACCTTTGTGAAAAGCAGCAAAAGAACTCTTTCTGTAACTAAGCAGGAGACGTTGAAAGAAATACTACCCACAGCATTAGCAAGAGAAAAACAACACATAACCAGATCAGATGCAATCATGTATTCAAGCATTTATTACAGACACCTGGCACCTACTAGATAGTTAGTGAATGTTAACTCTCTCCACACCAAGATGAAAAATATACATAACTGAAAGTTGATATAAGATTAAGGACAGTTTTTTTCAAACCTTACTTGTTATCACTGTTCTATTCATCTATATCTTACTTTTAAAACAAAATCTTGGAAGAAATATATGTTCCCATCATAACTCATTCAGAGTTCAATTTGCATTGGATTAAAAGCCCATTGCCAGTTATGATGAAGAAGTTCTAGAAAATAAGCCAGTTCTAAACAGACACTATTGAATAGGAGACATACCAAATGCGACTCCAAATTATCATGGGTGTTACATTATGAAGGTGATCGTTCTTTGATCACTCATTTATTCATTCAACAGGATACATATATTGCATACTCATGGCTAAGTAGTAGAAACTAAAATGTGTAAACATGGAGCATATAATGTGATAATATATGTAAAAATTCTTTCAAAAGTGAAAAATGCCATAGAAATGCCAAAGTTGAAGATGATGGTGATGTAATCATATCCTTGGGGGAGAGGCAACATAGTCTCTTTAAATAAAGGAAAAGCTTGTCTGTTTATTAATTATATAAAAGGAATAATTTATATTCATAATCTATTTAGATTTCTAAGTAGCTAGAGAATTATTCCATAAAAAGTTGATTGTTCTGTTTCAAATTAGTTAACATAGGATTATGGGGAATGCTTTATTTGAATGAGACAATGGTAAAAAGAAGACCTTTCTTGGTATAGAGAAGCATTAATTACAATCATCTTATTGGACAGTTTTATAAATCACTCAAAAGAAACTTCAGAGTGAAGTCTTCCTATTTGCAGACAGCGCTCAGCTTCCAGGCATCTAAATAACAAGCTGCCTGGCATCAATTAAATCTGAAGAGACTGTGGCATGAAAATTGACAAATGAGTTTAACTATCATGAATAAAAGAGCAAAATAATAAAACAGTGGCTTTTGAGAGGATGGGCTCCAATGAAAAAACAGAAGAGAACCTGTTGTGACATTATTGTTATTGCCTGTTTGTGCATGAATATTGTTGTTGCTGTTCATATTGTCCTCTCTTCAATTGAGTTATATACATTGTTGTTTTGACAGGTGTCAAGACATTTTAAGATGTTGTCAATTTGCCAAGGAA
Source organism: Homo sapiens (assembly GCF_000001405.40). NCBI lineage: Eukaryota > Metazoa > Chordata > Mammalia > Primates > Hominidae > Homo > Homo sapiens. Next base: position 60,093,403 of record NC_000008.11, read on the forward strand.
ATGAAAGATTGTTGTGAATATGGCAAGATGTGAAAACAATGGAGGACTAGGTTTGGTATTAGTGAGGCAGATATTTGTCATTGGAGGAAATACTACAATTCCATATTTTCTTTGAGAGCAACTACAAAATTCATTTTGCAACATAAGAAAGGAAGGTGCTCACAAGTGACAGAGCTGTGATGTCTTGTTACTGAGCAATGTGCAAAATGCTGGCTTATCACACACTACATAATGCGACTGAGGGCAGGAAACACTGCCAACCCCTTCAAATACAAGAAAGAAGTTCAAATGCAAAAATAGGCTAAGGAGGTCTAATTTTGCATTACTTGGGGTTATTGGTAAGACATTGAGTCATGGTCTAATTGGCAGGTTTTTTTCCTTTCATGTGAAAATAAGATTTTTTTTTACAACTAATAGTGTATTAAAGTTAATAAAATGCAGTCAGTCCATATTTGGCGATGGGGGAAGAGCGTGTAAAAAGTGTTGCGTATATGAAGAGAGACGGGCAAGCCAGATGGAGCCGTGGCCTCGGGGAGTGAACCAACAAAGGCAGGGACATATATCCAGCCATGCAGGGTCATATCAGAGCTGTGTTTTCATTCTAAGAGCAATGAGAATCCATGAAACATTCCAGTGGGACTGCGGCTAGGGTCAGGGTGGGGAGAGAAGACTTGTCATTTTTAAAGCTCAGTCTGGCTGTGCTATGGAGAAATGGCCCCAAGTGGGTCCTGAATGAATGGTCCACACACTGGATAGAAGTTGGTCACGGTGCTTCAAGCCAGAGCTACAGTAACAAGGACCTGGGAGGTGACAGACAGTAAGCAGACATTGTCATGAAATATTTGAAAGTACTTTAATAGGTATATGCAATATGGTTTTCAAACTTTTACCTGGAACCAGTTTGAAGGCCCTGGCTAGAGATCAGTCAATTTCCCTAACTGAGCAACTGATTAAGGTCACATCCTCAACTACCTCCCATACTGGGTTCTCACACCGTGGGCCACAACACACCCATCCTAATCACCCCAAGGCTAGGTACCAGACAACCAGGAGCAGCCTCTATGCCCAGATCCTGCTGAAAATACTCAAACCAGCCATCTAAACCTGTGTACCTTGCCTCACCCATTTCTTCCAACGAAAAACACAACAAAGGCTCTAGCCCACATTTTCTCCTGACTCCTTCAGTCTTTTGACCAACTCTGGGGCTTCCTCCTGTGTCCCTGCCTAGGATAGGGTGCTATGTTAAAAATGTGTGAATCTTTCTCATTTCTCTCTCTTGATCTGCATCTGGCCTCACCACACTTCACCCAAGGTAAGTGGTTAAAACAGTATAACCCTGTTAAAATCTAAAAGGTAAATCTGAATTTAGTGAAATTTTAATAAACCAAATCATTAGATGACACAGGAAAAAGAGTAGTAGAAATCTAAATGTCACTCAAACATTTAGTCACTTAGAGACCAAACTTATTGAAAACTCATAAGACAGAGCAAACCAAAAAAAAAAAAAAAAGTTACAATGTCCTTTCCTACCAAGTTTGCAGACAAGTAGCAGAATTGTTTGATCTGATTTTTATTTCATTTTATTTCTCCTGTCCATCATCTGGCAGAGATGCTAAAGAACAATGAACAATTACATGTTCAAAAAGCAAGCAGAAAACGAAGAATGAGGAATAAAAGACCTGTTTAATCTTAAAATTAGATAAGTAATATTTGAATAATTGTGCTTTGACTAGAATAATAGCATAGCTTCTGCCCATGACGGACCCTTGATAAATGTTTGCTTGAGTGAATAAAAGAACTGACAGGATTCTTTAATTGCAAAAATGTCATTAAATTAATATTAATTATAAAATGAAAATCTCAGATAAAATATATAATTCAAAAATATATTACATTCAAGAGAATAAGACATGTCCTTTGACATGTGTTTATCTGCTAAGAATCCTAGAGTTGCGTTCACAGTTTAATCCAACTGTCTTTATAGATCTACATATATGCATGTTCATATATTTGAATAATTTTGCACATATTCAGTTTGAGACGTAATTATTCAGCTTAATCATAATGCAGTGTTTGAGGTATTAAATGAGTACAAATACAACAACAACCCATGGAGCATAAAGCCCATATTTCTAAATCTGTTTGCAATTCTAAGAAACTCTAGTTAATTCAAAAGAGATACTTTTGTTGACAGAGATCCAACTGGGGTTTAAGATATTATGACATATACACTCTTAACAGATAAAAGTAGAAAGGAAGAGACCAGAGCTAAGTAAGAATTTCAGGATGAATTGCACACCATCCTTTAGGATAAAATTTTTTTCTTACCTGTGGGGAACCATCTCTAAAGTACAAGGCAAGAGAGATATAGTTTAAGATTTTAAACTTCAGTTTCCATACATGAAAGGAAATATAATTAAAAATGAAGTCTTCAAGTTTTGAAAGGAACTTGAAAATGGCACACTTAGCCAAGTTTCTTTGATAAGTTTTGATAGTAATTGGTACCTATAGTGTTTGTGCAAGAGGCACATATAACCGTAGCCCCACCTGATTATAAAATCTGCTTTCACTTTCATCACAAAAGTTGATTATGCATACCTGTTAGCTGATATTCTGTGCATCCATCTCTGAATGGCTCAGTTGCATGGATTAGGCTTTTAATAAGGGCCACATGGCAGGATTCATTTCTTTTATGCCATTTTGCCTTGCATTGGTCTTGCCACAGACTACAGATATCCCATAAATTCATATCTTTAGCCATAAGCAAGACTGGCTAAAGGGTGTGGATACGACTCTACCAACCAATTATAAAAGTAGCCCAGAGTTTGTCCCTACTGACAACAATGGCATCATCTAACTTGTGAAAGACAGGCCTTGACATATACTCTTGCCATCCATCCTCCAGCCCCCTGCCCCAGAAACTTCTCAAAAGATAAATCAGATCAAAACCTACTTTAAATCTCAGACAAATTTCCCATTGCTTTTCAGATGAAACTACATTTATCACAACCCCCAAGTCCCTGCATGTTATACTCTCAGCCTCATTTTCTACCATTTCTTCCTGATTCCTTTTGACCCCCACTCCCCTCCTTTCCTTCCCACCTTTACGGCTAGCATTGAGTGCCTGCAGCTTTTCTAGGTGCACAGTGCAAGCTGTCAGTGGATCTACCATTCTGGGGTCTGGAGGATGGTGGCCCTCTTATCACAGCTCCATTATCTCAGCCATAATAATCTCTCTGTACTCCTTAAACACACAAAACCCCACTCTTTGTCTTCCGATGATCCTCTCATCCACCTGAAAATCCAGAATCCTACTTTCATGTTAAGCATTGTATAATATGGGTTTGATGTTAGTTTCCCTGAGTAGTCTGTAAATCTGTGAGAGCAAAGACAGTGCCAATAGCCATCTCTGCTAAATTTCTAGGACTAAGCAAAGTTCTAGGAATTTAATAAATATTTGTTGAATGAATGAATGAATGAATGAATGACAACAGTTTCTTTTATAAATAAGCACAACATAATTAAAGCCCTGTTTCTCCATGAGCCATGTCTCCTTGGGCGCTATTTCAGGGCACCATTTTTAACATGCAACAATGCCACAAAGGCCTCCTGCTCTTGTGTTCTCCAGCCTCATTTCTCACCACTCTGCATATTCACCACTCACTTCCTCTTAAACTTAGCAGTTTTTCCTTCATTCTGGGTGCTCATTTAATTTACCTGTTATTCCTTTCTCTCAATTTCACTGCCACTTCACTTCTGTATTAGTCTGTTCTCACGCTGCTAATAAAGACATGCCCAAGACTAGGTAATTTATAAAGAGGTTTAATTGACTCACAGTTCCATGTGGCTGGGGAGGCCTCACAATAGGGGTGGAAGGCAAATGAGGAGCAAAGTCACATCTTACATGGTGGCAGGCAAGAGGGGATGTGCAGGGGAATGCCCTTTTATAAAACCATCAAATCTCATGAAACTTATTCACGATCACAAGAACAACATGGGAAAAACCCGCCCCCATGATTCAATTACCTCCCACCAGGTCCCTCCCATGACACATGGGTATTATTACAATTCAAGGTGAGATTTGCTTGGGAACACAGAACCAAACCATATCAACTTCCTTCACTTGGCTGTTCTTTCCTTATTCTTCAGGCCCCGTAAAAAATGTTTCCTCCTTGGAAGAGCATTCTTGGACAATCCAAGGGATCCTCTAGCAGCTTCTATACTAGAGCAGATACTTATTTTATCACTTTTCAAATATTGTTTACTTGAATTAATTTCCAAGTATAATTTTAGTTACTTGAGCGGTAGGGATATATCTTATCTCCCATATAAATATTTAGTAGACTCTCAATAATATTTAAATAGCTCTTAGTAGAAATTTTTAAAAATATTTTACAAGTATATTCTCATAGTCTAAAATATACTAAAATATAAAACACATCCTGTAACAATATAAAATCTAAACAATTGACTAAGATTGGTCCTATTTTCTAATGGTATTTTATTATGTTGGTAAAGAAATAACATAAAATATACTATATTGACATTAACATAACCAAACACAGCTAGTAAAGCTTACTGAAACCCAGCAGGTATCAAGATTATCTGTCGATAGCTATCAGTAATCAAAATTTTACTTCATTTGATAAAGACCTAAATTGTTCCCTCCATTTCTGTAAAAATTACATTAGATATACAACAATATCTCACATGCTGGCATTTGCTCAAGTTAATTCTCAAGTGATATTTTTGGTTTCTGTACTAAATTACATAGGAATGATCTGGAGTAACAGTTTTCATAGCTTTACAATAAAGCCAGAAAAACAATGCTCGTGTTTTTTATTACTAGTCCAATTAAAAATGTTTGTGTACAACAAATGTTAATGTAATCAGCAAAGACAGTAGTGCATTCAAGAGTACATTCTCTACTTTTCCAAAATTCACAGACCATAGATCTTTCTAAGGAAAGTTTTGCTTCAAAAGCTCAAATGTATTATTAATGGAGACAGAATTATAGTAATCCTGGGAGATGTTGAGGAGAAGCATTCGTCCTGAGGGTCTCCTGGGTTACTCAGGGTAAAGTCTTTAGTGTAAGAGGATTCAACATTAACAGAAAAAGTAGGTATATTAGTCCAGTCTCACATTGCTAGAAAGAAGTACCTGTGACTGGATAAATTATAAAGAAAAGAGTTTTATTTGACTCACAGTTCCACAGGCTGTACAGTAGACGTCTCTGGGGGAGCCTCAGGAAACTTACAATCATGGCAGAAAGGGAACCTGGTACATCTTCACATGGTGGCAAGACAGAGAGAGTGAAGGGGGTAGTGCTACAGACTTTTAAACAACCAGATCTCATGAGAACTAACTTACTATCATGAGAACAGCAAGGGGGATATCTGTCCCCATGATCCAGTCACCTCCCACCAGGTTCCACCTCCAACACTCGGGATCACAATTCAACATGAGATTAGGTGGGGATACAGAAACAAACCACATCATTCTGCCCCTAGCCTCTCCCAAATCTCATGTTCTTCTCACATTTTAAAACATGATCATGCCTTCCCAACAGTCCCCCCAAAGTCTTAACATTCCAGCATTAACTCAAAAGTCCAAGTCCAAAGTCTCATCTGATTCAAGGCAAGTCCCTTCTGCCTATGAGCCTGTAAAATTTAAAAAAAAAAAAAAGTAAGTTACTTTCAAGATATAATGGAGCTACAGGCATTGGGTAAATCCTCTCCTTCCAAAAGGGAGAAATTGACCAAAACAAAGGGGCGACAGGCCCTGTACAAGTCTGAAACCCAGCAGGGCAGTCATTCGATCTCAAAGCTCCAAAATAATGTATTTTGACTCCATGTCTCACATCCAGGCCACACTGTCATAAGGGGTGGGATCCCAAGGCCTTGGGCAGCTCCACCTCTGTGGATCTTCAGGGTACAGCCCCCATGGCTGCTTTCAGGGGCTACTGTTGAGCACCTGCAGCTTTTCCAGGTACACAGTGCAAGCTGTTAGTGGATCTACCATTCTGGTGTCTGGAGGATGATGACCCTCTTCTCACAGTTCCACTAGACAGTGTTCCAGTGGGGACTTTATGTGGGGGCTCCACTCCCACATTTCCCCTCTGCACTGCCCCAGTAGAGTTTCTCCATAAGGGCTCCACTCCTGCAGCAAACATCTGCCTGGACATCCAGGAATTTCCATACATCCTCTGAAATCTAGGTAGAAATTCCCAAACCTCAAATCTTGCTTTCTGTGCACCCACAGGCCCAACACCACATGGAAGCCACCAAACTTGGGGCTTGAACCTTCTGAAGCAGCAGCCTGAGCTGTACTTTGATGGCTTTTAGCCACAGCTGGAGCTGGAGCAGCTGAGGTGCAGGGTGCCATGTCCTGAGGCTGCAAAGAGAAGCAGGGCCCTAGGCCCCGCCCACAAAAACATTTTTCCCTCTCAGGCTTCTGGGCCTGTGTTAGAAGGGGCTGCTGGAAAGGTCTCTGACATGGCCTGGAGACATTTTCACCATTGTCTTGGCTATTAACATTTGGCTTCTCTTTACTTATGCAAATTTCTGCACCTGGCTTTAACTTCTCCTCAGAAAATAGGTTTTCCTTTCTACCACATGGATGGGCTGCAAATTTTCCAAACTTTTATGCTCTGCTTCCCTTTTCAATATAAGTTTCAGTTTCAGATAATCTTTTTGTTCATGAATACGAGCATACACTTTTAGAAACAGCTAGGTTACCTTTTGAATGCTTTGCTGCTTGGAAATTTCTTCTGCCAGATATCCTAAATTATCTCTCTCAAGTTCAAAGTTCCACAGATCTCTAGGGAAGGGGCAAAATGCCCCTCTCTTTGCTAAAGCATAGCAAGAGTGACCTTTACTCTAGTCCTTAATAAATTCCTCATCTCCATCTGGGATCACCTCAGCCTGGACTTGATTGTCCATATCACTGTCAGCATTTTGATCACAACCACTCAACAAGTCTCTAGGAAGTTCCAAACTTTTTCACATCTTTCTGTCTTTCTCTGAGCCCCCCAAACTCTTCCAGCCTCTGCCCATTACCCAGTTCCAAAGTCGCTTCCACATTTTCAGGTATCTTTATAGCAATGCTCCACTCTTCTGGTACCAATTTTCTGTATTAGTTCATTCTTACATTGCTATAAAGCATTACCTGAGATTGGGTAATTTATAAAGAAAAGAGGTTTAATTGACTCACCGTTCCACAGGCTATACAGAAGGCATGGCTGGGGAGGCCTCAGGAAACTTACAATCAAGGCAGAAGGGGAAGCAGGCACATCTTCACATGGTGGCAGGAGAGTGAGAGAGTAAAGCGGGAGGTGCTACACACTTTTAAACAACCAGATCTCATGAGAACTCACTCACTATCATGAGAATAGCAACAGGAAAGTCTGCCCCCGTGGTCCAGTCACCTCTCACCAGATCCCACCTTCAACACTCAGGATCACAATTCAACATGGGATTGAGTGAAGACACAGAGCCAAACCCTATCAATAGGTATGTTCCAGAGTGTGCAAACGACAGCTCAGGCCACACTAAAGGAAAAACCATTCCTTTTCCTTTGCTCAGAATTGTTCCTGACATAGATATTCCCATTATTTCTGTTCTTCCTGAAACTTACAAAACTAGGAAAATAGAAACTTCATAGCAGGTCAAAAACAAAAACAAAAAAAGAAAGAAATTACAATCAATAAAAATTTCTAAAGTAGTGCGAACAGCAACAAAATGGTTAAAATAGTGAAATAAAAAGTAGACTGCAATAAAAATAATTATTAAATGTAATTTAACAGTTTTAAATAGTAAAACAAAATTGTAAAGTGCTTTAATGTTTAAAATAAAGATTAGTGAATTTAAAAATAAGTAGCATCAAATAAGATAATAAGTGACAGATGCTATTAGACACCTAGACCAACATCTTTTCTCCGTTTTCTACTTAGTGACAGACCCCTGATTTTCTCTGGGCACTGTGTCCCCTTTCTTCCATAATCTAAGACTACATTTACCAGGCCACCTTACAGCTAGGTACAGCTAAGAGCTGGGTGGGACTTCTGGAAGGCTACTTAAAATGGGTAATCTGCTGTAAGGAGCACCTTTTTAACCTTCTAATTTCATTTCTTTTCCAGGCTGGACCACTTGAGGCCCAGCCAAGTTGTCCAGCCACCTTGGACCCTAGTTGACCGGGAATATGGAGGCACACATTATGCTGCACATTAGAAAAACTGGACCCTGGTCCTTGATGACAGTGGGATTGCCTGACCAGCTCTCAAATGCTGCCTATGGGTCTTTTATATGAGGGAGAAGTCAGCTCAGCTTAAATCTTCTTTCTGCCCCTATTATCTGGGATTTTCTGTTTTGTGTCCCTGAACATAATCCTAACTAAAACAGACAAATTGGATGTAATCAGTAAAAATTAAAGCTGAAAATGAGAAAAAGTCCAAAACTATAAAATAATCATATATATTAATATGATGAAAGTTAACAGCCATAAAGATGAAGAAAATAATACAAAGACAAATTATAGTATATGAAAACAGTTGAATGTAAAATAAAATGTTAAACAAACTAAGATAAGACAAACAAAATTTAATAACTAAAGGCAGTAGTCTAAGACAAATGCACTAGGTAAACATTATTGAAACTAACCCGGATAGCCAACAGGTATCACATTTCTCCCACAAAGATTCTTTTAAAAGGATCTCTGTTACTTGAGGTTCACACACACATAACCTTCAAAGTAAAGTTATATAATTTCATACAACTTGCAAGTAAACACAGTTTTATTCACTCTTCGGAGGAAAGGCATCCCATTGTCCAAGAAGCAAAGGGATGTGATCAGAAATAGAATTGCTCCAACCAAGAATATATGAGTATAAAAAATTCATATCTCCAACCAACAGCAGTGGGCTGAGGATAAGAGAAAAATTCCAGGCACACACTGGAAATTAATCTCAATTTTTTTTTCATGGATGCTAATGTTAATAGCTATAATTCTATAATACAAGAAATAATACCTGTAAGAAACCCAAATTTTTATTGGCTTTTTATTTGGAAGCAAAATAACACATTTGATAAAGGTCCCAGATAGCAGGTTTTTAAAAGCCTTACTTTGTTTGGAAGTTGGGGCTTAAGAAAATTTTAAATAATAAAATTCAGCCTTTGACTGACTTTTCTTTCCATTTTGCAGTCTATAGGTTTTGGGCGAAATTGCCTTTTCATGAGGGCAAGAAAATGATGGATCCTAAACTAAACTTGAGCTGGCAGTGCTCAGAGCTGCCTGATGAACTTATCTGAGGGTTCAGGCTCCCCATCCAATAGGTCTGGCTTCCTCCCCAACCCTCCACAGGATATGATGGACAACATTTCCAAAAATCCAGAATCTTTTAAAAATGTCATTTTTTTTCTCTAAGTATCTCGGGGATATAATACAAAGAAATATACATCAGTAAATTTCACTTAGTAGCATATTTCAAATCAAGATGATCATTTGTAGAAAAATGCACAATAATTGCAGTATAATTACTCTCCTGTTTAAGATTATCAAAACACTTTTCCCAGCAGTTCATTATTAAATGTGCGTAGCCACATCAGTGGTTGAAAAAACAATTCTGAACATAAGATTTATTGCCCATCTTCCAGACTCTTTTAACTCAACCTTTACCTTACATGATATTAATGATGCTGAACGTTTGTTTTGTTCTTAAGAGGAAAAATAAAGACATAAAATTGAAAACACCAATTTTTGCTATTAGCTACCTGAAGGCTTTATCCAGTGCCTGCAGCTCCAGCTCTTGCTGGTTTTGGCCGCTGCCCCTTCTTCCACATGTACCCCTCCACCCTGCCTCACCCAGGCCAGCTGGCCGCAGGTGCCAGTGTGCATTGTATCCCACTGAATTAGGCCATCATAATATGGAGTGACAGCCCCCTTCCACTGACACATCTGGACAGAGAGGCAGAGGACCCAGCCAGGTGGTCTGTGTGTGAGGGGCGTAGGATTAAAGGACAGGGTAAAGGGACACCAAAAAGCACAGACAGGTAGCAGCTAGTGGTTAAACGGTCACTAGAAACTGTGAATTGGAAGTCAAAGTAGTATAATCCCCAAGATAAATGGGAAGAGAAATGAAGCTGCTCCAAACGAAATGCTCAAGATCCAGCAAACATATTTCCTTGTCAGAATATAGATTGACGTGTGTGCACTTGTGCAGTGCACAAGGGGTGCACATGGGCATGTCCAGTTTTAGGCAGTGATCTGTTCTTTGTAAGTAACTTCTTTAAATAACACAAGTTCTATCTCTTACTGTAAAAACAAAGTGTGTGTGTTTAAGTGTTAACACTTAAGATAAAATCTTTGTAAAAACATATTACACTTTGTTATCATTTTCAACAAAGTGTGTTGAAATACAAGCCCTTCTCTTCTGAGGATGTGGGGCGATAGATAATAATACAACTGGACCTCTGTCTCTAATAGTAAAGCAACTGAGACCCCATTCATGTTTGTACCTGACGTGCCCCGTGCTCAAGCCCATCCCGCCTTGCCTCTTCCATCCCCCTCACTCAATCCACTCTGCCCTGTGGATACCTGGACTCATGGCTGCTAGCTACACCATCATCCTGTGCCTGAATCTACATCCCTGGCTGTGATGGTGATTCTGGCCTGATATATGAGAACCACCAACATGATTTTGACAGATTTTTCTCACTGTTGCTGAGCATTCGCTCTTACCTCTGAGATCACTACTGTGTTCAAGACATAGCTGAGGAAATTCCTAAAGCTCCAGATGAGTCTGTCTATAAACTGTGGTAGTCCCAGTTTACAAAACCACAAATAATTGTGCTTTAAGAGAAGAAAAATAGCATGTTGTCAAAAAATATTTTTCCAGTGGACTAAACAGACTCCTAAAAATTCCATCCTTAGGAACCCTCGTCTAGGCTAACCCATTTTCTTGGATCAGGTAATTAGATCAGGGGACCACCCACCGTCAGAGAACCAGGCTCTGAAGGACAGCTGAGTTTTGGTGGGAGGGCCAATAGTGTCCTGGAAGAGAAAGGGCAGATTGAGGAAGAACATTGGAACATGAGCTTTAGTGGGGCAGGGCAGGGCGAGGCTGGCAAGCACTAGCATTAATAGGAGGGTGACCCCTTCGAGTCGCTGTGCACCTGTGCAGGGTCAGCCCTAGCTAGGAGGAGCAGGCACAGGGATGGGACAGCAAAGAGGAAGCCAGACCACTCTTCACACAGAGGCTCTGACATACACACAGAGAGACTGTGTGTGTGTAAAAACAAAGATATCGAAAATGGGTTAAAAAATGGTGGGGAGGCTTAAGCCTATGCCTGTGTTACCCCTGATGGACCAGTGGCAGGTGCAGTAAGAACTGAAGAGCTGAAACATCACTATCTAATAGTTCGCTTTAGAAGGAATTATTGCTTAATTTCAGCCACAGTTTATTATAAAAAAAAAACCAATTCACTCATGGTATATAAAGTCATATTTTTGGCCTTGTAAACAGCTAGACTGGTAAATGTTGAGGGAGTGCTGGCAGCAAGAACTTACCTTCAATATTTTGATTAGTTCCACTTGGCTTGTGCAAAATTGCACACATTAAATAGAGCAATGCCTTCACAGTGACTTAGCAATTATTCTGCTATTATATTGGTCCCCCAAACCTGCAGATTTTACCAAATAAATGTTTTAAAGAGATCGTCATTAAATCCTAACAATTTTAATCCCAATGAATGCTATGAGTTCAGTGCCATGCATATACCTCTAAAAACATCACATGGCTAGAATCTACAAGCAATACAATTGTTCTTAGGCTCTCAGAGCAGAGTTTTTCCCCTGAAGATCATACTTATTCAAGCAGGCGTGAAACAGAATAATTTCAAACTAAAAAGTGGGAATTTATATATTCAAAAATAAACCCAGATATGGGAACACACCTTTGGAAGTGGAATAAAATTAAAATTTGATAATTCCATTCAGACATCAGAAACAAGCTCAAAAGATCTATTGTACATAATGCTGACTATGGTTAATAAAAATATATTTTAAAATTGAAAATTACTAAGAGTGTAGATTTTATGTGTTCTCATCAGAAAATACAAGATCTGTATGTATCTGAGGTAATGCATATGTGAATTAGCTTGAGTCAGCCAATCCACAACGTATACATATATCAAAACCTCATCTTTTACACAGTAAATATATATAATTTTACCAATTAAAATTAAAATATATAAATAAAAAGAAATATAAGAAAGTGAAAAAAATGAAAACCTGATAGATGCAGACAAGTAGAATAAAGATAATGTTAGAGAAGTGAGAGAAAGTATCCCTATAAACGTCTGCACACAGTTTATCATTTTCTGGTCTCTCAGTGATGAGCATACAAACTACCTGAGTGTCTCAGTCACCTATTGCTGTGTAACAAATCTTCCCAAAGCTTAGTGGCTTAAAACCATGTGGACAATTTAACTGGATTCTCTGTGAGCTGGGTGAATCTTTGGCTCCATTTGATGTAGCCTGCTGTCACCCATGGGCTACGAGGCCCAAGAAGACTGGGGTCCCCTCTATGTGGCATCTTTCCCTCCACAGCTTCTTCAAGTGGACTCTCTCTCCAGAAACATCGTCTGGGCCTTCCTACAGCATGGCAGCTGGGTTCCTGAAGAACAAAAGCAGAACTTTCCAAACGCTTAAAGGGCTAGGTCTGGAGCTGCACAGCTTCACATCTGCCACGTGGTATTGGCCAAAGCAAGTGACAAGGGCACTCCAAATTCAAGGGAAGGGGAAAACAGATTCCACCTTTGATTGGAGGAATAGCAGGAGAGCATAGTGAGGGAAGAAGTTGATGGTCCTCCTTGAAAACTACCTAACACATTGGGTAATATTTAGCAGTGTCTCATTTTCCCATTGGCAGGAATCGCTCACTATTTCATGACATACGGTCACAAATAAAAAGTACTGCCAATAGCTTTGTTCTCGCCAAAGAATGGAGTGGCTGAGCACATGAAAAATAGCATATCACCTAAATGTATACAAATCAATGCCCATAGTGCCTTTACCACTGTATTATTACTATGGTCTTTGGATAAACAAAAATACATGTTTTTAAATGCACAAGTGATTGCTTGAAGAGAATAATTACATTAATTAGGGTAATCTATAATTATATTTAAAGAATTCTCAAATAGTAGAGGAAATCCCATTCCAGAAATATGAAAGAAATATACTAAAGTAGATAGATTCTGTATGAAGCAGGTTCTCGAATAACATTGTTTCATTCAATGTGCTTTCATTATAATTTTGATGGGGAAAAAATCCAATTCCTGTCCGGAGCCACTGTCTGAATGCAGTTTGCATGTTCTCTGCACTTCTGCATGGATTTTTCTCTGGGTCCTCCAGTTTCCTCTCACATCCCAAAGCTGTGCCCATTAGGTTTATTGGTGTGCCTGCAAGGTCCCAGCATGAGTGCATATGGGGGCCCATTAGGTTCATTGATTTGTCTGCATGGTCCCGGTGTGAGTACATATGGGTGTGTGTTGAGTGCATCCTGTGATGGAACAGCTTCCTGTCCATGGTTGGTTCCGCCTTGTGCCCTGAGCTGCCAGGATCGGCCCCAGCTACCTGACACCCTGAACTGGAATAAGCATGTTGGAAAATGAATTAATACAAATTATTATAAAATAAAAATCTTAAAGTCTATGAGAATCATACAGATGCATAACAATAAACAATGCAAGAGGAAAGTACTCAGTGAGCCTGCCATGTTTGTGATGAATTGGTTTTGAACTGTGTGGTGGGAGGAGGTGCTCCTGAAAATTTTCTCCTCGAAAATATTTATTCCTTTTTTAATTTTTTAATTGAAAATAATAATCGTACATATTCTTGGGGTATATAGTGATGTTTCAATACATATAATGTATAGTGATTAGACCAGAGTAATTAGCATATCCATCTTCTCAAACACTTACTATTTTTTATGTTGGGAATGTTCAATATCCTTCTCTTGTTATTCCTTGATTTAACCCCACCACTGCTATGACCACCATAACTCACTGATTTGCCAAAAATTGAATAAGTCATTATCTTATTTGTTTTTATTAATCTTTCTTAAATGTATATATAATACACAGTTATTTCAAAAGTTAATGTTAGAAGGGTTTTGAGTATTGATTTACATGTTTGGTGATGGTTTTGTTACTAGGAATATGTCATAGGAACTTAACTCTTGTTCATATCAACTAGTCTATGGTAGAATTGATTTCATTATAGTAATTCCACCTGAAGTCACAGTTTCCAAGAACCTATGGATGATATTTGGTGAGGACTTATGTTACTGGCACCTAAATTCAGCATGTGCATAATTGAACTCATCTTTGTGTCATCACGTGTTTCCTAGCTCTGGAAAGAGACTAGTGTCTCAGTCAGCCAGGTGAAAAATGTGAGACCATTCCTTTTACTGATCTGTTGAATGTTCATCATGATCCAGCCAAATCCACCTGGTTTCCAGTGCAGTGGATTCTACCCTACAAATGTATTTGGTGTTCATTCTTTCCCTATGATTGCTCTGCTCTCTATCTAGCTCAGGCCCTTAATCCTGGCCTATTCTTCCCAATAATGCCAGCTACCTTCCCTGTCTCTGGCTTTATTCCATTCTGTCCATAATTCATATTTCTACCAGCACATACTAAACTGAGTACATACTATGTCACTTCTTTTTAAAAAACAACGCCTTCAATGGAACTTCTAGATTAGAATGCAGATGAATTAACGAATTCAAAGAAATGCCTCATCCAGATCAGATCTCTTTTGATATCCAAGAAAGCATACAAGTGAAAGTTGACAATCCAATGAGCTTACATCAGAGTCAAGGAAGGGTTGCAGAATGTCAATGGGAGGAGATGAAAAAATGACATTAATAGCTGATGCACATTCTACCTCCTAAGTCAAAATGATGAGACAGGGAAAGGAGAGATACCAATTCTTAGTACCAACTCCAGATATGGGGCAAGAAAACTGCACTAAACTAGAAATAATAAGTACAAAAACAAGAGGGTGAAGAGAGAGGAAAAGAGTTAAATCTAGTGAAGAGGCATATAAGCAAACAAAAATAAAAGACTTCCCTTTTGTTTTCTATTATCTTTCTCTGTGCCAAATTTTTATGCTGCACCAAGCACATGATATGTGCCAGAGTGTGGAGTCATGGGATGCATACATATCACTTGCGATGGCACCCCAGATCAGCAGAGCAAGCCTGGGGCAGGGAAGGCCTGCCATGGGGTGCTGAAGACTCCCTGCTTGATTTTGTAGGCACTGCAAATCATCCTGAGAAAGACAAATGAATTGAAGCAGAGGACTTGACATGGAGTGGAAGGGAGTCATGTTAGAAATATTCATATGGAGAATCCACAAAACTTAGTGTGTGCCTGTAGGAGCAGGTGAATTGCTGCAAGCATTCATCATCATCACAGCCACAATGTCACCTAACAATAAATATTGTCTATGCAGCCCCATTTCAAAGATGAAGAAACAGAGGCACAGGGAGATTAAATAACTAGTTTCTGGTTAGATGGTATAAAAGGCAGAGCCAGGATTTGAATCCAGATGGTGCAGATTCTGCCTTCTGAAGCACCTCACAACCCTGCATGTATTTAAATGGTTTTGATCTTGGTATGTGCTCCAGCCACACTGAATTACTGACATTGGTTTCCATTCACATCAAGTGTTGTCATGCTCCAGCTACTTTGGCTGTGGCCTTCTTCTGCTGGAATTCCCTCACTGCCCAGACAACCTCATCCATCTTGCAGGTCAGCTGCACAGTCCGCTTCTCAGAAACCTTCGAAGTGCTAAGCAGCGGTTTCCTGCTTTCTGTATACAACGCTGTTACAGCAATTACCAAACTGTTGCAACTATTTCAGAGAAAGGAGCTTCTGTCGTTTTATGATGAAATATTTTTGCTTTTTGAAAAGTAAAGGAAATAAGTAACAACAACCCAGGAAGCTACCACTCACAAATATAGCTGAGACCTCCTGAGTACATCTCCCTGACCCCAAGTCCTACGGTGATGTTTACTTTTACCGTGTGTGTCCTCACACTTTAGCCTTCATACTCACGTATAAAATAATCAGGCAAGTTTACATGCTTGTACCTTCATATTACCAGTATACTATATGGATACTTTTGCATCTTAATCTTTTTTTTTTTTTTTTTGAAACGGAATTTCACTCTTGTTGCCCAGACTGGAGTGCAATGGCGCGATCTCGGCTCACTGCAACCTCTGCCTCCCGGGTTCAAGCGATTCTCCTGTCCCAGCCTCCCAAGTAGCTGGGATTACAGGAACATGCCAGCATGCCCAGTTAATTTTTGTTTTTTTTCTTTTAAGTAGAGACGGGGTTTCATCATATTTGTCATGCTGGTCTCAAACTCCTGATCTCAGGTGATCCGCCCACCTCGGCCTCCCAAAATGCTGGGATTACAGGCGTGAGCCACCATGCCCGGCCACATCTTGCTCCTTTTTAATCTGCATTTTGTTTTGACATATAATCCATGATGTAGTTCTGCTTCACTCACTTTAATTACTGTTCCACTGTATTACTATGCACAATGTATTTTCTCTTCTACTGATGGATATTTTGGTTGGATCCAGTATTTCATTCTTCCAAAGAATGTTGAAATAACACCTTTTTATGTTTGGGTCTGCTTTTGTGAGTGCCCCTGGATTGCATACTAAATCTCAGAGCATTATCAGATCTTGCTTAGTGTGCACTAGCAGTACACTAGCAGTATATAAGACTCCCCATTGCTTCACATACTTGTCAGTTCTTTGGACTGTAGAGCTGATTTTTTTTTTCAAAGTGATGAATATGAAATTGTATTTCATGGTTATTTTTATTTTCATTTCTATAAGAATTATTAAGGCTGAGCAACTTTTCACTGGTTTATTGGCCAATTGCATTTCCTATTCTGTGAGTAACCTATTTTCTATCCTTTGCCAACTTTTTAATGTAGTTGTTTGATTTTTGCTTACTGATTTGAAAGAGGCCTTTTTATTTCCCGGGTAGTAATCCATGAATTTATATATTCTGTCAATATCTTCTGGCAGTCTTTGACTTTTTTTTCTTATGTGGCCTTCATGGACATAATTTTTTAAATTTTTATATGGTAAGTTTTGTTAATATTTTCACTTACAATTTTTATAAATTTTATTTCTAACTTGTATTAAAAAGACTCTCCAACTTCATCTGTAAAACTATTGTCCTATATAATTGGCATTTACATATGACACATAATACTGTTTCTTTTTTTCACCACTGATTTTTGAGAATGTTCATTACATCAAGCTTTGTAATTATGCTTTTTTTTTAGATGTAGTCTCACTCTGTTACCCAGGCTGGAGTGGGAGTGCAGTGGCATGATCACGGCTCACTGCAACCTCCACTTCCCAGGTTCAAGCGATTCTCGTGCCTTCCTAGTAGCTGGGACTACAGGCGCATGCCACCACACCTGGCTAATTTTTGTATTTTTAGTAGAGACGGGGTTTCACCATGTTGGCCAGGCTGGTCTTGAACTCCTAACCTCAGGTGATCCACCCGCCTTGGCCTCCCAAAGTGCTGGGATTACAGGCGTGAGCCACCACGCCCGGCCTATAATTATGCTTCTTAAAGATCATATTATTACCCATCAGGTATTTATTTTTTTAATTTTACTTTATTGATACATAATATTTTACATGTTTATGAAGTACATGTGAGTATGTGTTACATGCATAGAATGTGTGATGACTATCTTGAGTGTTTATCATTTCTATGTGTTGGGAACATTTCAAGTTCTTTCTTCTAGCTACTTTTAAATAAACAATACATTGTTGCTAACTAGTAAAACTTCTCCTTAAGTGTTATTTAACAAATATTTATATATCGTTAACTATGTACCAGATACTGTTCTAAACACATAACAAATGTTAACTCCTTGAGTCCTCATTCGAGTGAGAAAAACCTAGAATGGGAGAAGTTAATTGACTACATAACACAGCTAGTAAGTGGCAGAAACAGGATTCAAACCCAGTCTAGCATCAGAATCCATGCTCTTCACCATCACGATATTTATGACAGTATACTACACAGGCTTGATTTTGCTCAAGTCTGTCAAGTTATTTATTCAGTGTTCCTTTCTTCTTGTTCCAGTTTTCTTCTTCCTGAATAATGTCTTCTAGTAATACTTTCTGCAAGAGTCTGAGAGTAATAAACTCTCCCTCTCTCTTCTCTCTCTCTCTCTCTAGCTCATGTTTGTTAATCTGAAGATATCTTCATTGTCTTTACCTCATATTCATCTTTTGATGAAAGTTTACCTGAGTGTACAATTCTAATTTGGCCATTAGTTTCTCTCAGTGCTTTAGCAATGTTCCATTCTCTACAGGTTTCCCTTATCACTGCTCAGAAGTCACATATCAGTTTGTGTTGTTTCTTTGTCTTTGCTTTTAAAAGTCTTGTCTTTGCCTTTGATGTTATACATTTTTCCTATGATTTGACTGTGTGGATTTAGTTCTACTTATCTTGTTTAGGACTCATTAGGTTTCCTGAATGTGAAAATCCCATGTTGTTCAGAAATATAGGAAAAATTCATGCCTTAAATACTAATTCTCTCCAATCTCTCTGTAACCTGTACTAGATATATTTTAAACTTTTTAATCCACCTTATCATGTCTCTATATACTCTAGGGAAACTTAATTGAGGAGAAGGCTTAGAAATTTCTTCCAAAACTAAACAAACCCTTTGCCCTAGCTGTTCTACTCCTGCATATTTACCCAGAAAAAAATGAAAATCTATATCCACAAAAAGACTTGTACAAGAATATTCATAGCAGCCAAAATCTGGAAAAAACCCAATGTCCATTAATAAGAGAGTAGATAAATGAATCTTGGTATTTTAATATAAAATAGATGAATCTCAAAACTATGCTGTGTGAAAGTAATCTACATGAAGGAGTACAAACCTAAAGATTCCATCTTTATGAATGTTTGGAATAAGCAGAATTTTTCTACAAGGAAAAAGCAGTGGTTGCTAGATGTAGAGTCAGAAGGTATTACTGGCTAGAAGGGGTATGAAGTCATAGAAATGTTCTGTATCTTGATAGGGGTTTGAGTTACACAGGTGTATGCATCTATCAAACATATTAAATGATGCACTTAAAATTTGTTAATTCTAATATATGTAATTTTTACTTCAAAAATCATAAACAAATATTTTTATTTATAATATATTTAATGTTATTTATGAAAATGGGTATAGTTAATGTAATCTTTCAATACAGTTAACAAATGTAGTTAATAATATGTACAAATGTAGTTAATAATAATATGTTGAATTGTTTAGGCATGAAACATACTGATATCTGCAACTCAATTTAAAAACATCACGAAATAAGATAAATTGATATATAAATTTGTCTATCATTTTAAGATGTTTTTAAGCTAATGTAACAAAATGTTAACTATAGCATAGTTTTAGGTATTCTACATAAAATCTTGTAACTTTCTCTACACTTGAAAATTCTTATAATAAAATGTTAGGGAAATTTGCTTGTCTTGTTACTTTCTCATCTTTTGACTTTATCTTTTATACCTTCAATTATTTTTAAAATGCTATCTAAACTTTTATCTCAGTTCCTCCAGACTGAATTTGATTGTGTACTGTGCTTGATGACACTCACTCATGGTGTATTGCTTCCTTGTAGAATTGTAATTGTGTGTTGTAAACTCATATTTAGATAGTCCTAGGCTGAGGATATTTTGTGCCAGACAGATTTTCCTTTATTTCAACCTCATGTCCCAAGGTTATTTTTAGCTTGGAATATTTTTAAGTGCTTTTTAAAAGTCCTTCTCAGCACAAGATCTTTAACATCAAACAGATAGTATAAGTCTTACCCAAATCTTAGTTAAAATAGGCTAATTTATTTCTTCTTACCTCATCTCCATGATCAGGCCAATAGCTCAGTTTTCATCAGCCTGGTGTGGTAGCCAATCATTTTTCAGGCCTATTTTTTGTTTGTTTAGACAGAGTCTCACTCTGTCACCCAGGCTGGAGTGCAGTGGCACGACCTCCTCTCACTGCAACCATCGCTTCCCAAGTTCAAGCAATTCTCCTGCCTCAGCCTCCTGAGTATCTGGGACTATAGGCATGCACCACCACGCCCAGCTGATTTTTGTATTTTTAGTAGAGACGGGGTTTCACTATGTTGGTGAGGCTGGTCTCCAACTCCTGACCTCAGGTGATCCACCAGCCTCAGCATCCCAGTGTTGGGATTACAGGCACGAGCCACCTTGCCAGGCCAGGTCTACCCTATAGCTGAGAAATAAAACATACAAGAATTCCCAACCTTATGTTGGTGTTTCATCCCAATACCCTACCTCCTTTAGGCCCAATGCCCCATCTCCTATCTATGAATGGTCCTATAACCCAAAGTCCTGGTTACTAAGAGAGATAACACCCTGTTAGAGCAGCAAATAGTTATCCACTTAGATCTCCCTTTATTTTGATTTCTATGGATTTGGTTTACTTTTCTATAAATTCAGGATTTCTAGGTGTTTTGTAGCAGGAGGATTTTTATGCTTTTAATATTTCATATTGCCATAAATTGAGGTCACCCACTGTTTGTGTACAAGTTGGTCTGTTGGTCTTCACTAACATGCGATCTAACTTATGTCTCAGCAGCTTACATAACAATACATGACATATAATCAATAAATACTTATTGAATTAGTGATTTTGATTATAAATTGCAAACAGATTTAGAAAATGCAAATTAAACATTACTACTAATAACTAATCTTTATATTCGGATATCATCTAATTTTCACAATCATATTGTGAGTTAGGTAATAGTAGTCTAATCTATAGACTAAAACATTTAGGCTTAATGGGGTTAAATAAATTTCCCAAGGTCATATATCTAGCACAAAGCAGATTTTACTTTCAAATAGAGGGCTCTTTGATTCTAGAGTCTACACTACCATATAAATTATTAAAATGTACTAAAAATAGACTGAATAAATGAAAATTAAGATATAAATTAATACAATTATTAAGATAATCTGTAAAAGGCTTCTAGCCTATGGAAAATGGTATTTTCAAATTCTCTAATAACAAATAACTCCCACAAAATATAATTGTTCTTTTGTACCTTTTAGAAGGGCAAAAGTTAACTGACCAAAATTATTTTTAACAAATATTATAGACTTGGAGAAAATGTGTATTATATAAAGAGCGCAAAGGCCTGAGGTACTTGTGTGGCTAGAAAAGAGGAATAGAGTAGAATAAGTAAAATCTTGTACCTAACAATCACACAAGGAAACAAGATGAGGGGAACAGTAGACACAAAACATTCATTTAAAAGTTGTGTATAGTACTAAAAGTAAAAAAAACAAGAGCCTAAATAGTCAACAACAGAATAATAAGGAAACTGTTTTATTTATCCAATAATTATGATGCTTGTATAACAAGAAGACACATTAAAAATAAAAAGGCATTGGCAAAGTCTTATTTGAGTTCAAAAAAAAGCAGCATAAACATCCACAGAATGTTTACAATCTGCAGTGTTATATAGGTGCAGAAAAACACTAAAAAAAGGTATACCTCAGCATCAGTAATATTTGGAGGGTTTATTAAGGAGAATGTGAATAATAATTTTGGACAAAATTTTTCTATTTAAATTTATTGAATGAAACTTTCACCATTATTAAAAGAATTTTTTTTGAAATATGCATATATTTACGCATTTATACTGTCCTCGGTGGCCCTAATTTCTAGTAAATTTAAGATGGCCCAAATATGTTAGAAACCTCCTTTTCCAACCTTAATATCCAACATTTGCCATCTTGAATTCTCTGCTACGGACAATCAGGCTTCCTGATGTTTCCTAAATCCAACTTCGGCCTTTGCCCTCTCTCCTTGCTCAGGTTGTCCTCCATTTGAAGAGTCTCTCCTGGCCTCATTTGATCTTCATCCGTTAAAAGCCTACATGTTGGTTAAGGTCCAGCTCAAAGGTCACTATCCTTACAAGGCATTTTTTAATTCCCTCACCTGATCATGATCACCTGAGTTTTACTTACTTTTAGCCTTGGAAGAACCATTTGTGCTATAGAGACAGTGAGGCCTAGGTGAAGGGGACCTTAAACAAATGGCATTCTTCAAAATCAAGAGCTTTTTTGTTGGATTAGTTAGAAGACTTTTTGTTTTTGTTTTTGTTTTGCATCAACTCAATACCAACTTCTGCCTTTGTCATAATTGTCCCTAGTCAACTTTTTTTTTATAGTAGAGATAAATGTATTGCATTATTTTTGTCACCCTTCATTTACAATTTACTTTTTCAATCAATTTCTGATGTTTATAGTGGCCACATCCACTACTCCTACAGTTCCGTTTCAGAGGCCATCGGAGCTCTACATCTATTATTTACTACCGATATCCACATCAAGCCTCCCTCCCTTGCTCTTCATGAAATGCATCCACGATGGGACATTGATCTCATTATTCTGTGAGGATCTGGTTGTTTGTCTGCATCTTTCTCTACATCTGGGATCTGAAATTTTCTTATTGGATAACGAATCCCCATCACATACACACATGATAAATATTTGTTTAATGGAAAAACAAATGCATGAGAGTGGCATGATGAAAACAGGTGAGTCTGGATTAAAGCAATTGGTCATCTGTTTGGTCCAATTCCCAGCAACCCAGGTTTGCAAAAGTGTGTGTTGCAAGAGCTGCTCTTGCTATGAAATGATGCCATGAATGTATAACCTGTTACTTACTTTAGAATCCTTTTTACTTAAAAAATAATCTGACAATGTCCATTTCAATACGTGGTTTTAATGACATGACCCCCTAACTACACTTTCTGATCTGCAAATTCCTGTTCTCATGTATTGTATGGTTTTACAAACTGCACCTGTTTGAAATGAACACAAAGCAAGAAACTGTTTATGCAGAAAAACCAAGTGCTCTGCATTCTCCAGTTCCTCAAGGAGAATGTTTATGTGGTTTACCTTGCGAAGCCAAAGGTCTTTTGCAGCACTTATGCACCTGAAGGAAGCCCTGAGGGATGGCAGAGTTAGCCTTCTGGTGGGTGAAGGTGCCATGTGTCTTGTCTATTTTATCTCCTTCACCCACTACCTACCTCCTCCACCACCCCACCCCACCCCACCCCACCCTCATTCTCCTTTTTTATTCCTTTCTCCTGTCTCATATTATTGGGTACAGGGCTGTGTGTTAGCATTTAGCATATAATGACTTACACATAGAAGATACTCTACATGCATCAAATAGAACTTTAAATAAACAAACCTGGGTATAGATCACTAGCAAATGCCAAGTCTTAGCAAAGCAGAACTCTTAAAATTAGAGATATACTAAGATGATGAGTAAAATCACTGCATGGAAATGTTTTTTAATTCAAATGTATTATTGTATATTTGTCTGAGACATCTGACAGATCTTTTTTTAAAGTACACAATTCTAAATAAATGCTTTGGTCAAAAATCTTGATCAATCTCTGTCTTTCTCTCTACATTTACTGAATTGAAAAGGATTCCACAAATATACTAATGAGTAGCAAAAGGCCCAGGAAAACCGCCACCTAAAAGTTGTTCAGGATAAAAGCGTCTATTTTCCTAACAGAGCTGCACCACGCAAGGGTAAAGCCTCCTTTTAAGTGTTGGGGCAAATCCAATTCACCCAACACAATCAATCCATCAGCCTAATCTATATTCAGAATTTTCAAAAACAGTAGTTTTCCGTTTTGCAGGCATCTAAAAGTCTGCAATGTACTTTGTAAAATGAAATAAAACATGTTTTTAATATTTGGCCGAGACTTAAATTCTCAAGAGCCAAGATTTCAGAGCAAATATTTCCACATTAATTGAAAATTTTATTGTCAAATATATTTCATGGTTTATTCATGCAGAGTAGTGCTTCTTGTCTTCTACCATTCATTCCAGTGATTTCACGGAGAAGCCAGAGGCTATTTTCAAAATTGGGGTGACATTTAAAATCAGGGTGACATTGTTTTTCTCACATGCAAAAATAATGATTTCTTTCTTTATGCTGAATATCTTCTTCACTGGGTAATTTTGTTGATAATAATATCTTTTCTGCTTAGCTCACAGGACAGTTATGAAAACTACAAAGAGATAGCATGTGCATCCACCATATAAAAAAGAATTTTATAAATATTGTAGATTATTATTATTGTTATTCATTCAAAGTAAGATTCAAGCATCAAAGACTCATAGAACCAATTGAGGAAATTAATTTAAAAGTGTACATAGAGAGGAGAGAGAGAAAGAGAGATGGCCCCTGATTAAGGCATAGTTCTGAGGCAACGCTGCCTGTGTTCAGTTTTGCCTTTACTCATTACTACCTCTTTAATCTTGCACAAGTTACTTAACTCATCTAAGACCCCAAATTTTTAATCTGTAACACAGGGAAAATAAGAGTTTTGTTTGTTTGTTTGTTTGTTTTTTAGAAGAAGTCTCCCTCTGTCACCCAGGCTGGAGAGCAGTGGCGCCATCTCGACTCACTGCAACCTCCGCCTCCCAGGTTGAAGGGATTGTCCTGCCTCAGCCTCCTGAGTAGCTGGGACTACAGAAGCCCACCACCACACCCAACTGATTTTTGTATTTTTAGTAGAGGCGGGGGTTTCACCATGTTGGCCTAGCTGGTGAAATAAGAGTATTTTTATCAGGTTGGTATATTAGTAAGTTAGATAAATCATGGGAAGTTGGTTTCTACATAGTACATGCTCACCTGTCAGCTATTAATATTTCACTGAAATGTAAGTACCAGCACTTTGGGAGGCCAATGCGTGTGGATTGCTTGAGTCCAGGACTTTGAGACCAACCTGGGCAAAACCCCATCTCTTCAGAGATGATGGTAAAACCTTACCTTTATAAAAAAAGGAAAAAAGTGTAAGTACCTACTGCAAAAGGAAGGGCTATATCTGCTTCATGCATTCATTTATTCTTTCTTTAGACAAATACTTATTGACAGGCCCTGTCCTAGGCACTGAGTATACAGTCTCTGCTCACAGACAATGAACAAGTAATTAATTTCCAGAAGTGGCAAGTACTGTAAAGAGACTAATACAGATTAATCACATGGAGCTATAGGAGTACAGAGCTGGAAGCAAGTACTCTAGACAGGGTGGTCAAAGAAGGCCAGCCACAAGGATGACATTTGACCTAACACCTGAAGGCTGAGGTGTCAGGGCACATGCACCAGCCATGCAAAGATCTAAGGGAAGAATGTTTCAGACAGAGGAAACAACAATTGCAATGTGTCTGGTACAAAAACTAGCTTGTTGTATTCAGAAGACAGAAGAGTTCCCAGTGTGTCTCAAGCATGGTAAATGAGAGGAGGTATATGAGATGAAGGTGGGAAAAGACAGAGGCCATATCATGTGGGTCATGGCAGGCCACACTGAAAAGCTAGATTCATTCAAAATGCATTATGACTTTGAATCCCTTATCTTGCATAGTCTGAAAACTATTAAATGTTCAGTAAGTATCTTTTGAATAACTTGATATATAAACATGGTATTTTTAAGTAATTATGTGAAGAGGGCATTTAGGATACTTGGAGATTTTGAGACTCCCAAGAGATGCCTTATCTCAGGGAAAGATCAGAAATCAGCCTTGCATTCCATTCTTGAAACACTGGTCTCTAACTAATTTGGCAGTGACTCCTAGAAGTAACATCTCTCCTTCGTTCATCACATTCAGTCAAAACAGCTAGTATGACCATGCTTCATTGGGCAAAAGTGAGACTGCTTTTACTCTGGAGTAAAGTTTGTCACATTGGGAAATATAGCACAGATAGTTCATATCTGTGATGATGTAAATGCTCTGTTCATGTTGTCCAAATGGTAGGTACCAGCCACATGAGGCTATTGAGCACTTAATATGTGGCTATTGTGACTGAGAAACTGAGTTTTTTATTTTATGTATTTTCAAGTTTATTTTAATTAATTTTAATTTTAAGTAAGGGCCCTACGGGTACTGTACTGGGCAGTGCAGGTTGTATTTTTCTTTGCCTTTACCATTAACCTTCTTGAAGTAGCTCATCAGCCTCCCGCGTCTCATGCCTGCCGGCTGTTCCTCGCTCACTCCCAGCATGTGCTGTGGCCCATTGACTGAGCTTCTTCCAACCACAGTCATGGATAGGGTTGCTGTCTGAGCCGGTTACATGCACCCTGCTCCTTGGCTCTGACTTGGCTGCAGCCCAAGGCTATCTCTCGCATCTGTGGTGAGATGATGAGGAGGAACTGGTGAGGCCACACAGACACATGAGGCATGCCCATCTCTGCAGTTCAGTGAATAACCCCAAATTGATGGGTCAGAAAAATCTTCCTTGTTTGCAAAGGGCAGCTTCAAACATCTTAAATGAACTGCACTGGTGGTACATTTGCCAAGTGAAGAAGACACATCTGTTTCAGATCAAAGCAAGATGAGAGATGCTCCGGCGTTAGCCTAAACTTAGTTTCTCCAAAATTCAGGGAATTCTCATATTCTTTTCAATTAGTTAAAGTTTCCAAATCTGTCATATTCTCACTACTGATAATAATGCTACTAGATGATTATTTTCCCTTAAGTGAAACAGCTGTTTGAATTTAATTGCAAATAAAACATTTCACTTTTAAATATAGCACTCCATTGTTTCTTCAGCGTAGAGGCAGGAAGAGAATATAGGTTTCTTGCTTTTATACCCAAGTTTGCCTCTATCCAAGGAGTGAGTGTTTTATGCTGGCAAACATGATTTCCAGACTTCAACATTTTTAAAATGTTATTTCGTTTCCCTGGACATCAAACACTTTAAAAACACATTCTGATGAGTCTGGTGTAAATAAATCAGAGGCATGCAGATTCAATGTCTACAAGGGGGAAAAATCTAGAATAAATGTGCTTGAGGAAAAATTTATTAGAGATCACTTTAAAATTAAACTACTCAAAAAGAATGTTTTAAAGTTTACCTGTTGTAGGATCTAAAATAGGCACTCAAATAACAAATTCCATGGTTCCCCTATATCACACATAGTAATCTCCAGGCCCCTTACTGTGGTTAAGTTCTTTTTGATATGTATGGAATCTCAGTGGCTGAGTCAATGACAAAATCTTTCAGGATTTCTATGGAAGATGTGATTACTTTCTTCAACAACACTAGGGCCATTCTCCTCCAGTTAATTTCCATGGCAGTATCTCACAGTATCAATGGCATTAACAGTATGTATCTATTTTAATTAATCTATTTTCTAGCAGAGTAAGGAGTGGATACTGGTTCTCTGACCTAAGAAAAGTGGAGCTCTTTGCAAGTGCTCTATTCTCTTGTGTGGTATTTTTCAAATTTAGATATCTAGGACCCAGGAATACATGTTAAGCATCCCTAATTTTAAAATCTGAAATTTGAAATGCTCCAAAATCCAAAATATTTTGAGCACTAATGTGAGGCTGCAAGTGGAAGATTCCACATCTGATTACTTAAGCATAATGAGTCGTAGTCAAAACAGAGTCAAAACTTTGTTCATGCACAAAATACGTCAAATAATTGTATAAAATCGTCTTTATACTATGGATATAAGGTATATATGAAACAAAAAAAGTTCATGTCTAGACTTAGGTCCCATGCTCAAGATACTTCATCATGTATATGGAAATATCCCAAAATCTTTTGTAAAAATCCAAAATCTAAAACACTTCCAGTCCCCAGCATTTTAGATAATGAATATTCAACCTGTGTATGTCTTTAGACTTCCAGAGAAGCAAAGATATCAGTGTGAAGTTTGTTGTTGTCTCAAAAGTAAACAGAATCACAGACAGCAAAAATACATGGCAAAACTCAATCAAAAATATCACCTGAGAGATCCAGAGAATCCTAATAGTACAGTCTTTGCTGATGATACCATTTTTAAGTATTTTTTAAGTGCAAACACAAAATAAGACATTTTCTTAGAGGAGTATTGAAACTTGGAGAAGAAAATCATGAACTCCACTTCAAAAAAACACTACTCCAGAAGCCAAATGTTTGGTCAATTACATGGTTTGGCGAAATGGCTTTACTTTAGATGTGTCTGTAGAATACAAACTCATCACCAAATTATCCTCCTCAGTTATCACAAAGACAATTAAATAGCAGGCCGGGCGCGGTGGCTCACGCCTGTAATCCCAGCACTTTGGGAGGCCGAGGCGGGCGGATCACGAGGTCAGGAAATCGAGACCATCCTGGCTAACATGGTGAAACCCCGTCTCTACTAAAAATACAAAAAATTAGCCGGGCGCGGTGGCGGGCTCCTGTAGTCCCAGCTACTCAGGAGACTGAGGCAGGAGAATGGCGTGAACCCAGGAGGCGGAGCTTGTAGTGAGCCGAGATAGCGCCACTGCACTCCGGCCTGGGCGAATGAGCGAGACTCCGTCTCGAAAAAAAATAAAAAAATAAATAAATAAATAGCAATAATTTTTGTCTAGATAAATTAGCAAGTCAAAGAGGGAATTAATTTCTTTCTTTTTTCTCTTTTTTTTTTTTTTTTTTTTTTGAGCTGGAGACTCACTGTGTCGCCCAGGCTGGAGTGCAGTGGCGAGTAGCTGGAACTACAGGCACCGGCCACTATGCCCGGCTAATTTTTGTTGTTGTTGTTGTATTTTTAGTAGAGACGGGGTTTCACCGTGTTAGCCAAGATGGTCTCGATCTCCTGACCTCGTGAGCCGCCCATCTCGGCCTTCCAAAGTGCTAGGATTACAGGCGTGAGCCACCACGCCGGGCTGAGGGAATTAATTTCTAACTATAGTTAGCAGTAAATCCATTCACCACTTTGCAATACGTCAATAATATAATTATCTTTTGGTTCTTGGCACTGAACATAGATGTGCTCACTGAGCTTTTCCAAGCTATGATTATGTCCATGGTGTTCAGCTGTTGGCCATTTAACAGAATGCAGCGTGATTCTATTAGGTGTTTTCAAGTTGTCAGAAATTTGGAGTCTATATGACCCGATCTTATTCTCCACAATTTATCGTTATTGAGATTAATACATTGACCCCAAGGACAACTAGAAAGCTGTTGACAGAATGAATTGCCTCAGATATTTGTGTAAACTTGCTTTTTAGCCAATTCTTCAACATAAGGCAATGAATCCATTTAATAAATATGTGCTACATGTTTATTACATACAAGACAATAGACATGCGAGGGATATGAACATATATGACACAGCACATACTCACAAGAAACTTACTAATTGATCATGAATGGATAGAATTTTAAGCTAAGAGTTGGACAAAATACCTTCAGAACATTTTCCAGAAGCCTCTTGGTAAATGTTTGACCTTTGGGACAAGTAACTATGTAATAATAAAGTTAATGCTTAATAAGATCCCCAAGAGAAAAAAATTAATTGTATGAAACACAATCTCCAGAAAGTTGCCCTTCATGTGGAATAATTTTCCCTTTGCTCAGTCCTGCAGTGTCAACCTCATATTAAGACAGTTCAAAAGCAGCTAGCACTGTACTTCATTTTGGGCAATTACTGTCAGCTTTATGCTATTGAATAATGTTGTGCCATACTGACACAGATACTGTAAAACTATTAATATTGCATACTACAGTCACGTAGAAGCTATTTTATTCATAAATATCTATTAGCCAAGACTTGTGCACATGTAAAATACAATGGAAACTGACTTTTATAATCATGTCCTGAAGGCACCTGGAGATCTCAAAATGCCTTTTACAAAATAATACCTAAACATAAACAATTAAAGTCAGTCCATCAGCAAAAATGTATTAGTCTTTATTGTTATAGCTAGAGACAATACAAAAATGTGTTAAGATGTGGCTTCTGCTCTCAAGAAGCTTACAATCATACAGAGACTTAAAATCCACCCAATCTTTAATAAATACCTCTTTCATAAATACACTATACAATGTTGAAAAAGGGAGCATTTGTCCCCATCCCAATGTCCTTTTCTACACCTCCTGTCCTCAAATGAAGAGAGGTTGTTATTAGACAAAATGTGGGACCTTTACTGGGCTTTATCAACTGGAGGGGCCAAGACCCAGGCTGTGTGGCCATTTTTCATTTCCTGCCTCCATGTGGTAAACAGATTTCTCAGATACAGTTTTGTGAATTCAGAGGAAAAGCTTTAAGACTGAGCCGTGCTCTCCTGCACAGGTATTACCAAACAGGACTGCATTGGAGATGACAGGATAATTACCAGCTATTAATACGTTGGTGTTTTACTAAGAATTGCTATATGTAAATCTCTTTGTATGAAGCCATGACGGAAAGAGGAATGAGTAATAAGCTCACCAAAATCCCACCTTGAGATTTTAACATAATATTTAACCAGAAAGTAAATCTGTTTATATTTATTTGTGTTATTATAAAATTACTATTTGAATTTCTCTTTGACTTTAGGTGGAAATGTACGTGATTTCCATATGTTACATTTGTAAACAATATTTGTATATGCCTTTCCTTAACCTATGTATCTTAAGAGGAAATGCCAGAAAATGACAATAGTATTGCATGACACAACATGAATGAATTCTTACATGACGAAGGTTCTCCCCTAACCCTACCTCTCACTCCTTCTATCTCTTAACTATGGGCACTTGGAAGGCAAACTGTAATTTTGTACTTAATTCAGTGGCTGCCACTTAGCAGTGCGCAAAGGCACTTTTTGAATGAATGATGAATAAATTTCCAACCAGGGTTTGAAGAAAATTGGCTAAAATGCTACCCAGCATCCATGCCTGAGTAATTTAACGATCCTTTAGAATTTATTGATAAACTAAGAAGTAGTCACTGAGGTGTTTGATATGTGAATGCATCTGTGGAATGTCTTTTCAATATAGGTAAGACGATTTTACTGGATTGCAAGGTATTTCTGACATAGGATAGCATTTGTGATATAGGTGGCCTTAATGCACACTCCAACTAGTACTCCTCTCTCTCTACATATATTTATATAAGCATATATGGTATTATTTAATATTATGTTAAATAGTAATGTTAAATGTTACATTAATGTTATAGTTCGTAACAAATGTTATTTATTTAATTATATTATTTACTGTTAACTTAAAATTATTTAAATTAATATGATATAATTAAATTATTATTATTAAGGTAATTTCAAGGAGTGAACAATACTGTAATATTCACATTATAATTCTTTTTGATTCTTGGAAAAGCAGCCATTTTGGTTGTTAGGGATTTTTATTTTTATTATGCTCTAAGTTCTAAGGTACATGTGCATAACGTACAGGTTTGATACATAGGTAAACATGTGTCGTGTTGGTTTGCTGCCCCCATCAACTCATCATTTACATTAGGTATTTCTCCTAATGCTATCCCTCCCCCAGCCGCCCAACCCTGACAGGCCCTGGTGTGTGATGTTCCCTGACCTCTGTCCAAGTGATCTCATTGTTCAATTCCCACCTATGAGTGAGAACATGCAGTGTTTGGTTTTCTGTCCTTGTGATAGTTTGCTGAGAATGATGGTTTCCAGCTTCATCCATGTCCCTGCAAAGGACATGAACCCATCCTTTTTTATGGCTGCATAGTATTCCATGGTGTATATGTGCCACATTTTCCTAATCCAGTCTATCACTGATGGACATTTGGATTGGTTCCAAGTCTTTGCTATTGTGAACAGTGCCACAATAAACATACATGTGCATGTGTCTTTATAGTAGCATGATTTATAACCCTTTGGGTACATACCCAGGAATGGGATTGCTGGGTCAAATGGTATTTCTAGTTCTAGATCCTTCAGGAATCACCACACTGTCTTCCACAATCGTTGAACTAATTTACACTCCCACCAACAGTGTAAAAGCATTCCGATTTCTCCATATCCTCTACAGCATCTGTTGTTTCCTGACTTTTTAATGATCGCCATTCTAACTGGCATGAGATGGTATCTCATTGCGGTTTTGATTTGCGTTTCTCTAATGACCAGTGATGATGAGCATTTTTTCATGTGTCTCTTGGCTGCATAGATGTCTTCTTTAGAGAAGTGTCTGTTCATATCTTTTGCCCACTGTTTGATGGGATTGTTTCTTTTTTTCTTGTAAATTTGTTTAAGTTCTTTGTAGATTCTGGATATTAGACCTTTGTCAGATGGGTAAATTGCAAAAATTTTCTCCCATTCTGTAGGTTGCCTGTTCACTCTGATGGTAGTTTCTTCTGCCGTGCAGAAGCTCTTTAGTTTAATTAGATCCCATTTGTCTATTTTGGCTTTTGTTGCCATTGCTTTTGGTGTTTTAGTCATGAAGTCTTTGCCCATGCCTATGCCCTGAATGGTATTGCCTAGGTTTTCTTCTAGGGTTTTTATGATTTTAGGTCTAACATTTAAGTCTTTAATCTGTCTTGAATTAATTTTTGTAAAAGGTGTAAGGAAGGGATCCAGTTCCAGCTTTCTACATATGGCTAGCCAGTTTTCCCAGCACCATTTATTAAATAGGGAATCCTTTCCCCATTTCTTGTTTTAGTCAGGTTTGTCTAAGATCAGATGGTTGTAGATGTGTGGTGTTATTTCTGAGGCCTCTGCCCTGTTCTATTGGTCTATATATCTGTTTTGGTACCAGTATCATGCTGTTTTGGTTACTGTAGCCTTGTAGTATAGTTTGAAGTCAGGTAGCCTGATGCCTCCAGCTTTTTTCTTTTTGCTTAGGATTGTCTCGGCAATGCGGGCTCTTTTTTGGTTCCATGTGAACTTTAAAGTACATTTTTCCAATTCTGTAAAGAAAGACACTGGTAGCTTGATAGGGATGGCATTGAATGTGTAAATAACTTTGGGCAGTATGGCTATTTTCATGATATTGATTCTTCCTATCCATGAGCATGGAATATTCTTCCATTTGTTTGTGTCCTCTTTCATTCCGTTGAGCAGTGGTTTGTAGTTCTCCTTGAAGAAGTCCTTCACATCCCTTGTAAGTTGGATTCCTAGGTATTTTATTCTCTTTGCAGCAATTGTGAGTAGGAGTTCACTCATGATTTGGCTCTGTTTGTCTGTTAATGCTGTATAGGAATGCTTGTGATTTTTGCACATTGATTTTGTATCCTGAGACTTTGCTGAAGTTGCTTATCAGCTTAAGGAGATTTTGGGTTGAGATGATGGGGTTTTCTAAATATACAATCGTGTCATCTGCAAGCAGGGATAATTTGGCTTCCTCATTTCCTAATTGAATACCCTTTATTTCTTTCTCTTGCCTGATTGCCCTGGCCAGAACTTCCAACACTATGTTGAATGGTAGTGGTGAGAGAGGGCATCCTTGTCTTGTGCCAGTTTTCAAAGGGAATGCTTCCAGTTTTTGCTCATTCAGTATGATATTGGCTGTGGGTTTGTCATAAATAGCTCTTATTATTTTGAGATAAATAGTTTATTGAGAGTTTTTAGCATGAAGGGCTGCTGAATTTTGTCAAAAGCCTTTTCTGCATCTATTGAAATAATCATGTGGTTTTTGTTGTTCTTTCTGTTTATGTGATGGATTATGTTTATTGATTTGTGCATGTTGAACAAGCCTTATGTCCCAGGGATGAAGCCAACTTGATCGTGGTGGATAAGCTTTCTGATGTGCTGCTGGATTCGTTTTGCCAGTATTTTATTGAGGATTTTCACATCAATGATCATCAGGGATATTGGTCTAAATTTCTCTTTTTTTTTGTTGTGTCTCTGCCAGTCTTTGGTATCAGGATGATGTTGGCCTCATAAAATTAGTTAGGGAGGATTCCCTCTTTTTCTATTGATTGGAATAGTTTCAGAAGAAATGGTACCAGCTCCTCTTTGTACCTCTGGTAGAATTCAGCTGTGAGTCTGTCTGGTCCTGAACTTTTTTTGGTTGGTAAGCTATTAATTATTGCCTCAATTTCAGAGCCTGTTATTGGTCTATTCAGAGATTCAACTTCTTCCTGGTTTAGTCTTGGGAGGGTGTATCCATTTCTTCTAGAATTTATCCATTTCTTCTGGATTTACTAGTTTATTTGCATAGAGGTGTTTATAGTATGCTCCGATGGTGGTTTGTATTACTGTGAGATCAGTGGTGATATCCCCTTTATCATTTTTTATTGCATCTGTTTGATTCTTCTCTGTTTTCTTCTTTATTAGTCTTGCTAGTGACCTATCAATTTTGTTGATCTTTTCAAAAAACCAGCTCCTGGATTCATTGATTTCTTGAAGGGTTTTTTGTGTCTCTATCTCTTTCAGTTCTGCTCTGATCTTAGCTATTTCTTGCCTTCTGCTAACTTTTGAATTTGTTTGCTCTTGCTTCTCTAGTTCCTTTAATTGTGATGTTAGGGTATCAATTTTAGATCTTTCCTGCTTTCTATTGTGGGCATTTAGTGCTATAAATTTCCCTCTACACACTGTTTTAAATATGTCCCAGAGATTCTAGTACGTTGTGTCTTTGTTCTCATTAGTTTCAAAGAATATCTTTATTTCAGCCTTTATTTCATTATTTACCCAGTAGTCCTTCAGGAGCAGGTTGTTCAGTTTCCATGTAGTTGTGTGGTTTTGAGTGAGTTTCTTAATCCTGAATTCTAATTGACTGCACTGTGGTCTGAGAGACAGTTTGTTGTGATTTCTGTTCTTTTACATTTGCTGAGGAGTGCTTTACTTCCAACTATGTGGTCAATTTTAGAATAAGTGTGATGTGGTGCTGAGGAGAATGTATATTCTGTTGATTTTGGGTGGAGAGTTCTGTAGATGTCTATTAGGTCTGCTTGTTGCAGAGCTGAGTTCAGGTCCTGGATATCCTTGTTAACCTTCTGTCTCGTTGATCTGTCTAATATTGACAGTGGGGTGTTAAAATCTCCCATTATTATTGTGTGGGAGTCTAAGTTTCTTTGTAGGTCTCTAAGGACTTACTTTATGAATCTGGGTGCTCCTGTATTGGGTGCATATATATTTAGGATAGTTAGCTCTTCTTGTTGAATTGATCCCTTTACCATTATGTAATGGCCTTCTTTGTCTCTTTTGATCTTTGCTGGTTTAAAGTCTGTTTTATCAGAGACTAGGATTGCACACTTCTGCTTTTTTTTGCTTTCCATTTACTTGGTAGGTCTTCCTCCATCCCTTTATTTTGAGCCTATGTGCATCTTTGCAAGTGAGATGGGTCTCCTGGATACAGCACACTAATGTGTCTTGACTCTTTATCGAATTTGCCAGTCTGTGTCTTTTAATTGGGGCATTTAGCCCATTTACATTTAAGGTTAATATTGTTATGTGTGAATTTGATCCTGTCATTATGATGTTAGCTGGTTATTTTGCCTGTTAATTGATGCAGTTTCTTCCTAGCATCGATGGTCTTTACAATTTGGCCTATTTTTGTAGTGGCTTGTACCATTTGTTTCTTTCTATTTTTCTTGCTTCTTTCAGGAGCTCTTGTAAGGCAGGCCTGGTGATGACAAAATCTCTCAGCATTTGCTTGTCTGTAAAGAATTTTATTTCTCCTTCACTTATGAAGCTTAGTTTGGCTGGATATGAAATTCTGGGTTGAAAATTCTTTTCTTTAAGAATGTTGAATATTGGCCCCCACTCTCTTCTGGCTTGTAGGGTTTCTGCCAAGAGATCAGCTGTTAGTCTGATGGGCTTCCCTTTGTGGGTAACTCGACCTTTCTCTCTGGCTGCCGTTAACACTTTTTCCTTCATTTCAGCCTTGGTGAATCTGACAATTACGTGCTTGGAGTTGCTCTTCTCGAGGAGTATTTTTGTGGTGTTCTCTGTTTCCTGAATTTGAACGTTGGCCTGCCTTGCTAGGTTGGGGATGTTCTCCTGGATAATATCCTGAAGAATGTTTTCTAACTTGGTTCCATTCTCCCCATCACTGTCAGGTATAGCAATCAAATGTAGATTTGGTCTTTTCACATAGTCCCATATTTTTTGGAGGCTTTGTTCATTTCTTTTTGCTCTTTTCCCTCTGACCTTGTCTTCTCACTTTATTTCATTAATTTGATCTTCAATCACTGATATCCTTTCTTCCACTTGATCGAATTGGCTATTGAAACTTGTGCATGCTTCATAAAGTTCTCGTGCCATGGTTTTCAGCTCCATCAGGTCCTTTAACTTCTTCTCTACACTGTTTATTCTAGTTAGCCATTCATCTAATTTTTTTCAAGGTTTTTAGCTTCCTTGCGATGGGTTCAAACATCCTCCTTTAGCTTGGAGAAAAACTGTTATTACCAAGCTTCTGACGCCTACTTCTGTCAACTTGTCAAATTCATTCTCCATCCAGCTTCATTCCATTGCTGGCAAGGAGCTGCAACCTTTTGGAGGAGAAGAGGCATTCTGATTTTTAGAATTTTCAGGTTTTCTGCTCTGGTTTCTCCCTATCTTTGTGGTTTTATCTACCTTTGGTCTTTGATGTTGGTGACCTACAGATGGGGTTTTGGTGTAGACCTTTTTGTTGACGTTGATGCTATTCCTTTCTGTTTGTTCATTTTCCTTCTAACAGTCAGGTTCCTCTGCTGCAGGTCTTGGAGTTTGCTGGAGTGCCACTCCAGAGCCTGTTTGCCTGGGTATCACCAGCGGAGGTTGTGGAACAGCAAATATTGCTGCCTGATCCTTCCTCTGGAAGGTTCATCCCAGAGGGGCAGCC
The DNA here is from genome assembly GCF_000001405.40 of Homo sapiens. NCBI lineage: Eukaryota > Metazoa > Chordata > Mammalia > Primates > Hominidae > Homo > Homo sapiens. Next base: position 60,130,057 of record NC_000008.11, read on the forward strand.
ACCTATATGAGGTGTCTGCCAGCCCTACTGGGAGATGTCTCCCAGTTAGGCTACACGGGGTTCAGGGACCCACTTGAGAAGGCAGTCTGTCCATTTTCAGAGCACAAACGCCATGTTGGAAGAACCACTGCTCTCTTGAGAGCTGTCAGACAGGGGCGTTTAAGTCTGCAGAAGTTGTCTGCTGCCTTTTGTTCAGCTATGCCCTGCCCACAGAGGTGGAGTCTAGAGGCAGTAGGCCTTGTTGAGCTGCAGTGGGCTCCACCCAGTTCAAGCTTCCTGGCTGCTTTGTTTACCTACTCAAGCCTCAGCAATGGTGGATGCCCCTCCCCCAGCCAGGCTGCCTCCTCGCAGATCAATCTCAGACTGCTGTGCTAGCAGTGAGCAAGGCTCCATGGGCATGGGACCTGCTGAGCAAGGCACGAGAGAGGATCACCTTGTCTGCTGGTCACTAAGACCTTGGGAAAAGCTCAATATTTGGGCGGGGAGTGTCCCGTTTCTCCAGATAATTTGTCACAGCTTCCCTTGGCTAGGAAAAGGAAATCCTTCAACCCCTTGCACTTCCCGGGTGAGGCAATGCCCCACCCTGCTTCAGCTCACCCTCTGTGGGCTACACCCTCTGTCCAACCAGTCCCCATGAGATGAACCAGGTACCTGAGTTGGAAATGCAGAAATCACCCGTCTTCTGCATCAATCATGCTGGGAGCTGCAGACCGGAGCTGCTCCTATTCAGCCATCTTGGAACACCTTGCTTGTTAGGTTTTTTTAAAATAACTATAATTGTGGGGAGACTACAGTAGGTAGAAACACAGAGAATGGAAAAAAGGAATGTTTTTAGGAAAATTTTAGAGTTGTATTGCTTGAATAGTAGCAATTTCTCAGCCTTGCTTTGTGTTTCTTACCCTTGATATTTTTGAAATGTACATGCAGTTATTTTGTGGAATGTCCCTCAATTTGGAATGAATAGAATATATCACTAAATTGAATAAAATCACACTAATTGAATTTCAGTCCATGGTAAAAAATCAGCCTGAAATTCTACCTCAAATTCATACCCAAAGATCACATCTGTCCTTGGATCAAAGATGAGGACTAGTTCTGTTTTGACAACTTCTAAAAAGTGAGTTTATTCAACAATTATTTTGACAAATTTGCTTCAGAGGAAAGTTAGAGTGCTGGAAATGGGCCCAAAAGGAAGAGCGCATGCAGGGGTGCCCTGCCAAATGTTTTGCCAATAGCAATGATCTAATTGGCAAGCCATATTCAAATTCAAGTGTGTGACTGTTGATGCTGTTGGTGATTTTCAAAGAAGAGAAAATTGTGCTCCTATCTGTTTTTCTTTTAAGTTTTTATTTTGACATAATTTCAACTTGCAGAAAAGTTGCTGATTTATACACTACCCCTTACCACCTTGATTCACCAATTGCTTATATTTCACTCCATTTGCTTTAGCATTCTGTGTTTATGTGTAGTTCTGTGTGTGTGTGTGTGTGTGTGTGTGTGTGTGTGTGTGTGTATTAGCATATTCTTTCAGAACCATTTGAGAATAAGTTGCAGACATCACAGTACTTTAACCTTAAATAATTATTCTAAGAACAGGAATATTTTCTTATGTAACTACCAGACAGTTATCAAAATCAAGATTTTTAGAATTGATATTATCTAATTGACAGTCCATGTTCAAATTTTATCAGTTGTTCTCATAATGTCCTTACAGCTCTTTTTTCCTTGTCTGTGACCATACGTTGCATTTAGTTGTCATGTCTCTTTAGTTTCCTTTAATCTGAAATAGTTCCTCTCACTTGCTTTGTGTTTCTTGCCCTTGGTATTTTGGGAGCATACAGACATTATTTTTAGGATGGCTTTGCTATTTTTGAGGTGTAGTTTGAGGAGTACCATAGGACCCCATTGCCTGAATAGAGCTGCCTTGTCAGTATACTCATGCATCTGGGATGCCCAACATCTGGATAACTGCTTTAATTTAAGACATTCTTTATTGAACATTCCTATTAAGTCATTTATATTATCTTGAGTCAATGCTTTAAAATTTATTATAACACTCTGTGACTGTATTTGTTACAAAATAGGCTATGCAGCTATAACAAAGAGACCCAGACATGACACAAACAGAACTTTGCTTCTCTCTTATATAACTGACCAGGAAAATGTGTTCTTGAGCTGTTTGGGTGCCCCTGCCATGTTCATCACATGGTTTCTATCTCTGAGTCCACAGCAGCTGCTCCAGGTCTTGCTCACCCAAAGAGTGGGAAATGCCAGAGATGTGTGAGCACATACCTTTTTGGAGGCATGAACTGGAGATATGGCAGCATCACTTCTCCTTATGCCACACTGCCCGGAACACACCAACCTACAAGAGAGGCTGGGAAATGGAGTCTTTTGTCGGTACACCTATACCCTGCCATCCTATTACTGGAAACAGTGAGAATGGTCCTGGTGGACACCTGATAGTTCCTGACCCAGAAACCATCAACATACATTAACATTTCCTGATTAGTGGCCTCTCATGTAATTAGTCCCATAGCCAAAGGTATAATGTGTTGGGAATGAGAAATGTAGTGAAAAGCCCAATTTACAGAAAGTCTGCCTAGTCAATGCATCCCTAAACAGGTAAATGCAAGGGGAATTGCTGAGATGAGAAACCTCCTGAAGATCCATTAGATGCCTGGAAAAAGAATGCAGTTGGTCAAGCCTCTCAACCTCACTTATTACCAAGCACTGTCCTCTGCATATTATACTCCAATGATACAGAATCACTTGTAAGGTTTCCCTTGTGTGTCTATTATTTCTTATTTCTTCCAGCTTGGATCTCACTTGTACGTGTGCCTGGAATGTCCTTCTCACCCCCACTACTATCTAACTGGTAACTACCAACTCATCTCTGGCATTTATTCAAATCTCACCTACTCTGAGAAAGTGCTCTTGACTCCTGGGACATGATAACCATTCCCAGACAGCTTACACTGACAGCACTTAGTGTCCCAAAGCATTTACACATCTGTCTCACCATACCGGACTCTAAACTTCTTGAGGGCAGAGACTGTGCCTTACTAGTTTTGTAGCTTTAGTGCTCCATGGTTCAGAAGTGTAGGCACGTGTTATATACTTTTCTAACATTTTGAAGAGTGACAGCTAGGAAAAAAGCCATAAACTCAAAAGAAGGCATTTTAGGAGATTAGGTGACCCGCTTGAGAATCACTGATGGCTGAGGGAAAGAAACCAATGAAGAAGGAGAGACTGTAGAGGAGGAAGAGAGATTTGATTCAACAAAATGGGAGACAAGGCCGGGTGCAGTGGTTCATGCTTGTAATCCCAGCACTTTGGGAGGCCGAGGTGAGCGGACCACTTGAGGTCAGGAGTTCGGGACCAGCTTGGGCAACATGGTATAACCCCATCTCTACTAAAAATACAAAAATTAATCCGGCATGGTGGCACCCGCCTATAATAGCAGTTACTCGGGTGACTGAGACACGAGAATCGCTTTAATCCAGGAGGTAGAGGTTGCAGTGAGCTGAGATTGCACCACTGCACTTCACCCTGGATAACAGAGTGAGACTGTGTCTCAAAAAGAAAAAGAAAGAAAAGAAAATAGAAATAAGAATACCAGGCTCATCAAAGAAGAATGCCCAGACTTAAAAATAAAATTTAAGGAAGATACAGGTATTACTGGAGGAAGTTAAAGAGAAACGATGGAGTAGAGAGAAGGTAAATTGAAGTTGCTTTTCATATGTTTGCATACATATATCAAGAAGTCATGTACCAAATTCCCTTCAAATTTATGTATGTATGTTCAAAATCAGATTTTAAATTTAACTCTCTACAAAATACACTTAAACAAGGTAAAGTCTATCCTTAATTTGAGGCCCAAATTCTCTTTAACATCGCATTTTGATGGGAAACTTGGCCTTCTGGTTCTGATAAAATCTAACAACCTTGGTCATAGTTATTTTGAAGTAACTAGCATAATATTAAAAAATAGATTGAAGAGGGGTGTGAAGGGAAAGACTTGATAAATGCATTTGTTTCTGATAAGTAGTGATGAGGTTCAGATCTTTTTCTCCAGATGGCTTTTAAAATAATTTAAAGAAAACTATGTTGTTCAGTAATGGTAAATATCAACATCATGGTCTCGCTTGGATACCGGACTCACAGTGAGCAGAAAGAAGCTTTTCTCTGTCATCTCTCCCTCCCCTGCAGCCCCTCCCTTCATGCCCACCGAGGGGCAGGCCTTTGGCACAGGCTCTCCTGAAGCCCCGATGCCTGCCACCAGTGCCTTCCAGTGAGTCCAGCGCAGGCCTGCTTTACCTCGGGTTTTCCTTGCTAGCCTCAGGACACCAAGATTCACTGCTGCCTGTGTCACCCTCAGCCCTTTGATAAAAATCAGCCCATCTTGAACCATCAGGGTGGTGAAAGTTTAACGATATGATTATGGTGAGGTGCACTCTAGGTAGGGGCCTGGAAGGGCCTTTCATGGGATTTTCTTTTCTAATAATTCAGGTGATACTTCAAACTTTCTGAAGATCAGAGTTTCCACTACCCTGCCCCACAAAGGCAATGGAGTGTGGCCTTTTCACAGTATAACTATGGCTGACAACAAATAAAAAATAATGAAATAATGATAGCTGGTATTTATTGAATGCCCACGGCAGTCCAGGCATTGGCTACTCAGTTTACACTTAGTATTTCTGGTCATTTTTACAATAATCCTGTGAGCTACTCCAGTCTCTTGTTGCCTAGATGGCTTGAATTTCCATAATAGTAAAAAATGGGCAAGAGGTAAGTATTGTAGCAGCAGAACTCCAGATGTTATGTTATGCACTGCCTGTCTCCCAGCATTTCTGGGGAAGAAGGTATTTGCCATGCTCCTCAAGCCCCATAGAACAGCAAGCAGGATCGATCCATACCTGAAGTCCACTTGCCTGCTGCTCTCCCTGCCTGTAGACATCCACTTGTCAATTCTTTTTGTCATAAGAACTGCAGCTGTCACTAAAATTTACACTATTATTTAATTATTTTAGTAAGGGAACTTAATAAAAATGAGAACCTTATAAAAATAAATACATTGCAGCACTAGTCCTAATAGCTGCGATGTGAGAACAATCTAAATGTCCGTTGATAGACAAATGAAGAAAGAAAATATCACACACAAACACACACACACAAATATTATTCGGCCTTAAGAAAGATCTGCTGTGTAACACCATATCTTTAGAACACTTTATTGCACACTGAAAAATCTGTTAAGAGAGTAGCTCTCATCTTAAGTGTTCTTACCACAATAAAATAAATGTAAAATACACCTTTTTTAGTAAAAGCAGAGAATATTCCATAAAATAGGTATGATATTAAAAAACATGCCGTTAAACCTGAAAACTATAGTTTGTGCTTTTAGTCTTTGCATGCACACACACATGCACACAGATGCAAATGATCTGCCTTCAACAACATATTACAGTTACTCATTTTAATATATATTACATATCCTTCAGTGTTCTTGCAGCATGCAAAAAGAATATCATTTCTATAATGAGGCAAACTGATGGGAGTCAGGTTGCTTTTCAGCTTCAATGTATATTCCTTGGCACCAATGTGAGATTCAGCCTCTAAGTAGTGCCTGACACTTGACATTTGATGACAGACCTTGCTATTACATATCGGTTTTTAAAGCTCTTATCTATAACAGGTGATCTTGCTACCCTTTTGATAGTGTTTTATAGTTTATTTTTTGGATGAATGTAAGGCATGTTTCTCAATCCTTCCTAGGATTTCCCTATCTAAGGAACACTAGACTAAATTCCCCTTTTAAAAAAAAATCCTTTTTTCTCTTCTTTGTCTCTACCTACCCAAGTCTCAGCACAAGAATTAAGGCAATAAAATAATAATTTTTAAAAATGTATCAACCAAAATGGCTGCTTTCCAAACCTTGAAAAGAACTGTGGTGTGTGGGTAGCCTAAGCTATTTTCTCTATTAGCCATGCAGTCAAGGCCTAAATACGACAGGTTCCTCAGAAATACTTTGCTTGTCAGTATCATGGTAATGATTCAAGAACAGTTAGGCTAAATGCCTCAGACTTTTCTAAACACATAGCTGATGCCATGTTCTTTTCCATTTTACGAGCTGCTGTTGACATTGAGATTTTCCACATCCTCAGAGCCGTTATGCTACTTCTGTTGGAAGGATTGGCTATTTTAGTCAACGTGAGCTGCGCTGACAAAAACGTGCCTAGAACATCCTCTGGTGGCGACAGTGGGAATCATCAGTTTTTGACATAACTGAAGGTTCCTTGTTCAGCCCCATTCCGCAGGAATGACACTTACCAAGGAAACAGTCCCATGACTGAACACACGCAGCGACTGAGAAACAGCCTGCTTTGAAGACTTTACCGCAACCCTGCCACATATTTTGGGCATTCTGCTGCGAAAGTTCTTAATACGGGATGGCACCATCTCGCCACAAGACTTGCTTCCCACTCTTTTCTACCACTGGTGTAAATCTGGAAGTGAAAAGTAAAGAGAACTTACAAATCAGCTTCTGAAAGACAAAGTCTCATATGATACCTCTTTGCAAACTTCCACAAACACAAACAAGTTATTAATGCGTTGCTTGGATTTCTTTGTAATGGAAATTAAAGTTTCATAAAAGCTGTTCGATTGTGACAGTTTGAGGTTCAGAAGCTGAAAGGTGACATTTACTTTTTTTTTCTTTTTTTTTTTTAGATGGAGTCTCGCTCTGTCGCCCAGGCTGGAGTGCGGTGGCATGATCTCGGCTCACTGCAACCTCCGCCTCCTGGGTTCAAGCGATTCTCCTGCCTCAGCCTTCCGAGTAACTGGGACTACAGGTGCCTGCCACCATGCCCAGCTAATTTTTGTATTTTTAGTAGAGACGGGGTTTCACCATGTTGGCCAGGATGGTCTAGATCTTCTGACCTCGTGATCCACCTGCCTCAGCCTCCCAAAAGGTGACATTTTCTAACTGATGTTTGTGGTCTTTAGTGCTTTGCTTCAAAATTGCAAATCCTACAAAGACCCTTTTTTGTTTTTTCCCGACCCTAAATTAAATAAATCAGTAAGCAATGACAGCTTTCTGGAATGGAAAGGCTAAGGGGTCAATTATGAATTAAATTAAGCTTATGTAGCAATCAAAACCTGTGAATTGGGTGAGAAGAAATATCCATTTAATCCCAGTGACATGAGCCACTGAGAACATCCTGCCTCCTGATAACAGGCCACGTGTTCTTTGTGTTTTATTACACATCATAGAATGAATTAGATCTAATGAGGCTGGCTTGTGTGGCTAATTTCTTTAATGATTTTGATTAATGTAAAGTTTAAAAGATGTGACACATGACTATCTGCAGAATGTGATGCTAATGACAACATTTGATGGGTCAACTGGCTCCCAGAGACATCATCATCCACAGGAATTACTGCTGTGTAAATTTTTCCTTTGTAAATTCTTTAGGATGTAAAGAAGGTCAAAGTGAACATATTTTTCTGATTCATGGGCTAGAACCCTAAACTTAACAATTGGTTGAAACTAACAATACTGTGATAAAGATGAAAATATCCGTTGCCCCCTCTGGAACAAAACAGATTAACTGACAGCATTTCTAAGACAATGCATCACCCTCCACCACTTACCTTTCTTATAGATGGAGGCGTCTTCAATTTCAAGAAACAAAAGCTGAACTCTGGCTAGATAAAGCATAGGGTAATATATTAGAAAAATCTGGGAAATCTCCCAAGTTTGGAGGGAAGACTGAAGAGCCAGCTTGGAAAAGTCAAGAAGCAGCTCCTCGGAGCCTTGCTCAAGATGGCGGAAGGAGATTCGGGGATCCCTCCAGCTCCCCTCACAGCTGAGCTGGCCCTTGAATTTACCATCCCACTCAGACGCGGCACTGTGGAGAAGTATTTCTCCAAAGAGAAATTGGATAGAGAAGGGGTAATGCGGCCGCGCGAGGAGGCTCACGTGTGTAATCCCAGCACTTTGGGAGGCCGAGGCGGACGGATCACCTGAGGTCAGGAGTTCGAGACCAGCCTGACCAACATGGTGAAACCCCGTCTCTACTAAACATTCAAAAATTAGCATCTGTGGCGGGCATCTGTAATCCCAGCTATTCGGGAGGCTGAGGCAGGAGAATCGCTTGAACCCGGGAGGCAGAGGTTGCAGTGAGTCGAGATCGCGCCATTGCACTCCAGCCTTCCAGCCTGTGTGACAGAAAAAAAAAAAAAGAAAGAGAGAGAGAGAAGGGGTAATGTATGCTAGGTAACCAGAAAGAATGTCAATTGCCCCCTACTCAAGTCATGGTCACCCATCTGCCTTAGCCTGCACCTCTTCAACTGGTCTTGGATATGAAGCACTGGTGAGCTATGTACCATGTAACTCCACTTAAAATCCTTTCTGTGTACGCTTTAAATATCTTGGCTTTCTTATTGCAGATTTTCAAAATTGTAACTTTGTTTTTAATCCTAAAGTGGCACAAGTCTTCTGAGAAACCGATGGATAAAATTGTTGCCTGAGGCTTGCTTCACAATTTGGAGTGGCAGGCAAAAGTGGAGAAACCAGAAATGACCTCTCTCTTGTTTGATAAAAGCAGTCAACAGTCACTGTTGACCCATGCGCTAGAAGTTGAACTTGGAAAGTGGTAGGCCCCAGGGTCCCATCCAAGAGAGCTGGAGTTCATGGAAAGACTCCCATCCACCAGAGAGCTAGAGCACACACCAGAACCAATGCTAGGGACAGAGCACACACAGAGAGCTAGCAAGAAAGACTCACCTCAAACACCAGATACTGAGACCCAGAGCAGGACACTAAGGCTAGTGCAACCCTGTTGGGAGGGACTGAGTTTGAATACACTCCCTAACGTGACCTGCAGCGGCCATACAGGACCGCACAGAGCTGAGCCTACAGGAGGCAATTCTTCAATTTTTCTGTAAAGCACTACATTTGCAAAGTAATAATTCCTATGTGTGATGACATCTCCAGAAGGCAGGTGACCTTTAAAATGGTGCTATTATCCTGCCATTCAGAGACAGTCCTGTAGCCCAGATTAATGAAGTCAGAAAAAATACAACCACAGTATCTATTCAGTCTTGCTCTCCCTGCCCAACTCTCCAAGGGATAGGAAAAACATGTGAGTTCATTGAGGGAATAGACGGAAGGAGATCTCATAATTTTCTAGCAAGAAAGAGGTGGAAAGTGCAAATCAAACCTGTTCACCTGTTATTACTAGGTAAGAATGAATTAAGTATCTTTAACATGTTTTTCTGTATTATCTTTATTATTATTTAAAAAATCATAAATAATACTTATGAGGGCCATTATATATTTAATCCAAACATCGCCTAACAAACATTATATGCACCTCAGAAAAAATGTCCCTCAAGGGCGGGGAGAAATTGCTATATAAATGTAATGAAAAGCAAAGTAATGAAAGAGGTTTATCCTGGTATATGCTTGCATGGAAAATGTTAGGAAAGAATCTGGAGAACTAATTGTATTCATTCCTAGTGAGCAGAAGCTATGCTGGTTGTTTTCAGTATCACTTATCATAATGTATTGTTAGGCATGACAATAACAAAAATAGATGGCAGTTACACTTTGTTTTGATCTAATTAGCTAATGTTTTCCTAATTCAGATTATGAAATATGTATGTCCCCCAAATCTAAATAGGATTATAAGGATGTAGAAATGAAGTCACATGATTCCTGCCCTCAAGGAGATCATGATCTACTCTGCAGATCTATCATAACTACAAGGCTGAGTGTAACACAGGCAATAACCACAAAGTGTTAAAATGAACAAAGAGAAGACCATCTATATGGAACACGACACCCTCAGAAACATGGAACAGCTTCTCACAGACCTCTGATTTGGTAGGAAGAGCTTTCTAATAGAGAACTTCATGTATTTATTCTTATTCTCCTTTACATATTATGAACGAAACAGTACCCTTCACACCAGTAGACTTCAAACTTCATTTTGCATAAGGACATCTAAAAGATGGTAAACATGCAGTTGCCACCCAAATTCCTAAGCATCTGATTCAGGGGGTCTACAATTTTAATGTGTACTCCTTGAACCATACTTCGAGAAATATCATTTAGACATTGATATTGTTCAATTCCTTCAAATATTTTACCCATTAAAGACTGCTAAAGTGAGGTTATAAGGTTTTGGTAAAGTCTCATTAAATATTTATAAAGATACTGCCATCCCTCCAGAAGACATCTACTCACTATCTCTCTCTGGTCAAACCACACTAACTTTGCTTACTCTTTAGGCTAGGTATGAATGTGGCTACATTTCACTAAGGCTAATGAAGAATTCTGGGATGAGCTTAGAAGAGCAAAATTCACACACCTTAAGGTATTATTTGCCCACAAACCATGCTTTGAGAAGTGGACATGTTTAATATAACAACATTTAAGAGGGACAGACATAGACATTTTGTTTCATTACATTTCACATCTTATGTGCTACCTTATCATTGTATCAAAAAAAATTATCAGGTTTATATGACCATTGATTTGTTCTTAATAAACCCTATATAGCCTATATCTCAATTCATTTGACTGTAAAATCCCAAATAGACTATAAAAACAAATTTCTAGAGTTAATGAACTAAAAAATTACCATTAATTGAAGTACAAGCATTTATTTCAATTAAAGAATGTCACAATATTTAGTTTACATCTCACAGCTACCACCATAAATCTAATCAATGGCATAATTTATACTGAAGAGCAATTTGAATAATTTAATACACTGTATTTAATGCTGGTCATTACACATAATTGCAAATGTATACTATTATAAATGCAATATGTGCTGTAACATGGTTTATTCTGTTTATCTCCTGTCATATTACTTATTAATATTACTATTTGTGAACAAAATATAGGAAACTATTCCTTTCTTATCAAATAGCCTCAGAAAAAGTTTAATCAGTTTAAGCCCCCTGGGAAAAAATCCATCTTTCATAAATAAACTCATAAAAACAACAGACTTTATAAATATTTAACATGCAATTACTCAGGATTATTAAATAAATTCTATTATCTATATTCCAATTTTTCCTTTTGTGCCAATCAGCTTTTGTTAAAGTATTAGTCAATTTCTACAGAAGAAAAATAAAAAGCAAATATATGATTGCAAATCTAAGATTTACCTAACACAGCCTATTTCAAACACTCCCTTCTTCTAGAAATGAAGGTTAAGATTAAGGTTAATATCATCATGACTTATGATGACAGCATGTACCTATTATATGATATGGTGAGAATGGCACTTCATCTCTGTGATCTTCCTCAAACCACAAGCCCAGCCAAACCATAAGGAAAACATTAGACAAAGTCAAATTGAGGGACATTATATGAAACACCTGACCAGTACTCCTCAAAATTGTCAAGGTCACTAAAAACAAGGAAAATCTGATCTCTAACTCTCATCTGAAGACTGTTCCAGAAGAGCTCTGGTTATATCTAGAATAATGAATGCTTTGGTTGGAAGGAATTATTGTGCAAGTAATTTTGCAGCGCTAAAGGATCCAGAAGAGAGGCTGCAAAAAATAAGGCTATATGAGTATAAAGCACAGCTATTTTCTGTTTAGTTAATACAGAAAATTTAGATACACAGGTGCTTCTGTATTATTTCTTAAAACATTTACCAAATGCCTACTGTGTACAAGATACTTTACTAGGTGATATGCTGAATACAAAGTTATATATTATGTAATCAGGTGTGATAGGTACATGTTGGAACTTGAAGCAATTCCAGCAGTTATACAGTTTTTTGGCTGTCTCTTTTTGCCTGAAAATCCTCAATGGCTTATTCAGAAAAGACAGACTCAGAAGGCCTAAAGAATTTTATCTCAGATGGATGGTAACCAGACCAGTGATGAGGAATATGACAGCATCATAAACAACATTGAAGAAGAGGAAAAAAGAGTTTGGCTCAGCTGAATCTGTGATTTTCAGAATGCTGAGTTACCCCCCAATTTGCAGAGCTTTAATTGTAGATTATGACCTACAAATTTCCCAACAGTTCTCAAACATTAATACCATCATGCAAACCCAGATGTTGGAGTTATTAGGCAACTATTTTAAAGCCCCTATTATAGCTATGCTCAAAGAGACATAAGGTAATTTGTTTGTAATAAATTAAGAGATAGAGAATCTCAGAACAAAAATAGAAACTATGAAGAAGAACCAAATGCACATTTTACAACTGAAAACAGAATTCCAGAACTAGAAAGTGTACTGAATGAGCTAAATAGCAGAATGAAAACAATAAAAATCATTCAATCTGAAAAAGAGAGAGAAAAAAGATTTTTTTTAATGAAGAAAGCCTTAGAACATGTGAGACAATTTCAAAATGTCCAACACATAAGTAAATGGAGACCCAGATGAAGAGGAGTAAGATAATGAAGGAGAAAATAATTCAAGAAATAATGACAGAAACCTCTCAAATTAGTTGGAAGATACGTATTGACAGATTTATAGATTCAACAACCTCAGCAACCTACAAACAGGATAAATTTGGAGAAATGGATGCCTGAGCACATTATATTCAAATTGGTTAAAAAAAAAGATTTAGTCATGAAAATAACCAGAGAAAAAGATACATTACAGAGGAACAATAATTTGGAAAACTACATACTTTTATGAGAAATCGTGGAGGCTCAAGACTGTGGAACATCTGTTTAGTGCTAAACGAAAGAAAGATTTTTTTTAAAAACCTGTCAACCCAGAAGTGTATATTCAATGATGATAACCTTCAAGAATGAAAGTGCATTTAAAACATATTCATATAAAGAAAAGCTAAGAATATGCACCACCAGTCTTGCACTACAAAATATGCTAAAGGAGATTCTTTCTGATGAAGGGAAATAATACCAGGGAAAATTCAGATCTTTAGGAATTGAAAAGAGCACTGAATGTGATAGAAATGTGTAAGTATACATAAAAGACTGGTTCATTTGATTTAAAAATTGCAACATTGTTTGAAGCATAATTATAATATTGTCATGGAAAATTTACAATATAATATGACAACTATAACATGAAGAACAATAAATGTAAATGAACATATATATACTGAAGTTCTTACATTTTATAAGTGGTAAAATATTATAATATGAAAAGTTAAGAATTGATATTTTAATTCTTAGAACAATTGTTTAAAAATAAAACCACAAGGTATAGCTAAAAAGCTAATAGATAAATTAAAATGGAATTTCAAAACACACTCAACTATTGAAAAAGAAGGTAATAAGGTTGAAACAAAGGAACAAAAACCAGAGGGAACAAACTGAAAATAGGTGTGGTCACATCAATAATTACATTAAAGGTCAATGGAATAAACACCCCAGGAGTCAGGGAGAAGACCTTACAAGCTTCCAGAAATGGAGAAAGAAAGTCATGTCACAAAGGATCAGAATGACATTAGACTTCTCAAAAACAACACTGGAGGCTGTGAAACATGGAACATTGTCTTCAAACTTCTTTTTAGAAAATAGTTATTTTTTCTTAGAATTTTACATATATCCCAAACTATTGATCAGATTTGAAGGTAGAATACAGATGTTTACCTTTTGCGTATCTTAAGATATGCAAAACTTAAGAAATACTTCTCATGAAGGTTTTCTCAGGATGGTCCTGGAGGATACATTCCTCCAAAAAGAGAAAGGAAGCCAAGAGAAAGAGAAACGTAGCAGGAAAGAAACAAGGGATCCAATATAGCAATGGAGTAAAGGCAAAGTCCAGGACAACTAGCAAAGAAGGCAGCGTATGTAACAGATGGTTTCTAAAGATTCTTCTTGAGGAAGATGACAATAATAAAGTTCTTGATAAATGAAGGTTTTTAGATAACTGACAAAGAATTCAAAGTTGAATTAGTGATAAGTATGTAGAAAACTAAGCAAACAAAACAAAAGGCAATTATCCCCTCAATGGTGTGGGGAGGAAGTTGCATAAGAAAGGATAGTAATGTTGGTACAATATAAGACTCAACTGCCATTATCTTTGACATATTTGAATTATTTAGAAATACTGACTATTGGCATAACTGAAATTACAATATACCAGTACTAAGAGTGTGAGAAGGTACTTGTTGGGCAGTGGCAAGGAGTAGTAACAGAGAGCTAAATCCTAATCTTTTCAGGGGGGTAATTATTAGAAATTGCTAAAACTTTTTTTAAAAAGCACCCACATAGATGCAGACATAGAGGTTAAAAAAAAATGAAAGTAAAGTGGCAGTGGCCTCAAAAATGGGTAAGAAGTGATGTAGGGAACTAGCATTACCAGGTATTTATATGGCTTTTTTAGTAGTAAAAACCAAAATTGATATAAAAGTGATTAAGACTTAAGAAGTTATAAAGTTCCTGAACCATAACTTGTAAGCTTTTGAGCATTTCTTTACCTTCACTTGAAAATTAAGATAATTATTTTATTTAATAAGTTTTTAAAGCAGGTAGGTGAAAAGTATTGATATATTGCCATTATATATTATAATAATTTAATATATGATAAATAATAATTTATCATATGCATGTAGGACACTTGACTTATTCATTCCTGTGGTATGCTCTATGTCATCTCCCTAATATATATGAGGATATAAATAAATACTGAACAATGATAAAAGAAAAAAAGTCTAAGAACATGTCACAGTTGAGAGGAGGCTAAGGAAACTTGATGACTAAATGTAACTTGATATTCTGAATGAAATTCTGGAACAGAAAAAGGATGCTGGAAAAAGTTCATAAAATGTAATTAAGCATGAACTTTCATTAATAATAATGTAGTATTGATATTGGTTCATTTATTGTGACGAAGGGACCACAATAATGAAAAATGTTAACAATAGGAGAAACTGGGTGAGGGGTGTGTAGGAACTCTCTGTACTACCTTTACAGCTTTTCTGTAAACCAAGCACTATTTTAAAATGAAATGATGATTTCAAGTTGGAAAAAAACAATAATATCAAGTGATAATCTGGGAGAAAATATTTGCAACATAATAGGCAAATGATTTGTGTCCAGAATGTAGCCTACAAATTGACTAGAAAAAAGACCAGAAAAAATAGAAAAGTGGGAAAAGCACTGGGACAGGCTGACATAAATACAAATATCCAGTAAACATAAAATTATAGTAAGCCTCAGCAGTGATCAAGGAAACAAAATTTAAATGACCACCTTGTATCCATCATGTTAGCAAATGTAAATTGACTACATCGAGGTCAAAATTAGAGAAACTGCACTGCTGGTAGAGCTGTAAATTATTACAGCCTCTTTGGAAAGCAATTTGACAGTATATATTAAAATTATAAATGCTTATACGCTCAGACCCAGAAATTCCTAATATCAATATCATTATTTACTTTCGATGCACAGTGGCAAGAAGGCAGGTACAGAAACATTCACTGCTGCATTGTTTGTAGTGGCAAAAAATTTAAAACTATGCACACATTCATGAATAGAGCAATTGTTACACAAATTAACCTATATGATAGTATATGTACACCATATGTATGAAATATAGAATATTATAGTTTTTAAAGTGAGGCAGATACGAGCTAACATAGATCTCTAAGATGTTGCTGAGGGAGTAAAAAAGCAAGCTATAAATCAACAAGTTTATGGTGACACTTTAAAAAATAAACAGAAAAAATTGCTAACAATGTTATATGTTTTATTGGGAACCCCAAAATAAATGTAATACACAGGAAGTAATATAGGAGATGCACACCAGCTTGATGGTAAATCTTGGGAGTGGCAGGGCTGGATGAGCATTCTAGTCCGAGAAGAACCCAGCCTAAGGGTGCTGATAAAGCTTTAGCCACCTGCTCTCCCTTGGCTGTGTCTGCTGATTTCTGGGGAGTAAATACACCAACTGTAGATGATTTAATGGCTCATAAAATACCTAAAATTTTAACAACTGTCTTTTCCAAGCCATACAAGCAGACTCCAGCACTTCAGTGACTGTAGTCTTACTCCTGTTTTTAAAACTTGTGTAGTTAGAAATTATTTTTAAACTTAAAAAAATATTTTATCTGAATGATTCTGGAGTACTCCAGAGGCAGAAATTTCCCAAATTGTATTAAAATCTTGAAATGCCACTAAGGGCTTCTGGTGTCACTTAAAATGTCTGTGTCAGCAATTGCAGTTCCAGGATCCCGCATAGTACATGCTGTCTTTCTGAAAATAGATATAAATAAACTTAAAATAATTTTAAACAAATACTTTATCTACTTTGTCAGCATTGGCTTCATGATCCAGCTGAATGAAGGGAGAGATTAATGGAGGATGTTTGTATTAGTTCTCTCTTCCATTTCTGCTGCAACGAATGACCACAAACTTAGCGGCTTAAAACAAGCAAATGCATTATCTTACAGTTCTGTAATTCACAAGTCCAAAAGGGTATCACTGGGCTGAAATCGAGGTGTCAGCTGGGCTGCATTCCTTTCTGGAAGTTCCAGAGTAGAATCCACTGCCTTGCCTTTCCCAGCTTCGAGAATGCACCCCCATTCCTTGACTGTGGCCTGCTTCCTCCATCCTCAGAGCCACATTAGTAAATGGACCACAGATGGCCCACTGTATCTATGCTATGCTGACTGGGACTAGGATTGGGCAATGGAGTTCTTTGGCCAAGGAAGTGTTGAAGCCTGTGCATCTCCTGCCTGTTAACTATTGTCTAACACACTAGAAAGAAGGAATACTTTGTCCAGACTTAAGTACCAAAGGCATTACAGTGACAATAACAATGGATCCTACAAAGGCAAATGTTATACAACAAAAGCTCTAATGGCACTAAGTGAGAAATTAGTGATGTGTTTATGAAAAAACTGAGGGGAACAGATATAATTAAAGGATCCCAAATTCTTTCAGTACCAATATGATGAATACACATTGACATGTATAGATAATAGGTAGGATACAGGAAGGTTAATCAAGTCAGAAGGAAAACAAAGGACTAATATTATTCCTTCCACATAGAGAAGGAACTTGGCTCTATTGTGGGGTGGGGGGAGGGGGGAGGGATAGCATTAGGAGGTATACCTAATGCTAAATGATGAGTTAATGGGTGCAGCACACCAACATGGCACATGTATACATATGTAACAAACCTGCACGTGTGCACCTGTACCCTAAAACTTAAAGTATAATAAAAAAAAATACTATCTTGTGTTTCATTGCTATAGATACAATAATAAAATCTAAGCCAATGGATGAGGATCTTTTGTATCTTATATAGTTGGCTAATAGTCCGGCTAAAGTACTCAAAAGAGTTTCAAGTTTGTGAGTTATAGAATTTGTAAGTGAGGAACAGATCATGAACCCAGGAGTTGAGTTTCTCATGGTGTTAAGGCTCAGCTGCCTGACATAGCATCTGGAATCCGGACCCAAGGCTCTAGATCTGGCTCTAGCTGGAAACTTCACTGGACCTTAGGGAGTCAGAGAGCTTCCGAGGCGTAATGAAGTATAATCACAGCCCCCTGGTTAGATGGCTTAGACAGATACCTCCTTCTTTCATTCCTCCTCTTTTTTATACCCCTGTGACCTTTCCAGGGATTCTTGTTTCATGAAAAGACAAAAGTATTAAAATGATCTGAAATAAAAACTTTACAGAAGACAAAAACTCTTTAAATTTTTGAGAACACTAATAAAAATAATGACTATTTCTGTTTCCAAAAAACACCGAAGTGAGAAATTACTACTCTGTTCTACCAACAAGAAAATACAATCAAAGGAAAGCTAAATTACTTTCTCCCCAAAGTAGGCCAAAATACAGGGCATTTTAATGTATGCATGAAGGAAAAAAACATTCCTACATCTACTCTTTCCTTTTTGTTTTATTTTGTTTCAATACAGAGTCATTATGAGGAGGAGCTGGTATGATAAAGAGGTATGGAGTAGAAAGGAAGATAATAGATTCAAAATAATTTTAATTCCCTCATGTATATATACTCTGCTCTTATATTTAAAGCTTGGATATGATTTTGTCCCCTGTGGAAAAAAGAGAAATATATCTGATGATCCATTTATAAAGACACAATATTTGTTCTTATGTTTCAAAACAAATAAATTTTAAGTAAACTCATATATATACTACTGATTTGTGTAATATTATATTTCTAATTCTGGAAGCACTTGGAAAAATAGCAAAATTCAAAGCCTCTTTTTCCCCAAAGGAATGAGGTTACAATCAGAAGCATAACTCTAAAATGCTCATGGTTAGATGTAATAAAGCTGAAGAAAGAGTTAGAATAGAATAGGATGCTAGACTGGCAAGAAATGGGAGTGAGAAGGAAAGAGGAATTTTTATGACTTACTTCAATTCGGCTTTATCTTTTTATTGGAATGAATATTGAATTTAAGAAGGAGCAATTACCAGCAGCTCTTAGAAAAGGTATGAGTTCAATGCTTGATGATTAATAAACTTAAATTATTTCAAAGTAACTTCCAAAAGTTATTTCTTTTATCTAGAGCTTTCCATGGTATCAGGCAGGCAGATATTGGAGAGATTCTCTAGGGGACTACATCACTGTGATCAAAATCTCTCTAATTCTATAAGATTCCATCGATATAATCAGGACAAATTACAGAGTAATATCTGTATGGCCGTATTTTGCAAAATTATTATTACTGTCCCATTAGTTTCACTGTCAATTATCTTCTAAAGTAGTGGGAACAAATAAAAATCACATATAAACTTTTTTAAAAAAGACATGGTTTTTAAACTCAGACATATAGATACATTTACTAACTAATTAAAACTAAAAGCCATGTGACTCAGAGTGTTAAATATGGAATATTTTTAAAGTGTTTGCAGTATACAAGGAGCTTAAAAGAGAAACCAGAATGTTAATTAAATCCATTTTAATCAAATATGCAAAAAACAGAAATATTAATGTTTTGTTTTAAGGTAGCTATTAGAACAAGTTAGCTTCCCCAAGTTAAGGAATGTGATGATATAAATAGATAGATTAAGGCAATCTACACATAGATTTCTCAACAATACAATAGAATCTCATTAATTTGTAGCTCACTAATCAACTCACATAGATTCTACAGTATTTTATTAGAAGGCATAAAGCTATTCAAGAGAGGATTATATCATCTGCAGTCTCAGATTATTCCTATAATTTCAATGTCCAACAGGGTCAGAGATAACCAAGCACACAAGGAAACAAGATCTTATGAACAAGGATTTGGAGAAATAACAGAAAACAGAAATAAACCCACAGGAATTCTAGATGGTGAAATTATTGAACAGCCTGTGGAACAACTATTATATTTGAGGAAATAAAAACCAAGCTTAAAATTATCAGCAGTGAGATAGAAACTATTAAGAAGTGAAATACATGATTTGGAGAAGATCCAAATAGAAATTATACAACTAAAAAAATTCAATAACTAATATTAAAAACTCAGTGAAAGGGTTTAGCAGATTATACCCAGCTGAAAAGAGAGTTAATGAACCAGAAGACACGTTAGAAGAAATTAGCTGAATAAAACATGGAGAACCAAAAAGATAACAATTTGTTTAAATATAGAACATATATACAGTAAGAAGGTCTATCACATGCTTAATTAGAAACCCAGAAGGAGAGAACAAAGAGAATGAAACAGAGGCAATATTAGGATAAACAATGGCTAAACATTTTCTAGAAATGATGAAGGATATCAATTTCTATATTTGTGAAACCTAATGAATACTGAGCAGAAAAATGTAAAAAGAAATACACACTTATAGTGAAACTGCAGTAAATTTTTTTAAATGTACAATTTTAAAGAGAATCAGTGAATAAAGGTTAGGTTTACTTTAAATGACACAAAAAAATAAAGACTCTCATCTCGCTTTTATTGGTCTGAAAAAGTCTTCATTTTGCCATTATTTTTGAAAAATGTTTTGCTAGGTATAGAGTTTAGCACTGGTTCTTAAGGGGACAATGCTTTCATCAAGGGACACAATAAGATGTCACTGAAATTTCCACCTAGTCATTCTGGTCTTCTTAAGCCTCTGAACCAATAGATTTTCTTTAAAGTTTTAGTCTGTTGGCCGGAGTGATTGATCCCAATTACCAGACAAAACTGGATTGCTACTATAAAATGGAGACAAAGAGAACTGTAGTATCCAGGGGACCCTTGGTAATGCCCTTTAGCACTTCCATACTAATATTCCACGCCCAATAGTAAAAGTTATTTTAAAATTACAATAAAATGCAAAATGACTGAGGTCTCACACCATTCAGGAATGAATGCTTAGTAACCTTCCCCAGGTAAAGAGCCTAAAGTAACTGAGGTTCTGAATGAAAGCAAGGAAAATATTTAGGACAAGCACTTGAAGAAGGATGTCACAGATATTAACTACAACCTCATGATCCATTACAGAGATGAGGACTGTATTAGCTTGGCATATTTTCTCTTTGTTATGTGCATCATATGCTTGTTGGTATAACCTAGCCACCTTCCTTTTTCTTCCCATTTTTATTTCATATAGAAATTATTAGAAGTTAACTTTAACTTTTACCTTTAGGTAACAAAATATTCAATGGGTCTGTGACTGAATTTGAGGAGGAATTAATGTGGTCAGCATTGGATACAATGACTACTGGGACTGTGTTTCTTCTTTTTGGGAAATAGCTACTTACAGCTTCCTGTTGTCTGTAGAGTTCTCTTCACTTCTTACTAACCAATTCCCCGTTACAATGAATAATTCTTTGTGTTAAATTTTCCTGGTCAAATTGTGGTGTGGCTTCTTCTTTTAACTGGACCCTGACTGAAATACTTTGCTTTTCTTTATTCTTATTTCTCTTGGTGATTTTGTTGATTTTCTTGGATCTTAAAATATTTTTTTCTGTACAACTCACTCTTTCTCCTCTAACTCTGAGACTCTTATTAAATATATGTTAGACTGCTTGACATTATACTATAAATCACAGAGATTTTGTTCACTTTTCTTACTTTTTACCTCTATGCACTTCATTTGGAATAATTTCTATTATTTTGTCTTCAAGTTCATTGCTCTTTTATTCTGTTGTGTCTGTTAATCTTATTCAGTTCATTTTCCTTTGTGGATGTTGCATTTTTCATCTCTCAATGTTGCATTTGGTTCTTTATCAGGTCTAGCATTTTTCTTATCATGTCCATGTTTTCTTTCATATCCTTCAACATATTTGTTATTTTAGGATCCTTGTCTCCTTAATTCCTTCATCTCTGTCTTTTCTGGCTCTTTTTTTTTTTTTTTTTTTGAGACAGAGTCTCACTCTGTCACCCAGGCTGGAGCGCAATGGCGCCATCTCGGCTCACTGCAGCTTCCGCCTCCTGGGTTCAAGCGATTCTCCTGCCTCAGCCTCCCAAGTAGCTGTAGCTGGGACTACAGGCCCACACCACCACACCCAGCTATTTTTTTGTATTTTTAGCAGAGACGGGGTTTCACCATGTTGACCAGGCTGGTCTTGAACTCCTAACCTCAGGTGATCCACCCGCCTTGGACTCCCAAAGTGTTGAGATTACAAGCATGAGTCACTGCACCTGGCCTTTTCTGGTTCTTTTATATGATTCGACTTTCATCCTGATCATTGAGAAAATTTTCCTTCTTATTTGCAAGCAGAGTTATTTTTATCATTTATTGGCCTTTGTGAATTTTATGTGATTAAGTGTAAAGCTCAGTTGTTCACTTTTAATGTGTATTTGGCATTGTTATGGCACTTTTACTAGCACATCATATTGACCCATTCAAGGCTTACCGTTAAGCTTTATCAGAGTAGGTCCAAAGCCAACTTCAGTCTAGGGCTAACTTAGTCCTGTAGATAGCCCACATAGCACTAGATTTCTCCACTCGGTATAGCAAGAATGTTAACCATCCCCAGTCTTATTGTGTCCAGAATTGGTGGGTTCTTAGTCTCACTGACTTCAAGAATGAAGCCGCGGACCCCCACAGTGAGTGTCACAGTTCTCAAAGGCGGTGTGTCCAGAGTTTGTTCCTTCTGATGTTCAGATGTGTTCGCAGTTTCTTTCTTCTGGTGGGTTCGTGGTCTCACTGGCTCAAGAGTGAAGCTGCAGATCTTAGCGGTGAGTGTTACAGCTCTTAAGGTGGCATGTCTGGAGTTGATCGTTCCTCCCAGGTGGTTGGTGGTCTCGCTGGCTTCAGGAGTGAAGCTGCAGACCTTTGCAGTGAGTGTTACAGCTCATAAAAGCAGTGTGGACCCAAAGAGTGAACAGCAGCAAGCTTTATTGCAAAGAGCGAAACAACAAAGATTCCACAGTGTGGAAACGTACCCAAGAGAGTTGCCACTGCTGGCTCGGGCAGCCTGCTTTTATTCTCTTATCTGGCCCCACCCACATCCTGCTGATTGGTCCATTTTACAGAGAGCCGATTGGTCTGTTTTACAGAGAGCTGATTGGTCCGTTTTGACAGGGTGCTGATTGGTGCATTTATAATCCCTGAGCTAGACACAAAAGTTCTCCATGTCCCCACTAGATTAGCTAGATACAGAGTGTCAATTGGTGTATTTATAAACCCGAAGCTAGACACAGAGTGCTGATTGGTGCATTTACAAATCTTGAGCTAGACACAGAGTGCCGATTGGTGCATTCACAATCCCTTAGCTAGACATAAAGATTCTCCAAGTCCCCAGCAGATTAACTAGATACAGAGTGCTGATTGGTGCATTCACAAACGCTGAGCTACACACAGGGTGCTGATTGGTGTGTTTACAAACCTTGAGCTAGATACAGAGTGCCAATTGGTGTATTTACAGTCCCTTAGCTAGACATAAAGATTCTCCAAGTCCCCACCAGACTCAGGCGCCCAGCTGGCTTCACCCAGTGGATCCCACACCAGGGCCAGAGGTGGAGCTGCCTTCCAGTCCCAGGCCATGCGCCCGCACTCCTCAGCCCTTGGGTGGTCAATGGGACTGGACACCGTGGAGCAGGAGGCGGCACTTGTCGGGGAGGCTCGGGCTGCGCAGGAGCCCAAGGGGGGGGACAGGGTGGGAGGGTAAGGGAGATCAGGGAGGAGGGGACAGAGGAGGGGGGAAGGGGGGTGCGGGGGAGGGCAGGGGTACACGGGGGGCTGCTAAGGCCTGGTGAGAAATCAAGCTCAGCTGCTGCTGGCCCAGGTGCTAAGCCCCTCACTGCCCGGGGCTTGCCGCCACCTGGCTGCTCTGAGTGCTGGCCCGCAGAGCCCACGCCCACCCGGAACTCGCACTGGCCTGCAAGCGCCCCATGCAGCCCCAGTTCCCGCGTGCACCTCTCCCTCCACACCTCCCCACAAGCTGAGGGAGCCAGCTCCAGCCTTGGCCAGCCCAGAAAGGGGCTCCCACAGTGCAGCGGTGGGCTGAAGGGCTCCTCAAGCATGGCAAGAGTGGGCGCCAAGGCCGAGGAGGTGCCGAGAGCCAGCCAGGGCTGCGAGGACTGCGAGGGCTGCCAGCACGCTGTCACATTTCACTATGTGAGTTCTGGGAATTGTTTGGCTTGCTACTTTGTAGTAGTGTTTCCCCTAGCCTGAAAAGGTTTATCCCCTGTGTGTGCAGATGAATATTTAGCCAAAGACTAAAAGGGGACCATCTGCAGATATCTAGAACTTTCTGTCTCTGCAACTGTCTGTCCCTCCCCTCTGGTACTCTGGCCACAAATAGTGACTGCTTCTGCCTCCCCAAACTACAACTTCTGTCTCTACAAGTCACAAACCCACTGACTCCATTTGGATTCTCCCTGTGCAGCAAAGTGGAAACTGCCTCTCAGTGGTAAACTGGGGCAATTATACTGCCCACTCCATTGTTTTGTTTCTCTCAGAGATCACATTCCCTAGGTTTTCTAGGTTTTATGGAAGGAAAGCCATTTCCAAAGCATTTCTTCCTTTGTTGGCAGAAGTGGAAGTATTGCAATATCTTTTTCTAATGTTTTCTTAGTAATTAATAGTGCAAGTGTTCTCTATGTTTAAAACTATTTAAACAGCATATACCAACAAGTATTTCTTTCCAAGACTGTAATAGCCACAAATAATTGTTTTCATTTTAGCAAAGCATCTCTTCAAGAGATATTAACAGTACACTGTTATTTGTGCAAATGTATTCTTTGGAATTAATATGTCTGACTTTCTTTTCAAATATCCTAGTAGAAGGCTTTGTGTTCGTTCACCCAACCACTGCCTTTCTAAATAGCATTAACTTTTATGTCTGAAACTTCAATCAGTGTATTTGCTACCTGTTGAAGTTCTGGAAGGAAAAAGAGATAGAAAAAAGGAAATTGATGTTTGACTGTGGCAAAATGTGAGGATTTCCCTGCAGATTTCATATGTGTATAATAATAGCTAACTTTACTGATAGGAACATAGGGGTACTTGGCCAAAGTCTCATAACTAATGAGAGGCCATTGTGATTCTGACTGCAAGTTCAAATCCTTCAAGCCACTATACTGCCTATACTGACCACCCTAAATGTCATTGCAATGACATTTAGCACCTACAACAGGAATAGAAAAGTAAATTCTTTGTTTTCACTGCCTCACCTACTTCATTGACTGATGATTGACCCTCAGAGTCATACAATGGGGAGAGCAGCTCACATGCACTGAAATACCATCTTGCTACTGGTGAGATCTGTGTGGACTCATGCATAACTCAGTTTCCTCTTCACACACTAGATATAGACAGAGCACTGAAATTTAAAAGTTAAGTAGAGATACAAATATAAATACCTTGCTTATTTGTGTCTGAGAGTTTTAATCCAATCAAATTCTATGACAAAAACTGAGGCATCCAAGGCTTTCTCCCCCCTCCCTACCCTGTCACTCGTCACTATTACCCCTTTTGCTCCTTCAAATATTTGCTTAACTACCTGGCTACCATCATAAAATATTCAATGAGAGGTCTGACACATGGTGGAATGAATGTGTGTTGTATGCAGTAGGCTGCCTGCTGTCCCCATTTAGGAAGTAATTAGGAAATCTTATCTGCCATGGTCTGGATGGTCAGGTGTTAAAGATTAGCAATTCTGTTTCCAAATGACAATACATTACTTGTCACTTCTTGAATCAAAGTCATTCATATCAGCCTGATAGTTGACATTTTAAAGAATAGATCTTTCTCTGTGATTTTTTCCATCAGATTTATTTCTGCTATTTTTGAGGAAAGCGTCACAGGAAAGCAATATGTATGTGTATCTTCTGAATAACCATTCCGGTGAAGGCTGTAATGGAATGGGATGTGAGCTATGAGTAGACCCATTGTGGGAGGGGTTGGGGGACACATGGAAGAGTAGGGGGAATTGAGGGGAAAGACCGCAAAAGAAACTTTGAAAACTTAGCAAAACAAAACACCATCAATGCCAAAACACTGAAGAGAATTTTAGCATCAATATAACACTACCACAGAAGGAATTCTAAAATTTTTTTTTTTTTTTTTTTTTTGAGACGGAGTCTCGCTCTGTCGCCCAGGCTGGAGTGCAGTGGCGGGATCTCGGCTCACTGCAAGCTCCGCCTCCCGGGTTCACGCCATTCTCCTGCCTCAGCCTCCCAAGTAGCTGGGACTACAGGCGCCCGCCACTACGCCCGGC
This sequence comes from Homo sapiens, assembly GCF_000001405.40. Taxonomy (NCBI): domain Eukaryota; kingdom Metazoa; phylum Chordata; class Mammalia; order Primates; family Hominidae; genus Homo; species Homo sapiens. The sequence goes on from NC_000008.11 coordinate 60,155,637, forward strand.
TAATTTTTTGTAAGGAATTCTAAAATTTTAACATTGTGTCATAATCTTTCCTATAATACAAAATTTTGAAATACTGTATATGGTAGGAAAATTTTCATACAAGGGCAAAGATGTATATCATGACATGTTTGGATGGAGGCAATGTAAATGACCTCAATTAAGGAATAAACAAATTGTGGCAATAAAATACTGAGATTCTCTGAAGGAAGCAGACTGCTCCTACAGGACCCAGGAGGCACCCCCAAAACTGTGAGTGCCCCAACTGAGGAAGTGGGAAAGGGAGACCCTCCTTTCCCGAACACACACCCCCACTGGAGAAGCTGAAGGTCTGTTTGTGGGAGAAGTTTCCGACTTTACCTGGAGCTGAGTCAATTTGGAGAGCTGAGCTAAATACAGGGGTAAAGAAAGCAGCAGAAAGCTCGCTGGGAGCTCACTGGGTCCCCTAGCAGACCATTCCTGCTTGGTACCACACAGATCTAAGAGGAGAGGAGCTGGGGGTGAAACTCCACAGTAAGAAGGAAATCTATAGCTGAACACTGTAACAATTTGAACAGGTTAAGAAGCCTCCTAGCCAGAACTCCACAGACTCCATAGGCGGGGGAAGAACCAAGCCCTTTTCTTTCACAGCTGGGAGGTGGGTAGCCTGGGGCAGGTTTTCAAGGCCATATCACTCTCCACCTGGAAACGGTCTGGGGGCTGTTGGGAGGGGCACAGTGAGAGTGAGACCAGCCCTTCTGTTTGCATGAGAGCTGGTTGAGGCCTGTGACTGCCAGCTTTCCCCCACTTCCCTGCATGACCCAGCAGAGGCAGCCATAATCCTCCTAGGTACACAACTCCAGTGGCCTGGGAATCTCACTCCCATCCCCCACAGCAGCCACAGCAGGACCCGCCCAAGAAGCGCTCAGACACATCTAGCCCCACCCCCACCTGATGGTCCTTCCCTATCCACCCTGGTAGCAGAAGAAAAAGGGCATATAATCCTGGGAGTTCTAGGGCCCCGCCCACCACCAGTTCCTCCCTAAGCTAACACAACTGATGCTTTCTGGAAAGCGTCACCTCCTGGCAGGAGGCCAGCCAGCACCAGCACAAAAACAGAATATTAAACCACCAAACCAACAAAGCTAAGTACCTTCATGGAGTCCATTGCCCTCCCCCCACCACCCCCATCACCTCCACCAGAACAAGTGCTGGTATCCATGACTGAGAGACCCATAGATGGTTCACATCACAAGACTGTGCAGACAACCCCCAGTACCAGCCCAGAGCCGGGTAGACTTGCTGGGTGGCTAGACCCAGAAGAGAGACAACAATCACTACAGTTCGGCTCACAAGAAGCCACATCCATAGGAAAAGGGGGAGAGTACTATATAAGAGGGAACACTCTGTGGGAAAAAATAATCTGAACAACAGCCTTCAACCCTAGACCTTCCCTCTGACAGAGCCTACCCAAATGAGAAGGACCCAGAAAATCAACCCTAGTAATAGGCTAAAACAAGGCTCTTCAGTACCCCCCAAAAATCACACGAGTTCACCAGCAATAGATCCAAACCAAGAAGAAATCCCCAATTTACCTGAAAAAGAATTCAGGAGGTTAGTTATTAAGCTAATCAGGGAGGGACCAGAGAAAGGAGATGCCCAATGCAAGGAAATCCAAAATATTATACAGGAAGTGATGGGAGAAATATTAAAGGAAATAGATAGCTTAAAGAAAAAACAATAATTCAGGAAACTTTGGACACACTTTTAGAAATGCAAATGCTCTGGAAAGTCTCAGCAATAGGATTGAACAAGTAGAAGAAAGAAATTCAGAGCTCAAAGACAAGGTCTTCAACCCAATCCAACAAAGACAAAGAAAAAAGAATAAGAAAATATGAACAAAGCCTCCAAGAAGTCTGGGATTATGTTAAATGACCAAGCCTAAAAATAATCGGTGTTCCCGAGGAAGGAGCAAATTCTAAAAGTTTAGAAATCATATTTGGACGAATGATCAAGGAAAACTTCCTGGCCTTGCTAGAGACCTAGACATGCAAATACAAATACAAGAAGCACAAAGAACACCCAGGAAATTCATCACAAACCACGTCATCAACCACATTGTCATCAGATTATCCAAAGTTAAGACAAAGGAAAGGATCTTAAGAGCTGTGAGACAGAAACACCAGGAAACATGTAAAGGAAACCTATCAGATTAATAACAGATTTCTCAGCAGAAACCCTACAAGCTAGAAGGGATTGGTGTCTTATCTTCAGGCTTCTCAAACAAAACAATTTATTAGCCAAGAATTTTGTATCCAGAAAAACAAAGCATCATATATGAAGGGAAGATACAGTCTTTTTCAGACAAATGCTGAGAGAATTTGCCATTACCAAACCACCACTATAAGAACTGCTAAAAGGAACTCTAAATCTTGAAACAAATCCTGGAAACATGTCAAAACAGAACGTCTTTAAAGTATAAATCACACAGGAGCCAAAAAACAAAAATACAAGTTAAAAAGCAAAAACAAAAAACAGAACCAAACTACCCAGGCAACAAAGAGCACAATGAAAGCAATAGTACCTCACATTTCAATACTAACATTGAATGTAAATGGCCTGAATGCTCCACTTAAAAGATACAGAATCACAGAATGGATAAGAACTCACCAACCAACTATCTTCTGCCTTCAGGAGACTCACCTAGAACATAAGGACTCACATAAACTTAAAGTAAAGGTGTGGGAAAAGGCATTCATGCAAATGGACACCAAAAGCAAGCAGGGGTAGCTATTCTTATATCAAACAAAACAAACTTTGAAGCAAAAGCAGTTAAAAGAGACAAAGAGGGACAGTATATAATGGTAAAAGCCTTGTCCAACAGGAAAATATCACAATTCCAAACATATATGCACCTAACACTGGAGCTCCCAAATTTATAAAACAATTACTAGTAGACCTAAGAAATGAGATAGATAGCAACACACTAATAGTGGGGGACTTCAATATTCCACTGACAGCACTAGACAAGTCATCAAGACAGGAAGTCATCAAGACAGGAAGTCATCAAGACAGGAAGTCAACAAAGATTCAATGGATTTAAAATATACCTTGGAACAAATGGACTTAACAGATACATACAGAACATTTCACCCAACAACTGCAGAATACACATTCTGTTCAACAGCATATCTCCAAGAAATGGAGATATGATAAGCCATAAAACACACAATAAATTTAAGAAAATTGAAATTATGTCAAGCACTCTCTCAGACCACAGTGGAATAAAATTGGAAATCAACTCCAAAAAGAACCTTCAAAACCATGCAAATACATGGAAATTAAATAACCTGCCCCTGAATGAGCTCTGGGTCAAAAATGAAATCAAGATGGAAATTTAAAAATTCTTCGAACTTGATGACAACAGTAACACAACCTATCACAAACCTCTGGGATAAAGCAAACGCAGTGCTAAGAGGAAAGTTTATTGCCCTAAATGCCTATATCAAAAAGACTGAAAGAGCACAAACTGACATTCTAAGGTCACACGTCAAGGAACTAGAGAAATAAGAACAAACCAAACCCAAACCCAGCAGAAAAAAGGAAAGAATCAAGATCAGAGCAGAACTAAATGAAATTGAAATAAACAAACAAAAAATACAAAAGACAAATGAAACAAAAAGCTGGTTCTTTGAAAAGATACAGTTGATAGACCATTGGCAAGATTGACCAAGAAAAGATGAGCGAAAATCCAAATAACCTCACTAAGAAACAAAACAGGAGATATTACAATTGACACCACTAAAATACAAAAGATCATTCAAGGCTACTATGAAAACCTTTACACACACAAACTAGAAAACCTAGCAGAGATTGATAAATTCCTGGAAAAATACAACCCTCCTAGCTTAAATCAGGAAGAATTAGATACCCTGAACAGGCCAGTAACAAGCAGTGAGATTGAAATGGTAATTAAAAAATTACCAACCAAAAAAGTCCAGGACCAGGCAGATTCACAGCAGAATTCTACCAGACATTCAAAGAACTGGTACCAATCCTTTTGACACTGTTCCACAAGATAGAGAAATAACCCTCCCTAATTCATTCTACGAAGCCAGCATCACCCTAATACCAAAACCAGGAAAGGACGTAACCAGAAAATAAAATTACAGACTGATGTCCTTGATGAATATAGATGCTAAAATCCTTAACAAAATACTAGCTAACCAAATCCAACAACATATCAAAAAGATAATCCACCATGATCAAGTGGGTTTCATACCAGGGATGCAGGGATGGTTTAACACAGGCAAGTCAATAAATGTGATACACCACATAAACAGAATGAAAAACAAAAGTCACATGATCATTTCAATAGATGCAGAAAAAGCACTCAACAAAATCCAGCATCGCTTTATGATTAAAACTCTCACAAAATCAGCCTACAAGGGACATACCTTAATGTAATAAAAGCCATCTATGACGAACCCATAGCCAACATAATACTGAATGGGGAAAAGTTGAAAGCAGTCCCTCTGAGAACTGGAATGAGACAAAGATGCCCATTCTTCGTCACCATAGTACTGGAAGTCCCAGTGAGAGCAATCAGACAAGAGAAAGAAATAAAGGGCATCCAAATCGGTAAAAAAGAAGTCAAATTGTCACTGTTTGCTGATGATATGATTGTTTACCTTAAAAACCCTAAGGAGTCCCCAAGAAAGCTCCTAGAAGTGATAAAAGAATTCAACAGGAGGAAGCAGCCAAGATGGCTGAATACGAACAGCTCTGGTCTACAGCTCCCAGCAAGAGTGATGCAGAAGACAGGTGACTTCTGCATTTCCATCTGAGGTACTGGGTTCATCTCACTAGGGAGTGCCAGACAGTGGGTGCAGGACAGTGGGTGCAGCAGACTGTGCACAAGCCGAAGCAGGGCGAGGCATTGCCTCACTTGGGAAGCACAAGGGGTCAGGGAGTTCCCTTTCCTAGTCAAAGAAAGGGGTGACAGACGGCACCTGGAAAATCAGCTCACTCCCCGCCTAATACTGTGCTTTTCCAATGGGCTTAAAAAACGTCGCACCAGGAGACTATATCCCACACCTGGCTCAGAGGGTCCTACGCCCACGGAGTCTCCCTTATTGCTAGCACAGCAGTCTGAGATCAAACTGCAAGGCAGCAGTGAGACTGGGGGAGGGGCGCCCGCCATTGCCCAGGCTTGCTTAGGTAAACAAAGCAGCCAGGAAGCTCAAACTGGGTGGAGCCCACCACAGCTCAAGGAGGCCTGCCTGCCTCTGTAGGCTCCACCTCTGGGGGCAGGGCACAGACAAACAAAAAGACAGCAGTAACCTCTGCAGACTTAAATGTCCCTGTCTGACAGCTTTGAAGAGAGCAATGGTTCTCCCAGCACACAGCTGGAGATCTGAGAACGGGCAGACTGCCTCCTCAAGTGGGTCCCTGACCCCTGACTCCCGAGCAGCCTAACTGGGAGGCACCCCCCAGTAGGGGCAGACTGACAACTCACATGGCCGGGTACTCCTCTGAGACAAAATTTCTAGAGGAAAGATCAGACAGCAGCATTCGCGGTTCATGAAAATCCGCTGTTCTGCAGCCACCGCTGCTGTTACCCAGGCAAACAGGGTCTGGAGTGGACCTGTAGCAAACTCCAACAGACCTGCAGCTGAAGGTCCTGTCTGTTAGAAGGAAAACTAACAAACAGAAAGGACATCCACACCAAAAACCCATCTGTACATCACCATCATCAAAGACCAAAAGTAGATAAAACCACAAAGATGCGGAAAAAACAGAGCAGAAAAACTGGAAACTCTAAAAAGCACAGCGCCTCTCCTCCTCCAAAGGGATGCAGTTCCTCAACAGCAACGGAACAAAGCTGGACGGAGAATGACTTTGACAAGTTCAAAGAAGAAGGCTTCAGACGATCAAACTACTCTGAGCTACGGGAGGAAATTCAAACCAAAGGCAAAGAAGTTGAAAACTTTGAAAAAAATTTAGAAGAATATATAACTAGAATAACCAATACAGAGAAGTGCTTAAAGGAGCTGATAGAGCTGAAAGCCAAGGCTTGAGAACTATGTGAAGAATGCAGAAGCCTCAGGAGCCGATGCAATCAACTGGAAGAAAGGGTATCAGTGATGGAAGATGAAATGAATGAAATGAAGCGAGAAGGGAAGTTTAGAGAAAAAAGAATAAAAAGAAATGAACAAAGCCTCCAAGAAATATGGGACTATGTGAAAAGACCAAATCTACGTCTGATTGGTGTACCTGAAAGTGACGGGGAGAGTGGAACCAAGTTGGAAAACACTCTGCAGGATATTATCCAGGAGAACTTCCCCAATCTAGCAAGGCAGGCCAACATTCAGATTCAGGAAATACAGAGAATGCCACAAAGATACTCCTTGAGAAGAGCAACACCAAGACACATAATTGTCAGATTCACCAAAGTTGAAATGAAGGAAAAAATGTTAAGGGCAGCCAGAGAGAAAGGTCAGGTTACCCACAAAGGGAAGCCCGTCAGACTAACAGCGGATCTCTCGGCAGAAACTCTACAAGCCAGAAGATAGTGGGGGGCAATATTCAACATTCTTAAAGAAAAGAATTTTCAACCCAGAATTTCATATCCAGCCAAACTAAGCTTCAGAAGTGAAGGAGAAATAAAATCCTTTACAGACAAGCAAATGCTGAGAGATTTTGTCACCACCAGGCCTGCCCTAAAAGAGCTCCTGAAGGAAGCACTAAACATGGAAAGGAACAATCGGTACCAGCCACTGCAAAATCATGCCAAATTGTAAAGACCGTCGAGGCTAGGAAGAAACTGCATCAACTAGCGAGCAAAGTAACCAGCTAACATCAAAATGACAGGCTCAAATTCACACATAATAATATTAACTTTAAATGTAAATGGACTAAATGCTCCAATTAAAAGACACAGACTGGCAAATTGGATAAAGAGTCAAGACCCATCAGTGTGCTGCATTCAGGAAACCCATCTCTCGTGCAGAGACACACATAGGCTCAAAATAAAAGGATGGAGGAAGATCTACCAAGCAAATGGAAAACAAAAAAAGGCAGGGGTTGCCATCCTAGTCTCTGATAAAACAGACTTTAAACCAACAAAGATCAAAAGAGACAAAGAAGGCCATTACATAATGGTAAAGGGATCAATTCAACAAGAAGAGCTAACTATCCTAAATATATATGCACCCAATACAGGAGTATCCAGTTTCATAAAGCAAGTCCTGAGTGACCTACAAAGAGACTTAGACTCCCACACAATAATAATGGGAGATTTTAACATCCCACTGTCAACATTAGACAGATCAACGAGACAGAAAGTTAACAAGGATACCCAGGAATTGAACTCAGCTCTGTACCAAGTGGACCTAATAGACATCTACAGAACTCTCCACCCAAAATCAACAGAATATACATTTTTTTCAGCACTGCACCACACCTATTCCAAAATTGACCACATAGTTGGAAGTAAAGCTCTCCTCAGCAAATGTAAAAGAACAGAAATTATAACAAACTGTCTCTCAGACCACAGTGCAATCAAACTAGAACTCAGGATTCAGAAACTCACTCAAAACCGCTCAACTACATGGAAACTGAACAACCTGCTCCTGAATGACTACTGGGTACATAACGAAATGAAGGCAGAAATAAAGATGTTCTTTGAAACCAACGAGAACAAACACACAACATACCAGAATCTCTGGGACACATTCACAGCAGTGTGTAGAGGGAAATTTATAGAACTAAATGCCCACAAGAGAAAGCAGGAAAGATCCAAAAAGGACACCTTAACATCACAATTAAAAGAACTAGAAAAGCAAGAGCAGACACATTCAAAAGCTAGCAGAAGGCAAGAAATAACTAAAATCAGAGCAGAACTGAAGGAAATAGAGACACAAAAAACCCTTCAAAAAATTAATGAATCCAGGAGCTGGTTTTTTGAAAGGATCAACAAAATTGATAGACCGCTAACAAGACTAATAAAGAAGAATAGAGAGAAGAATCAAATAGATGCAGTAAAAAATGATAAAGGGGCTATCACCACCGATCCCACAGAAATACAAACTACCATCAGAGAATACTACAAACACCTCTATGCAAATAAACTAGAAAATCTAGAAGAAATGGATAAATTCCTCAACACATACACCCTCCCAAGACTAAACCAGGAAGAAGTTGAATCTCTAAATAGACCAATAACAGGCTCTGAAATTGTGGCAATAATCAATAGCTTACTAATAAAAAAGAGTCCAGGACCAGATGGATTCACAGCCGAATTCTACCAGAGGTACAAGGAGGAATTGTACTATTCCTTCTGAAACTATTCCAATCAATAGAAAAAGAGGGAATCCTCCCTAACTCATTTTATGAGGCCTGCATCATCCTGATACCAAAGCCTGGCAGAGACACAACCAAAAAAGAGAATTTTAGACCAATATCCTTGATGAACATTGATGCAAAAATCCTCAATAAAATACTGGCAAACCAAATCCAGCAGCATATCGAAAAGCTTATCCACCATGATCAAGTGGGCTTCATCCCTGGGATGCAAGGCTGATTCAATATATCCAAATCAATAAATGGAATCCAGCATATAAACAGAACCAAAGACAAAAACCACATGATTATCTCAATACACGCAGAAAAGGCCTTTGACAAAATTCAACAATGCTTCATGCTAAAAACTCTCAATAAATTAGGTATTGATGGGACGTATCTCAAAATAATAAGAGTTATCTATGACAAACCCACAGCCAATATCATACTGAATGGGCAAAAACTGGAAGCATTCCCTTTGAAAACTGGCACAAGACAGGGATGCCCTCTCTCACCACTCCTATTCAACATAGTGTTGGAAGTTCTGGCCAGGGCAATTAGGCAGGAGAAGGAAATAAAGGGTATTCAATTAGGAAAAGAGGAAGTCAAATTGTCCCTGTTTGCAGATGACATGATTGTATATCTAGAAAACCCCATTGTCTCAGCCCAAAATCTCCTTAAGCTGATAAGCAACTTCAGCAAAGTCTCAGGATACAAAATCAATGTACAAAAATCACAAGCATTCTTATACACCAATAACAGACAGAGAGCCAAATCATGAGTGAACTCCATTCACAATTGCTTCAAAGAGAATAAAATACCTAGGAATCCAACTTACAAGGGACATGAAGGACCTCTTCAAGGAGAACTACAAACCACTGCTCAATGAAATAAAAGAGGATACAAAGAAATGGAAGAACATTCCATTCTCATGGGTAGGAAGAATCAATATCATGAAAATGGCCATACTGCCCAAGGTAATTTACAGATTCAATGCCATCCCCATCAAGCTACCAATGACTTTCTTCACAGAATTGGAAAAAACTACTTTAAAGTTCATATGGAACCAAAAAAGAGCCTGCATTGCAAAGTCAATCCTAAGCCAAAAGAACAAAGCTGGAGGCCTCACACTACCTGACTTCAAACTATACTACAGGGCTACAGTAACCAAAACAGCATGGTACTGGCACCAAAACAGAGATATAGATCAATGGGACAGAACAGAGCCCTCAGAAATAACGCCGCATATCTACAACTATCTGATCTTTGACAAACCTGAGAAAAATAAGCAATGGGGAAAGGATTCCCTATTTAATAAATGGTGCTGGGAAAACTGGCTAGCCATATGTAGAAAGCTGAAACTGGATCCCTTCCTTACACCTTATACAAAAATTAATTCAAGATGGATTAAAGACTTAAACATTAGACCTAAAGCCATAAAAACCCTAGAAGAAAACCTAGGCATTACCATTCAGGACATAGGCATGGGCAAGGACTTCATGTCCAAAACACCAAAAGCAATGGCCACAAAAGACAAAATTGACAAATGGGATCTAATTAAACTAAAGAGCTTCTGCACAGCAAAAAGAAACTACCATCAGAGTGAACAGGCAACCTACAAAATGGGAGAAAATTTTCGCAACCTACTCATCTGACAAAGGGCTAATATCCAGAATCTACAATGAACTCAAACAAATTTACAAGAAAAAAACAAACAACCCCATCAAAAAGTGGGCGAAGGACATGAGCAGACACTTCTCAAAAGAAGACATTTATGCAGCCAAAAAACACATGAAAAAATGCTCACCATCACTGGCCATCAGAGAAATGCAAATCAAAACCACACTGAGGTACCATCTCACACCAGTTAGAATGGCAATCTTTAAAAAGTCAGGAAACAACAGGTGCTGGAGAGGATGTGGAGAAATAGGAACAGTTTTACACTGCTGGTGGGACTGTAAACTAGTTCAACCATTGTGGAAGTCAGTGTGGCGATTCCTCAGGGATCTAGAACTAGAAATACCATTTGACCCAGCCATCCCATTACTGGGTATACACCCAAAGGACTATAAATCTCGCTGCTATAAAGACACATGCACACGTATGTTTATTGTGGCAGTATTCACAATAGCAAAGACTTGGAACCAACCCAAATGTCCAACAACGATAGACTGGATTAAGAAAATGTGGCACATACATACCATGGAATACTATGCAGCCATAAAAAATGATGAGTTTATGTCCTTTGTAGGGACATGGATGAAATTGGAAATCATCATTCTCAGTAAACTATTGCAAGAACAAAAAAACCAAACACCGCATATTCTTACTCATAGGTGGAAATTGAACAATGAGAACACATGGACACAGGAAGGGGAACATCACACTCTGGGGACTGTTGTGGGGTGGGGGGAGGGGGGAGGGATATCATTAGGAGATATACCTAATGCTAAATGACTAGTTAATGGGTGCAGCACACCAGCATGGCACATGTATACATATGTAACTAACCTGCACATTGTGCACATGTACCCTAAAACTTAAAGTATAATAATAATAAAATTAAATTAAATTAAAAAAAAAGAATTCAACAAAGTTTCCAGATACAAGATTAATGTACATAAATCAGTGGCCCTTCTATACACCAACAGCGACCAAGCAGAGAATCAAATAAATAACTCAACACCTTTTACAATAGCTGCAAAGAAGTAAAATAAAATACTTAGGAATATACCTAACCAAGGAGGTGAAAGACCTCTACAAGGAAACCTACAAAACACTGCTAAAAGAAATCATAAACGACACAAACAAATGGAAACACATCCCTTGTTCATGGGTGGGTAGAATGAATATTGTGGAAATGACCATACGGCCAAAAGCAATCTACAAATTCAATGCAATCCCCATCAAAATACCACCATCCTTCTTCACAGAATTAGAAAAAAAAAATTCTAAAATTCATATGGAACCAAAACAGAGCCCACATAGCCAAAGCAAGACTAAGCAAAAAGAATAAATCTGGAGGCATCACACTACCTGATTTCAAACTATGCTATAAGGCCATAGTCACCAAAACAGCCTGGTACTGGCACAAAAATAGGCACATAGACCGATGAAACAGAATAAAGAACCCAGAAATAAACCCAAATACTTACAGCCAACTGATCTTCGACAAAGCAAACAAAACATAAAGTGGGGAAAGGACACCCTTTTCAAAAATGGTGCTGGGATCACTGATAAGCCACATGTAGGAGAATGAAATTGGATCCTCATCTCTCACCTTGTACAAAAATCAACTCAAGATGGATTAAGGACTTAAACCTAAGACCTGAAAGTATAAAAATTCTAGAAGATAACATTTGAAAAACCCTTCTAGACATTGGCTTAGGCAAGGATTTCATGACCAAGAACCCACATGCAATTAAAACAAAGAAAAATAGCTGGGACCTAATTAAACTAAAGAGCTTTTGCACAGCAAAAGGGGCAGTCAGCAGAGTAAACAGAGAACCCACACAGTGGGAGAAAGTCTTCACAATCTACACATCCGACAAAAAACTAATATCCGGAATCTACAACAAACTCAAACAAATCAGTAAGAAAAAAAACAATTCCATCAAAAAGTGGGCTAAGGACATAAATAGACAATTCCCTAAAGAAGATATACAAATGACCAACAAACATATGAAAAAATGCTCAACATCACTAATGATCAGGAAATTGCAAATCAAAACCACAATGCAATACCACGTCACTCCTGCAGAATGGCCATAATCAAAAAATCAAAAACCAGTAGATGCTGGTGTGGATGCAGTGAACAGGGAGCACTTCTACACTGCTGGTGGGAATGTAAACTAGTACAACTGCTATGGAAAACAGTGTGGAGATTCCTTAAAGAACCAAAAGTACAACTACCATTTGATCCAGCAATCCCACTACCAGGTGTCTACCCAGAGGAAAAGAAGTAATTATTCAGAAAAGATATTTGCACATGCATGTTTATAGCAGCACGATTCACAATTGCAAAATCATGGAAGCAACCCAAATGTCCATCAATCAACAAGTGGATAAAGGAACTGTGGTATATATATATATATGAGGGAATACTGTGCAGCCATAAAAAGGAATGAATTAACAGCATTTGCAGTAACCTGGATGAGCTGGAGACCATTATTCTAAGTAAAGTAACTCAGGAATGGAAAGCCGAACATCATATGTTCTCACTGATAAGTGGGAGCTAAGCTATGAGAATGCAAAGGCATAAGAATGATGTAATGGACTTTAGAAACTTGGGGGGAAGAGTGGGAGGGGGGCGAGGGATAGAAGACTACTCATATGCTGCAGTGTATGCTGCTTGGGTGATGGATGCATGAAAATTTCACCAGTCACCACTAAAGAACTTACTCGTGTAACCAAATACCACCTGTACCCCAATAACTTATGGAAAAATAAAAAATATAAATATAAATAAAAAAGCAAACTTTATCTAAAATAAAATAAAATACTGCGTAACACATATAGATATTGAAAACTAATATTGGGTGAATAAGGCAAGATAAAATGACAAATATAATAAGAAATAATTGAATAAAAACATACAAAGCAATAATATGTATTCACATATCTATACATTTAAATGAACTGGAAAGCTGCACACTATAGGAGTTGGCTCTGAAAAATGGATTGGGGGATGCAACTGGTAACGGTTAAAGAAGACTTTAGTTTTTTGTTACGTTTCACATCTTTAACAACAGGTTAAACAAATATGACAATTTTTTTATAGTCATTAACTCTTCATGTTGGAAAAATAAGTGTTCTTAATTTACTATTATTATTATTTTAACTTTCTGTAAATTTTAAATCTATTAAATTTATTATTCAAAATAAAGAAAAAATAAAATGGGCTCAAACACAGAGCTTAGCAGCAACTTTCAGTAGTTTGTCTAAACTGGTAACGAAGACAGGATAGTGGGATGAGGACTGGATTTGAGTTGAGTAAATGTGACCTTATATGATCTACCTCTCCAGCTGTGGCCAGGAGGGATTGCTGTGTGTTGTGCACCCTGGAAGCTGTAGAGGCGAAGCTCTTACACATCCGTATATATGTATAACAAATGTATGGCATACTGAGATATATGAACCACTAAGGAGAACCTCAGCTGAAGGAATACAAGTTTATTTATTTTTAAATCTCAGTAGCATGGGATGGAGGCACTCACACAATTTATATACCTGAACAAAGTTCTTTGAAAAAAAAAAAAAAAAAAGAAGCCATGGGAAGAGGCAATGGCCAACTATTTTCTTCAGTCTATTTTTTTTGGTATTAACTAATAGAGACTTTGAACATACAAAATAGCGAACCTCACTTAGAAAGAAAGGTGAGAAGGAAAAAAGAGAAAATAAGGACTTAAAAAGATATTAAAATAATCAGAGCAAATAAACAGGGAAAAATCCTTTTAACAATATTAACTTTTTAGAGATCTTTTGAAGTTTAAAAAAATCTACATGATATTATTTATATATTTATCACCCATTGATTAAAAAAACTGCAAAAAAGTGAGATATTTATAAATGAGTTTTATTTAGTTATTGAAATTTTTATGTAGTTATTGAAAGAAAGAAATATATACATATTTGAAAAATAATGTAGCATACAATGTGTGTATATATATATATGGCATTATTTAGTTAGTTTATAGGTAATATTTGAAATATCTCTGATTCTGTGAACCCTTTATAATAATCTGTGGACCCACCCTCCTCCCATCAGGTTATGGCAAAATAGAGAATTTTTGACTTTGGGTGTAAGATGACTAGAATAAATGGAAAAACAATAACCCTACAGAAATTGGTAGCATAAGTTCAGAAAAGTCTTCTAAAGACATAAAAATAGATAAAGCTTATTTCCAAATGCTAAGTGGTAGAGCAAGGACTCAGATTAATCTGTTTGGATCAAAAACTTGCACTTTTTCTACTGAACGTACCACTTGCTTTTTGAACACTACATTCTCCACGCAATGCTAGGATGAGTAAAACAGGTTGAAGCCAAGCTCAACACAAGCCCTAAAGCAAAGATTTAAACTTTAGTTAAATCAGCCGATGCATTATGTTGGTAGAGGGTTATTTTTCATTATTCCAAGCAACATCTTTCTGGTAGTATGAGGGGAAGCAACCTAGTGCATTTAATGTGGCAACCTGGCAATGAGCAGGGGGCAATGCTAAGCGCACAATATTCTTATCTGTCTTGCTGTCTCTGCATTGGTGGATGCCTCTGTCATGGATCCTGAGGCCGTCTATAAAATCTCCCCTCCCATTTTGCCAAATTTATTTATTTTCATGCTTTTAACCACCTCAGCCAATAATTCACCTAGCTTTCATGCTTACCTTTCATGAAGTGTTTTTATTTCTTAATAACATATTAAATTGACGCTTACTATTCTAGAAGGGAGTTCAATTTGAGATACATGATATTTTTGCTGCTCCCTTAATTTTGAAGAATGCACATTCTGGAAAGGAGAAATACAGAAATAGAACACCAAGAAAAGATAGTTTCCCTACATTTTGGTTAATTTTATGTTCACTCTTAGTCTTTTTTCAAACAGTATGGTTTGTTAAGGTCCTGATGATATGAATTCTTTCTGAAACAGTCATAACTTTGGATACATTTATATTACTGAGGCAGATTATTTACATTTATATATGTATACGTGTATGTATTGCATTTTTTCTTGCTCCCCTTACTCTCTGTATGATACTATTTTCTCAAAAGTGATATAAAATTGGAGACTCCATTCATATTCAAATATACACAGTTTAAAATGTGGATTCAAGAAATTATCACGCTCATGGGTTCTATTTTCTAGGGACAAGTGAATGAATAAAACTGGGTTGAGTTAAATATATGCGGACATGATAACTGTATCAGAAGAAAATTTGAAGGTTAGATATACATACACACACATATATACACACAACATATATATGTATATATATGTTGATGTATTATTATATTGGTAGAAGGTGGTTTTCATTATCCCAACCAAGATCCTTGCTAACTCCTCATTTCAGGAAGCTTCAGCAAAATTCCTGGATTTGCCTAGTTTGGGTCATGTGCCCATCCCAAACTAATCACTATGGCCACTTGGCCACTATGTATATAGAGTATTTAGATTGCCTTGCCTGAGCCATATCATGAAGGAGGTACTCTATGATTCAAATATCCCCTCCAAAATCCACATTGAAATGTAATTGCCATGGTGGTGGTATTAAAAGGTGGGATATTTAAGAGATGAATAGGCCATAAGGGTTCTGCCTTCATGAAGGAATTAGTGTTGTTATCACAAAAGTGCATTAGTTATCCTGGGAGTGAGCTCATTATAAAAGCAAGTTTGGCCCCCTCTTGCTCTCAAGCTGTCACAATCTCTTGCCCCTCTGCCTTCTTCCATAGGATAATGCAGCATGAAGGCCCTAGCCAGATGCTGACCCCTTGATATTGGACTTCCCAGGCTCCAGAACCATGAAAACTAAATTTCTTTTTTTTATAAACTAACCATTCTGTGGCACTCTGTTCTGGCAACACAAAGCAGACTAAGACAAATACACACATTTTAGAGATAAGGTCTCACTCTGTCACCTAGGCTGGAGTGCAGTGGCATAATCATAACTCACTGCAGCCTTGAACTTCTGGGCTCGAGTGATCCTCCCATCTCAGACTCCCAAATAGCTTGAACTATAAGCATGTGCCACCATGCCCAGCTAATTGTTTTTATTTTTGTAGAAACAGAGTCTTGCTATGGGAGCTCTCAGCCTCCCACAGCACTGGCATTACAGGTGTGAGCCATCACACCTGGCCACAAGGTAAGATATTAACAATCTTGCTAAGTTCCAAACACAAAATTCCATAGCCACAAGGAAGCTGAACACTTGAGTTCACAGCACATAAATATTTGCTGAAAAAATAAACTTGAGCCTGTGTTCTGAATCCCAAAACCCATGCTCTTTCTGCTACATGTGCAGCCTCCCCATTTGAGCAAAATGTTAAACTACCCCAAAATTCTCAAAGTGAATGGGATTTACCAGGTGGATTGACATAAAACATTAAAACATAAAATGATAATTCTTATAAGAGCAATGTTCCATGATACTTCCCTATTGTCAGACGCTTTCTATTACTCTTGGTTGTAAGGATTTAGTAATTGATATCGCTAATACTTTGAAAATGAAGCATTTTCTGTGCACTCAGCCCACCAACATCAGAGACAGTTTAGCTCAATAAGAATGATAGAATAGGCTGCCTTAAGAGATGAGGAACAGGACCATTATGCTGCTACTATTTCAGTGTCTTTCATCTATTGTGTTTCATCTCCTCTCGTTCCTCAGATTCTATCCTATAAGGATTCTTGATTTGAATTAGTGAGAAAAGTAGTGGATAGTGTATGTAAAATATTTTTAAAATCTGTTTTATCTTTTTAAAGTCAAAATGACTTTTACTTTCCCTTCAAAGTGAAAAAGAGAGAGAAATCTGAAAAGTATCAAGCACAGATGGAGACATTTGCATTTATGCTCTGACAATAAGGTATTTTTCTAGTGTCAACAAATGGAGAGCTTTATTTTAAATGTTGCCAGGTTCTGCCTCAGCTCCATTTTTCCATCCCGCCCAACTACAAAAAGTAAAGAAGGCCAGACACTCTTTTCATTCTTAAAAAAATAATGTAGGATTCCTGGGGAAAGACTGAGGCATCTTTTCTGGCTTTGAGGTAAGTGTGTGACTTTCATTAACATTAATGGGAGTTCTTCCCACTGAAAGAACAGACTCCATGTTTTTAAACGCTTGAGTAAAGATTCACACAAAGCTGGAAAAAAAGCTTTTTTGTTTTACGCAGCTATGACCACTGCTGCAGTACTAGGATTATGAATCACAGTAGGCTGTCCTTTTAAGACAGTTCATCCATCCAGTCATTTCAGAATGCTTGTGAAGAAAAAGATGGCATGACAAAGCAGGGCAATGTACCAGACATGGTTTATCTCTTCAACACGAAAGGAGAAGGCTTTCAGGCAACCCTCTCGTTACAACCTTTTTTGTAAAAAGGCTAAGCTAATTGAAAAACTACTTGGGGCTCTATCTTTTCTCGGATAGGTTCAAAGTAAAAGAATAATAATAGTATTGCTCTTGGCATTTGCAAAGACTGAAGAAAACTCACCGAAACATGTAGACACAACAAACTAATCCTGGCAATTTTTTACTCTGAATTTGACACATAAACAGAATAACATTTTTATGTTCACTTCCAAATAAGAAAAAATATAACTTCATAAATTTTAAGTAAAATAATTATGGAACAGGAAGAAATATTTTTAAAGATCTAATGAATCATCTAAATTGTCTTTCAAAGTTCCGTCTGTAGCTAAAGATATGAAGAGAAGAAATGATTGAAATTAATTCTGAAGACAAATCCCCATCAAAATGAGAAATAGCGCGCTAGCTTACATTAAATGAAAAATCACTCATGTGGCATAAAACAGATAGAATAAATCAATTTTTTAAGAAGAATACAAGTATTCAATAGGAGTGCTGTTTTAAAAACGAAGGAGAGGGTTGAAGACTGCAACACTGACGAGGCAGCGGGTGGGCCGGGGCAGTGCACAGGGAGGGCTTGCTAACTCTCGTGGGCTTGCCCTGAGTCTCGCGAGTGCCAGCATTGCCCCGCCCTTGGATGGGCTCCTGCTTTCCAGCGTCTCACCGTCCCACTGTCCTACCGTCCCAGTGTCCCAGCGCTTCTATTAAACCAGCTGCTCTCGCCAGCTTGCCTCGTGCCGCCCCCTCCCCTTTGCCCTCCAAATGCATTTCTCCAAAGTCCTCTTAAATTTGTCTCACACTGCATGGATAAGACTGCATGGGCCTGGAGAAAATGGAGCCATACACGGTTACAGCATGCCAGGAAGAGCTGAGGACGGCCCTGGGTGGGGCAGCTGACCCATGCAGCCTCTTAGAGAATGCTTAGAAACCAGAAATAAGCTCAGAAACTAACAGGACAACCACACATCCGTTAGGTTTTATCAAGAAGACACTCCCATCCTGAGTCTATGACCTGAACAGCTGTGTTGTTAGCAAGTTGGAAAGAAAAAGGGTGCCACGGCTTTAGGATCATATTAAAGGCCATGAAGCCGCTGAGTACTTTCCATATCACAAGCATTTGTACCATGAAATCATGGATTCAGCAATGACTGCTGAGAAAAGATGGGAAAATGTACACAAAGAGACAGGTCATAGTTTACATTTCCACAAAATAAGTAAATTTGTATTTAGTTGTTACTGAGGTTTGTTTGTGTCTGGTAATAAGTTCAGAATCTTTTATCTCATTAGGAAATCTATCAGGCAACAAAGGTGTATGGGGGAACCATATGCTGTGGGAATTACCGAAGAGATCAAAAGCACAGTGCTGGAGGTGCTTAAGCACTACCTGAGAGAATCAGACATGGTCATAAAGTTTTCAAAGGACAATTTACAAGCAAGGTATTTGAAGATAAGAAGATGTTTTTCTATTTTTTGGAGCCTAAAGAGAAATGAAAAAAATTGCAAGTAACTAAATAACTCCCCCAAAAAAGTAAGCTGAGAATCAGCAGCTTACTCACGTCTGGACTTATCTGTTAGAGGAGTGACTTAGAAGAAAGGCTTGGGATGAGGGGAATGAGGCAGCCTCATACACAGCTCTCAGCCCTGGAAGTGAAGCAGGCACCGTCCTACCTTGTCTGTTTCTTCCATTTCGCTTCCACCTGCCCACACACCTCTGGGAGTTAGGATTGCCTGCCTTCCGCTTTTCTCCATTGCAGTCCACCATGAATAATGTGTGGGGCTAACCTCCAGAAAACATCAATTCTGTTAAAATTCTGCCAGGTCTTCTCTACTTTTATTTGAGGTTAAATGTCAGGGTCTTATTTATCCTCAAATATCTCCAGTGTCTATTATAATGTCTGCTACTTAAGTGCTCAGTCTTTAACTTGTAAAATGGATCCATTATCTTCTATAGGTAGGTGAAGGTCCAGTTTCATAATTTAGTTCTCAAAGCACTCAGTTTGATTCCTTCATCCTGTCTTTTATTATCACCTCTGTCCACCTTCTTGTATATATTTAGATTCAGTCCATCCACCAACTCTCTGTTGGGTTTCCTGTCTCCCCCTCACACCTTTCCTCCAGCTACTCTACACACCTGAATCCCTTCTCCTCACCTGCCTTCTCCAACCCTAAAGTCATATGTCACCTTCCCTGATCACCTCAGCATATTCTTTGTTCTTTTTTGAACCCACGCGTGTGCCATCCACTCACATAATTCAGAGTACAAGATACTCTGAATTATAATTAGGTGTGTGTAGGGCAAGGATTGCATTTTCCTTAGCCCCAATGCAGTAATTACACATAATAAGAATTCAATAAGCATTTGTTGAATAAATACATGACAGCATAGCATCCTTTCCCCCTCGCTGCCAGGAAAGAAATATCACAATGTTAGCAATCATGTGTAACTTACAACAATAGAAAAGGAAGAAGAGAGACAAGTCAGATGGGGGAGCTTAATGACTGCACTTGGCTTTACCCATTTTTCCATACCATCCACAGCCATCCCTCACATACCCTTCTCTGTCCAACAGCCCCTACACTGGTGGATACAGACACCTGCTCACCAGACATAAAATACACATCACGATATGCAACATATTAAAGACAACAACAAAGTTTATGGCAAGCACTAAGTGAAATCATCCTAATGGGGTTTTCTGATCCCAAGCAGCCTGCAAATCGGATTTTATTCTATTTTTTGCCTCTAAGTGAGCTCGCCATCATTCCAGGAGGCATCTCAGTAAGCAATAATGCTTACATGCTTGCATTTAGGGACACCTGATAGTGGCACTATTCTTCAGAAATCTCGGAATTTCTAAAAAAGGACAATGCATTGATTCAATGAATTCTTAAAAATGCTTCTTCAGGAATTGTTTCAATTATTATATGGGGACATTTGTCGAGGATTTCTGATGGGTTGAAATTGAAAGGCAAAGAATACATTGCTACCAAAAAAATTGCACTGGTCCTGACTGGAGGCTGGGTATGGAAATAAATGGAAGGTGTACACTGAGAGAACATCAATGGTGACTAAATTGGGGTTTTATGGCATAAGTGAATAAAGGAACATAAAATAAGGCAATAGTTCAATAGAGTGGTATTAATTAGGAATGTGGGGGAATAGAATTAAAGGGACTACTGTTAACTCACACTTATGTTCTGGATCACCTCCCACAAACCTACATCCTGTCCAAGAAAGGACTGCCCATTGTGTAAGTGAATGAGAGTTTTAGTCCCTGAGTGACCCTCAAGTCTCCTTGTCACTTAATTCTGTACTCGATGTGCCGCTAGAAGAACCCTGCCCATTTCCTAACTATGCAATTCAATCATACAGTAATTGTTGATTTTTTAAGCAGTGAAAGAACCTTGTCTAAAATCTAGTTTAAATAAAACTGTTAGCATTTTAATATATTAATACTAGAACTAGATCAAATTCATTACTCTATCGTTTATATGAATCAAAAGACCATTTATTTATCTGCTTGAGATTCTCTTGCTAGAGTGTTGTTACATAGCTATGAAATGATTCCAAACACTAACATCGCTTCGTGAATGATGTATGTTTTTCTGTAATAAGAACTTGGAGTGTATTCCTTCCTCCCTTTGAAAATGTGACCTCTTATCAGATCCCATATGTGAGAACTTGGAGTGAACTCCCCCTTCTCTTCAGGACTATGACTTCAGACCTTATCAGACACCACATATGAGTTATTGACCCTGAACCACTAATTAGACTTCACTTTCCCCAGAAGTCTGCTTCTATTCTAATTGAGTAACTTGACTTTATAAAGTTTGGAGCCCATACCTATGTGGTTAATGCACCTCATCTATCCAGTGTATTCCAGGTGAGGTTTCTTCATGTTATTCTCCCCCTCTTTAAGCATTATGAACCTAAGAAAAAAGTTTCTCTTTGACCAGATACCATGTGATTCATGAAATCATATCATACCTTGGTCATCTCCCTATTTTCACCATACAGACCAAATGTTTTCAGGCAGAAACTGTGGAAGGCTCTGTTAATGTCATATATTTGTTTGGCGGCTGAAGGGCTGCTGAAAATCTGGCTGTATGGGTTGAAGAGGTTTTTTGCACACACCAAGATGAAGCAAGTGGTCCGTGCATTGTCTTTGTTTGCCTTTGCAGCTCCACTATTATATATAAACAACAACAACAACAACAAATTTATAAAGGTAGATGGGCAATTGAGGAGCTTCCTTTCATTCAGCCATCTGGCCCTAAGAGATGCCTCTTTACTGTGGGCAATGAACAGGCCACAGATGAGGTCTAAATGCTAACTCTACTTGGAAGTAAAAGCAATGAGTGTTGATATTTGGTGAATATAGGAACAACTCCATTTATCTACACAGTGTTTTCAATTCCTTATCTAAGTGTGTCATGGAAACTAAATATTCTTTCTATTCCCATTAAAGATAGGAAAAGCTAGGAATTCTTAACCTAATAAATGTTTTCAACTTTGAAATTTGGGGGTACACATGCAGGTTTGTTACATGAGTATACTGCATGATGCTGAGGTTTGGGGTACAAATGATCCTGTCACCTAGGTGGTGAGCACAGTACCCAATAGGAAGTTTTTCAGCCATTGTCCCCCTTCCTGCCTCCCCCTTCTTGTAGTCCCCAGTGTCTTTTGTTCCCATCTTTATGTCTGTGTATATCCAGTCTTGAGCTGCTGCTTATAAGTGAGACATGCAGTATTTGGTTTTCTATTTCTGCATCGATTTTCATAAGATAATGAACCCCAGCTGCATCCATGTTTCTGCAAAGAACATCAGTTCATTCTTTTTTACTTAGCCCAGTAATTCTGTAACACATACAACACTTGGAATTAATTGATTAAAAAAGAAAGCCCACATCACCCACCCCGATTTAATGTTATTGCATAGGAAGTCTAGTGTGTTGTGAGGAAATGTGGGAGATTATTCCAGTCAGATCCAAGCAGAAAATGACTCTTTCTAATCAAACAGGTGATAAGTGTTTCATCATCTATCATTACATTGTAAAGAAGGCTGGTGTCACTGTAGAGAAAGAAGCTGCTATAGAGAACAGTGATGCAGCCACAGGACAGAGAGAGGCAGAGAGTAGGGCCTCCTGCAGCCATTTTCATCAACAAGTCCATGAGGCACCATCACCTCACAGAACATTCTGGAGGAAAGACATCTCCTGGAGAAATCTCTTGAAAAAGACTCAGGACTTCAAGACTGCACTTTGGGGCAAGTACATAAAAAGAGACCGAAGAATTATCTGTGATGAAAAAGACATTATCACGAGGAAAAATCAGAAGAATTGGCTTGGAAGAGAACAATCTGCAGCACAAGGAAGGGCGCCAGAGGAGGTGCATGTGTTCTCCTTGTCACGTGGCTCAGGGCCAGTGACACGACCTTCGTGAGGAAGAGCTGCAGATGTGCATCCAAACCCACTGCATCTTCTTTACAGTTTGTTGTGTGTAAATAATAGATATGACTTCCTTTACCAGCTTGTGCATCAAAAGAGGTCACACAGCTTTTACTTTTTTTAAATGAAGCACTTGTACCTCCACATATCCTTTTTAAATTTAAGAGACAGAGTCACTCTGTTACCCATGCTGAAGTGCAGTGGTTCCATCATAGCTCACTGGAGTCTCAAACTTTGCTCAAGTGATCCCCCCCACCTCATCCTCACGAGTAGCTAGGACTACAGGCATGTGCCACCATACCCAACTAATTTTATTTTATGTAGAGATGGAGTCTCCCTGTGCTGCCCAGGCTGGTCTCAAACTCCTGGCCTCAAGTGATCCTCCTGCCTCCGTCTCCCAAAGTGCTGGATTATAGGTGTGGGCCAATGTGCCTGGCACCCATACTCTTATTAATAGGAGGCCTAAGCATCCTCTTGGGGAGAGAGACTCCCCAAGCTGTCCCCAGTCCCCTCTCCTGCCCCAGAGAACCTGCCCCTTCCTTGGAATCAATTAATTCCAAGGGTGAGTGCATTGCTTTGTCATGCCTTTCCCACATAGCGAACTCCCAAGGTTTTACTCATCCTTCATGAATTATTTCATCTTCCTTCAAGAATTCTGATGTCCAGCACCTATTTTAGGTTGATCCTTCCTAAGCAATGCAGTTACTTTTGATGCCTAGTGTGCAGAAAGAAAAAAAAGGGGTGAGAGGCACCTCAGGTGTCTCTGCCTTGAAGAGTGTGATATTCCTCTCCTGGTACCTGAGCATGTATCAATACAGGCATAGGCTGCAGACAGCGATCCATGACTGTCTGTGCAGAGGGCTCCTGTGGAGCCGATGGGCCCTGGAATGATTATCCTTCCAAAAAGAAAAAGTGAGTGAGAAAGAAGAGAAGCAAGACAGTGGTTGTATCAGTGGGACCTTGGGCAGTTTGCTCCAGCAGCCCAGGGCTCTTAGCCACTGGCATGTGGCAGTGCTTCCTCTGTCTCTGAACATGTGGGCCTGCCAACAATCACTAGGAAAGCACAGAACCACAAGGCTGGTCCCTTCCATTCTCATGACAGAATTAATAGAGGTCATGGAAGGTGAGGTAACGAAAGCACCACAAAGTTCCTCACTCTTTAGGCCCTACTTAAGGTCATGAGTTTTTCATGTTTGCTGTTTTGTCATGTTACTATTGAAGATCAGAGAAAACCCACATTTTGGTGTTCTGACTGAAGAATGAGAAGCTGTAACTGGATGTCATCCTTGTCAATCATCTTGGATAGGAAATGAGATCTGGGAAGATAAAAGGGATCAGGCCCTTTGGTGCAGCGGAGCCTGGGATGCTGATAGGCTAAACACAGAAGTATGTAGGTTGTAAAGTTTCCAGGAAGAGTGCAGAATGGGTTGCCGAGCCTAGGTCATCCAGGTAGCCTACCCACTTAAAGTCTATCAACCTCATGAGGGTAGAGATTACATCGGTCCCATTCATCCCTGTTACTCTTTCCTAGCACAGTGCCTGGAACTTGAAAAAATGCTCAATAAACAGTTGTGGAATCAGTATTTTTGTAAACTACTAAAGCATAACTGTAGGATAAAAGGGCTTTCCTAATGTTTTAGATATTCCTATGGGTGATGGAGTAATAATAGCAAACACTTATGCAAATATATTCCCATGAGTACTAAAATACAAACATCTTAAGATTCATGTCTTGAAGTTAAAGATGAAGAAACTGAGGCCCAATAAATTAAGTACATTGCCCAAGGCACACGTTGCTGGGAGGACTCAGAGCCAGGATTTAATACAAGGAGTCTGGCTCCAGTCTATGCCCTGAACCTCTATATTGCCTGCCCATAGGACCATATGACACAATGTAACCACATGACTGCATTACTTGGAGTTAGTCACAAAACTGTGTCCAGAGAACAGTGTTACAAATATCAACTGGATTCATCTAAAGTACTGACCTGTGTCTTCCCCAGTTGTTACTCCACTGGGGATCTGGCTGCCTTGGAATCCTCTACTCCTTTTGTGACATCTCTCGTCACTCTTGCCGCTTTCATTTCTGCACCTACCCCAGGCACATTCTCTTGTAATACATCGGCTCCTGCTTAGAGTCACTCTATGCCCTCCACTTGGTTGTGCTGAGGCACCACTTTCACATTTCAGCCGGAGGAGATGTGCCACAGCTTCCTGTTACTGATTTTCCTGCCTCTCAAGGTGATGGGGGAACTGGTGATGCTGGGGGATATTTGTTTTGTTTTTTGTTTTTTTTTACCAGTATTTTGCAAGTCATAGGAAAGATCCTAAATGAATTCAAAATCTAAATAATTGTTCTTTGACCACAGACACACTTAACACACTTTTCTTTCTGGTCAAAAGAAGTAGAAGATTTCCTTTGGCTAAATTGGAGTACAGAATTAAGAAATCCTTATATCTATTAGAGAAATGCAAATCAAAACCACAATGAGATAACCATCTCACACCAGTCAGAATGGCTATTATTAAAAAGTCAAAAAACAACAGATACTGACGAGGTTGTGGAGAAAAAGGAATGCTTTTTCACTGTTGGTGGGAGTGTGCTTTAACCGTTGTGGAAGACAGTGTGGCGATCCCTCAAAGATCTAGAGGTAGAAATACCATTTGACCCAGCAATTCCATTACTGGGTATATACCCAAAGGAATATAAATCATTCTATTATAATGGTACATGTATGTATATGTATGTTCTTTGCAGCACTATTCACAATAGCAAAGACATGGAATCAACCTAAATGCCCATCAATGGTAGACTGGATAAAGAAAATGTGGTACATATACACCATGGAGTATTATGCAGCCATAGAAAGGAACAAGATCATGTCCTTTGCAGGGACACAGATGGAGTTGGAAGCCATTATCCTCAGCAAACTAACACAGGAACAGAAAACCAAACACCACGTTCTTACAAGTTGGAGCTAAAGGATAAGAACACATGGGCACAATGGCAGGGAACAACACACACTGGGGCCTGTGGGCAGGTGGGAGAACATCAGGAAGAATAGCTAAAGGATGCAGGGCTTTATACCTAGGTGATGGGATGTTCTGTGCAGCAAGACACCATGGCACACATTTACCTATGTAACAAACCTGCACATCCTGCACATCTACCCCTGAACTTAAAAGTTGAAGAAAAGAAACCCTGATCAATTCTGTCATCTTATCTGGCCGGTTTTTAAAAGACAATTTAGAAAGAAAGAAAGAAAAAAACATTACTGGCTCAAACATTGTCTGTCTCCTTTGAACTCATTTCTACAGTATGATTTGATAATAAGCATGTATTTGACAAATACAAATGCATGTGATGGTAAACATAAGTAAGGCCTCCCAGGGTGGCACTGAAAATATGTGTTCTCTTGCCAAAGATGTGTAAGTTAGCAATGGACTTAACAGCTTTCTCAGGGAGGCTCTGATACAGAGGAACACAAGGCTGGAGCCCGAGGGTCAGAACTACATTGAGAAATAGCAGGTGTAATCAATATCCATGAAATGCTTCAAATACATAGTTTTGTGCAAGCACTAACAGTAATAACATTCCTAACCTAGGTGACATGTACTGTTCCTTGGGAGTTAACTGCTCACCTGCTACTCATCTCTCCAGCAGAGTGACACTTAGACATTACCTTATACTTGTATAAATAAGAAAGTCAGCCAGGGGTGGTGGCTCACACCTGTAATCCCAGCAATTTGGAAGACTGGGGAGGGAGGATTGCTTGAGGCTAGGAGTTCAAGACCAGCCTGGGCAACATAGCAAGACCCCATTTCTAAAAAGAACTTTTAAAATGTAGCCAGGTGTGGCAACACATGCCTATAGTCCCAGCCACTCAAGAAGCTAACATGAAGAATCTCTTGAACCCAGGAGTTAAAGGCTACAGTGAGCTATGATCATACCACTACACTGCAGAGTGGGAGACAAAGCAAGATACTAATTCTAAAAATAAAAATTTTTTAAAAGAGAAAAGAATCTCCTTGTGCACTAGAAGCATTAATTCCTCTTCCTGGGAAGACCAATTTACCCACAAGAACTGTGCTCACATTTCCTTTCTGTGGACTCAGAAAATAATCTTTGGAATTACAGGCTTCATACTTACTTCCTCCCTGTCCTTCTTAAACTTCTTCCTGTTTCTGAGTATGTACGAGGCTGAGCTTGGCTATCATGACTACTGAGCCTAAGAGCGGAGGCAGTTCCCTTTCTGCAAAACCATCATAAGAGACTTCACTAGACTTGAGTGTGATTTTTTAGAGTTCCAAATATTTTTCTTGAGTATCTGGAACTATTTCATATGAAGATAATTTCCATAAGTGAGTAAAAAAATGAAAAAGAAATCATGTATATTATAGTTTCATATTAAGAGATTATTTCATTCAAGTGAGATTTGTTCAAAAAGCATTAGCAAGAAAATTTATTTAATATGACTAAAATTGCAAGGGGTCAGCTTTCATCCCGGTCTTGTGCTATAATACAATAGATTTCCTGTATGCCATAAAGAAGTATCTTCATGTTATAATAGATAAAATGTTTTCATGCAATGTATAGACTTCCATCTGCATTTTTGAAAAGTCCCTTTGGGCCAGAGTCTATTATATTTTCACAGGAAAATTCCTATTGAGGCTGACTGAATTCCAGAATAATTTGAAAGCAATTAAAGTCCATCAAAGGAATGGCAATACAGTTATCCTGGAAATGAATCAGATCCAAAAAGTGTAAAACAAGCCAGTCTAGATCTTTGGAGCAGCTCTAAGAATTTTCTTAAGTTTTACTGACTCACTACAGCCACTGTTCCAGTGCAGGAAAAAGTTGTGTCACAGGCTCCGCTCAAGTTTCAGAAATGGAAAAATTTCTTCAAATTCAATAACATCATTTCCAAATGGGCATTCTGTATAACCTGAAGTGTAAAACCTCTAGTATGCTTTATCAAAACTTGATCTAAATCTGATATAGCACAAGATTTCCAATTAAAAACCTTTGCTTCTGTGTTGTTGTTTCCTAAAAGTGTTTGAAGGTTCAGTCACGTCTCACCACCTCACATCCTCAGTGAGTGCCAGGTAAGAGCTTCATACAAAAGCGCTACAGGAAAACGGCTCCACACAAAGCAAGGAAACATAAAAAAAAGAAAAGACTATTTCCTTGTACATATCCTTAGAGCTGCATTACATCATTGGTGGATAATGCCTCATCTTCTTCATAATTCTTTACGACCCAAGATTATAAACTATATTTAATAGCCTGCTTTTCATCAATCAATATTTGCTATATTCATATGTTTTAATAGAAACAAGTGGACAGCATTCTAAGGAAAATGAGGTTTTTCTAGATGTCTATTTTATAACTGTGCCATGTTGGAGTTGTTTGTGAAGACTTAAAAATCATTAATTGGAGCACTCTAATTAATTCTTTAGTTAAAATATAGAAATAAAATTTCAGAGTAATTAACTCAATAAGTTAATGACTAATATTAGGTTATGTCAACTTCATTTTCATATTAAGAAACATTCCCTTTTAAACTTTAAGCTATCAAAAAGCATGAGCCCACCCTTAATTATAATATGATACAAAATTTTGAGAAATATGCTTACTTGAGAAAATTCCAAAAAAGGACTGATAGCCTGACATTTTGAGTAACGTACTATCTTAAATGACAGAAAACTACATCCAGGATAGCTGTGTGAGGATCTCCACAGACTTGCTCCCCAGTGAAGAAAACTGTGGCAATTAAAGTAAATAAATAAATAGGTGTCTGAAAACTGTCCTAAGGGTATATAGCAAATGGAGAAACATTTACTCAAGAAAATCTACTAAATCTCAGTAGGAAAAGTGAGAGTATTTGATTTGAAATTTGAGCCACAAATTCGCTGCCTCCCTTCTTCTACCCCAGCTTAGTATGATTAAAACTCCACTCTTTGGGAAATATGATCAAGAAGATGGGTCTCCCTCTTCCCTCAGCTCCCAGCCAAGGGATACTAATGGGTTGCAAGAGGCTAAATCTCTTGGGGCTGTGACCCAGAGGTCATGAGCCCTTTTCCTTTACCCAATCCCCACTAACAGAGCAGAAGTTCTATCTCTAATCCTGCAAAAGGGCCCAAATATAATTGAATCAGATGTGGAGCAATTTATGCCCCACGGCATTGCCAAAAACAATAGAATAATTAGCTAGCAATTAGTGGAACCTAACAGGTAGTTGTAATACCAATGGAAGCAAAGAGCTAGGCAGAGAAATCAAGGAAAGACACAGAGAGAGCCCTACTAACTTACTGTCATCCCAGAGTGACTGTGTACATGCCCAGGGCAGTGCTCTCTGAGAAACCACATTATAGGGTTCACACTACAAGAGTAACAGACTTAATTAAAATAGTACAGCCGCTGGGTGCGGTGGCTCACGCCTGCAATCCCAGCACTTTGGGAGGCCGAGGTGGGTGGATCACGAGGTCAGGAGTTCAAGACCAGTCTGGCCAACATGGTGAAACCATGTCTCTACTAAAAATACAAAAATATTAGCTGGGCGCGATGGCAGGCACCTGTAATGCCAGCTACTTGGGAGGCTGAGGCAGGAGAAAACCCAGGTAGAGGAGGTTGCAGTGAGCTGAGATCCTGCCACTGCACTCCAGCCTGGGCAACAAAGTGAGACTCCATCTCAAAAATGAATAAATAAATAAATAAATAAATAAATAAATAAAATAAAATAGTACAGCCAAGTCACTGAACAAATAAACAATCAAAAACAACAAAAGCCCCAGAGGGGTGGTGTAAGATGGGGCAAAAATGAACAGAAGATCAGAGAAATATGAGACTCTATTAAGTGCATTAATACATGCATAATGGGAGTACCAGAAGAAAAGGAGAGAGAAAAAGAAGTGGAAATGAATAGTCAAGGAAATAATGGCTCAAACATCCCAAATTTAATATTTTTCTTAAAAAAAATCATTCATCTACATACCCAAGAAGCTCAACAAATTCCAAGCAGAATAAATACAGACTCACACCCAGATACATCATAGTACGAAATCTGGGGCAGGGGGGAAACCATTTGTTTTTGAAAGCAGAAACAGAAAAACGATTTGTCTTGTAGAAGGAAACCTCATTAAGCTTTATAGCTGGCATCTCAGCAGATGCTGAGAAAACAAAAACAGAAACAGAAACTTTTCACCAGGAGTTTTATATTTAGCAAAACTATCTCAAAGAAGGTAAAATAAAGATAGCCCATATAAACAAAAACTAAAGATTTGTCCCTATCAGATTTGCCTTATATAAAAATATATTAAAAAAAGGACTTCTGCCTGGAATGAAGTGACCCCAGATACTAATTTGAATCCATTCCAAAAAAAAAAGGGCACTGGTAAATGTAATTATGTAATTATGAAAGACAGTATAAATGCATTTCTTCCTTCTCTTAAAGAGCAATTGTATAAAATATCATGTAATTATGCTTTAGACCCAGAACATATACAAATGTGACATATTTGACAATGACAACACAAAGGAGGTAAATAAGAACAAAGTAGTACTGGAGTAAGAAATCACACCAGATGGTGACTCAAATTTACAAGACAAAATGAACATAACCAGAAATGGTAAATTAAAAGCTTACTAGAAGAAACTCTATAAATATAATTTGTTCTCAAGTCTCTGCTTGCTTAATATACATACAATTACAGGAAAAATATAACAATGTATTGTTGGGCTTACAGCATGTATAGATGTAATATGTATAACAATAATAGCACAAAAAGGGAGAAGAGAGTTCAGAGCTATTTAGTAGTAACTAAATAACTCACTGTAATAAAGTTATTATAAATCTGAAATAGATTCTGATAAATTAACAAGTATATGATATGCCCTTTAGCAACCACTGTGAAAATATACTCAAAAAAATGAAAAAAATAATTAAAGCAATTGAAATATACTAGAAAATATTCACCTAATTAAAAAAAAAGTAATAGAGGAGGAATAAAGGAACAACAACAAAAAGATACAAGACATGTGGAAAACAAAAAGTAAAATGGCAGACACAAATCCAACTATATAAACAATAACATTAAGTGCAAATGGGTTAAATAATCCAACCAAAAGGCAGAGAGACTGTCAGACTGGATTTCAAAAAAAAACAAGATCCAACTATAAGTTGGAGACACACTTTAGATTCAAAAATATAAATAAGTTGAAAGTGAAAAGATGAAAAAAGATACATCATACAAATAGCAACTATAAGAAAGCTGGGGCAGCTATATTAATATCTGACAAAGTATATATTAAAATAAAAAAATGTTACTAGAGATAAAGAAGGACAAAAGTCCCAAAATGAATGTAGAAAAAAACTGACAGAATTGAAGGAAGAGATTATTCAACAACAGTCAGAGAATTCAATACACTACTTTCATAATAGACAGAAATAGGCATATCAACAAGGAAATAGAAGACTTGAACAACACAACAGGCCAACACTATAGACCTAACAGCCATCTATCTATAGAACACAGCATCCAACAACAGTACAATACATACTCTTAAGTACACATGGATTATTCTGCAGGATAAACCATATGCTAAGCCAGAAAGCAAACCTCGATAAATTTAAGACTGAGATCATATAAAGTATGTTTTCTGATCACAACAGAAAAAAATTATAAATCAATAACAAATTTGGGAATTCATAAATATGTGGAAATTAAACAATGTACTCCTAAATAACCATTGCATCAAAAAGAAATTAAAAGGCAAAGTATTTTCTAATACCTTGAGATGAATGAAAACAAAAACATGGCATACCAAAACTTATTGGATGCAGCTAAAGCAATGCTCAGAGGAAAATTTATAACTGTTAATGCCTTTATTCAAAAAAGAATTCAAATCAATAACCTAACCTTCCACCTTAAAATACTGGAAAAGACACAAACTAAATACAAAGCAAGCAGAAGTTAGTCTGCTTTCTTACTAATCTTACTATTTTGTAAGATTTGAGCAGAGTTTGATGACATAGAGAATACAAACACAATAGAGAAAACCCCAAAATCCACTTTGGCTCCTTGAAAAAAATCAATAAAATTGACAAGCCTTCAGCTAAACTAACCAACAAAAAAAGAGTAAACTCAAATTATCTTAATTGGCAAACCTTCTGACAACAGTATTACTTTACACACCATCAGGTACGTTAGTTACCATGAATCAGAGGCACTTACATGTGTATAAGCTACATGAAAAATCATTTCACTTTGTTGCCTTATTAAATTGTTTCATAAACAAAATGCACCCTAAATTAAATTTCAAGATCTATGACATTTGTCATTAATTCTCCCCTTTTTCTTTGGGAGATTCCTGCCCCAATTACAGGGTCCATCACATAGGTTTTACTTTCTTTCCTATCACACCATCAAAACAGATTTGAGATTAGTTGTTGTGCTTTCGTTTACTGACAAACTACCTTTCAAATTCATTCCTACAAAAGCGTATTATAAACAGTATTCATATTCTGAATCTGAGGTAACTAACTGTGGAATTAAAGGATTTTCCATATAAAGAATATTATGCCTCCAAACAATGTCACCAATGGACACCATGATCTGAACCAAGTAGTTCATTTCAGTCTTTTACTCAGAAAATATACAGTAAATAAATTCAAATTGCTTCAATATACAGACATAAACACACATACACACACACCTGTGAAGGGTGAAGTCTGAACAACTAGATGTTATCCTGAAAGTCATTTAATTACTATTTGTTATTGTATTTGTTTATTTTGTGTATTTCAGGGAAAGATGAAAGAAGATTGCAAGAAGCATCAGAAGTCTAGTTCAAGAACAATCCCTGACTGTTCAGCACCAACCCGGTCAGGAGTGGAGAGGCTGGTACCTGTGCAGTGTTTTGTTCCAGGAATGCCATATGAATGGCCTCTCATTTATGGAAGGCTTCAGATCTAGTCTTTTGATGTTAATTACAAATAAGGCTGCACGTGTGCAGCCAATGTTTGGCATGTGAGTGGTAACAGTGCTAGATGTAAATATTTTTGTCACAGTTTTGTAACCATGCTTCACCGTTTCCTCATTGTTGGACACTAGGAACTGTTATACACAAGGGAAGTCCAGGACCTCTCTCCGCTTTCAGAGGCACTGCCTGGTGCTGACCCCATGTGATCCAGGGCTACCAACAGATCTCAACCCTTAGCAAGCCTCAACTTTTCCACACATTGCCATAACCCTAGTCCTTTCTCTTGCTGCCCAAGAATACATGATGAACTTTCTTTGCTTGAATTTCAGGGATATCTGGTGTGATTTTCATTTGTATTTAATGCTTCCATTATTACCGTCTCTACTCAACACATCTAAAAACTCTGAACATATACTTATTCCACCTGTCTTCTATTTCTATGACTTAGATATTCTGCATCACAAAATCCCTCCAAACTGGGACTATGTTTTTGAAGTCATTCATTTTACAATTATAACAACAATAACAATAATATTTATTGTTTGCTTTGTGCCAGGTACTCTACTGCTTTACATAAATTATCTCATTCTGTCACATCTAACGGCAACTAAGTATACGCTTACATCTGCTAGTGGCACCTAAAATAAGGATATTGTTGGTCATCTTTAAAGAAATGTCTTAACATACCAAAGTAGTGGAATCAATAGAATAAAATATTTAAGTCTTACAAAGCGTACGACACTAAAGTAATATAGGATACCACTAAATTTATATTTCTATGTATGGAAAGTAAAGCTATTCCTGGTACATGGTGCTGACCTTCTTTTTATCCTATTTCTTACACCTTTCTCAAATTCCTATTAAACCACAGCTTCGAATATGTCAAATAAATAAATTTGATCCATACATTCAGTTAAATCCTTCAACTATGTAGTAATACCTAAAGTGAGTATTATGTTGCTGCATTAATGCCAAAAAATGTTTCCCATGGCAATCCAGCCTAATATTAATTGTGGTATGGGTGCTGAAAAAATAAAATGAGACATAATTTTACTAATCATTCACTTTGCATTTTGAAGCTCTATGCTGTTCTTAATCAAAACTCTTATTTTATTATCAAGAATTACACTAGTTCTAAAATGAGTGAATTTTCTGTTGGAGACAGGAAATGAAGAACTACTAACACCGGGAATGTATTTTTCCTTTCTCAATATTAACACATGATATATATTCATATTAATAACAACTCTGGAAACTAGTTTCATTCCTTCTACACATAAGCAATAAACAGTATGTGCAACTATGAATCCTAGCAGCAGTAATGTGGATATATAATATAGGGTTTCTTTGGAATATACAGCCATTTCTAATATTTCATTTCAGCAAGTGTACAGGCAACCATCACAGATGTCCATCAAAGCTGGATTAGATGAAGACAAACAACGCAGGCTTTGAGGATAAACTGAAGGTGCAGCTCAAAAGTTTCCTTTTCTTATCCAAGGGCATTATAGGACCATTGTCTTCCTCCTTCAGGCAAAAAAAAAAAAAAAATGAATCAATTATGTTACTGATATTCTTCCACAGCAGACTGAAAAGTCTTTTTACAGTACAAGAGATAGTAAAAACTAAAAATTTCATAAGAAAATGTGGAAATTTCAAAAATATCTTTGTGCTCAAGTTTGTTATCTCTGCAATTTTTCCACAAAGTTTACCATAATTTTATTTCTATGGCAGACCTATTAATGCAGGATTTCACAGAAGCAAATACTTTCATCCAAAATAAATAATGCTTGAACTATTTTACAAACAAAAAATATGTATATCATGTCAAATAATAAAAATAAAGCTTTAAGTTCTTGTCATTCATTTCACATATAATAATCACAGATGGATGGTAGCTCAAGAGCACACAGACCCCTTCATTCCTAATTCCCAAATGACTTACAATTCTATTAAATAAATAATAAATGCAGAATATATATATATATATATATATATATATATATATATATATATATGACAATAGTACTTGTTTGAGATAACAAATAATGTGCTTCTCATATAGGAAAACAACATCAGCTAAGATTTTAGTTCAATGATACTGAACTTTTTGATGTTGAACTAGCATTGCTAGCAATGGCAGTGGGAAATTTGCAGTCTTATTAGTTGCCTAAGGTAGGTAATAAATCTCTATTAAAATTTAGAATGCATATACTTTTGGACTTGGAATTCTAGGAACTTATAATAGACATATAATTATCCAATCATACAAAGAGTCTATGTGTAAGGATATTCACTGCAAAAAGAAACTGGAAACAAACTAAATGGCCTCCTTCTGGGCAATGTCCTTTGGAAAAAAAGAAAAAATAATAAAACAAAATAGCCTCCTTTCCTTAATAAATTATATTACTATGCAGTATTTCAGAATTATGCATATATAGTATATATGTATCTGTGGACACACCTGCACACACACACACTATATATATATATATATATACACACACACATTTCTACATATGCATACATATATAAACATAGATACATACAAATATATAGAATGTCTGGAAAAATTTATTAGAAAATATTTATAATGCTGGGTTATGTATTTCCAAACTATATATTTTTTCCTGCTCCCACTCTACCAGGACCAAACTACATTTCAAATATGATAGTCACAATAAAATCTTTTTAAATTTTTTAATCTTTTTAAATTGACAGAAAATATTGTAGATATTTATCATGTCAACAAAATGTTTTAAAATATATACACATTGTGAAATGGCTAAATCGAGCTAATTAGCATGTGTATTACCTCACATAGTTAAAAATATACTTTTAGCACTTTTCAAGAAAGTGATATGAAATTGATTATCAAACTGTAAAATCACACCAATTCAGAGTTAATGGGGCCTAAAGGTCACAATGTATTTATTTTCTGCAAAAGGAAATAACCTGGGGTCCAGTGTTTCCCAAACTATGTTCCATAAAAAACAACAACCTGGTTGAAAAAACGAATCCATGTTAAAAAATACTGTATCAACTCTGTTAAAATATGGTTCTTTAATTCAAAGCCATTTCAGAGGCTCTAATATGCTGATGTGCATTGCAAATCTCCAAAAGGAGGATATTATTACATCCAGGATTCTCCAGATATATGTGAACAGTCACCTCTTGATTTAACACACATTTTGGAGGACCAGTGCGCTGCAGAACTCATTTGGGAGAGGCTGGTCTAGAAGCATGTATCCTAAGTTTATGAAATTTCATTATAAAGAATATATCCAGCCTTCTAAATATTAAGCTACCATGGCCCAAAACATGAAATAAAATATGGGTAGGTAAATACACAGTCATTCTAATCATACGAGGTCAGGTCTCAAGCCAAAGCAGAATTTAACATTTAGTATACATCCACAGTGCAACAGATGCACATACATGTTGGTGTCCTATTCATTTTTGAAGCTCTCAGGGCATGATTCAGGGGGTTCTTGGTAAATGCTGAATGAATTCTAATTTACCTACGTGTAGAATCTGCTGGTGAATTTGCACACTCACTCAGTTAAAATCTCCCTCACATGGGGAAACTCAATACCCTATGCTATTGAGCTTTTCTTACTTATATATTTTTCAAAGAAATGACACCCACCTATGCCAAGATCATATGATGATGATCTTATTAGCTTTACCTGCCTCAAAAATGTACACTTGATCTTGTTTACTGCAAATACCAGATTAACTGAAAAAATGTTTCAATGAAATCACAATCTGGGGTATGGATTTGGAATGAGGGAGAACCAAGTCCAAATCCCAGCTCTTCTATCCAATTTGCTGTAAGATTTTAGGCAATTTACTTGCCCCTTCTGAGACTCAGACAATATCTACTTCTTAGGGAATGTGTGGGACTGTAATGACAGCAGATATCATGTGCTGAGCATAGTACTATAAGTAATAATTTTGGTTGATTTTAAAATCATCTCACTAGCTAAAAATTAAACTACAATACTGTGCTCCAACATAAATGTGAAGTATGGCCCATTATGTTTATGCCATGTGTTGGAAGTTTACTTTTCAGTGTTTTAGAGAAAGTTTTCATAGGATAAAGTAATGCTTGGTCTCATCTGTTCCGTATTCCCAAGCTCCAGCCCAACACCTGACCCAAAGCACTCAGAAAATGTGTGTGTGCATGCATAAATAAGTGCAACAAAATGACAGTAGCAATTGCTAATATTATTTATATCAAAATTATGCATGCATATAAAGGCTTAAAGTTTTTAAATGTTTGTTATGAAACTATCAGTCCCTTGTCCTATGTGTCACCAATTTCCTTCTCCTTAACTCTTTTAGCTGATTATTTTAACACTAGAGAGCTAAATGGCATGATTGTATTGCTACCTTTCAATTTTGTTTCAGTATTATGTATAAATTTTTCCTATGGAGAATGAAGATTTGACCCTCTTTCCTCCTGTCAACATCATGCACACACACACACACACACACACACACACACACACACACCCCACCCCATATGAACCCTTCCCATCTTCCCATCACCCCATCCTCCAAATATGGCTATATAGTAAATCTGGTTGAATCAATTATGCAACTTCTATTATTGTAATGATGTAAAAGTATTCAGAGGTGAACTACATGTGTTAATTTTTCTTTCCTGCACAACATTTTGTTTTCTCTGGAGTGATAAATACCTTGGGTTTTTCCACCTAAGTGTTCTACGTGCTCATAACTGATTCAATGCACAAATACCTACCCATTGCCTAGCTCTCCTCTCAAGAAGTGAAGATATATCATGCATTGTATCAACTTCACCATTCCTGAAGAAAGCTCATCTAGAACCTTCTCACCTGCTCACATCTGGACTGACTGCCTGGTTTGCCTATGATCTCATTCTACTGTCATTCTGGCATTTATTCATCCCCTTGGTTTTTCTCCTTTGCTGGCTCTCCTGTTTCGTGGATCCCACATCTTTTTCCTTAGCTTACTCCATTTTGGTGTGGCAATATCAAGTAGCTTCTGGGAAATAAATTTGTGGTGGCTTTGATATCTATAAATGACTACTGTAACCACACACTGGGTTAAAAGTTTGACTAGGTAAGGAATTTGGTGGGTTGTAATTTTCCCTCAGAATTCTGAAGGTCATGCTCACTGCCTTAGCTTCCAGCGTTGCTTTTGAGAAGTCTGGTATTCAAATTCCAGATTCCTTGATTTTGACATGTTTGTTGCTTTGGTTTTTGCCATTCTGGAATTTCTCCCTCCATGTTCTGAAGTTTCACAATGATGGTGTCTTGGTGTGAGTGTGTTTTGATCTACTGTGCTGGGAATTCAGTGGATTCTTTCCATTTGTAACTTTATGCTCACGAGTTCTGGGGAAATGCTTTGGATAATTTTGTTGCCTGATTCCTCTCCTCCACTTTCTGTGTTCTCTCTCTAGCTTATTACGTGGACGATAGACCTCTTAAACTGGTCCTCTAATTTGCTTACATTACTGTATTTTTCATCTTTTTGCCTTTTGCTGTAATTTCTGAGAATTTTCAATTCTGCCTTCTGATTCATCTGTAGAAGTTCTCATTTCTGCTATCATGCTTTCAGTTTCCAAAAGCTCTGTTTTCTAAATATTCCTTTCTTAATAGCACCCTGTTTTTTTTGTGAATGCAATTTCTTTCCTTACCTCTCCAAATATATGAGTGACAACTTCTTGACAGTTTTTCTCTTCTTACAAAGTATTTATGTCTTTTAACTCACTTTATTGTCTGATTTGGGTTCTTTCATTTACAGTTCTTCTTCAAATATCTGTAACTGTTCATATCTGGGACTGGCAAACAACCACTACAACAAAACCAGAGTGGAGGCGGAGGGCACCGTGGAGGCCTCTTTATTACACCATCACCACTGGATAAGCCCGTTGGTCCACTTCTGCAGAGAAGTCACCTGGGCTGGTCAGACCCTCCCCAGAAGATACTTCCAGCTTCATCTGGAGAGTAGGGGCCTTTCTGCCAGTGTATGGGAGGATGACATGAGGTCTGAGGATGTTATTTACTCACTCAATTGTGTCTGTGTCCCCAAGTACAGAGTCTCTCTCTTAATCATCTCCAGAAGACAAGTATCTCCAGTCCACCAAGGCTTTGGAGGGGGCTGAGAGATTAAGTGCTTCTTAAATAGCTTTCAACCAATACAGATGTCTTTAGCCTCCTTTTACTCCAGCTTCCAGATGATGTCTGTTGCCACCAATTCCTGGGAATTTGAGAGATTCTATCATGCGAACGGGTTTGTTCCTCACATCTGCTAAATCTGTTACAAGACCATCTGCTTCCAGCTTCCAAAGTATTGTGGCTGTTGTCTCCTCTCTTGCTTCTGTATCCTTGTGAGGCAATGCACTTAAAAAAAAATCTCTTTCCTGTTATTTTAATGCAGTCTGTGGTGGAAACAAAATTAGTTGCCTACCTTCAATTGATGGTCATTATTTGAAATATAAGTTCATTTTTATGCCTTTGTGTATTTTCTAAAGTTCCTACAATAACTACATTAGTTAGTAATCAGAATACAAATTTATTTGGTAAAACCACCTAAAGAAGTAACACTTTGAATATATGAAGTTAAGGCTGAACTCCTCCCTTTGGGATTTTCTCCAAATATTCATTTATCTACATCTAAATAATAAGGAAGCTTACTCATAAAGAGAAATTTTCTATTATACAATGATCAGTGTTCATAATGATGACCTCAAAGTATGGCCACATCCTAAGAAGTCTTCTAAATCATCAGCTATTTCAATATAGTTATAGCAGATGCCATCTTTCACATGACTTTTTCTTAACCTTGAATTATCTTTTATGAAGAGGCCCAAGGGAATGAGTGCAAAGCAAATCACTACTGGAGAATTTCCTGAAAAGCTACCAAAAATTTAAAAATCACATGTTCACACACATCTTACTCCTCAGAGGTTGCTGCAGGTCACAGTACTGATGTAAGTTCCAGTGATTTTGGCTCAGCTCATTGATAACTAACTAAAGTATCCCTCTTTAAGTACAGTAATTCAGTGTAACATCTCCAAAATAGAGTCTTTTAAGAAACAGCAATATGCTAGAAATAAGAACTCTCCTCTTCAGAGGGGGCTCTTTGTCCTGTACACTAGTGGAACACTTCCTCAGGCAGTTTGTACATGCTGCTCTGACCTGGAGTTAGCTGTGTGTCTGATTTACCCATGACACTAGGCTGTGAGCTATGTCAGGGGAGAGCTGATCACTGGTTATGTTTATATTTTCACTCAGCCCCTAGAATACTGCCATACACCAAACAGAGGGTTAAAAATAAATGCCCTTCCATTACAAGCAACGGCATATAGACACCTTCTTTTTCAACATTCTCACTCATGACAGCATCGGGTCATGAGAGAAGGAAACAGAGGAAGAGGTCAGGAGTGTCAAACACTTTTGAAGAGTCAAAAGAGAAGAGGGAAACATGCCACTGGATTTGGAAACAGAAATCCAAGCACATGAGACATTTTTAAAAGGGTGCCAGATATTACTGTTAATTATTTAACATTATTCTGGAGTACTAGATAATGAAATGAAATAAAATCAGAAAGAAGGAGATAAAACTGTCATGATCGTTGGGTGTTATCAGTGTCTATCTGGAAAACTCAAAATAATCAGCGGAAATCTTACCGAAAACTATATAAAGGTTAATAAGCAAGCCAGGGACAAATCTAATCCATTGTTTTTTCAATAAAAAAATTAAACAATGGAAAAATCTATAGCTAGTCAAAATCTATAATGATAATAATAGTAATTGCTCACATTTAATGCTAATCCTCCACAAAGCACTGTGATGTGCATTTTACCATAGCTCATGAAATCCTCACATCCCTGGGAGGTTATAACTCTTACTATATCCACTTCATAGATGAGGAAACTAGGGCTGAAAGAGAATCAATAGTTTGCCCAAGTTGTGGAACAGCAAATAGAGGTGCTGTGTTCCCCAAAAAGCCATACTCAAGCTGACTCCAGAGACCAAATATGCAAGTTGGAGTAAATATTGTGAGAACAGAGAATTATAAAATGCATGACAGACATAAAAAAACTTTAATAAGCATAGACCTATGCATTTTTCCTTGATATAAAGATTCAATATTGTAAGGTATTAATTCTCCTTAATCACTCTATAAATACAATGCAAATTAAAAATCCTAATAGGATTCCTTTTTCTCTTTTATTTTTGTCTTTCATTTTCTTTTTCTCAACCTCTCTTTCTTTTGCTCTTTATTTCTATCCTTCTGATAAAATGATTTTATGGTTTATCTGAAAAAATTAAACATGTAAAAATAGCCAGAAAAATCCTGCAGAAGATACTAGTAAAGAGGGTCTTGTCTGGCCAAACACTGAAATATACACTAATGCCACATACATTGTGGTCGATGCACATGAATACACAGATAAATGGAACAGAATAGGGAAGTCAAGAATAGAACCAAGTATTTACAGGACATGATATAATGTAAGGAGCCATTTTTAATGAGATTGGCAAGGATGAAAAATTTTAAATATTCAACACTGGTGAAGGTGAAAAGTGTAATCTGACACATAGTTACTGGGAACATAAACATAGAACTCTTGGGAAAAGCAATCTGCATATGGATTACAATAAAACTCTTTGACCTAGTAATCTCATTTCTAAGAATTTTTTAAGGAAATGGGTAAGTTAACCACAGTATTATTGATGACAGCTCATCAAATTTTGGCATATACTTAAAAGCAATGTATGTAAAACCATTTTAAAAATAACTATGCAATGACATGAAAAGATATATCATCAAGCTGATTGAAAAATAGCATGCACAGTATAATCTCATAAGATACATTACATATATATGTAACCATATGAGACACATATATAAAGAGAGGTCAATGGACAATCATAATGATAAAGGTAACATTTTTGAATCCTTACACTGTGGACAAAAAAAAAAATGTTAAGCACTTTAATTGCATTATCTCATTGTTATCTTCACAACCACCCTACGAGGTAAATACCACTATAGCCTTCTTTTAAGTGATGAAACAAGAGACAGTTATCAGTTAACGTTTTCAAGGTCACACAACTAATTACTGGTGGAATCTGAATGAAACCTGAGCCATCTCCACTGTGCTCCAGGGCCTCCATATCCATCACAACCCCCAGTGCTGGGGATGCTATCACTAAGAGGAGAGTTTGAGAGACGTTTGCTGCTGCTCCATTTTATTCTGTACTGTTTGAATATTCTACCATGAACATGTGCTATATATGTGGAGACAAGGAAACAAAAAGCAAACAGAGAAATCAAAGGTGACCTTTGCTACAGCAGTTTCAATAGGTAGGAGATGTAAACTGAAGAGTAAAAAGATGAGAAAGAGATGTAGAATATATTGAACAATTGGTTAAAAAAATGGCAAAAATGCCTTCTATAAAATACCCAATCAACAGTGCAAGCACAAATTAGCATAACCCTTGTAGAGGGTACTTCAGCAAATATGTTATGAAAAAATGAAAACATATGGTTCTTTCTTCCCAGGAATGTCATTCCTAGGAATTTATCTACAAGAGATAAGAAGGCAAAAGATAAACACAGTGCATAATGTTCTGCACTTTGCTGTTGTGAAATGTGGTGTCGTGAAAAGAGCTCAGCATTGGGAGTGGGGCCCACTTAGGTCTGAATTCTTGCTCTGCACTTTACTGGCTGTGACCTTTAGCAAGTTACTCAACGCATCTCAGCCTCAGTTTCTTTATCTCTAAAATGAAAAATAAAAATACCGGTCTCATAGGATTGTTACGAGGACTAAATGAGACAAAATACAGCATCATGTCTGAAATATTAAAAAGCAGTTGTTCTTTTTGTTCCCATCACTCACTAATATGTGTAACTTAGAATGAATAAATAAGCTTTGATCAAAACTCAAGGATAAATCATAGAAGTTGGTAATATTATAAAACGCTAAACTTAGCTTTTAAAGTTCAGAAGTAAACCTGTGTTAGGATACTTTGACACTTTCTCCATCTCAATTAGCACCAAACTAATTAGCAAAACTGTTTTACACACTACAGTGAGTCACATTTTTCTTCCTTCTTCTCTAATCCCTGGTGTGTTGTAAGGGTGATTGACTATCTAATTACTTCTTAATTGAATGCACATATTATACATTTTTCACTAGTTCGAGCTTAATGTTTTTAGTTCAGAAATCAAAGTCAATGAAATTAAGTTGAATTGGGATTTGGGCAACTATTATAATGAGAGAAGGTTTGTATTATATCTAATTATAAGTAAATGTGTATTTTAGCCTTATTTCCTATGGAAATATTTCAGGTACAGGAATGTTCCATACACAACTAATTTAGATGATTAATAACACTGTTATTCTTATTTACCATCCTTTATTCCTCGTTACAATGATTTTATTGCTAAGATCCGCTAAATATAATTATTATTTAAAGAAAAGATGCCATTAGAGAAACATTGGTTGTATCTATACTAAAATCCGAATGAACATTCATACCTGCAAAAAACTGCGTTAAGTTTCTCTGCAACATAAAGGTTGCAGGAATTTTCACAGGCTGCTAACAAAAGGAAAAAAAAATCTTGGAATGCTTCAAATACAACCAGTTATATTCATGAAAAAAATGTTTATTTACAAAAAACTAAAAATATTACCAACAAAATAGTATTCCAACTCAGTTAACACTTTACAGGTAGAATATCTCATAAAAGATTTTTTTTCCCTTTGGGCATTAGGCAGGAGTAAATGCTGAAGGAGATATTATCAGACAACAAAGGTTTATTGCTTCGGTTTTTTTCTATGTATGCGGAGTAACCATCTGGAATAATTTAGTTGAAGACCTCTTCAGGCAAAAACTAGATTAAAGAACTTCTTGAGATACAATTCCACTCCGTGCTCCTAAGATGTCTCTGAAAATATGTTCTCTGGACAAGCCCTAAAGACATTTATGAGTTCCTAATAAAACTCATAAAAGAATGAGCAATAAGAATTCAGAGCAATAAAAGCAGTAAGAACTCAGAGATTCTGAAGGGGTTTTAAGAAGCACTGAAATGGAGAACAGACCCATCTGAAACCAATGTGGTTTTACAGTTTTAACAATTAATTTATTACCTGGTGCTACCTGGTGGCAAACTTCTTGACTGGAGAAATCTCCATATTATCCAATAAATATTTCAGATTCTGGGCATTATCTAGATTATTTTAGATAATCTGGGCATTATCTAGTACTGGGCATTATCTAGATTATTTTAGCTTTGTATGTAATGAAAACAAGTTTTAACTGCAATGTTTAAGTAAAACTGAAGTAGCCCAAAGGATGAGGCCAATCTATATGTACCAACATAAAAATATCTCAAAGACCTTTAGTTAAAATGAAAATTTTTGTTTCTAGTATATTCTTGTTAAAAATATTTTTAAATAGCATGTTTCTCACCCTTCTGAGGGTTGTCAGTGTT
The DNA here is from genome assembly GCF_000001405.40 of Homo sapiens. NCBI lineage: Eukaryota > Metazoa > Chordata > Mammalia > Primates > Hominidae > Homo > Homo sapiens. The sequence goes on from NC_000008.11 coordinate 60,199,959, forward strand.
TACCTTTCTGTTACATGGTTTCTTCTCTAACCAGAACTCCTATGTTAAAATCTTAACCACTAAGGTGATGAGGTGAAGCCTTAGAGAGGTGATTATATTGATCATGTGGGCAGAGGCCTAGTGATTGGGATTACTGCCCTTATAAAAGAGACCCCAGAAAACCAGTAGGCCCCTTCTACCATGTGAGGACACAGTGAGAAGGCACCATTCTACAAAACAAGAAGTGGGGCCTCACCAGATACCAAACCTGCTGGTGCCTTGATCTTGGACTTCCTAGCCTCTAGAACTGTGAGAAATAAATTTCTGTTGCTTAGATGTTAGTTTATGGTATTTTGTTATAGAGGATCAAATGGAAGACATGTAACCCTTTCCCTTCTTCGGGAGATGGCTTCTACCCCCAATAAGGGGGTCTGGGTAAATTACTCCACACTACCATAATCCTTTCTTCACCCTTATGTAATTTCATTTCCATGCTGAGATTTTAGATTCTCTAGTTTTTGCCATATGTAAGCAATTTGCCATACATAAGCATCAGAACCATAACCTATATATAAATGAGATAAAAATAATAACAAGAAGGTAAATCAGGAGACGTCAGTAATTTTATCATGTTTCTGTGTTTCCTCAATAATTGCTAACACCTAGCTACATATCAGTAGATCTAATGTAGATCAGTTTTCCAGGGCCCATTTTTAAAAGACTTCATATAAATAGCTCAGATATTTAAATAAAATGCCAATAATACTACCTTATTTTGTGGATGACAATAACTAACCACCACAATCCTCCCCATCAATTCCATCACTCTCACTGTGCTCAGATGTGGATTCAGAATCCTTCTCAACACTCTCCAGACAGCTGGTACAAATCAACCAGAGCTGGCATGCAAGTTTGAGTGCTATAGGTCTTCTTGTCTTTTATTATTTTATATATTTTTATTTAATCTTGTATTTATTATCTTGTATTTAATCTTGCCATAACAATCCTATGTAGAAGAAAGGGGAGATGCTCTTGCAACAGTCATGAGGAGATGACGCTAACTTTATGGGTTGTGATGACAAAGATGGAAACACATAGATGGCTTTGAGAGCTATCAGAAGGCAAATCTGCAGAACTTGATAAAACGGAAATATGGGGTAAGGTAAAGAAGAGAGGTGTCATGCACGGCTCACGTTTCAAAGAAAACTGGAAGAGAGGCAGGTCTGTGAAGGAAGACCATAAATTCAATATTGTATATGTTGAGTTTGAGATGTCTTTGACACATCTAAAAGAAAAGTTCTACAGACAGCTGGGCATTCAATTCTAGAAGTTAATTAAAAGACCTAGTCTAGGAATGTAAATGAGTCATGTGTTGTTAGTGGTGACAGGCTGTGAGAATGGATGAGTTCACCTACAGAGACAGCCCCAAAGGCTGAACCATGAGGACTCCAACATTAAGTGGACTCCAACATTAAGTAGCCTCCTAAAAGAACATTCGTGTAGCATGCAGAGGATGAAAGGTGGTGCAGGTAGAAAGAAAACTGGGTATATGGACACCAAAATAAGAACGTGGCAAGAAGGCAGGCAGTATCAGAACCTGCTGAGAGATCCAGTAAAATGAGGTCTAAAAATGCCCCTTAAAAAATGTATCATTTTTTGGTGAGGAAAAAAATGAACATTCCTTTTGTTGCATCACTATATAACAATAAAATATCTAAAATATGAAAAAGACAACCTGCAGTCATACTTTCATAATTTCCAAATAATTCCAAGATAAATATGACGTTCACAGAAGTAAGTAAATACTTCCATTTAATTGACAAATATTTATTTGTAAGGTACTAGATGAGGCTCTAGATTGGTCAACTAGGTTTACTTCATTATTTCCTAACCTAGAAGTTTTAAATTTCGTGTTGTACTTTAATGCAACTATAATCATCTCCTTGAAAGCTGAAAGCTGTTCAGAATCAGAATTGACCAATATAACAAAATAAATATCTGAATTTTTAAGGGCATTATTTTTAAATGACTGTTTCCATCAGTTTCATTGGTTGTATAGTTTGATAGCTTTATGTACTTTGGGAAGACAAACTTTCTGGGACTCAGTTTCTTTTTTTTTTTTTTGAGATGGAGTCTCGCTCTGTCGCCCAGGTTGGAGTGCAGTGGCACGATCTCGGATCACTGCAAGCTCCACCTCCAGGGTTCACGCCATTTTCCTGCCTCAGCCTCCTGAGTAGCTGGGACTACAGGCGCCTGCCACCATTCCCAGCTAATTTTTTTTTTTTTTTGTATTTTTAGTAGAGATGGGGTTTCACCATGTTAGCCAGGATGCTCTTATCTCCTGACCTCATGATCCGCCTGCCTCAGCCTCACAAACTGCTGGGATTACAGGCATGAGCCACCACGACTGGCCAGGACTCAGTTTCTTTATTGATAAAATCTTCAAAAAGCAATGTCCATCTTGAAGAGTTGTTCTGAGGTGAAATGAGACATATATGAACCGCACCTCATAGTTCTTGGCACTCTATGGCACACTGCAATTTATTACAAACAAATTATTATTACTACTGGAGGGTTTCCATGAAGGGTTTGTTAGCCTTTAACTCAAGTATAAAATTTAAAAACTATTTTTTAATTTACACTTACTTCATGCTGTGTCTAAGATAGCTTAACAAGATCTCAGCACACATCCAGGATTCAACCTTCCATCCCTAAAGGGCATGTGGAGGAGAGGCTGGGGCATCTATGGGCTCTGGCCCCCACCTGTAGACTCTACCATACTCCCTATTTTAGGTCCTCCAAGATCACAACGAATGCTTTGGATCATTCCAAAGCACTTACCAAAACATATTCTGCAATCTCGTATTATTAGCTGGTTAAATAAATTTGTGAAATGCTGTATACTATACCATACCCTCTTGGAGTTCACATAGGTCCCTGGCATAGTAAAGATTCTCAGAAGTCTTGCATGAAGAAAACCTGCTTAATGAAGTATGTTACAAACTTGTTTGACTCTACTACGTAGACATTTATAGTCTCGTGGAGTAAGTAAAACTAAAACTGCTAAGTGCAGTAGAAAACAAAAAAAAATAATAATTTAAAACTAAACTAACATGGTACTAAACTCAGAAAGCAAAGAAGGATTAGTAAGGTCAGTTTACTTGGGAAAAAGACTTCATGGAGGTAAAACCTGGTCCTTCAAATATCAACAGCATTTAAACAGAAAACAGAGAGGAGAACATTCTAGACTTTAGGTTGGCAGATTTCTAGGAGTGACCCAAAAAAGGCAGACAGCTAAAACAAATTGTCAAGGTGCTAAGATTGGAGATAAAAAAAAGAAAAATGAGATGCTTACAAATAGAAAACTGAAGGTCAGGTAAAATTTTATTGAAAGAAAAAGGATAACTTCCCTGATTGTCACTACTCTTACACGGTCTAATATGAACTCTTGGTATCTGCCTAGTAACAATCCAGTTTTTAATAAAGTTTCAATTCCTTAACCCCTTATTTTAATCTGAATGAGGTAGACTTTTAGGCAAGTCTCTCAGTTTTTCCAATTGAAAAAATAGTAATCTCAGTATAAATCCTATTTTGATTCTATTTTCCCTCTATTTTTAAGATTTTTAATCATAATGAAATGCTGACATAAAAGCTTTATTTGATACTACTGCTTCTATAATACCCTCTTTTAAGAGGTACAGAAAATATTAAAACAAATTTATTCAATGCTTTTTTAAAAAAGTATCTCCTTATACTCCTGATTAAAGTATAGGTGATTTCCAATGATTTCTGCACTTGTTTTTTTAGCATTTTTAGTAATTTCCTTAGATGAATTTTTAAGCTTTATGTTTTCAGTTGGAGACTTACTAACAAAACCTAATTCATAAAAAAAATTCACTTCATTTTCCTCCTCATTTACCTGCTTCCTGTTCTCTCTGGTTTCTCTTTTCCATGATAAATTTAATAGAGACACAGGAAAGCATATTCATCATAAACCAGGGAACTATAATATCCAGTGCTCGAAGGGCCTTTGTGAGGTCTGTTGGAACATTTCCCCAATCCCTGTCCAGGCAGGTTCCCACCTAAACCACCTAGGAACCTCAAGTATTTAATGCCTTAGTCTTCCTCAAAAACCCACTCAAGATTTAAACCACCTACTTACAGGAAAGGTCTTTCTTGGAGCCTCTAGAAATAAATTCTTTCCTTAGCTAATTCAAAGCCTTTTGCTGATACTTGAAAGCCATTTTTTAATGTCCACTTTTGAGTATACATGAGGTAAAAGGCATGAAAGAACATGTTTAAATGACAAACTGGTCACAGTGATTTCCTTATGGAAAAATATATTCTTTAGGTTTAAAATCATGAAATCTACTGTATCTAGGGTATCAGAACATATTAACATTCGACATACAAGTTGGCCCATGACTGCAAAACATTCTTCCTCCCAAACACAATTTTGTTTTAATTCATAGTGGGAGGAAAAAATCATTCTGAAATTTTTATCCATGATAAATTATTAACATTTCTAAAACATAAAAAGGAAGAGATATATTTTAAAGCACGAATTATTTTCTTTGTTTAGTAATCTTGAAGAGAGCTCATACAGCTCTTGTATTTTTCATTGGTGGGTTAATAATTTTTATATCACATAATCAAAACATAATAGGTATTCTGAGCATCCTTGGTGTTTTGGCATTTTACTGAAATCATTTTGAGATCTGGTAGGAAATCCATTCCAGTTGGAGGAAATTCTATGAGATATAATAAATAGAAAACAGCTACATCTGTAGAGCCTTCAGTTCTAACCCTAATGCTGTGCACCATGTTAAATTATCAGAGGAGAGTCCAAGTTCTACTGACTGAAAATATGGCTTTGAGCTTTCCATTTAATCTGGAAGGATAATAGCTTTCACCTACTTGGTCATTCAGAGTGAACATTCTCACTTTCCTTTCCTCACACAGGCACCCCCTTCTCTATAATGCCTTACCCTCTTCTAACCTGTAACTCTTTTAGGTTATCAAAGAAGACTGATATGAAATTGATACTTGTTATAGCTTTATTAAAGCTAAGAAGACAATATTATTAACCGCAAAAGTACAAGTAGGGAAGAGTTCAACAGTCAAGGATAACTTCAAAGATCCCAAAAGAAAAATAAGGGCAAGTTTGACAATGGGACTATTTGGAGATGCTTGCTGAATAACCCCATTTTTCTGGCTTTGTTTCTTTTTTAACGTATTTAGGGCATTCTTATTTTTCCACATTTAAGGCAGAAAAAAAGAGAAACTAAAGAGCCGTGTGACATTGCTTTTTACAGAAAATAATTATAATTCATTATAGTTACTGTAAACATGTATACAGCTTAACAATATTTAGGTCACAAGCGAGACAGTCTTTGAGCGTCAGAACAGCCTTTTAAAAATGGGCTAACACTTTATGAAGTAAAAAGGCAAATAATCAAATAATCATTTTGCTGGAAGATGAGTACCAATGTCATGATACCAAAAGTAACAAGTAAACTGGACCTTAAACTTGTTATATCATTTGTTCATTGTTATTAAAATACATTTAGTTCTCCTGCATCATATAGAAAATTCAATGGGTAAAGGATCATTTAATATCAATAGGCACCCATAAATCTGAATTAGCACCGCTGAACCAAAGAATTTCCAGCACCTGGATGACTTACATACTAATTCTTTAAACAAGTATAATACAAAATCATAGTTCATACTTCTTAAATGGTAATATAAAAAGTCACAGATTACTCATGGGAATAATAAAGCTTGGTTATCAAAGTCTTCCAGGTGCCCAGACATGTCATTTTTTTAAAAATCTGTCATTTTAAGTCTAAAACTAAAGTTATTTCAGTAAAACATAGCTAAAATATATCTGAATTATTTTAAACATTTTTTAGAGAACAACTACCAGAGAAATGTCTTTTCCTTTTTAGTTCCAAGAGCTTAAATGAAACATTCATGCATTAAATTCAAAGTCTGACTGTCAAATCATTTCACTTTAATAAAAATTTGAATTACCTGCCTTAGGGCATTATTAAATATCAAATAAAAAGTACACACACATAAGTCTGATTCCCAATATAATTTTTATATAGAACTCTGACCAGATTTGTATTACACATTTCAAGATAAAAGTATTCATAAAAAAATGAAATAAGAATTAGTCACCTTAGAATTCCTGTACCATTCTTAGGAATTTGGGAGCAAATTATCCCCTTTAAGTAATCTCAGCCACCAAAGTAAGAACACAAATATATCTTCCTTTTAGAAATAGTACCTAAATTGTAATTAACTCAAAACTTTGAAAAACTACACATTATTCATCTATCATATAAAGAATATGAAGTATGTGAAATATACAAAATCTCATAAACAACATTTCTCTGTGTGTGTGTGTGCGCGTGTGTGTGTAAAAGAGAGAGAGAAAATAATAATAGTCATTTAGATATTTAGAGAATGGCAACTCTGGTCTAGGACAAGATACAAACCAAACATTCAAGGGAATAATCTCCCTTCATTAAAAGTATCATTTACAGGTATTGACATTCACAGGGAGTATACTAACTAAACCTAGACTGGAGAAATGCATAAATTCACGCTTTGCAACCCTCATCCCACCCCCGCTGCCTCTTGGCCTCTCCTGTGAACACATCCTTCCCTCTTCCTCTGCTCCTATCCATCTTCACTGCTGCTCTCCCACTCCTAGCTCCTGCCCCTTCATCATTAAATGGTAAGAGCAAGTCATGGGTACACAGCAGCTCTAAACCACCACCTCCTTCTTTCTTCCTTCCCATTGCAGCACAGAGAGTGCCCATCCTCTCAGCAAAAGCCAGTCTCCCTGTGTGCTTAGGATTTCATCCCTTTCAACTTTTCAGACTTCACTGCTCCAGCTCCTCCCAGAAGCAGTATCTTCAGCCTCTCTCCATCTACTTGCTCCTTTCCCACACCCCAGCATATAGACAAGTTCTATTTCTTTTGTTTAAAAAAGAAAAAAAAAAAGACTTCTTCAATCCCACCCCGTCTCTGTTGCTGCGGCCTCCTGCCCCACCCCAGCCCACCAAGGTGGCTGCGACCTGGAGTCTCCAGCTCCTCCCTTCCTATGGCCTTTAGCCTGCTGCAACCACATCCCTCCTTGATGTGTCACTCGACCGCCAGTGTGGCAAAACTCTCTAACCTCTGCCCATGTCGTGGTGAAGAAAAAGGGCTCTGCCAGTCAAGCTGCCTGGATCTCCTTCAGCTCCACTGCTCAATCACTGTATTACTTTGGCCCGTAACCTAACTTATCTGTGTCTTGGCTAACTTGTCTGTAAAGCCTCCCACAAGATTTTATGCACACTTAATTAAGTAACCCCATTAGATCCATCAGAACATTATATGAACATATACAATGTCTACACCCAATACGTCCCTATTTCAACCCAGACTTGTTTTCTGTTCTCTACTCTTGAAATGCTAATGACCTTCATGACCAGAGTCCGCTATTGCAGTTTGTGGTTGACAGGCATCTCTCACTCACTGTGCTGCAACTCAACTCTTTATCTTCAACCAAACAGGGCCTCCCCGCAGCTTTCCCACTGCCACTCAGTGGCACTCCATCCAGGGTTTCCAAAGTGTAAGACCCCGGAATTTATCTTTGACACTTCCATCTCCCTCCACCCCTCATCCAATTCATCACTAGCTATAACCTGCGATTTCTATTTCATATACATCAACTTCTCTCCACCTCCACTGTTCCTATTCTAGTGTCCAAGCCTCCGCATCTATCACCCTGGCTACCTGGCAGACTTCTTCGTTTTTTTGTTTTGTTTCATTTTGTTTGAGACACGATCTCAATCTGTCACCCAGGCTGGAGAACAGTGGTGTGATCTCAGCTGACTGCGGCCTCCACCTCCCAGGCTCAAGTGATCCTCCCACCTCAGCCTCCTGAATAGTTGGGACTACAAGCGTATGCCACCACACCCAGCTAATTTTTAAATTGTTTATAGAGATGAGATTTCGCTGCTTCCCTAGGTTCTATTCCAACAGATGCCTTCCCCTTGGGAAGCTGTGGTTTGCCAGTGATGTACAATGACCTATGCACTTAGGAAATTTACAAGGTAAATAAATAATCCAATATATAGTTTGTTTTATATTTTATCTCTTCCGTGTTTGTGATATTTTATTTTGTTAGTTCCTTAAGAGTAAGGAATACATACATTGAATTCTATATATTAAAATACATAGATTATGTTTCAATCAATAGTGTATCATATTCAGATAATTAATAAGTGCTTCTCAATTTATCATATAAAAGGCACTTCCATAGAAGAAGTATTTCAATGCATGCCAGATATGCTCCCTCCCCTGAGAAACAAGAGGATCAATTCTGCAGGAGACGAGAAGGGTCCACACTGAGGCTCACACGCTCCCCAAGTCCCCTCCTATGTGCTCCTTGGTCACTGGGACATGACTGGTGCTGCTTCACGGGGACAACATGGTAAGTTACTAAAGAGGTATGCATGCATGTCACTTTTTCTGGGCCTGAGGGTGTCTGTTCTTATGAAAGCCACCAAAACTTGGAATTAAAGGCTACTCTGATAGGAAAATATAATCATAGTTTTTCTTCAATACTGCATAAAATTAAAATACCTACTTGACCTGTAATTAACAGAGCTCAAGAATGTGTCATAAATTTTATCAAGATGAAGTACATACGCTTTTATTACTAAATTACCAGGATCACAATAAGTGTACCTTTGGTACGCTAGGTTTAAGTAGCTGTGCACCTCATTTTCCTTACTTAATCTGGACATACCCTCATGAAGACAGACTTGTTCCTGTCCTCTTTGGCTACTGAAATGCAGCTCTAATGACTCTGTCACTAAGAGGCTGAGTGGGCCGAAAGTTGTCTCCCAAAATCCCATCACAGCCTTCCACAAGTTCTGCCCCCTTAACATGTGTCCTCAGCCTTCGAAATTCTTCTATCTGAAAATAAAAGCAGAAGAAAATAGATTAATCAATTATCGGACATTAACAAGATTGGAGTTTCATAAATGACATGCATAAAATATGTATAAATTACAAGAATTATTGAAGAGAAAATTAAAATTAAGCTTCAAAAAGAAAAAAAACAGACTTAATTCTTCCAGACCTAAGACGTTAGAGAGGACCCTTTCAAGAAATGACAACAGAAGTAGACATATCAAGATCTCTGAACAACTCAAATAGATAAAGAAATCTGCTCCATTTGTTAATGTAAAAATGATACAGGCCGGGCACAGTGGCTCACGCCTGTAATCCCATCACTTTGGGTGGCCAAGGTGGGCAGGTCACAAGGTCAAGAGTTCAACAGCAGCCTGATCAACACGGTGAAACCCTGTCTCTACTAAAAATACAAAAATCAGCCAGGCTTGGTGGTGCACACCTGTAATCCCAGCTACTCAGGAGGCTGAGGCAGGAGAAATCACTTGAACCCATGAGGCGGAGGTTGCAGTGAGCCGAGATCACACCGTTGCACTCCAGCCTGAGTGACAGAGCCAGACTCCATCTCCAAAAAACAATGATACAAACCTCTCCCAAAAAGGTTTTATGCCTATCTATAGCATAATAAGAAAAAGTGAACAAATGAATGTGCTCTTAAATGCTTTCCAAGTACATTTTAATTAATGGATTCTTATGTTACTGTATGTAAACACTGATTAGATCTTAGATTTATCAGATAGATTCAAGGTTTCCTTTCATCAAAAGACTTTTGCCACTTTTCTAGCCCTCTGGAGAGCACAGGTCCAAAAAAATGATTTTTCAAAAGTCTGAGCCCAAATTCCTGTCTTTACAATATTGATTTTCAAGTTCATTTCCCTTTATTAGGTGGGCTCTCCAGGTCCCATGGCTTCCCCACTGTAAGTGAAAAGGTTCTCAGAGTCCTCAGGGACATTGCCCATCAGCCACCCTACAGTTTCTCTAAGAACCCAGAGCCTGCCAGACGTGACTCTCTGGGGAATACTAATGTTTAAGCAACAAGCAAAAGTGATGAGCATTCCCCAGGATTATTCCCATCTATCAATTTAACTACAGGGTTCATTGTCTGTTAATTCACTTAAGTGCCACACAGTCACATGACACATTCTTCATTCCATATACAGAAGGGGAAACTGAGGCTGGAAGTTTTGAAAATTACCAGATTAGCTAGTGGGTAAGTCTGACAATTCCAAGTCTACCTGCTCTTTTCTCAGCTCCACAGTCATCTCTTTAGGAATTCTAGTCAATTCAATATAATCTATCTCCTTCACATACCCCAGGGTATTGAGCAAACGTGATTTGGGCAGCATCAATCCACCAAAAGTTCACCATCTGTGTATCAAGGGATTATATCCACAAAGATCCTTAATATGACATAGCTATAGAATTCTGCCATTCATAAAGAGAAATGAAACACAAGACAGCAACTAATTCAGGGGTTTCAACAAAGTCAAGAGACACCTATAGAGACTTTAGGGGGCCCACGAAAGCCCTGAATGATATGCAAATTTTTACATGTGCATTTTCCTCAGGAGAGGCTCCCTGACTCCAAGAGTTGAATCCCACAACATTCTAATTCAACACACTCATACATAGAGTTGGAAAAAAATTAAACGGATAGTTCAATTAGAATCCGGGTCAGAAAGCCAGCTTCTTTTCTGTGGGTTTTTTTTTTTTCTCTCTGTACTTACATGCGCTTCGAATGTCTTATTTTTCCATGTCACTGAATACTGGTTGATTTCCCTTAATGAGATTAAGTCTGACCCAACTGGGATTGTCCTGTTTAGTTTTTTATTGTACCTATATGCTGTATTTACATAGAGAAGCCAGTCAGATAAGCAATCAGCTGTTTAATCTACTTGATGGTTTTTCGCTAGATCTTCTTCAGCTATTAGAATGAAAATACGAGTAGCATCTATTGCTTGTTGCATCTGAAAAACTTCTAGAGACGAAGCTGCATGAGAATCCCTTATTATTTGCTTTCACCTTAAAGTTTTCCCTAAGTACAGAGTGAAAAGGAACCTGGTCAGTGAGAGAATCTTATGCTTTTTCAAAAAGAAGAATATCACAGTGAGGGCAGTGGACTCTGCACCCAAAGGCCAATTCTTGTCGTGCTCTGCCACCTAAGACCCAAAAGATCAAATGACTTCACCTCTTCAAACCTCAGTTTCCACATGTGTATAACAGACATAATAATAACAGTATTCACAAGGATAGCCTAGGAAATAAGAAAGAACATTCATGAAAATCACTCAGCATAGTTCCAAGCACATAGGAAGTGTCTGACAAATACTAGCACTTCTATTGCACAACTTCTTTTGAAGTGAAACCTTCAGCACTTTGAGATAAATATTTAGCTACAGTTGTATATGCAGAAAGTATTTATAATAAACCAATAATTTCACTGAGGAAATTTAAAGTCATCTCTCCTAGCATTCGCTTTCCATGTAATCATACTTAATACCTGCAACCTGAACCTATGAAGCATGCACAGGTCACTGAGGAGCAATGTGGGCTGGGAACTTTACTGCCTCAACATATGAAAGAATCCATTTTTTATTGACTTTGAAGATTATTTTAAAGCTGGGTTAATTTTATATTTATGCATTCTGAACTGGAGATAAACCTTTCAAGCCCCAGGCCTCACCCTGAAGCACATTCTGTGAAAACAACTTCTTCCAGAAGAGATGATCTGAATCAACAGCCAGCCAGTCTCAAATCACTGTACTCTCAGAGAAAACTATTTCACAAGAAATGTTTTTCTCTGATCACAGCAACACTTTGAAGACTTCCAACATCAACAGAGATGGAGGGGAAAATGTGTCTTTCTGAAATGCCAATTTTTCTAAAGCAACCACCCCCAAAACCCTTTAGTCACTTCAAATGGTTTCAAGTGCATACTGAATCAGCCACACTGAAATGAGAGATTGTGATAAATGAACAGAATAATAGAATAATATTTCAGGATAGAAATCTTTAATGAAACTCAAATGTCAAGGCCTTCCAGAGACCATTATTATCACATATATCTGAATGTATGACTGCATCTATTGTTAATGCTACTCCACTTAAACATAGTATGTGTTATTTGTTTTTAACCAATTTAAGAGAAAACTGAATGCGGGGCACCAACATTGAACATTTCATGGAGAAGTCGCCATCTTCTGAAGGTACTAGATTCAACAGCCACTGTTCTTTGAACGACAGGTGCACTCCAATTGGTCTAAGACATTTATTCCAATCTTCACTGCCTCAAAAACCAAATTATCCACTAAAAGTTCAGCTTTAAAACTGCTTCTTTATTAATGCATTCAAAGGGCTAATTTCCAGGGTTTGCAGTTTAGGGCTACTTAACTTTCAGGAGTTCCCAAGTTCTAATAGATTTATTTTCACTTGCATTTCATGTGTCATCATGTTAAAAGAGAAATACAACACATAAAAGTCAGTATGCTCTATCCATTAACCCATCTATGGACATTTATGTGGTTTCCCTGTCTTGGCTTAATGAACATGGGAGTGCAGGTATCTCTTCAAGATACTGACTTCAATTTCTTTCAATCTATATCCAGAAGTGGAAATCAACAAGACATGGAAACACAAGTATTGTATGAACTCACTTATATGTGGAATCTAAAACAATCAAACTCTTAGAAGCAGAGAGAAGAATGGCAGCTGCCAAGAGCTGGCAGGAAGCAGAAATGGGGATGTAATGGTTAAAGGGTACAAAATTTCAGTTATGCAAGATAAATAAGTCCTCGAGGTCTCCTATACAGCACAGTACCTATAGTTAACAATACTGCATTGTACACTTTAAAATGCTAAGATGGTAGATCTTATGTTAAGCGTTCTGACCCAGTAAAATATTTTAACAACAAAGGACATGGGAGGAAACTTTGGGAGGTGACAGATATTTTATGACCTTGATAAAATGGTTCTTTATAAAAGTTAGTGCTCTCACTTTCTTTTATTATCAATAACAAGAGTCAGAATAACACAATTCCAAATGGTACTAATCAAATTAAAAAGTCAAAAGCAAATTGTACTTAAACAGTCCATATATGTATACAGAGACAGATATAGACAGAGAGGACTCTCCACCTTTCATGTACTGCAGCCTTGTTTTTGCCTCATTTCTCTTCTACCCCATTATATAATGTTCTATCTAAAACCAATGCTCCCTCTTCCTTACCAACCTCTCATTCATAAACCAACTCTCACTCTGTCATGACTCTTTAATCGATCTTTTCAATTTTTTTGAGGAAGAGAGTAGGAAGAACATTCACTCCCTGGTAACACCGACGTCAACGGTCCTGAAGCCATCCCCAGCCTAAAGGAGCCTCAGCCTTGGCCGTTGTCGGCCCTCATCACCTCAAGAGAGTTTCTGAGCCACACAGATTTAAACATACTAAAGAATTACAGATTAGAGAGCTCACAACCACAGGGAAAGTGCTGCCTATCACTTAAGACACTGAGAAAATACATATAAAAATCTCTACAAGCAATTAAAAATAACACATTTTAAGAAAGGGAAGAAAGAGTCTCCCCAGAGAGAAGATCCTTGATTTGCACTGTCCAGGATGGCAGCCACCAGGCCCACATGGCCACCAAGCACTCGAAATTTGGCTTGTCCAATCTGAGATGTGCTGGAAGTGCAGAATACACACTGCAAGGCAAAGACTCAGTATGAAAATAAGGAGAGAAATCTCATCAATAACTTTTTACCTTGACTACATGCTAAAATGATAGTATTTTGCACGTATTGGGTTAAATACACTATTTGAATTAATTTCTTAATTTCACCTGTTTCTTTTGACTTTTTTTTTTTTTTACCATGGCTACTAGAAAGTTTAATATGTGGATCACATCATGTTCCCACTGGACAGGGCTGGCCTAGCGCTGCCCTTCACACGCACCTTCAGGACCTCGGCATTCTCGGGTTATAGCGCTGATCTCAATTACATGTAAAGACGAATGCAGGTACATATGAAACAGTGGTTCTCAAAGTATCCTCCCAGAATAAAAGTTTAAGTTGTCAGCAACTACCCCAGACCTACTGAATCAGCAACACAGGGGTGGAACGCAGCAATCTGTGCTTCAACAAGCCTTCCAGGGGATCTGACACATGCTCAAGTCTGAAAACCATGGCTGTCTTCGTCTGTTTTGTGCTGTTATAACAGAATACCTGAGACTGGATGATATATAAAGAACAGAAATGTATTTTCTCACAGTTCTGGAGGCTGGAAGTCCAAGATCAAGACATTTGGCATTTGGTGAGGGCATTATTCATTCGTCCTCATGTAGCAGAAGGCAGAAGGACAAGCAAGCCAACAAGAAAATGCTGTGTGAAGCCTCTTTCTTAAGGGCCTTAATCCATTAACAAGGGAAGGACCCTCATGGCCTAAACACCTCTTAAAGGTCCCATGTCTTAATACATCACATTGGCAACACCTGAATGTCAGAGGGGACCCATTCAGGTGGGTCCTGAAGAAAGGACAGAGAAGAAAATCTCCAACAAATGTTCCCAGTCATTGAAAATCTATAACAAATGTTCCCAATCATTTGAAGTGATTGTCAAACATAACCATGCTGTGGCCCTACGGCAACCTGGACTTTAGGGAAACAGCCCCTTCGATTCCATATGGAGCATGAAGACCCCTGAGAAAGACTTGCTGCTTCATGAATGGGGTCAGACTTCCTCAATTGTCCAGGGCCAGATGTGCTTCCAGATCCCACAGGCTGAGCACATGCCAGGCACTAACTCGGGCTGTCAGGATGTAAAGAGTCCTACTTTCCAACCCACAGGAAACATGGAATGCAGAGGGAATGAAGAGGAGGAAAGACAGAAGAAAAGAACATTTAAAGCAGTTTTCAATATTCTAGAAGACGTATCATGTATCCACAGGGTGAAAAAACAACAAACACATTCATATTCCTTCATTTCACTGGTGTTATTTTAAGTTGAAAGAGACAGGAAAAAACAGACATTTAATATGAAAATGTAGATAAGCTAAGAAATAGATAAGTAGGGAGGGAATGCAGAAAAAGGAGGAAGAAAAGGGCAGGAAAAGGACAGCAAAACTTAATTATCAACCCATTTCTGTATGTGTACATACGTATTTGCACAGATGGCACTATACCATAATACCCTGTTCTATCAATTCTAAGATTAATATGTATTCACATTTTAATGACTCTGTGAAATCAGAATATGTCTTAAAATTTCTGTTGTTAGATTTGGTAATGTTTTGGTATTTGTATTCTGTTCTTGGAATCTCATTTCTAAACACGACAATCCAGCTGATTGGCTTCCGAATGCTTAGACGGTTGTTTATATTACAGTTATTTAATGGTTAAAATGTCCATAATCAATGAGTGGATAAAAACACTGTCGTGTGTGTGTGTGTATACACACACACACACACACACACACACCGGATCCCCACTTTGGGGACTCAGGGGGAAAGGGTGGGAAGGGGGTGAGGGATAAAAGACTACAAGTTGGGTTCAGTGTATACTGCTTGGGTGATGGGTCCACCAAAATCTCACAAATCACCACTAAAGAACTTACTCGTGTAACCAAATACCACCTGTTCCCTAAACACCTATGGAAATAAAAAAATTTTAATAAAGTTATGTAATGGTTAGAGGTAATTTTTAAAAAAGAAATATATACTCATTCAGATCCGTTCAATTGTGTTTTTTCTCCCTACATAAGGCATGCTAACCAGGAATAATATGAAAAATTCAGCTAAGAAGGGGCTTCCAATTTTAGAATTCCTATTCTAGAATTCCTATTAATAGTACTCAGGACAATGTATGATGGGCTTAACAGTCCACACTACACTTCAGCTGAAGTCTACACCTCCCTGAATCACAGCTACTATGCATTTAATAGGAAACCATTATGATTTAGAACTTCAATGTTGCTAGTGCCAATACTATTATCCTATGGCAGGTGATGCATGTCAAGATACCAATTCTTTCCACAATAATATTCAGCAGCTTAATTACATACATAAACCTTATGGTATAGAAGAAAACACTGCTCTTTAATTTAATGCAAAATTTTTAATTTCTCAATATAATCAGCTATGTGGAAACTACCTGCCATTCATTGTTCCTTTTGCTATGTTATATGTCAAGCATCTCTCTCCTCCCCTTCTCAATTCTTGAGGCTTCTCAATTTTTCTTGGTCTAACTCCTAGAATCACATTCTCTTCTTTTGATTCCTCTCACTTTTGCTGCCTTCTTTGGACCTTTTCCATTTTTACTCTGCTTCCTGTGAAATTCTATGAGCAGCACCAAGTAAAACATTCAAGGACAGACTGACTTATATTCCCCTAAGATTATAATTTTTTCTAAATCACTCTAAATTGCATTTTAATATACGTAAATGTGTGTCTGTGTGTGTCTACATTTTAACTCTGCTGCCCTCTGAACAGATGCTATGATGGAGCTCTGTGCTAATAGCACCTAAATCTTTTCCTTGAGAAGTACAGCTAATTGAAAAGTCATCTATTTTGAAGGGCAGTTGAGATTATTCCTTCTAATATGCATTCATTCAGCTTCGGCTCCCCTGTGGTAAGATATGGTTTATCTCCCAATCATCAGGGAGCATGACTTTAGTAGGTTAGGGTTAGACTTTGTCACTGGCCTATTTCAAGGAAAAATACAAAGTTAGGTTCCCTTTGAAGCCAGAGAGCCTAAGGCACGATGGTCTGTCTCTGGATCTTAGCATAATACACTGGCCAGTATAGTAGTAAAATATTGTATCATATCTACAGGATCCGTTAACATTCTCAATATAGTTCAGCATTAACATTGTGAATGCTGGCAAGGGAATCCTTAAAGGAATTCTAGGTAGAAATGGGAATGTTGGGCACTCAACAAATCTAAACCTTTCAATAAATTAAGATTTGTTGTGATTATAAAGAACATTTTTGTTTTTGAGATGGAGTTTCATTCTTGTTGCCCAGGCTGGAGTGGAGTGGTACAGTCTCGGTTCACTGCAACTTCCGCCTCCCAGGTTCAAGTGATTCTCCTGCCTCAGCCTCCCAAGTAGCTGGGATTACAGGCGCCTGCCACCACACCTGGCTAATTTTTGTATCTTTAGTAGAGACAGGGTTTCACCGTGTTGGCCAGGCAGGTCTCTAACTCCTGACCTCAGGTGATCCGTCCACCTCAGCCTCCTGAAGTGCTTGGATTACAGGCGTGAGCCACCACGCCTGGCCAAGAAAAAAAAAGTTTCACTAAAAGATCTGATCTACTTTTAGGAAATTACCCTCGATAAAGTAATGCTGAACAAATGTGACCATAGACACCCAGCTCGTCTACTTTGTTCTCAAGTCTATAATCTCTCCTTGTGGCTAAATCCAGTTATCACTTTTTAGTCCTTAACTGAATGTGTGTGCAGAATCTGACACTCGTAATCTCTCCACTCCTTCTTGAAACTTGCCTCTCCCATGGCTTCTCTAACCATCACATGAGTCTCCTGACTTTTTCCACTTCTCAAGACATTTCCTGGGGACACTCTTACAGTGCACATCCCTGGTTACAAATCCCTCGTTCTCTGAATCAGTTCTTTTCTCTCCCTGAATGATTTCCTCTTCTACACTAACAGCTTCACCCACCACCTGTATACCATACCCCTTTCTTGGATGTCTTAAAGGCATCTCAAACTCTCAATATGCAACCATAAACTTGGCATCTTCTCCATGAAGGCTGCTCTTCCTCCTTGATTCCCTATCATGGTAGAAAGCAATACCTTACACTTGCCAGTCAACCAAGCCAAATCCAGGGGAGGTCCAGTGACAAGGTGGTCTTTCCTTCCCAAAATCCTTCCTATGTCATCAGCCACCAGGTTCTGCTTCTACTTCTTTATTATTTCTAAAGTTACTCCCTTCCCTCCATCTCATTGCCATGTGACCCACATCTTCATACTGCAGCTACAGAGCATGTTTCTTGAATTCAAATTCGGTCATATCTCTCTCCTCCTTACAACATTTCTGTGATTCTTTGCTACCTTCAGGAGAAAACCCAACCTCCATGGCACAGCCCTGAGGCTCAATGAGGAAGTCTCCTGCTTCCCTCTCCAACCCCCTCATGTCGCAGGCTCTCCACACTTACCGCAAGCGTTCCCCAAATACACTCTGCTCTCTGGCCTCCCTGCCAGACACAAGCATACAGACACTTTTCCCCTGTTGGCAATTCCCACGAATACTCAGACAACACCTCTTGACCTGGCTTGGGGAAGGCCTTCTAGATAACTAGCTCTCATCCAGGTACCTTTCCTATGTGCTACCTCAAGACTACGTCCATACCATCCCATAGCGCTGGACACAGCAAATGACTGGGTTTTTTTTTTTTATGTACACCTATGTATCAGCTGGCCTTTCCTCCTAGATGGTGAATTCTTTGAGAGTGTCTTTTTTATCTCCCCTTGTCAGTACTGATTCCAGTAACTGGCACATAGCAAATGTCGAATAATTGCCAAATAAATGAATGAATGAATGCATGCATTCCTTCAGACTCCACATCAGTCTCAAAGGAGCAATTTCACATGCTAAAAACTGCCTATGAAAAGGATAAAAAAAAGGAAGCTAGGACTATGACATAATTACCTTACTACATCAATACACTGCTTGTATTAACAGGGTCAATGACAAGTAAAAGCAAATGAATGCATTCGAGTATCATAAAACATGCTGTATGTTAAGCCTTGGGGCTTTGAAATTTGGGCATCTAAGACTTTGGCTATCTGCAACAACAACAAAAAAATGTGTATGTATCCTCGAGACAAATTGTAGGAAAAGTAAATGCAGAGGAAAGTTTGATGTTTTACATGTATCATTCATAGAACAACAGTGACTATACGACCCACGGCCCCTGCTCGTGTTGCAGTCCCTGAGTCTGACCTGGATGGGGCGGCCGGCAGTGAGCATGGCCCTCACATGCCTGCTAACCCCAGACCCCTTCTCTGCTTCAGAAATACAAAGTCAGCAAGAGAAGGGACCTGGAGCAACTAGATAGCAAACAGAAAAGAGTGCATTGCACGGGGTCCTACCAGTTTAGAAGAGTCTTAGAAAGGATACCTCAGGAAGTTATCAGCCTCAGGAAAGTGCCTCAGGGGACTGTATGCTCCCATCCTCACTACTTGACTCTTCTCTGTACATATTCTTTTCTTGGGTGTCTTATTTCTTTTGTTATTCTGCCTTTTTTTTTTTTTAGACGGAGTCTCGCTCTGTTGCCCAGCCTGGAGTGCAGTGGCACAATCTTGGCTCACTGCAACCTCCACCACCCGGGTTCAAGCAATTCTCCTGCCTCAGCCTCCTGAGTAGCTGGGATTACAGGCACCTGCCACCACACCCGGCTAATTTTGTATTTTTAGTAGAGATAAGGTTTCACCATATTGGCCAGGCTGGTCTCGAACTCCTGACCTCGTGATCTGCCCGCCTGGGCCTCCCAAAGTGCTGGGATTACAGGCATGAGCCACCGCGCCCGGCCTATTCTGCTCTTTTTTTGATGCTAAGGATCCCTAAATCTGCACATTAGGCCTCAGCCTCTGAAGTTCTTGTCATGTGTTTCCAACTGTCTGAGAGAAACAAAACTCCTCCAACTGGGGATACAGAACATAATAACAGAAAAGGCAGAAACCTCCTCTAACACTGCTGGGGGCTTCCTGACAAGGCCTCATGTAGAAAGGTCTCAAATAAACTGCAGTGTTGAAGAGGGCACACCAAAAGGGGCAGGAGTTAAGCACCCAGCACTGACATCACACATGACTGGCTGGATCCCCAAATCCACCCTTACTACCTGTGTCAACCAGGCAAAGGTTTCTTAATCTCCCTAGGCCTCAATCACCTCATCTGAAACCTGGGAATGATAACGGCAGTCACCATATCAAGGGATCAACTGTTGTATTCACAGATTATTTTCAATATGCCTACAAAACCTCTAGTATTTCCTAAATCTTAACTTAAAAAAAAAAAAAAAAAAAAAAAACACTTGACTATTCTCTAAACGTTGTCCCTAAAACCCTCCTTGCCTTTCCCACAAAACTTCTAGAAAGATGGTCTATATATGGTCCATATTTATGCTTGGTCCCTCTACATTCAGCTCAACATTCTACGGAAACATCTCCTTTGGGTTAACAATGGCCTAACTGGCGATTATAGCTCTTGTTCATGAATCTTGTTTGCAGTGATGAGGCAAATCAGAAAAGAAAAGAAGGCGTTCATCATGGTAGGGGCCTCAAGGCAAACTGCTTAGATGGGCTAAGGTGTTTACTTACCTGGAGGAACCAGAAACAGCACAGTGGAAGGGATGGAGGAGGAATGGTATTGCAGAAGGGAAGCCAAAACTCAGCAACAGAGGAGGATACTAAAACCAGAATCAAGCAGTGAGCATACCTAGCTAGGGAAAACATTAGGTACCAGAGGACATGAACAAGCTGAGATCCAGAATTTAAGCCAGATGGAAGCCAGAAGTTCAGAACTCTGAACACCTGGGCCCATTTTTAAAAGGTCCTGTAGTTATTTGATGCTTGGGTTGGCAGCACTCGTCCACAGCACTTCTCAGTATTAACCCCCTCCTCCTCCACATCTTGGCAACACTCCCTCCCTGTTCTTCTCAAGACCCCTGGTCCTTAGTTCCTAAGAAGGCATCATCTCCCCCATCTCCACTGCAGTGTTGCACTCAGCGGGGGCTATCTTCTTGTCTTCCTACTCAGCTTGAGCTATGGCGCCAGGAATTCTAGCTCGTCTGATCACTGAATCTGTTTTTTAGTTTCTTCTTGGGAATGAAGCTAGAATGCACTTCCCAGCCTCCCCCGCCGTTAGGGTAGTTATGTGACCAGTTCTAGCTAACAGAAAGCAAGCACAAGTGGAGCTCCCTGTTTCTACTACTGGCCCTCAAAAGATCCCTGTTGAGATCCTTCGCCCTATTTTCACTGAGGGCAACTGTGGGAGGAGGACAGTGAAGATGGAAGTGTTTCTTTCTATACAGAATGACTGCGAATGACTACACAGAGAAAAGCCTTCACTGCGAATCAGAAACACACATGTTGAATTTTATGTGAGCATGAAATAAATTTCTACTGTGTTAAGCCACTGACATTTTGAGGTTTATCTGTTGCAGCAGCCAACATCTTCGCTGTTAAGTCCCAAATCTAGATATCGTGAATCCAAAACTCTAGGCTTAACATTAGACCCAAATTTCTAACTTCTTTCCTGTCCTTCACCAGACTAACTTCTAATATTTTGCTGAAATTATTCCCTAAACCTCTTGGACTGGGTTGGGTTTCTTCCATATGTGTTTCCAGAGCACCTTACTTATTATCATGTTAATTATTTAGTCATCTGCCTCCCCAACTCTATGGTGAAATTTTTGAGAGTAAAGACTGTGTTTTAATCTTGTTATCTTCTGTGTCCAGTTAGCATTCAGGAAGGGTTTCTTTTTGTTCTTCATTTTTAAATTAAAAGCAAAGTGCATTTAGTGGTACTAAGAAACAAGAACACATCACCAGTGATAAGTGAGTATTGGCAGCATATACCCCTGTTCAGTGTGATGACAAGAGCCCTTCACCTCCACAGTTGTTTTTCTCAAACCCATACCCCTAATCTAATCATGTGGAGAACAGTCTCTTATAAGAACAAATAGATGAATGACTAAATATAGGAATTAGGATTTGTCATAAAAATATGAAGGTTCAAAAGTGATATGATCAAAGTTCATAAAATAATGAAGGGTATGGGGAGGAGAGGCTGAGTGGGGAAATTTTTAAATTAATCCCTAGCAAAACAGAAATAAAGAGAAATTATTAAATGTTGGAAGAAGGATTTTTTTTTAAGATTTAAGGACAAAATAAAGAAAGCTTTACTGAGAAGTTAGTGAACTTGAGCTTTTTAACTTCAAGAATTAAAGGCAAATATTTAAAAGCTATCAAAGAAAACTGGTTTGCTGAGAGTATTTCCCAGGCCTTTTGAGGTTGATCATGGAAGAAACAATATAGCTCTCCAGAACATATCCATCCCTTACACAGATCCCTGAAAGACAGGAGATATTTAAAGCCCCTTCTGTAATATTAAAATCATGGCTTAAATACATTCGAGTGGCGCTGCCTCATGTTCCACCAGCTAACATCCCAGTGACAATTCAGTTGGATGCTCCCACCCACCGTGCAGTACCATTTAGGGCACCTATGAAGAGCCCAAGGCCGGGGGTGGGCGACCAAAAGTAGAGCTAGAAAACAATCCAGAATTTTCTAGGGCACTCCTTCTGGGTCCTTCACCCCGCACATGCAGAATTTTCCTGTACACACCAAGGCAAAACTATTTCAAAGCCTATGAGTGACTTACAGAAATAACCGGCATCCCCACTTTACGTCCAGACTTTCCATTCTCCACACCTGGGGAAATTCACATAAGGAAATAACTAGACTAATAAAAAGTTTTGCTCTTTCAGTGATTTCTATTAACTCTCTAAAGACTAACTTTTAAAATATAGACCATAAATTAGTGTTGGATTCTGTCCATCCTTGACCTTTCAATCACTTTCACTAGTTCAAGCCATTTAACTTTCATCTGGAAAGGTATGACTGATCTACAGGAAGCTAAAACACAAAACAGACATTTTCCTTTCTCAGAAACAATGTTTAACTCAGAACTTCACTCTGAAAGATTCAAAGTAGCACACTCACCTGTAGCTGGGATATAGTTAAAGGGTATCGGAATAATATCCAGGTGACACCTTCACTGCAAGGTGGGATGGTGAGAGAGCCTTCATACACCCAGTAATCCCGCAGCAGAGGGTCTGCACAGCCACGTGGACATGTAATGGAAAAGGCAAGTGAATTAATAACAATCCTGATGACTCCAACAACAATTTTCAAAATTACAAACTGTCCAAATGATGCTTCTAAGATGGATGTCATTTTTAAACTAGAGCCCCACAGTCTTACACTACTCATTGTGGAGAAAATAATTGATAAAAAGCATGATGAATTCTCTATTATTTACAGTGATTTCTATCAATGGATTACTATAGATACCTGTCAAGTTTAATCACTTTAGAAGTGTATCTATATTTTGGGTTTTTTCACTTTATTAAAGAATTTACCTATTTCATATCTAATATTTATTGAATGCTTATGACGTGCCAGCAATTTACTTTAATTCATTTAACCTTCACAACAAACCAGTGAGATAGGTAGTAATATTAATGTTATATTTCAGATGGGGAAACAGAATCT
The DNA here is from genome assembly GCF_000001405.40 of Homo sapiens. Taxonomy (NCBI): domain Eukaryota; kingdom Metazoa; phylum Chordata; class Mammalia; order Primates; family Hominidae; genus Homo; species Homo sapiens. Next base: position 60,223,201 of record NC_000008.11, read on the forward strand.
CAAAAGAGTAGTAGTTTGCCTGAGGTCACTCAGCTAATAATCACTGGCAGAGCCAGGATTCAAATTCAGGCAATCTGGCTTCATAACCTGTATTTTTTTTTTCTTAAGAGACAGGGTCTGGCTCTATCACCCAGGCTGCTGGAGTGTGGTGGTGTGACCATGAATCACTGCAGCCTCAAACTCCTGGGCTCAAGCGATCATCTCACCTCAGCCTCCCAAGCAGCTGGGACTATGGGTGCACACCACCACAGCCAGCAATTATTTCTTCTTTTTTTGAGAGCAAGGTCTGGCTATGGCTAGTCTCAAACTCTTGGCCTCAAGCAATCCTCTTGCATCAGTCTCCCAAAGTGTTGGGATTACATAGGTATGATCATGTCTGTCTGAAAGCCTGTATTTTTAACCATTCAGTTCTAGCTACCACTATACTGCTTCTGCAACAGCAAAATACTAAAATCATATTACAATAAAACAAAATGAGTCATTCTTATGAAATCCTTTAGCTCTGCATTAGAGGAATTTATGACTAATATGATGGATAAATGGTTAACATACGATAGAAATTGGTTTGTTGTAGAGCAATTAAATGTAGAAAATAGAAGATACAATGCATCAACTGGTTTTGTTTAAAACACTAAGGGACAGCACATAATTTGGGCAGAGAAATGTGAAGATCAAAATTTTATATACAACAACCTTTAAATCATATTCTGAGTACTTAATGTATAATTGTTATCTGTACAGAAATACAAGTGGAATAATACATAATAATAGTATTACTGCAGAGAGGTAACCTTATAAAATTAGATACAAAGTTTATTTTACTCTAAAGATTAAGAACTCCACTGATCAATCTTAGAAGTACATGAAGGTTTTTTCTTTGTTTGTTCGTTTGTTTGTTTGAGACAGAGTTTCACTTTGTCACCCAGGCTGGAGTGCAGTCACGTAATCTCGGCTCACTGCAACCTCCACCTCCTGGGTTCAAGCGATTCTCCTGCTTCAGCCTCCTGAGTAGCTGGGATTACAGGCATGAGCCACCACACCCAGCCAAAGTTATTTTATTATACTGATGCTTTACACAGAGGTAGCAATTTTTACAAATGACAATCCTACGAAAGCTCTTCATGGATCAATGGAACTAGTGGCAAAGTGTCTCTTTATTATTTCAAAAGGTTTACTTCCATATTTAGAGTAATCTGGAAATGGTATCTGCTAAACAGAATACAAATTGCAAATAAGTTTTATTAATTAACAATATATAGTTTTACATAGTCTGAAGAAAACAATGTGACTATAGCCACAGTTAAAATTCATTTTATGCAATCAGGTAAATACTCACCTGGTAATAAAGTGTTAGGATTAAAGCAAGGTATTGTTTTGGACTTCCCCTGAAAAAGAAAAAAATATTTACCCAATGTTAATGTAATATTTCTAGATTTTAGAATAAAAAATCTATTAGAACTAAAAAATTAGAATGAAGTCTTTTCTGAATGGCCTCATCAGGTCCCACAGACTTGTGGGTATCTCCTTCCACCTTCTCATTGGAGTAACATTGTCTGGTTCCTGCTCTAATTCTATGGCTATTTTCTTTGCTACCACAGTTCAATTCTCCCTGTAAGTCCTGGTGTGGAACCTACACTTGGTGCCCCATCTGCCCCATGTCAGTTACCTTTTCTGCTCTGAGCACATTCATAACAGAGATTTGGGCTAAATTCTCATTGTAAAATGCCTGAACCCTGGATGGGGGAATTTTCAAAATGCCTTTCCTCCTGCTTGCTTTCATTTCAGCTCCTAACCTTTCCGGCATTACAACCAGGCTTGCAACTTCCTGTCTTGTCCTATTTGGATTTGGTAACTCAGCTCTGGGATCTATGCTAGATGCTCTCCTCATCTGGAAAGGGAGATCTGATATAGATGGAAATATTCTGTTCCGATCAGTGTTTATCAAAGCTAGATACAAATTTCAAGGGAATCATTTGTGCTCTTATTCAACAATTCACATTTAAGATCATCATTTTAAATCATGTCATTTAAATTGCTTAGACTTTAGAGGAAAATAGTCCTGTCATGTGACTCAGATGTTTCTTAAAAGATTTTTCTCTATTGATACAGATGCAATAGGGAAAGTTATTGCATAACCTCCAAGTCCCTTCCTGACTCCCTGGGACTATTTCAAACATTAAAGAATCTAGCTTACTTGCCTCCCCGATCCCCCTGAATTCCATAATGACTGGTGTCCTATTAGATGATGAAATAAAGGAAATTTTCTCAGTCCACTGCAGTTGTACAAATATAAGTCAAAATGTGCCCTTATTGTCTTTTTATCAGCTTTTTTTATCTGGACTGGGCATCCCTTGGAAGCTGGGTTCCTTCCAAACCTACTCAGGAGATCTTCAGTGGAGGTTCTGCCTGGTTCAGGATACCCTGGGCTGTGCTAGTATAAAGCTAATCAAACTTGATTCCCAAATTGATCTTTCTTAAAACTGGCTTTGGGTCTCTGGATCCTCTGTAATTAAACAAGTTCAATTTCTGCTCTGTATCTCCAGCAGCCCTACAAGACTAGACTACTTCCCCTCCCCAAGGCCACTCACATTCAGCTAAGTGTGAGCCAAGAAGGCACTGCTTATAAGAGAGACTGGCATTGGGCCAGGCATGGTGGCTCACGCCTGTAATCCCAGCACTTTGCAAGGCCGAGGTGGGTGGATCATGAGGTCAAGAGATCAAGACCACCCTGGCCAACATGGTGAAACCCTGTCTCTACTAAAAATACAAAAATTAGCTGGGCGTGGTGGTGGCATTGGCTTCCTAGCAATGCTAGGCCATATCATGGCAGGGTCATGTGGATCACCTTCTCTTGGATATTATCTTACCACATATGTGTACTTGTTTTCTTTTTTTAAATTTATTTAACATAAATACTTTGAAATATGATTCCCCAAATTTTTATTTGTTTCATTTATACAACTTTCCTATAGCATGCAGGTAGGAAAGGGTTAACTCAGCAAGCCTGAGTTGCTCAAACCCTGCACATCCCATATAAAGGCCTGTCTTCAGGACTAACTCTTTGCTCCTGGGATATAACCTCTGAGCTTGGAATATTCTACCTGATAAGACTGTTTCTGTGTGCCTGCAGCCTTGGGCCATCCTGTATTTATGGTGAACTCCTGTTGTTACATGTCTGAGGCCTTGAGACATACTGTACCAATTGGAACAGATAAGCTGATGCTGACAATGTGACTTATGGCGAAGAGGGCAGGGAGACGGCTGCTGCTAGAGAGTGAGTAGCTGAGGTCAGCTATGTTGCATGCGTTTAGTGCTTGCATGATTGACCCCTAATAAATCTCTGGACACTAAGGCTAGAGTGAGCTTCCGTAGTTGTCAACACTTCACACATGTTGTGACACATCATTGCTAGGAGAATTAGGGGCATCCTCAAGTGACTCCACTGGGAGGGGACACCTGGAAGCTTGTGCCTGGTTTCCCCTGGACTTCATTCCATGCGCCTTTTCCCTCTGCTTTTTGACCTATTTCTTTTCACTGTAATAAACCATAACCACAAGGACAGCAGCTTTTCTGAGATCTGTGAGTCCTTCTAACACAGCATCGAGCCCGCAGGTGGTCACAGGGAGCTCCTACACAACCAGTATTTCTATATTATTTTAAATAATGACTTACCTTATACTGAATATCTTGGAGGATTTCAGTCACAGCCTTCAAGCCAACATGTTCCTTTCCTATCTGAAAAACATAAAGCATAAACCACAACCACAACATTTTTCAGTGTTTAGCTTTAACTAAAAAAAAACTAATAGGGCTGAGTGTGGTGGCTCATGCCTGTAACCCCAGCACTTTGGGAGGCCGAGTTGGGTGGATCACAAGGTTAGGAGATCGAGGCCATCCTGGCTACCACAGTGAAACCCTGTCTCTACTAAAAATGCAAAAAATTAGCTGGGCATGGTGGCACACCCCTGAAGTCCCAGCTACTCAGGAGGGTGAGGAAGAAGAATCGCTTGAACCCAGGAGGCGGAGAGGTTGCAGTGAGCCAAGATCATGCCACTGCACTCCAGCCTGGATGACACAGCAAGACTCTGTCTCAAAAAAAAAAAACTAACAGAACTCGGTTCTAGTCCATCTGAATGTCCTTTTTGAGGAATAATTAAATGGCCTTTTATTAATAACTAGGTCAATGTCTACTAAAGGTAATTAAAGTTGTGACAAACCTAGTATAATAAAGTATTAGTTACGTAAATGTCCAAGAACTCATTCTAAATTCTCTTTACTGTGTATAGGAATCACTCACTTTGCTATATGTAGTATATCAAATTACAAAATACTGTTAAATATAAAAATATCAAGGATATTTTTGAATTAAAACTACTCAGTACATGTTCAAACCCTTCCATGTTTAACTCTGGCATTTATAGATCATTGCTATAAAGATTTTAACAATACTGAAAAATTATATTAACTTAGAAAAGCAGGTGTGTGATTTTGTATGTTAAATTCACCAAAATCAAGACCTTTCTTGATTACTTCTAGACATAATTTTATAACTACCCTTCTATTCTTAAATAAATAATAATGTGCTTTTTATAGCCTTCTTTTTAAAAACATATCACTATATATTATTAGTGTATAAAATGCTCCCAAAAAATGGAGACAAAAAAATTCTAACATTTAATATTCTTGACTTTGGCTTTAAAACTTTTAAGTGAAATCTGACCAATTTCCAGTGGTCCATGATAATGGAGGAGAGTAATGGAGGTCATTTAGAACCTCAAATAAACAATCATTGCTTTTGTCAGTTTTTCTCCTTCCACATAGATATTTGGAGAATGACCTAAGAGAAGCCAGAGTAGCTGTAGATATGTTTACATTCTCTGTTTCTCCCAATGTTAACTAACTGCAAAACATGCAGATGAAAGAGCATCCAAAGGGAGAGGAGAGAGACAAGAAACGCTCTACCTAAGATAGGCCAGTCAGCTCTAAACAATCAAGACGTGAACTACTTTCCAAGAGTCTACAATTATTCCCGAGATAGGCTCTAAAAACAGAAAATAAATTTTGTAAAGTTAAAAACAAAAAAACATTTAAAACCTAATGCATATGTACCTGTGGCAGCAGCCTGAAATTTTAGGCAGAAATCATTACCCATTCTTCAGGAGAAATGGACTTCTCTTTTGTCTTACTGGTTTAACCATACTATAGCACTGGGAGGCCTACGTCTGCACTTGGGGTCTGTTTTCATCTCAGGCATCTCCTGTTGGGTTGTAAACTCTTTGAAGAGTCCACATATGAACCCTAAGGCCACTCAATGTGGTGCTCAGGAACAGGCTCACTTTGCACTGGACTGCCTGGATTCCAATCCTGACTCTGCCACCTCTTAGCTGTGTGGCCTTAAGCAAGTGTAGTTAACCTCTACATCCTTCCGCTTCCTCAGCTGTTTGCTGGAGAGGATAAAAATGATAGGGTTGAAGATAAGATTAAATCAAACAAAGACTGTGGAACAGGCTTGGGTCATCATAATTCACTTAATGTCCATTATTATTCTTAATCTGGATGCCCTACAGCATCAAATATAGTTTTTCCATATAGTAGCTCTTAACGACTATTACTAGCTCCTTCTATCTATAAAGACTCTACTTTATGGGCAAAACCTCATATCTTGCAAATTCTATAAACTCTGCTATTATGCCATCTCTTTCTTTTCCTTCCTTGCCAAATTTGTGTATGAAGAAATGATGACCAGCAAAAAGCAAGTACTGATGATAATCTCCACACCCCAGCTGCTAAAACCGTGCAAGCAGCTGTTCAGATAACACAACCTGGTACCAAGAGTCCACCAGGAACCTTGAGAACAACTCATTTCTCACCTCTCACCTTTGCTGTCTTTCGCCACCACTGGAAATGCAAACCACTTTGGTCCGTTCTCCTTTCCTGGCATCTCAGCCCTGAACCACCTGTTTTTTTTTTGTTTTTTACTTCTAACTCAATCTCTCCTTATCTTCCACTGCACCCTCTAGAACAGAACAACTCTGCATTTCTGCCAACATCTCCCACCATTTCCTGATCTACCTGAACCCTTCGAGTCTGCCCAAGGGCACAGCTCTTTTGCAGGCCTTTCAAGTGGACGCCATGCAGTCCCCCAGGGAGACAGACTGGGGTCCATGGTCAGTGCACTCTTGCTCCCTTCAGGGTGGAACTCTGACCCACGTGCTCAAGCCATCCTCCCGAGGGGACCATCTTCTAAGGCTATCACGCCCTCCTTCTTTCTCCCTTACTGACCCACTAGTCAATCTCTCCCAGGCATCACCTCCTGCTGCCACCCTGGATGACTTCAGCATTCAGGGGGTGACCCATCCCCTCCCTGGCCTAAGTCTCTTCACCCGTCAGTCCGTGGCCTTCTGCCCCATTCCACCTGAGCAAACCAACCCTGAGGACACTGCTGGTACGTGCTCTCATTCTGAAAACTTTAACTCTGAAAGACTGGCCTCTCTGACCAGATGCCCCGGGCCATCCAGCTCTCCTGCTCTTTCCTCTCTCCCCTTCACTGATCACCAGGTGCCAAGGCTGGCAGGTCCTTGTGGCCTCTCCTTCCCCCTCCTGCCTAGACATGGTGTGGGACTGGCTAGACAGAATGATATCTCTCCAACCACTCTCCATTCTTTAATCCTTTTACCTCCTAAATCATCTGCTCTCTGATGGATCAACACGACTTACCAGAACTCTCTACTCCTTTACCCGGATAAAGAACAACCCACCATACCCTGTCCTGTATGATCTGGGGCATCCAATCCCAAGGGGGTTTCCCTCAGTGACTGCCAAATATATTATCATCCCCTTCTGGTCTATTTCAAGACTCAATCCCACACCCACGTTTTCTTTGCTCTATAAATAATTTTGCTTTGTGTGTCTCAGAGATAATGAAGGTTGTCAGGCATGAACTCCCTCAATGTCCTGCCTTTCTCCACCTACAAATCGGCCCCATGTGTGTCCACACTTTCCTCCTGGCCCTCTGTTTTGGAGAAGGGGTGGGTCTGCTCCTATCTGAGATTAGTCCACCTGCATAAGCTCTCCATCCCATGCCCTCTTGCCTCCTCCAGGACTTTTCCACATCAGTGACACCCTCTCTTTCCAGTATTTTTAATCTCTATGTCTGCAATAGCTCTTATTGCTCAGGGAAAAAAAAATACTACATGCAGATCTCAGATCTCAAAAGATTCACTGGACATCATCGCCAGTTATTGCCCCATCTGTCCTTCCTTCCTTTGGCCAAGCTTCTTGGAAGGAAAGTCTACTCAATGTCTCCGACCTCCTCCCTCCAAATTTCTCTCATCCAGCCTGAGGACCCGACCCCCCCGATGGATTTCAGCCCATCCCTCCCTTCCCCTCTCCTTCCCTCCTTCCCTCCTTCCTTCCTTCCTGAAATTTTGCTCTCAGTTCTGTGATTTCACTCTCTCCTGAGAATTTGCACACAGATAACCTGAATTTTTCATCACAGAAACTTATGAAAAGTTAGAAAAAGTGTGCTTGCTCTCCAGGCTTTCCCTTCCCTGCAATAATGCAGCTTGTTCTTGGAAATACTCGCAGTAGTTCTAAGGGGCTGGGTTTTCAGTCCGGGGCTCTACGAATCCAGGTCACCTGTTAAATGCTAAGAATCAGGAAGTGAAAATACTAAGTTATCACACCTAATTCCATCCACAAATATTTATTGAGTACCAATTCCAAAGATGAAACTGACATGTTCCTTTCCCTTCTATATATGAATATGTGGTTATTTGTATTCTTATTTTTATTTTATTATTTTTTATTCTTACTTTTAATAATGAGATAGTACATTCTACTGTCTCAATTTCTCAGATTTAGATATTTTATTAACTTTTCTGGGTTATAACAGTAGTCTTTCATGATTGTTACTTCAATATACTAAAAATTATCAAAATATATTTGTATAATGAAAACATTTTTCATTAATATTTTGTGATTTCTTTCTAGTTATATAACGCCGTTATAAAACACAAGGAATATAGGTCCCCACCTGTGACACCATGAAATAAATAGTAAGAGGACTCACTGAAAAATGTAAGGATTTCCTTTAAATTTCTATGACGTGTCATATTTGCAAGATGCTGATTTTAAAATATTAAGAGCCTAAACTGGATGGCTACTTTCAAACATCAATAAAGACATATCTAGGAGATATGTATTAAAAATTGTTGCAATTAATTTTTGATATATATGCCATAAAAAAACAAGTTTAAAAGGGCCCATTATCGAACTCTCTTTGGAAAATTAAGTTTCTGAAGAACACTGTGCTAACATGCTCTAATCCCAGGTTATCCAATAGGCAGCCCAGAGCCACGCAGAGCTGCAACTCTGGTTTCTGGTCCTGATGGCAGCTTTAAAGCTAAAATTTCCAGATACTCTTTCACCTCTAAATCTTTTACGATGTCAAACAGGTAATAAGACAAAATTTAGAAGATTCGCCTTAAAAACTGAGTTAAGTTTTTACCTCTGAAAGCACGTGGCCTGCTTTCATATGTTTGGGTAAATTTATATACTCTTCTTTGCCTACCACAGAGCTCAAATCCAAATGTTATATTGACTATATCTGCCAAGGTCTTTGCCAGTCTGATTTTTATCAGTGTTTCCTATAAGGCATTTCAAGTCATCTCAGAGTGAAAATTGTTAATAAAGAAGGGCTAAAGTAATCTACTACATACTTCTATTATTGTTATTGATTTTTTTTGTAGATTTTTCTGTAAACCAGGGTCTAAAGAAATTTTCTGAAATCCTTTTTCATAAAATAAACTCTACCTTCAGGAGTCATTTTCTAAATCATTTCTCCAAAGACCCTGAATGCTACTCTGAAGAAAATTTCTAATAAATAAAGGAACTATTTTCTACCAATGAATATGTCTGAACTCCGATAAACCATAAGGATCAAGTTTTCTGTTTTTATCAGGTGTTCTCTCTATGTGTGTAATTTCATCTCTAAGCAATAAAATTGAGAATAAAAAAATTTTACAAAATGATTTAGAAATTAGCATCTCTAAACAATACGATAATCACAGCAGACCGTTTACCTGAACAAACAGAGCAATGATGGCGATTCCGTGCGGCTTCCCCACAGCCTCATCAATGCTGCCAAACAGAGTGGAGTTCCAGTGGATCAGATGGAGCTGAGTGAGTGGCAACAGACAGACCACATCATTTAATGTGCTACTTCTAATCATAAAAGCAAAGATATAGCCATTTCTTTACTATTTCTATATGGTATCACATACCACAAGAGGATCACAAGTAGACACAAACTACTGGCTTAATACGAGTTCTCTGTATGAATTCCTTCCTTCTTATTTCTGAACAGAAGCAGTGCTTAGTGGATCACTGCCTCTTAAGTCCAGTTTTAGTCCTGATGAGGAGGAAGACAACTGGAGGGACTCACAGACTTCACATTGATTCAGTTATCTTTCCTTGGATGTCATCCTTTTGAATCTCCATGAAACAAAACTCCAGGTCTGGGCACAAACACTAGAACTCATTCAAAGGATGAATACCTGCATAATCAAATACTGCATCACCCAGTACTTCCATCAGGAGATGTACAAAGCCAGTTTCCAGTTCCAGTAAATTATTTCAACTTTCTAAGAATATTCAGAGATAGCATCCTGGAAAAAAAAAAGCTGCATATTTAAAGCCACGGTAAAATAATAAATGCTGATGTAAATCTCTAAAAGAAGGCGATTTCCTGCACTGGCGATAAAATTTTATCTGTGAAGAAATGACAAACAATGCTCAGAGGCCTCCCTCACTCCTAGCCTCATAAAGCTTTGCAGCTTTCAAGTTTATCTAGAATATGCACTTGCTCCTACAGCACTGATAAAACACTTGCAAGAAGCCAAGCTCAATTCCTGATTAAAAACCAAATGTCCACTGAGGTTCCTAGTATAATAGTAGGTAGGTAAACCTTCTGCCTAGAATATTACCTTCATCACTATAGCTTTTCATCGTTATAATTACTTACCGCCTTACAACGTCGCCTTATTTTAAAATTAGTTCTAACACCAAAAGACATAGCTAAAATTCAACCACTATTTATTTTAGCATTTATATTAAAATATTCAGGAAAATTATCATAAGGATGGCCACAAATTGGATTTTTCCACTGCTGAATTTACCCAGGTAGAATCTGATATTATAAAACTGACCACTAGGGGGAGCTAATGAAGTCCTCTACCAATAATAGAACAGATAACTAGGAAAACACTGTACCCATGGCCCACTCAGCCAGGTCAGGCTGTGAGGCTGTGAAAAACTCACAGAGACTGTGACTACCCAGTAAATGCAACTGAAAGGCACTGCTTTTAAGAAAATGATGTCCTATAATCTCTCAATAATAAAAGACAATTTTAATCTTCCCTTCTCCAGCTGCAACAACAGCATAGGAGTCCTAGTGGTAGAGGTAAGAACTGATTGCCTTAATTAAACCACCAACAAAGAAGGTCTAGGCCCAAGGTTAAAATAAATTTTTATTCCACAAATTACAAAATTCCAACTGGCATTTTTCTTACTTCTCACAGCAATATTTTGGGGCATTTTTTTAAACAAAACATTAATAAACCACAAAAGCATGGGTTTTTCTTTTTCCCTACTCCCCACAATTCAGCAACATCATCACTCACAGCTGCCCTTCAAAAGCTGCTGCACATTTTTTGTGTGTTTAAAAAGCTGAGGGTCCCCACTCCTTAAGTGTGCACTGTGGGTGGTGACTTTGTTTCAAAGAGTAAAGTATGGAACAGGGATAAAAATAGTGACTTTACAGTGGATAAACCTAACAAACACTATCTGATCAAGGTCAACATCAACAGTGATTAGTCATGTTGATAGGGTGTATGTATCCCTATATGTGATGAGCACTTTACTGCTGTGTTTTCTCTCAATGACCCATAACCCAATCTAGCCACAAGAAAAACATCAGACAAATCTCAGTGAGAGACACTCCACAAAATACTTCACCAGTAAGTACTCCTCAAAACGGTCAAGGTCATCAGAAACAAGGAAAGCCTGAGAAAAATGTCACAGCCAAAAGAAGCCTAAGAAGACATGAGAACTAAATGTAATATGGTGTATGGTGCCATAGGTGAGATCCCAGAACAGAAGAAGGACATTAGGTAAATACTAAGGAAATCCAAATAAAATGTGGATTAGTAACATATCAGTATTGGTCCATTAATTGTAACAAATGTAACCATGCTAATGTAAAATGTTACTAATAGAAGAAACTGGGTTTGGGGTATATGGGAATTTTCTGTACTGTCTTTATAATTTTTCTATAAATGTTAAACTGTTCTAAAAAATATTCTTTTTAACAAAAGACAAAAATTAAGAGAAATGCTGGCACTTCAGCCAACCCAAGCTAACAAGGATAACAGAAGGTTGCTATGACCCCCACATGTCCAGCAAAATAACACGAAATGAAAGCAGCAACAGCAGCTCTCCCACGCATCCTTCACTCTACCTTCTGGGTCTTCAATAACCACCTGAGTCTTGGCGGTTCCAGGGCAGAAGAGATTCTCCCTCCCCTCACAATAACAAGGGACCCAAGCTTTGAAAAACAAAGCTCTGTCCTGCTTCTGATAAACCTTCTTCTCTTGAAGGTCCTTTCTCTCATTTTCAGGCCAAACAAATCATGACAGACCCCCTTTCTACACCAGTAGAGGTTGGCTAATTCAAGTACCAGGCAAATGTCCAACCCATTCTGGAACTTGGCCAACCTTCAGCTGTAACCTAGTAGTGGTAACCTAGGTGCGTGGCTCACAGGCACAGCACTCTGCACCTGCGCTGCCTCTCAAGTTAGCTCACTCTGCTACCCATGCACCTTTCCTCTCCATCTGTATGAGTCTGCTAGGGCTGTCATCACAAAGTGGCACTGACTGGGTGGCTTAAACAACAGACATTTACTTTCTCACATTTCTGGAGGGTGGAAGTCTGAGATCAAGGTGTGGGCAGGGCTGGTTCCTTTTTAGCCCTGACTCCTTGGCTTATAGATGGCCACCTTCTCCCTTTATCTTCACACAGTCTTGCCTCTCTAGGAGTCTGTGTCCAAATTTCCTCTTCTTATAAGGACACCAGGCACAGTGGATTAGGGCATGCCTAATGACCTCCTTTTAACCTAATTATCTCTGTGATGACCCTATGTCCAAATACAGCCACAGTCTGATGTGCTAGGAATTGGCACTTCAACATGAATTTGGCAGGGACACAATTCTGCCCATGACACCAGCTATCTCACCCTTTGCTTTTTGCTCACCATAAGAAAGTCTCTTCAAATCTGAAAAGCTTGAATTATTCACATTGACATCTGTTCTGCCACTGCCCCTTCTTTATTCCAATAATTTTATCATATTGTGCCTTATATTAATTAGTGCTGGTTCTGTTCCACAAAGCAAAGCCACAGAGGCAGGAAAATTATAAGTGCTTTTGAAGGACTAACAGTACCTTAGTGGGTAGCTAGAGGGTACATAAGTCTGGCAATGACAAGAGGTGAAGCTAGACAGCTAGAGGGGTCAGACAGCACAGAGCTTTAAATGTTACCATAGCTGTATTCTAGAAAACACTAAAGCAATATATTATTGCAATGAATATTATTATTATGTATGCAGTCTGGAATCAAACTCCCCCATAATAACCTCTTTCTTTCAAAGGTCTTTTTGACAGTACAGGGGCTGGATTGGAAGTAGCAGACACTGAAAGCTGGAATATAAGCTAGGAGGATACCACAAAAGTCCCAGCGAAAAAACTATGACAGGAGTGCAGGACAGTTAATTTTATGTGTCAGCTTGGCTAGGCTATGGTGCCCAATTGTTTGATCAAACACCAGTCTAGATGTTGCAGCAAAGGTGCTTCCTAGATGTGATTAACATTTAAATCAACAGACTTTGAGTAAAGCTGAATGCCTCCACTACATGAGTAGGCCTCATACAATCAGTTAAAGGGTTTAAGAGCACAGACTGAGGTCCCCCAAGGGAGAAGGAATTCTGCCTCCAGAACTCTGGATAAAAATCAGCCTGCGTTTCCAGCCTTGAAACTCAAGCTGCAACATCAACTCTTGCATGAATTTCCAGCTTTTGGCCTACCTTGCAGATTTCAGATTTGCCAGCCCCCACAACTACATGAACCAGTCCCTTAAATTAAATCCCAATCTCTTCTTTCTCCCTCTGTTTCTCTCTCTTTCTCCCTCTCCCTGTTTCTCTGGAGAACCCTGACTAATACAGATCATGCAAACAAACAAAAAAAAAGTATGGCAACCAACAGAAGTTTAAATCTGATGACGACTAATACCAATGGGAATAAAGAAAAATGAACCTAACAATTAAAGTGACAAAATTTGGGATTTATTCTTCTAAGACAAAACATGATCCCTTTGGGGAGGGGGGATGAAGTGACAAAACAATCCTCTGATGATCAGAAATAACACATTAAAACTTCTACTTATATTTATTTTTATCAAATGCCTTTTTATTTCAACTTTTTCTATGCTTCATAAAATACATAATATAAATACATATTAGTGCATGAATATAATTTATTAACAAATACATATATTATGGATACACGCTCCAAAGTTTGTTCTAATGCAGTGGTTAAAGATATCTGGAGACAAACAGGTCTGAATGGAAAAGCACATGATACTACAGATATGGCTTAGGAAACGATGAAGTGGCCTGCAGTACATCTTATGAACTGGCTTATTAAGGTCCAAGTAGACAGCTATTATCAGCAGAGAGGACTCACAAGACTCACTTCAAAGCCTAACCGCCCAGATATGCTCTGGGGTGTGTCTGGTCTATGGAGAGGGCAGGATACAGAGGCGGCAACCCTGTGCACTTCTCCAGCTCCATTATTCTGAGAGGCAATGTGCTCTCATAAAAGACCTCTGCTAGGAATCTCGTCTTAGATTCTTGTTTCAGTCCTACAACTCTTTAGCTCTGTGAACTTCACTAGTCACTAACTTCTTTCAGCATGTCTCTCTGTAACACAGGAGACTGTATCTTAAAAGCTTGGATTATTCACGCTTTTCTCTGTCTTCCCATAGTACTCTTTTTCCTATATTCTTATCACGTTTTACTGTTATTAGCATTATATATAGCCAGCAAAGGCAGGGAAGCAGGATGATGGATTCTGACAAAGAAAAGCAGCCAACTGGATTATAGTTTAGACCAAGTATGTAAATGCCACTTACCATTTCTAAGGAGAGCAAGGGTCGGCCGCATTAGCACTGCATCTGTTTAGAAGTAGACGGGTCACTGCATAGGGTCACTTACTCCTCCAGGGTCCACTGGACTAAAGATGGCTCCAGGCAGGACCCTGCCCCACAGGCCTTCAAGAGCCTGGACCTGCTCTACCTGGTAAACACACTGCACAGCAGGTGGCTGAGGGGCTGCCTCTTGCAGCCTGAACCCAAGACCTACTATGGCTACCAACAACAACAGCAGAATCCCTCCTGCTGAAAGAATCTGCCTCCAGGCTCCCTTCAGCCATTCTCCCTCCAAAGGCAAAAGGTTTGGCCTCCTCCTACACTTGGGCACCTCAGGGTAGAAGAAAGTGGTTTTCCGTAACAATTAAAGCTGAGTCCTTCCTCACTCCTTATAACTCTTCCCCCCAGCCCACCAACAGGAGGCAAGTGTTACAAAGACATAAAACAGCCAAGATCCATTATTACTCTGGCAGCATGATGACCATTATGTCTTCTGTTAAAAAATCGGACCACAGGAAAACAACCATGATGCATCCTTTTACAGCTTCAGGGAAAATCTTGGACCGAGCTTTTGCTACAGGACTCACAACTTCATATTCCCGCAACTGATTATGCTGCCTTACCATTAGCACCTGTGAAACGTTCAAAACGTTCATCTTAATGCACTTAACTCACAGAATAGATAAATTTGTCCAAAGTTAAGAAATTGCGACATGCCACAGCCTTATCATCATTTGTCACTGAGAAAAATAAGTTTGAAGACTTCATGGCAGCTTAACAGAAAGCTATCTTCACGACAAATGAGGTTTATTACTAACATAAATAATACGACGGCAGCAAAGTACCAAAGAATGAATCATGAGGAACGGAAAAAGTAGTAAACACTGAAAAGGCAATTATGACTCACAAATTTCCTTTTCCCCAGCCCTGGGCACTCATACAAATTCTGTGACATCTCCTAACTGCAAATGCAGGGACCTTTCCTTTCAGATGTCTTCTTGACACCTCAAGATGAACATTTCTACAACTGACATCAACCCTCTTCAAAGGAGCTTCCCACTCACACACTCTTCATAGAACTCCCCCTCCTGCCCCGCTTGCCAGGCTTGAGACCTGGGACCCCCGTGCCTTTATCTCCAGAGCTCATCTAGACCTCTCCTGGGCCCTGGCATTTACATTATGAAGCCCGACTAATCTCTTTTTAACACAACTTTCACCACATTTCCTCTGTTGAAAATCTCTGATTTCCTTTATTTCCTATCCATATCAGACTTACATTTCTCAAACCACATCCTTCCCCACCCTAACTCTCCCCACATGCTCAAACCAAGCATGACCCTGACTCCTCACAACAGCCTCCCCATTCTGCTTATGCCCACTCACCTGGAATGCCTTTCCCCAATCTGCCCTGACACCCAGACAAATCCTACCTGTCCTCCTAGGCACTGATGGGCATTTGACAGAAAGATGGAGGCTGGAGATGCCAGAAATAAAGGGTGCAGGGAGGAGGGGAGACAGTGGGAAGGGAGAAAGAGACAGAGAACTTCAACCAACAGACAGGAAGAAAAAGGAAGAGAAAGAGGGGAGATAACTGGGATTTCTACCAAAATCATTTTATCAAAAGGGAGATAAATTCAGGGGTGTTTTGAGGGTTTGGTTTTTGCAACAGATGGAGTCTTGCTGTCATCCAGGCTGCAGTGCAGTGACAAAATCACAGCTCACCGCAGCCTTGAACTCCTGGGCTCAGGTGATCCTCTCACCTCAGCCTCCAGGGGAGCTGGAATTACAGGTGTGAGCCACAATTGAATTCAGTTTTAGATAGGAGTGTAAACCCACATCAGAACAATCAAACTAGTGCCCCATTAGTGAGAGGTGCAGAACTGCTGCTGCCTTGAGAAAGGGCTAAAGGTACAGGGAGCAGATACCCCTAGAGCAGGGGTGTTCAATCTTTTGGCTTCCCTGGGCCACACTGGAAGAAGAAGAACTGTCTTGGGCCACACAGAAAATATACTAACACTAACAACAGCTGATGAGAAAAAAACAATTGCAAGAAAATCTCATAATGTTTTAAGAAAATTTACAAATTTGTGTTGGGCCATATTCAAAGCCATCCTGGGCTGCATGTGGCCCACAGGCCATGGGTTGGACAAGCTTGCCCTAGAGAAATGTGACCTTGTAGAGTTGGTTCACTCATGGATTGATACGGTTTGGCTGTGTCCCCACCCAAATCTCATCTTGAATTGTAGCTCCCATAATTCTCACTTGTTGTGGGAGGGATCCTGTAGAAGATAATCAAATCTTGGGAGCAGTTCCCCCCATACTGTCCTCGTGGTAGTGAATAAATCTCACGAGATCTGATGATTTCAAAAGGGGTTTCTTCTTTCACTTGGCTCTCACTCTGTCTCTTGCCTGCCGCCATGTAAGACGTGCCTTTCACCTTCCACTATGATTGTGAGGCCTCCTCAGCCACGTGGAACTGTGAGTCCAGTAAACCTCTTTTTCTTTATAAATTACCCAGTGTTGGCTATGTCTTTATCAGCAGCATGAAAACAGACTAATACATGGATCAAGTCTTGAGAGAAACTGACGGGGGACCAAAGACTGAGCTTTGGAAAATGGTGAGATAACGAAAGAGGGACTATCAAATATGCAAGAGGGAACTCAGAAAATTCCAAAGTGCCATTAAAAGAGAACAGACTTTCTAGAAGACAGTGTGGGCATCAATACTGTCAAGGAGATACTAGCAGCAAAGCTATGACAGCTGCAAAGAAACAAGGAAAAATGAGGACAGAAAGAGACTTTGGACCTATTGTTTTTTAGATTATTGAGATGGCAGTTTCAAGACAGTGAAAGGCACACAGGGAGAACACAGAGACATCAGGATAAAACAAGTGGAGCAAGGCCAATCAGCCTATAAGGTAGGCAGGATTATCAGAAAACAGACATTAGAAGTCAGCTGAAATCACTGGTTGAGAGTGAGCAAAGCTCACCTTTGACTTTTTAATATTCTTATCTATTTTCTTAATGGTTAAAAGTAAAACTGGAGAGAAATAACAGGCTGCTGTTAAGTTTTGATGAATAATAAATATTCAATGCAGCCCATGAACTCAGATGTAACTGGACCTGTAAACCACTTTCTACCCAATGTATAGTCATTAAGAACTTTCCTCTGAGCCAGGACACTATAGAGTATAGCTTCACAGAGGGAAAAAATCATCAAGAACAGATCTTTATTTCTGTGTCCTGATTTTGCTTAATTGCCTTCCTCAGCCCCCAAAAAATCCAACTATAGAAAACTGTAGCAGGTCCCAATAGATTCTGAGTTCCAGAAGCCAAGTATCTCACCCACCCAGGCTCTGCCACACTCAAAACAGCCCTTCTCAGAGCACTCAGAGGGGGCTATAAAATTTTGAAAAAGAAAAAAAAAGATTATATCTCAGCTGTTCTTATGATACTGGAAATTGAAAGAAAGAAGATAGTAAGCACTGGAAAAAGAAGGAAAAAAAGGGGGAAAAGGAAACAGAAAGTAGAACATTTAAGTCACAAAATGGGTCATTAAATAACTGAGAAATAGTTAACAGAGAAAGCACCATCTCTTTCCAGATCCACTCATAATTATATGAAGCAGCCCATTCATCAGCAGATAAATCAAGATTTAGTGTGTATTATTCTCAGATGCTGCTACGCTTTAAGTCATCACTGTCAATATATTATGCTGCTATTATTCAGAGAAGGACGTTCAAGGTGTAGACAGATATAACAGTGACAAAATACTGTAAAGCATGGAATGGAACATAAATTATTCGAAATTCTATCTCTAGCTATCACCTACTTGTTATGTCTGCCAAAACCTAACCAAGTCTTGTATACAGATAGGTAGAAGAGAAATAGGGGAATGTGACAGAGGGCTTCAGAGCAACTTCCCCCATGAAGACATTAATATCAAAAGGTATTTATAGTGTTCTTAGTAAAAGGCACTAGTGCTATGTAATTTATAAAAAGAAGATCTTATTTCAAAGCAGAATGGCTGCCTCTTTAAATGCTGACTGATTTCCTGCCTTCTTAGGAACAGGGCTTTATAACACCATTGGACTCTTCTCCCAAAAATGAAGCTTCCTTTATGAAATTCACTATAAAAGATTGGGAAAAGCTTGGTGCAGTCATAGATCAAAGAAAAGAAAAACTACATCATTTTTATGTTTTATATTTAATGTAAAATCAGAAGCAATTAAAACTCATTCTTCAACACTGGTTTCTTGATTTCCAGGAAATATCCTACATTTTATTTTCTAAAAAAAAAAAACCTGAATTGTAGGCTATAGCTGCAATTAAATTGCTATAACTTCCCTACTTCATTTATTATTTTGTAAAATAAAGAAAGCAAAGAGATTGTCAACGGGTCTTGTTATAGAATGTAAGTCATTTATAGATTGGATCTGTTCATTCTATACAGTGAATCAGTGACTAATGGCTGCAATCCTCTCCCTGCTCATCCCTGAATGAGAGCCACGATGATGAAAGAGTTCTGAAATAATGGCAGCACTCATCTCAACATTTATTGAGCACCGACAGTATCTAGGGTTTTAGTGTTCACTGCTTCTGGCACTGGAAATGCAAAGACTCAAATCTTGTTATAAAAGAATCCAGGATGTAAATAAACAAAAATAAGAAATTTATAGCCCAATAGAAGAAAAGGATGAGTGAAAAGGATTAGTGCACAATCGAAATGTTAAAGGATGCTGTGGGTATTTTTATTGATTTAATAGGCACTGATATGACATTTTCTGCCAAGAACTGTTCTTTACAAATATTACTTCATTCCATCCTCATTAGCATCTTTATAATAATAGATTCTATGACCGCCATCAAACACCTCAATTTAACAAGAAGGAAATGGAGGTACAGAAAGTGAAGTAACCTGCCCAGGATTATACAGCAAACAAGTGACAGAGACAGACTGTGGACACAGGGAGTATGGCTCTACCACCTATGCCACCTCTGATCCCAAGAGGGAGGGTTGGAAAAGACAGAGCGGGGTACACTGCACAGTGTGAGTATTCACACAAAGCACGGAGGAATGGCAAGGTTATCCGCAAAGACAAGAAAAACTAGGGAAAGGAAGGGAGAATGTGTGACCCAAGACACTGCTAGCATGCCAGCCACACACCTGGTGTTAGTGAGCACTCTCACTCCAGCTCCTGGGAAAGCTACCTGAGCTGAGTCTCCTTTGTAAAAGGGAGACCAGACTGTCTATCGTGTGATGCCCTTACAAGGGCAAGGAATAGTCTCTGGAAAGGTTTTAGAAAATACAGAGCAAGTGCTGGCTAGAGCAGAATCCGAGTCAGAGAAGTGGGAGGTTCTCTGGCGACAGAAAGGTGGGCAGCACTGAAAGGTCTAGCGCCCCACTTTAGAAAACACAGTTATGGTCACTTACCTTCAGTAGGGCTATCTTCTCATTATGCCGCTGAACTCATCTACTTACTTTCTTACAGTTTAAAGATAACTAATAATGCATTCCATTATAGAAAGCCAGATCACCGCCATAGAGCCCCAATGTCAAATGTCTCCAGAAGTGAGGACAGCAGAGCTGTGAAAAACTGAAGAATTGGGGCCATGCCTCCAAGTGTTTAAACTCTACAATTTACGAAATACAGTGCCAGCTGGAGCCGTCCTTAAATCCAGCCCAAAGGCCCACCAGTCAGCATCCCCACATACACATCACTAATATTCTAACACCAAGGTCACCTGCCTCCCAGAGAAAATAAAACCATCAGAAGGAACTGTCTCTGCTTCCTGCCAGGACCTCCTGCCAGTCCTTCCTCCCTCCTCCTCTTTTCCAGGAGTAAACATCTGCTCCTTTCTGCCACAGCACTCAAGGGTCTTTCATCCACCAGCTCTTTTCTGAGCCTTTAACCTCTCTCCCCTTAGCTCCTTCTCAACACCATTTAATATGCATAGATGTTTCTCCTCTTTAAAAAAAAAAAAAAAAATTCCTGGACCTCACATACCCTCCTACTACTTTCTCTTCACAGGTAACTGTTTAAAAAATTATCTCCACTCCCATCACCACCTCCTCCTTGCCCATTTCCTCTGCTATCTACTGAAATCTGTCTCTTGTCCCATCAGTTTAGTGAAACTGCTCACCGTCTACGGCCATACCACCCTGAACGCGCCCGATCTCGTCTGAAACTTCTCACCATGTTCCCCACTAAATCACGTTTTCGCCTGGGAGACCAGATCACCTGCTCTGCAGCAGCCGGTAGCCTTGCCTGTCTTTCTCACACTGCCCCTTCCCCTGGGTTTCGTGGTGCCACACTCTCCTGGTCTCCTTCTTCTTCAACAGCAGTTCCATCGCAGGCTCCATTACTGGTTCTCTTCCCCTCACAGGGTTCCGCCCTAACACCTCTTCTCTCTGAGCATGTTCTTGATGGCTGTTCTTATCTACTCACATGTCTTCAATCCTCACCTGGATGCTCATGACTCCAAAACCAGCATTTTAAATCAAAATTTCTGTCCCGAGACCATATCCCTTTATTAAACTGCCCAGTAAAATATCTCCAGTGGGATATTTTAAAGTTAGCATTTAACAGCTGAGTTCCCTCCACCGCCCCTCGGACTGTGTCTTTGTCTTCAGTTCCCACCTCTGGTGATGGAACCCAAGCCAGAAATCTCTTCCATCATCCTCTTCCCTTACAAACAACGAAGAGCTATGTCCTGCCCTTTCCACCTCTCAAAAATCTCCCAAATGCATCCACTTGGCTGATTCCCATCACCAGTGCCTTAGTTTCAAGATCCATAATCTATAGATAGACTTATGCCCGTCTCTTAACTGTCTCCATGCCTCCAAAGCTGGCTTTGATTCATTCTCTACCCTGCAATTATATACTGCAAGCCTGCTCATCAGGTGCTCCTATCTGCCCACGAGGTACAGTCCAACCTCCTTCACACGCAATGCATTCACTAAATGAATATATCTTTTTACAATCTTGATAAGTATGGCAAATTTGGATTATTATGTATTAACTATTTCAGGTGTGTTGGTGATAACAATTAGAGTAATAAGCTCTTTTTAGTAATAAGCATGCACATAGAGCAATTTTAATTGGGTTTAAAATTCAGCACTATTTCATTTCTCTTTCATTTGCCCGCGAAATACCACTGTCAATTTTCACACTCCAACTTTACATAGCTAATAGATTGTCTAATAACCCAGTTTTCAGAAAGAGTATTTTTTAAATCCAATTACAATTCAAACTATTACAATTTACAATAAAATGCATGTATCTGAAAATGTTTTTAAAAACCACTCTATTTTAATTCCCACTACACCTGGAAAGGTACTTGTCTGTTAACACTGCTTACTCAGGGTCTTTCACTTTTTGAATTGCAATTATCTAAAGCAAAAATCAGAACCTGTTTATTAGAAATAGGGGAAGGGGTACAGTGTATAGGGATGAGAACGGTAGTTGGTCCAAGTCTCAGCCATTACCTAAGTGACCTTGGGCAACTAATGTCTCATGACCTGATTATTCAGCTAAAAAACAGACATAACATCTACCTTTAAGGAATATTTTAATGATGAAATAAGATATGGCATGTGTCTGGCAAACATAGTCTTCATAATCATTCCCACCATTCCCTGGGGATTATGGTACAGTGCATCTTGTATTAACTCCACGGCCATGAGACAATGCAAAGAACACAAAACTTTTCAACAATATAAACACCATATATCTTCAAAATATTGTGAGAAAAGTAAATTTTGATGGGCTAAAAAAACAAATATATACATAAAGGCACATGTAACCAGAATTCTACCAAAAAAAAAAATTATCTTAAGTGGAGGAATTTTTCTTGCTCTACAACTAAATGAAACTGCCCTAATCTGAAAGACAAATAGCCCTGTGAAAATCTACACCTATGCTTTTCCCATAAAGTACTTCCTTATTTATATAAGTTTTGTAATTTACTTTAAAATCATAACAAACTAATCCAACTCACTTGTTGCTCAAGGGAGTTGCACAAAGAACCATTCTTTAGCAAACTCATCATAAACCACATTATTTCTAGTGCTAATTAAAGGGAATTATGCTTCGCTGAGATTTGTGTAAGACTCTCCTGTTAATAAAATAACAGTGCTATAGGCAATCAACTTATTTTAAAGGACATTCTAGAAAACTGACTTTTAACACACTAGTGACCTGAAATACAGAGCCCAAGTTCCCTTTCAATGTTGTAACAAGGTAAAGTATCATTTTCTTTGATTGAGGTGGAACTTGTACCAAAACAGCTTGTGAGGTTTTCAAAAAGGTCAATTAGGAACAGGAAAGGCATCAATGGGTGTGAACCAAAAAAGCTCAACAATTCAGATAGGAAATTTTACCTGTGTTTACAAGGCAATGCACTTCAGTTCAGTACAGCTCATACTGACTGGGCTGGGTGCAGCCGGGGTGGGGGGCGATTTTTAAAACAAGATTATTACATTTTGAACATAATCCAAAGTGAACAATCATCAATGGCCAAAGTGCTTTTAAATGTTGAGAGCAGATATGGGAGCTCCAGTTAGGCAGTGAGGACTTCCCTTATACCCAATCTTACCTAACCGTGAACCTCTTTCTCCAGGACTGACTAGAGACTCGACTTCCCAGCACTGCTCATTCCCCTGGTCTGCACAGTCACAAGTGCCTAACAAGTACATACACTGTACTGCTCAATGCCTTTATCATCCCAGCCATCTAAAGCATTCTCAAAAACCTATGTAAATTCAAATAACAAAAACAAAATTATTTTTTCTAAAAGTTTTTATTACGAATAATGCATTTCTGGGGGGGGTTGAGTTTGTTTTGCTTTGTTTTAAGACAGTCTTACTCTGTTGCTCAGGCCAGAATGCAGTGGCATGATCTCGGCTCACTGTAACCCCCACATCTCGGGTTCAAGCAATTCTTGTGCCTCAGGCACCTGAGTAGCTGGGATTACAGGTGTGCACCACCATGTCTGGCTAATTTTTTTTTTTTGTACTTTTAGTGAGATGGGTTTCGCCATGTTGCTCAGGCTGGTCTCGAACTCCTGGCCTCAAGTGATCCACCTGCTTTGGCCTCCCAAAATGCTGGGATTGCAGATGTGAGCCACTGTGCCCGGCCACACATTTGTGATAGAAATAATATCAATTAAAAAACTTTATTTGTATATGTATATGTACTTACTGAGAAAAGCCCCTTAAAAATGCCAAGGACTATCTTTGCTGTACATAATGTAACTCAGAAGAAAATTTTACTATGTAAAGTTATTACAGAGGTACAGCTACTATCTTTGCTTTTATATAAAAGTATTCGATATTTTTAACTAATTTCCTGTTAAGCCTTTAAAAGGATAGAAAGTGTAATAAAAACATTGTTTCTGTGGGAAAAATAATAACCACTTTTTTTTTTTTTTTTTTTTTTTTTTGAGATGGAGTCTTGCTCTGTCCCCCAGGCTGGAGTTCAGTGGCGCGATCTCGGCTCACTGCAAGCTCCACCTCCCAGGTTCACGCCATTCTCCTGCCTCAGCCTCCCGAGTAGCTGGGACTACAGGCGCCCGCCAATACACCCAGCTAATTTTTTGTATTTTTAGTAGAGACGGGGTTTCACGGTGTTAGCCAGGATGATCTCGATCTCCTGACCTCATGATCCGCCCATCTCGGCCTCCCAAAGTGCTGGGATTACAGGCGTGAGCCACCACGCCCAGCCAATAACGGCTTTTACAGTGACCACTTCATGGCATATTTTCTTTTTTTCTTTTAAGTTCCGGGATACATATGCAGAATGTGCAGGATTGTTACATAGGTATACATATGCCGGATTGTTACATAGGTATACATATGCCATGGTGGTTTGCTGCACCTATCAACCCATAATCTAGGTTTTAAGCCCCACATGCATTAGGTATTTGTCCTAACTCTCTCCCTCCCCTTCCGCTCCACCCCCAACAGGCCATGGTGTGTGTTGTTCCCCTCCCTGTATCCACGTGTTCTCATCATTCAACTTCCACTTATGAGTGAGAACATGCAGTGTTTGGTTTTCTGTTCCTGTGTTAGGTTGCTGAGAATGATGGTTTCCAGCTTCATCCATGTCCCTGCAGAGGACATGTTCTCATTCCTTTTTATGATTGCATAGTGTTCCATGGTATATATGTACCACATTTTCTTTATCCAGTCTTTCATTGATGGGTATTTGGGTTGGTTCCATGTCTTTGCCATTGTGAATTGCACTGTAATAAACACATGTGAGCATGTGTCTTTATAGTCAAATGATTTATATTCCTTTAGGTATATACCCAGTAATGGGATTGCGTATCAAATGGTATTTCTGGTTCTAGATCCTTGAGGAATCGCCACACTGTATTCCACAATGGTTGAACTAATTTACATTCACAACAACAGCATAAAAGCATTCTTGTTTCTCCACAGCCTCGCCAACATCTACTGTTTCTTGACTTTTTAATAATTGTCATTCTGACTGGTGTGAGATGGTATCTCATTATGGTTTTGATTTGCGTTTCTCTAATGATCAGTGCTGTTGAGCTTTTTTTCATATGTTTGTTGGTCGCATAAATGTCTTCTTTTGAGAAGTGTCTGTTCATATACTTTGCCCAGTTTTTGATGTTTTTTTTTTTTACCTTGTAAATTTATTTAAGTTCCTTGTAGATTCTGGATATTAGACCTTGTCAGATGGGCAGATTTCACAAATTTTCTCCCATTCTGTAGGCTGCCTGTTCACTCTGATGATACTTTCTTTTGCTGTACAGAACTTCTTTAGTTTAATTAGATACGATTTGTCAATTTTTGCTTTTGTTGCAATTGCTTTTGGTGTTTCCGTCACGAAATCTTTGCCCATGCCTATGTCCTGAATGGTACTGCCTTGGTTTTCTTCTAGGGATTTTATGGCTTTCAGTTTTACATTTAAGTCTTTAATCTATCTTGAGTTAATTTTTGTATAAAGTGCAAGGAAGGGGTCCAGTTTCAGTTTTCTGCACATGGCTAGCCACTTTTCCCAGCACCATTTATTAAACAGGGAATCCTTTCCCCGTTGCTTGTTTTTGTCAGGTTTGTCAAAGGTCAGGTGGCTGTAGATGTGTGGTGTTATTTCTGAGATCTCTGTTCCACTCCATCAGTCTATACACCTGTTTTGGTACCAGTACCATGCTGTTTTGATTACTGTAGTCTTGCAGTATAGTTTGAAGTCAGGTAGCATGATGTCACCAGCTTTTTTCTTTTTGCTTAGAATTGTCTTGGCTATACAGGCTCTTTTTTGGTTCCATATGAAATTCAAAGTAGTTTTTCTAATTCTGTGAAGAATGTCAATGGTAGTTTAATGGGAATAGCATTATATATATAATGCTATATAAATTACTTCGGGCAGTATGGCCATTTTCACGATATTGATTCTTCCTATTCATGAGCATGGAATGTTTTTCCATTTGTTTGTATCCTCTCTTATTTCTTGAGCAGTGGTTTGTAGTTCTCCTTGAAGAGGCCCTTCACTTCCCTTGTTAGCTATATTCCCAGCTATTTTATTCCCTTTGTAGCAATTGTGAATGGGAGTTTATTCAAGATTTGGTCCATTGACTAGCATACTTTAAATGAGTCAATGTTACAGTAAATTATATCTCAATAAAGCTTTTTTTTAATGCAAGAGAGTAAAATCCCTCCCTTACATTTAACCATTAATTTGTGAGGATCTGATGCTTAGAGGTAACGTAGCCATCTGGCAATCATGAGTAAACAAAGCAAAGAGGAAAAGCTAAAATGCTGAAATAGCTTAGCAGAAAAACAGAAAGAAATTGGCCTGTGGAAATATGGCTGAGTGGCCACATAAACCGACAGTGGCACCACCCTTCAGGAGTTCCTATAATGTGAGAGGAAATATTTCCTACTATTTCTTAGTGGTGTCTTCCATTGTTTACCTAAAACCAATGCACTCATACGATGGAGAAATACGATACTGAGCAAAAACACTCCACTGGGTACTTATATCAAATCCTTTAGATGTATGCATAGCAAACACAAATAAAATAAAATTTTCATTGTGTATTTTCACTACAATCCAAATGTTGGCTTCTGACAGAAAAGTAATATTTCTTAAAAATAAAATTGTGTCTAACGATAAATAAATTGAGCTTTTTGCTCTGATCTAGAGCTTTTTGCTCTGATCTAGAAATTTTTCACACAAAAAAACTAAAAGGTATTTTCTGTATCATCATTTTACAGTATCCCCAAAAATAAAGACATGAAGAATATAAACCAACTATGAATGATCATAAAATGTATTATCAGCTAAAGCAATTTTAAGAGTCTAAACCTAATCCCAAATCTCTTATTTTCACATCAATATTTCCTAATAATCAAGCAGTAGATCTTATTATTAGTAGTTTATTATTGTGAGTAGCTTAATAAGTTTCAAGAATGGATTGATTACTGATGTGGATAAGGACAACATATGCTACTATTTTAGCGACAATCATAATACGCAAAGTGGGAGCATATAATAGCCATTACCTAGCATCAGAAATATAATATCCCTTTGGTGAAGTACTGCATGATTAGACTTGCTCAGAAACATTACATATTCCTATAATACCAATAAGCATTGGTGATAGGATACCAAATTAAAACAGCAACCGTTACCCCATGACATTGGATAAAGAACAGATACTGTGTGTTCTTATATTAACTCATTTACTTAGAGCTAGACTATTTTTAAATAGATAAATAAGTAAATATCAGCTGCTGCAATAAATCTCATTCTCTGACCTCTCTTCTGAGTTACAGATACACTTTTCCAGCCCTTTCCTGGGCATTTCCACAGAATAAATGGCAACTGTCAAATTCAAAACATATCAAATTACATACCACAGTTTTCCAACAAAATAGTCCCCGTTTCTGACAATCCTTAGGAGCTCTGCCATCCTTTCAGTTACCAAGACTCAAATCTTAGAGGAACCAAAAGCTCCTCTTTTCCCTGATCTCCAAACAATCAAAGCTCGGTAAGCTCTCCACATTCTTCTTTCCCCACACTGGTTCTAACACCCGTTCTTTTTCCTTTTGTCAAGGCCATCATCCCATTTCACGTCATCTGAATGTCAGATCTGATTTTTAGCCATGATTTCCTAAAGGGCATCACTTCTTATGACCAAAGTAATTGGTTACATTTCACTTCATTAGAAGGAAAAGTTTGTAAGGGAAGTGATTTCCGCATATCTTTTCACTAATGTGTTATCCTAATACCTAAAACTGCCTAGAGCATACACAGAAGACATTCAATAAATATTTAGTGAATAAAATAAATTTCATAACTGTGTAATGTTGAACAGTGATGCTCCACTGCTCTTGGTCAAATAACATATATACATCACACATCTGACCAACTCCATTCAAGAGCTTCCATTCTTTGTCCCCAACCTACCATTCTAAATTTATCTTAACTAATTTCTAGATCCTCCAAATCCAGCCAAAATAGACTATTATAAAACAGTTATATTTAATTTTATACATATATGGTATACATGTAATAATAGCTATATATATATTTATATGCCATTAAATTACTACAAAATGCTATGGAGAAAAACAAATTAGAGAAGGTGGACACAGGTTCCAAGTAGATTAAGGAAAGTTTAGGTTGGCCTCACAGATTATCTGGCATTTGAACACAGATTCAAAGATGCTAAAGAAGTAAGCCATGTGGCTATCTGGGGGCAAGGTGGGAGGAGGAAATCCTCTAGACACAGGACATAGCAAAGGCAAAGTCCCCTAGGTGGGAGAAGGACGTCTCTGTCCTCTTTACATCCTCAACACCTGTCACTATGCCTAGAACCTTCTCATCTACTCTTTTGCCCATCTTATGTATAGCCCACTATATGCCAGGAACTAAAATTCTATTAAAAGTCAAGCCAAACTTTCAAATATAAAATTCCTAGAATTTAGCTTTGAGTTTAATTACATAAAAACCTCAACCACTCACGCATTCAGCGTGACCATATTTGACCTTGAAAACTTTCTCCCAATTCCCTTTCCCTCCCGACACTGCCATGTCATTTAACAACATACGGGTCTCCTGAGCCTCATGCTCAAAATCGCAGTTCATGCATAACACTATGTACATGCTCACTGAATATTATTCTGAAAAATAACATCGTATTTGGTCAGCCCAATTTCATACCTCCTATCTTTGTCCATACCCCAAATAAGAAGGTTAGAAGAGAAGGCCAAAGTCATCTGCCATTCTTTCAAATCTTTGCCCAACTCCCTGCTGCCTGCCATAAAACTCAAAATTTATTCAATAATGCATTCAAAATGCTTCTGAAATTAGAGTAGGGCAATCAAGTATAATTTTTCCTACAAAGAAGGCTCAAATTTAAATGTGCTCAAGAAACAAAAGTCTAGTTGTCCCAAGGCTTTTTAGCTCCCTTCATATCAGTAATGCCAGTAGGACAAATCCTAATAATCTAAAATAGAATTATGTAGTGCTTACACAATACTGGCTTTCACATCAATAAGTTAAGTCTCTATTAAAATTTAGATATGGGTAAATGTAAAATATCCATGTAATTTGATGCATCTTCATTTGTGGGTTTCATACTCAATATTCCTTATCTTTATATTCTATTTTAAAAAATTTATAAAGATATAGAAAGTTATAAGAGCCCCCAGGTGCACTGATGGGATATGTACATCTACACTGAAAAACAGCATGAACAATAAGAAGGGTGTGACAGAAAGGGAGAGATTTCAGGACCATCAATTGACAACAGCAAGCTGTGGTGATTCCAAGGAGTGTAGATATCAAGAAAAAGTCCCTCAAAAAGACACCCCCAAAAGGGGAGGTTCTGCTGGTGTTGCCTCGGAAACTCAGGCAGAGGCATATAGTACCCTGTGAATATCAATACGTTAAGACCATCGGACTTTAAATGGGGATAGAAATTCCAAAGCTGAATCCTTTCCCTTGAGAATACAAAGCAATTCCAATTAGCAATAAGTAAATGCTAAAATCTACTAATCCTTAGTTAAATTCACTCTTCTGTTGTGGGGAGGGAGATCAGCACTGTTCTGAGTAGGACTCAAATTATACAAAGCATAGTATAGCTTCAAACATTTTAATCTCCTCACCCTACCTAGAGCTAAGGATATATTTATAACTTTTCAAGGAACCGCAACCCCAACTACTACAGGTTGAGCATCCCAAATCCAAAAATCTCTACTCCAAAATATTCCAGTGAGCATTTCTTTTGAGTATCATGTTGGCACTAAAAAGTTTCAGATTTGGGAGCTTCTAGAGTTCAGATTTTCACATTTGGGATGCTGAACTAGTGAATATATGAATATATTACAAATATTCCAAACTGTGAAAAAAATTCAAAATCCAAAATACTTCTGGTCCCAAGCATTCCAGATAGGGCTACTCAACCTATATTGTTCTTTAACTAATTTGAAACTGAATGGAATTAAAAGCAACATGGCTCAGGGTGGTGGTTCACACCTGTAATCCCAGCACTTCGGGAGGCTGAGGCAGGCAGACCACTTGAGGTCAGGAGTTCAAGACCAGCCTGGGCAACATGGAAAAACCCCGTCTCTACACCAAAATAAAAAAAAAAATTAGCCATGCATAGTGGCACGCACTTATAGTCCCAGCTACTCAGGAGACTGAGGTGGGAGGATGGCTTGAGCCCAACAGGTGGAGGCTGCAGTGAGCCAAGATCACTTCACTGCACTCCAGTCTGAGTGACAGAGTAAGACCCTATCTCAAAAAAATAAATAAAAATAAAAACAATATGGATAGTAGTGAAAGTGACACTATTGTTAAAATAGTTAAAATTCATCAGCTTCCTTCATAATGGTACCTCACTTTCCAACTCCCTTTTTTTTCTATTAAGTGTACCACGATTATTCCAATAATTTCATTCCAATAATATTCCATTTCTCAAGTTTCATTTCTCAGCATCCTTTTGGCTTTTTCTGAACACTCCTCAAGCCGACTCCATTTATCCTCAACTGCATCTCTCACACCACCTCTTCTTTTGCCATCCACATCTTTTTTTCCCATTCACATTCCACCACCCTAGTCCACTCGCTGACATCATCTACCTGCTTAAAAGTGCTAGTAGTTCTCGGTTGCCTCATCAAGGTAGCATCTCATTCTCAGGAAGGAGTTAGGCCCTCCTCAACTTGACTCCAGGACCCTCTGGGGTTACCTCTCGTGCCCCTTCCCACACAGCATGAGGAGACCAGCATTTCTGCCCTGCCTCATGCTACTTTCCCATCCTGAAATGGTCTCCCCAGCCTTGTTTACCCAGCGAACTCCTACTCAGTCATCAAGGCCCAGCTCCAACAGCCATTCCCTTCTAGAGTATTCTCTGAGCCCAGTAAAAATCAGTTACTCTCTGATCTGTGTTCTTTATATCCCATTCCCTAGGGCTTTTTTCATATATAGTAGCCACAGTAGCTTTTGAATAGGCCTGCCACACCATGGGAATGTGAACTGTGGCCTAGATTATCTCTCACGGTCATACCCTCAGCACCAGCCACAGTGGCAAACACACAGCAGTGGCTTCCTGAGTGTGTTTTGAACTGATTTACATTGTCACTTAACCCTTTAATCGTTATCTTTTCACATGTTTCTGTCTTACTTCCACCTCTTTAAACCAGACTGTAGAATCATTAAACACAAATGTTGTTTTTTTACATTCTATATTTATCACAGGGTTTGGCTTTAAACATAGACACTTAAAACTTGTTTGCTGAATGGTATATGCCACTCTACCATCTCCCTCCCTAACAGACTCAAAACTCAGTAAACAGCCTGTGGAAGAGAAAGAGCAACCACAGAACATCCCATTGCAGCTCAGCTGAGGAGAAGGTGACAGACCATGGCCAACGGTACAGCCTTGATTCCACTATGACCCACACCACTGCCTGTATGTAGACCCCTTTAATATAGTCAGTCTCTAGATCAGTTAGAATAGAAAACAGCAAGATTGGGAACACAGTTAAACAAACCACGTCAGCGCTGGTAAGTTAATTAGGAACAATGCCCACTGATAAAAATCTGTAATATTTGTTCTCCGCAACAAGTTGGATAAGTGATATTTGTTTTTAAAAATCACTGCAAAATATTTCCAGTGCTGTACAACACAAATTTGAAAGAGGATTAGTGAGTTAAGCCCTGGACCAGGGTCACAGTCTTTGAAAAGTGAATCATCCATAAACCACCCTTAGTTATATCCATGGTTCAAATGGTGATCAGCTCAGGCCAAGATGGTAAATTGCACAAAAACCCACCCAAGTAAATTAGAAAAGAAAAAACAAATAAGCAAGCCCTGGATGATTCAAAATCCCTGTTTACCAAACCCTACTGCTAAATTATTTTAGAAAGTAGAAAACTATGTTACTCTTAGATAACAATGGAGCAAACAAAAAGGGATGTACAAAATCCCAGACGGCTAAAATGAACAAACCTGTAGTGAAAGGAAACAACGTTTCCTTTACTGATTCCCAGAGCTTTGTCCTCTTGCTAGCGTCCAGTGCCAGTGAGCTTTAAAGGGTAAGTGGGGAATTTGAGAGAGTCATCAATCTTACTAATGGGACCGCTGCTTCCCTATTCCTGGTTTCTGTAAGGAGGGGTTTTCCCTGAACAAAGCTGGCTTTCCTCTCTGCTCCTTCAACCAACTCCTCCTCCTGTATTCTGTTTCAACTGTTGTGAAATCTGAGCTACTCTTAGGGAGCAGACTCATAAATCCTACCTGGAACACCCCCAGCCCCCCACCGCCCTACCTTTCCCGCCCCCGCCTAATTCTGGACAGACACTCTTCTCTCGAATTAAGCTATGTCTCCAGTATCGTTCTGGCCACAATAGAGGTGATGTTTTGTTCTCCATCTGATGACTCTAAGAGTACCTTCTTTCCTAATTTGTTCAGAACTCAGGCTAGGGAGAAGGGATCTCTTTATTGGATCTCCTCTGAGAACTCACCAATTTATAGTTCCCAAGGAATATTCCTGGAAAATGCATTAACTCTGGAGCCAAATAAACTGGTTCCACTGAATAAACTCTCATCCAGAGGTTTAAGTGATTCATTAAGCTGAGTTTAGAGAATTTACTTGCCTTTGGGTTCCCAAGTGAAGACATTAATTGATGAAAAAGGGTCTACCTTTCATTTGTCAGGTCTTAGAATAAATGTCTTCCTTCTGTACTTAATGCTTATATTTCAACAACTTAAACTCAGGTTCTTCTATTCATTTCAGGTTTCTTAAAGAACAAAACTATACTGCCCTATGGTACAACATTTACATCCAATATACCTAATACTGCTCTTAAAATGTTTTTAGAAAGCACTTCAAGTGAATATCAGCTTTTGTTTAACAACATTTTCCACCATTACATGAGAAACTCAGTGCAAGGTGCTTCCAACATTACGCTATTAATTTTTTTTTTTTTTTTTGAAACAGAGTTTCGTTATTGTTGCCCAGGCTGGAGTGCAATGATGCGATCTCAGGCCACTACAACCTCCGCCTCCCGGGTTCAAGCGATTCTCCTGTCTCAGCTTCCGTAGTAGCTGGGATTAAGGCACGTGCCTATATGCCCGGCTAATTTTTTGTATCTTTTAGTAGAGATGGTGTTTCACCATGTTGGTCAGGCTGGTTTTGAACTCCTGACCTCAGGTGATCCGCCCACCTCAGCCTCCCAAAATGCTAGGATTACAGGCATGAGCCGCCACACTCGGCCTAAACGGTTAATTTTTATAGTCTCTTCCTGAGTTGTATAAGGGTAGGTAGAATTTTAATATCCTTATGTACTAATGAAGGAATTGAGGTTAAACAGTCAGAAAACAAATGTCATTGTGAACTGCAAGCAAAATGCCACTCTCCCTGACTAAGAATTTACATTGCCAGAGTAGGCTGTTGCCTAGGGAACCATGTCAGAAAAAGGTCCAGCATCTCAGAGGACTCACGGTATGTTGTTCTAGGCTTCTGTCACGAATTTTTGGTGTGTAGAACCCTACAAAGCTAAAAGAGAAAATGTATTCAAGCACAGCAAAGCAGTAGCAAGGGCGCAAATATCTTACTAACATCCCTGTGCCATTTTAAGCTGTCAATCTTAAATACCAGAAAAAAACAAAAAAAAGCAAAACATATGGTTTTTACACAGGTTAAAAACTTACAGAGTTAAAATCTCCTATCATCATTTGACTCAATTAGAAGTTTTATCATAGTATTGCCCAATTATCTTTCTCAAGGCAATATTTATTTTCCTTGCAAAATACAGTGATAAAACAAATTTTACTGTATATGCATGCATAATCATCATAATAAAAAGGTGTGTCAGGAAAAATGACCTGGAAATGTCATATTGATTAGACTTATAAAAATACAATATATTCGACTAAACAGGGAAGAAGTTTTAAAGAAAAAAGAAGACTTTACATTATTTTCTCCATTCATACTCTCTGCATTTCTTATTTATAGTAACAAAACGTTTTTTGTTTTATTTGTTTATTTTTAATTTTTTTTTTGAGACACAGAGTCTTGCTCTGTCACCCAGGCTGGAGTGCAGTGGTGCAATCTCTGCTCACTGCAACCTCCACTTCCTAGGTTCAAGCGATATCGTGCCTTAGTCTCCGGTAGCTGGGACTACAGGGGCCTGCCACCATGCCCAGCTGATTTTTGTATCTTCAGTAGAAACAGGATTTTGCCATTTTGGCCAGGCTGCTCTCGAACTCCTAACCTCAGGTGATCTGCCTGCCTCAGCCTCCCAAAGTGCTGGGATTAAAAGCGTGAGCCACTGGCGCCCAATCCAAAAAGCTTTTTGCATCCCCCTCAGGATGTTTTGACAAGATTTTTATCCTCACAATCCCAATCCCACCTTTGATGTTCCCCATCTCCTCCTAAAAACAGGAAACACAGCAGGGTTTACTCTTCGCTGACCTCTGAGCTAATGTCTAGCCCTTTTTCATAGATAAGTTTTATAGGCAGGTTGGAAGAGGTTTACTAGCTTGCCTGAGATTGCAGAGGTTAGATGTAAATCTAGGTTTTTTTCAACTTTGGGCCCTAAATTCACCAACTACATCATTCAGACTTCCTCCCACACTGCCAGAGTCCTCAGGGAGGATGTCACAGGGGTCCCAGGTTCTCTAGCGTCTCTTCAGAACCTACACCTTTCTTAACTCTTCCCCATCAAGAAAATTTTCCTACCCTGTGTCTGATTCTCATTTTGTTGGGTTACTTAAGTTAGTCTAGCCTACAGTGACCCGTGACTGGTTATATCTAGCACAATGTCTTCCACATAGTAGTTGATAAATATTTTGTGTGGTTGACAGTCATTCACATCTCAAACAATGTATTTGCATTCTAAGAAATGTCTTCAAAATCTTCCTCTAATTAGCTTCTGATGACCTGAATCTGCATACTGCACAGGCAGGTTAGGTGAGTGAGGTCTTTTCAATGTTACAGTAACACAGTTTTGCTTTCCGTGGTTTCAGTTAACTCTGGTCCAAAAATATTAAATGGAAAATTGCAGAAATAAACAGTTCATATGTTTTAAATTCTGAGTAGTGTGATGAAATCGCACGCCATGCTGCTACATCTCGCCCAGAGCATGAATCCTTCCTCTCTCCAGCGTCTCCACACTGTACACGCTCCCTGCCCATCAGCCACTTAAGAGTCTTCTCAGAGATCAGATTCACTGTCATGGTACCACGGCAGTGCTCATGTTTAAGTAACCCTTATTTTACTAAATAACAGTCCTAAAGTGTAGAAGTAGTGATGTTGGCATATTGTTATAATTGTTCTGTTTTAGTATTGGTTCTCGTTAATCTCTTACTGTGCCTAATACATAAATTAAACTTTATCACAGATACATTTGTATAGGAAAAAACGAACTATTAATATATATAGGTTTGTTACTAGCTACAGTTTTAAGCACCTACTGGGAGTCTAGAAATGTATCCTCCACAGTTAAGGGGGTACTACTGTATCTTCTAAAGCAGCAGTGCCCAACCTTTTTGGCATCAGGGACCAGTTTCATGGAAGACAATTTTTCCACAGACAGGGGGCAGGGGATGGTTTCAGGATGATTCAAGTGCATTACATTTATTGTGCACTTTATTTCTATTATTATTACATTGTAATATATAAGGAAATAATTATACAACTCACCATAATGTAGAATCAGTGAGAGCCCTGAGCTTGTTTTCCTGCAACTGGATGGTCCCATCTAGGGGTGATGGGAGACAGTAACAGATCATCAGGCATTAAATTCTCATCAGGAGTGTGCAACGTAGATCCCTCACATGCGCAGTTCACAATAGGGTTCATGCTCCTATGAAAATTTAATGCCACCGCTGATCCAACAGGAGGCGGACTCAGGAGGTAATGCTCACTGGCCCACCACTCACCTTGTGCTGTGCAGCCAGGTTCCTAACAGGCCAGGTACCAGTCCATGGCCCAGGACTTCAGGACCCCTGTTCTAAATACTCGCCCATTTAGAAAAAAAGTGAGTAGGAGAAAAATCACAAATTGCATTCGAACTCCCCCACTGCATGAAAAACTCCCTGAGTTGTCTATTGTACTCATAGCTGTCTCCTTAGCACTTAGTCCAGGGCCTAAATATGAAATACTTTGGATGGATGGATGGGTGGACGGACAGACAAATAAAAGAATGAATACATGGATATGAGTTATTTAGATGGCCACCCAGTTATGGACTATATATTCAAATCAGAGGCTATTTATTATCTGAAAATATATTGACAGAAAATGTATTTTACTGCAGAATTTAGATCTGTCAGAACCCAATTGAAAATATTTTCTACTGCAGTATCTATAACCTTACCCATACATTAATTACATATTATAGGAACTAATTTTCAGTTTTTCTACAAATCTGCCTTCTATCATAAAATCAGCTATAATATAAATGCTTTTTTGCAAATTTAGTTTGCCAAAACAACCTTTTGTATATCCTCAAACAATGGCAAAGAATGAACTACTAAAAGAAATACTAACAAATATAAAATCAAAGGTAGCTTCAAAGTGGCTTCTCAAAGGTCAAGTTGGCCTTATTCACTTCTGAGAGGGAATACAGCTAAAAGAACATTTCTGTTTGTTCAACATTGTAATTTATTTTCTACTCAGTAAACTGTGAGGTTTCTGCATGAAATGTAAAAATAAATATGCTGAATCAAAGCAGAAACCATGATTTTTATGAAGTAAAAATGCAAGTGTTCATTAGAATTCAGGAAACATAAAATTTGTTTGCTTTTTTTTTTTTTTGCCAAGATGTGAGAGGGAGATTCTGCAATCATGACTTCTGGAGAGGCCACTGCACAAGGCTCTAACGCCTTCATCTGTTTATACACAGGCTCAATCTGCTAGCTCTATAGGAGATTCCAGGATACCAAATAATCATCATCATAATAATTATTACATTTAGAGACAAGTTGTTCCTTTTTTCTGGTCAAAATAATGAGACTTTCCAGAAGAGCTGAACATTCAAATTTCAAATCATTTCCTTTAGTGTCAGTCCTAACTCCTCTTAATACAAACCTTTCTTTTTACTCCCAAAGCAACCTCAATCCAAAGTATTAACTAGAGCTGCAAATAAAATTTCAAACTAGAGTTGATTTTCCTGATAATAATTGTCTGTGGAAGGTGAAAAAAAGCACTGCCTAGAGCAGAAGTCAGTTCATGGGCC
Organism: Homo sapiens; assembly: GCF_000001405.40. NCBI lineage: Eukaryota > Metazoa > Chordata > Mammalia > Primates > Hominidae > Homo > Homo sapiens. Next base: position 60,260,176 of record NC_000008.11, read on the forward strand.
ATTTCTGAGGTTGTGGCCCTGAGCTAACCTCCCTCCTCCCCAGACCGCAGTAAGCATCTCTGTAAAGTGGGCAGGAGTAGGCTATCTACTAAATCCACCACCCCTTCGACCCCATTCTTGGAGGTAGCAGGGATTCCAACTTTGCAACACACACCCCTCCTCTGCTGTCACAAAGCCACTCTAACTTCACAGCCTGTAAGGCAGGGGCAGGGTGCCACAGCCTCACTACCACCCTCCTGTGGAAGGTGAAAGCAGTCCCCTTCTGAATGTGGGGTGCTTACAGACATCAAAACTCCTTATATCATTAGGGGGTGCAAGGACAAAGCCCATTGTGTTGTCTCTCTGCAACTAAACCATAAGCAAAAAGAGCACCATAGAGGATAATCCTTAAATGAAATATTTAATTAACCAGATGATACTCTTCTTCATCCAGGCCATACATATGGTTTCCTATAAATGATCCTGTGCAATTTGACCTTTTGAACTCTTAGATTTCTTCTTTGCTAGATAGGAGTTTGGACTAGATGATCTTGAAAGTTCCTTTTAAATCTATATTTCTTTAGTGATATATCTTGTATCTAATCTTCAGAATGTTCACTCTCAAACTAAAGTCATCCCATTACATCTCCTTGGAAAATCAATGGAAATCCCTTATTTTAGAAGAGGTTCAACAAACATGAAGTGCTATTTGAGATGTTCCTGAAAGTTAAATAACTTGAAAGGTTATAATTTCACTATTAACCAGGCAAACTCTTCCTGGGATCTCCTTAGAATAGTAAAATACATGAATAAAAATAAATCTTTCTGGGAGGTGAACATGCAAATGACTTGGGGAGCAGCAATCTTAAAGACCATTCACTTTTACTAAGAGAACACTAAATACTAGATGCTACCATGTGCCGCCTGGAAAGAGAAGAAGAAATGTGGGATATCTGGCGACCTGGCACAGGGGCCAAATATAGTTTAAGGATTAGCAATATATTACGAGATAAAGTCTTCAGAATATTTTTGTTGGCCTATTTTGCAACCAAGGCCTGGACTCTTCACAATTAAAGCATCTTGCCCTGTACAATGAATTTTTTTTCTATTTACCTAATGCACCCAACTTTCCATCAACAGCTGGTATGTGGCACAATCATCACTAAGTCCTTTCAGAGTACACAGAGCAACAGATGCTCTTTAAATACAATATAAAGAAAGATAAGGGTCCAACATACAATATGGCTAGACCTCCTTTTTGGCAATTCACTCTTCAATCATAGCTTTTAGGCCCAGAAGGCAAGAAAGTCAGGTTCCCCATACATGATCTCCTGCTAGTCTGTGGGCAGGATCAGTGCCTATCCCTGACAAAATTATCATTCATCTGTAGTGATGCAAGAAAAATTTAAATAATATACATTTTTAAAAACCTAAATCTATCCAATTTATGAGTCCATGCCTTATTTTGAGATCACATCCTTCCTACATTTGGCTATTAAAGATCCTCTCTTTATAAAATGATGAAGACAGCAGAGAGTAATGTTCTTAACTGGAAAAATTAAAACTTGACACACTGTTGGTCTCCCCATCACTTTCGCCCAGGCTGGAGTGCAGTGGCGTGATGGTGGCTCACTGCAAGCTCCGCCTCCCGGGTTCACGCCATTCTCCTGCCTCGGCCTCCCAAGTAGCTGGGACTACAGGCGCCCGTCACCACACCCGGCTAATTTTTGCATTTTTAGTAGAGACGGGGTTCCACCATATTAGCCAGGATGGTCTCAATCTCCTGACCTCATGATCCGCCCGCCTCGGCCTCCCAAAGTGCTGGGATTACAGGTGTGAGCCACTGTGCCCAGCCCCACTTTTTTGTAAATTGCACTGATCCAGAAAAATCTAAATGCCTGAGAAGCTCTCTTCCCTGGAATTATGAGAGTAGCTATTCGTGTATAAAAATTCATCCTAATTTACCAAAAATTACACAGTCCACAGAGTTAGGCTACTTTGAAGCAGCAAAGATGGCAGTGTCCACAAATGACACACATAGAATATACAGCCTGAATGCAGAATGTGAACCTGTGAGCCTAAATACCCAAGAGCCTTAAATCTGAAGTTAATGTGAAGGGAATAAACAGTTCCAGTGGAATGGTGAATGCATAGAGTGTACTAGTGTGTTAGCAAAATGGCAAAAAAAAAAAAAAAAAAATCATATAGCATTAAAGTTAGACTTCACAAGCTAAGACATCCAACAAAGTTCAAAGAAAATAAGGAGCTTTCCACAGCCACCAGAACAAACACACAAGAATTAATTTTAGTTGAACTCAAACTTGTCTTAAATCAATAATCTTCTACTCACATTAATGTCTTGACTGAATATCACAATGCAAAACACCCACACATTATGGAAAAGGATTCCAGCTGGTGCTGGGTGCAGTGGCACACAAATATAGTCCCAGCTACTCAGGAAGCTGAGGCAGGAGGGTCCCTTGAGACCAGCTCAAATGTACTCTGGGCAACATAGTGAGACCCTTTCAGGTAACAGGAGGAAAAATGTAGCATGATTATATCGTTCTCTTGCTAAGGCACTGTCATTTAAGCATAAACCTGGAGTATTCACAATAGAATTCAGATTTACCAGATGAGAGCATGATAAGCAGTGTGTCAGATGGCTGTGGAAAGATGTGTGTTTCTGAAACCTACAGGTATCAAGAAGGAAAAACACAAATACATCTTGCTTAGTGTAGAGCAGCAGTTTAAACCATTTAAAGTCCCAAATTGTGTTAAGTTTTGAAACCATGTCAGTGCTGACTACTGGGAGTATCAAAAATCTCTTTAGGGCTGTTGTTATATTTATAATTTCTAAAAGGTGAGGGAAGACAGCTCGATGGATTTCTATTAAAAGCTGTTCCTGGCCAGGCACGGTGGCTCACGCCTGTAATCCCAGCAATTTGGAAGGCTGAGACGGGCAGATAACCTGAGGTCAGGAGTTCGAGACCAGCCTGGTCAACATGGTGAACTACAAAATTTAGCCTGGTGTGCTGGCATGCACCTATTATCCCAGCTACCATGGAGGCTGAGGCACATAATCACCTGAAACTGGGAGGCGGAAGCTGCAGAGAGCCGAGACTGTGCCACTGCACTCTAGCCTGGGCGACAGGGCAAGACTCCATCTTAAAAAAAAAAAAAAAAAAGGTAATTCCTGTGTGTTCCATGTAACAGACAGAGTAAGTATTTGCTTATAGTGTCTGTCTGTCTAACAAGCCAGCCATTTAATTTTCAATGAAATCAACAAAAAAGAAAAAGGTGCATGGATGTGTGATTTTGAGAAAAAAAAAAAGTCAGTCTTAAAATGTAAGTAAAATATGGAACATGACCTCAAAAAAAACAAAAAACAAAAAACACTGGAAAAAAAACCATGTTCCCAAAAGGGTACCTGGTCTTACTCTACACTGTGCTGCTGGCCATGCCCCTGTGCTTGAGGTGGCCCTTGGTGGCAGTTCAGAACCAGGGGACCTGTAGTCCCCTGTATGAGCCAACTCGTCCCCAGTCCCAGGATGTTCTTCCACATGGAAACCCTCTCTCCTCTCTTTCACCATACCACAAGAGCCCTCTCCTCCTCAGAACCCACCTCAGTTTTCATAGTCTCCACAAAAATATATCAATAAACAATCCTGGCTTGCAGAGATCTCCTTCTAGTTCTGCATAACCACAGCATTTATGCACTCAACAGGATAGAGCACTAAGTGAACACTGGATGACTGATACAAGTATTTTCTCTGGAATTGGATCAGGGATAATCTGGGATAAAAAAGAATATAAATATTATTCACCACATATTTTGGAAAAATCATAGTCAGCAATTCCATTATCCTAAATACAAATATTTCTGCAGAAACAAAGCCTCACTACCAGGATTTAATCTTCATTCAAAACAAACCATTACCTGTGCTTAATGGACCGGAGCTGCTGAAACGTCACCAAGTAACCAGACCAGTCTGGACATTCGGTCCGGAAATGCTATCTCAGTACAGAGCAAAGAGCACAGCTCGCTAATTACGTTTCCTACAGCTTTTAAGTTCTGCATGTCACAAGCAAAGCCATGGAATTCTCATCCAGAAGTTCTCGCCTCCCCATTTACAGCTACCTTTCCCTAGAACTTTTGTTACTAGAGTCTGTCTTTGGGGGCTGAGATGAAATGATGAAATGGCCTTTCAAACCCAAAGAGGGAGGCAGGGCAAAGGCGCTGACAGTCCAGGGTGGTCCTGCCCCTCACTTTGTGACCCGCGACCCAGTGGGGTTAACTGTCTTGGATTATTTTGTGTCTTCTTTCCTTTTTGATGCATTCTGGTATGAATTTTTCCTTGTCAGGTTGGCTGAGGATGGGACAGGAGAGAGAGGTGACACAGAAGTGTCACAGGCAGTAGAAAGGAGAGGATGTCTATAGGCACTGAGCAAACAGCTCCTAGACAGGTAAGCTCTGGGGGCCTTCCCCATCAAGGCCTTTGAGAAAGTGCTTCTCCTTACTGTCCACACCACTGCACACCTCCTCCACTCTTCAACATGCTGGTTTGGTTTTCTTCTCTCCAGCCTTAAAACATGAACATTTCACTTCTAAGGTTCACGTCTTTTATTTTTAATGAAAGAGATATCCTGAGCTTCCAGAGATTTTTTTATTATAATTACAGTAATGCTGTCAAACACTTCAACAGAATACTCTAAAATACATGTATCACTGACATAGAATTATACAGCCATGATTTCCAGCCACTGAAGTGGTACTGGATATTGCATCTGGTCATGAGCAATTTTATATTTAATATTAAGCACATGCACAGTTGTGAATGTCAAAAAAAAAGACTGGAAGACCAGCAGCCCCCAGAACATACTCTTACATGACACCAAAGGGCTATTTTCTGGGGTAAACTGAGGTTCCTTCTAGAAATAACATCAAGACGTGGACTGAATCCAACATCCCCTCACTTTCACCAGTGTGAACTGTCTATCTCCACTGTGCCTGGCAGTGGGCAAATGATGGGAGTAAAAAGGGGGTGAGAGGGAGCTTCGGTCCTCAGGAGCTCACAGGCAGCAAGAAAGACGCTGTGGAGACTAAATGGTACAACCCATGGGGCCAGCGCCATGGCAGTGCCCTATCAAGCATACAGGGAGCAGAGAGAGAGAGATGAATTCTGCCTAGGGAAAAAACTAGAGAAAAGTCCCACAGAAGACATAAGATTTCAACTGCGTATCAAAGAAACAGCAGAAGTTAACTAAGAACGTAAGTCGGGGAGGGAATTCTTTGGACAAAAGAATCACTCTCAAAAAATCTCTCTTTCTCCCTCCCTCCCCAAGTGGCTTGGGGTGAATAAAACCAACCCACCAATTTTAAACTAGCAAACCTACACTTTTCATTACTGTTGAGGTTTCTCCAACGGTTGCTTGTCTTCAGCTCGTCACCTATCCAAAGCATCCACAAAAATGACCTACTGAATTTGCAGAGGCAGAATTTTTACAAGAATAGTAACACTAGGGTGAAATTTAATACTGTAGATTGCCTTTCTGGCCATGTGCTCATGCGCACACGCCAAGCCACGAGAGTAGACAGGAGGTTTCATGTGCTGCCCTAGGCTTCCATTGCATTAAGCATTTTTTAAATTTTAGTATAAACTGATAAAATTCAAGAGCTATGCATCTACTTTTAAACTAAATCATTTTCAGTAAATCGCTGAATACTTTATTCAGAAAACAAGATTTTTACAAGATGATTTGTTATTCTTACCTCCATGGGAAAAGCTTTGAAATTAACCGTGTGCTCAGAACCACGCTGGTTTTCTCTTCCCCAGTGAAATCTCACTTCGTACAGTTCAAATTCATGCCCTTGAGGCAATGGTCCTCCCGAAAGAACTGAAAAAGAAAATATATGTTACCGAATTACAGCACACATTTACCTCAGCATTATAAACATTAGAGACTTTTTTTTTTTCCACCAAAATGCTCTCATGGGCTCTACAGATTAAATTCACAAAGCCAAAATGAGAAATTTATCACAACTGTGAGGTGAATTTAAACTATCTAGGCTTGGCTGAAATTCTTGTATTGGCCATTCAGACACGGAAGTTCAAAACCTCTGAAAAACTCATAATGATATGCATATTTTAATTTCCTGTGTGTTTTCAGTCTAGAAGTAGACAAGAAAAACAAATTCCTCCCTTAGAGATTTAAGCTTAGCACTGATCAGGAGACAAAAATATGGTTTGACTCTCTGACTGACCAATAATATTCTGTAGACATCTAAATAAATTAAACCACGTTTGCAGATCATCCACTTGTACTAGAAGGCTTCCAATTTAGCGAACGGGTGTGTGGACTAACAAAATTATCCATGAAGAGGATTGATTAGCATTAAGTCAATCAATAATGAAATCACACTTTAATAGCTGATGGACATTCATTACCACAAACGACACAAAATAAAACTGCAATAAAATATTAACAATCCTCAAAATATTAACATCAGTCCCACAGGACCATGTCTCTATTTCTCATTGCTGGATATGATCAAGACCTTTATCCCCAACAAGAGCACACTAAAGGATAATGAAAAATACATTTGCATGAGAACCTGTCTTAAAACAATAAAATTATTTAGTTAAAAACTCCCTGACAGCATATGTACAAACTTGAAATAAAGTTTCCTACAAATAAATGGTCAATTTCAATACAAATAAAAGTTGTTTAACTCAGGGCATTTTTCCTCTAGCAACTCCCAATTCTGAACAGTATCAGCTAAGCATTTTAGGTTATTTAGCTAACAAAATTCAACACCTTCATCTTTCCTAGAAGCAGACTTTTTGAAACAGATTGTCCTTTTGGGTTGCCTTTGAGGAGGACATAACAGATTCCACACCTCTCTCGAGGAAGAGTTCTTTCATCCTTACCCAAAAACTCAAAGGAGAAGAAAGCAAATTGGTGCAACAATATTTACTTGTTTGGTTGGTTCTTCATCTAATGACTTGTTTCAAAAAGGATTTAAGGCTGCTTATGTCAAGGTACATATAATACAGTCAGACAGCATAAATTAGGAAGAAGAACAAGGGGAAGCCAAGAAAGAGGCAGAAAATAGATGGAGAAATGAGGCTATTAGACACAATGGAGGTCATGGAGTCCTTGATAAAGGTGCCCTACAAATCTACTCCCAAGCTTTCTACCAGCTCAAACAACGAAGACAAGGAACATCCAGAGCAAGAAGTAACTTTAATTTTTTGAGTGGATACACTTCACATCAACAGGAAAGGGAAGTGAGATTCATGGCCCTTAGGATCACACTGTCATGTATGATTTTAGATTTTAGTGTTTGTCCTCATGCTTGGTCTGATTTAGGTCACACAACAAATCCAAGGGGATAGTCTCATCATCAACTCCACAGACAGGGCAGAAAAGCGGGATGAAGAGGGGCTGAATGTGACCTGCCACAGTCAGCCTCCTAGCAGGCTCCAGGACAGGATCTGGAACTCAAATCTTCTGACCCACATCCCAGGGTTGAGGCAGGGATAGGGAAACCCAAATTTCAGTATCTGTGAGCATGAACTAAAAAACAATGAATTATCTAAGCCTAGATTTATAAAGTGAAGTTGCTCCTTGGAGAACTGCACTTCATCCTATTTCCCAGAACAATCTAAAAAACTTTTAATATATGGATCAGAAAGGTTTGTAGATATTCAGAACCACAGTGCAAGCTCACTTCACCTTCCTCTTCAATAAACATCCATTCTGTGGATTTAAGAATGTATGAAACGTTTCTAAACAACCTCACAACTCATTCCTTTCTCTTGGCTGTCCAAATTTGGTCTTAAGAAAAACCAGGAAGGAGACCAGGAGTCTACCCACTGTGTACCCCACCTCCCAAACCAAAATGAAAAAAGAGAAAGAGAAAATACACCCCTTGCCACCCCCAGCAACAGTGGGACCCAAGGCCTCAACAGGTGAGCTCTATAACTCCACTTCTAAAACAAAGTGATAAAACTGTCCTAGAAAAGGCTCAGCTCCACGTGGCTAAGGAAAAAGAAAGAGGAGTGTCATGAAATGAAGCACATGTGAAATGGGAAAGAGGATTCTTAAAACTCCTTCCCCAAAACCCCTTTATCACATACACTCAGAACACACACACACAAAGGCACACAGTATTTCTAAAACTGCTCTGTTACAAAGCAGCTTACTAGTTCTACTAGTAAACAGCAGTCTACTAAGTACTGTCATATGGAAATGAATGATACAGCTTGTAGCTGGTCTTGACAGTGATTTCAGGGAACCATAAAGAGATCCATGCTTCAAAAATATACTCCCCGCATGACCAATGCTCAAAACTTCCTTAACAGCAATGAACCCTTTCACTTAAACTTGGAGACGGTTTAAGTGAAACACTGTGGAAATTCAAACTGCACAGACCCATGTTTTGATAGGGAGAACTTCAAAATCCAGGGAAGTTTACTAATCCTTCCAACAGATATTGTTTTGATCATCTACTACCTTGTACCAGGTACTGTATTAAGTATTTAGAATACATTGATTTTGACAAAACAGACAAAATTCCCTGGCCTTGTAGATCTTACATTCTATTATCCTGAAGTGTAAATTCATATATTTATCAAGATCATATTTTTTCTGAGTCCTATCTGGTTACTACACAGGTTTATTAACTGTCATGTCATGACAGTCAATACAATTACAATAAAGTAATTATATTCTATGGTATGAAAGGAACACTGAGAAGGGAAGTGTTTTGCCCCAGCCTGGTTCTCCAGGGAGAGGTGACAAAGAGGTGGCTGTCAGCCAGGAACCAGGCTCTGGGTACCTTTCACTGTTGCTGCAGATGAATAATCCAAAATAAACCACACTAAAGTCATATAGCCATACAATGCCATAAAAAATGACAAAATTCTCAATTCAGAGTTTTACGAGGTGCCAGGTAAGAGCATTACCTGTTCATCCCCCAAGAATGATTGTGTTTATGGACTAAAAATAAATAGCAGCTTCTATTTTATCCATCTGGTAACCCTCTTCCAGCATTATTCTCCCTTTTTACTGCTTACATTTTTTTAAATAAAAAAACAAATCATCTCAGAAGGGGTAGCCTTTTCCTACATTTATGAAAATCAAATTTTGCTGAGTGATATTGGGTCACTACATGGCAGGTTTATTAGTTATGATGTCATCTGGTTCAATAAAGTTACAATGAAAGAACATGAAACTCCTACTGATGACAGGCTGAATTTTTTTAGAAAAGGAACTTGTGAAAAGAATATAAAATAAACTGATGCCATTGCCACAGCCTCCATTTTCTTTAATGCTCTTTAATACGCTTGGCAATTGCATTTATAAGACATAAACAAGAGCTCCCTGAGGAAGCTTTTGTAAGATCTGAAAACCCTATAAAGACATGATGTATATACATTTATCTAAATCTATCTAAGCTTCTACAATCCTTTGCTGAAAACAAATTTACCAGATAATTCAAAGGCTAGTGCTCAAGCCTTATTCCTTTTCATTTGACTTCAAAGCTAAGTTTTGAGATCAACTCGACACCTGGCCCTGTGCTGGCCACTGAGTGTATAAAGCGAGGAAGATCCAGCCTTGGTGTTGACTGGGCAGTCTCAGTGGTTAAAAAAGTAAACTGAATAGTCTAAATAGAACACATCAAGAGCAGGAAAGGGTAGCAGGAGGGCATCCAGCAACGGACAAGCCAATAACAAGCATGAATCATAAAGTCAGGTAAGATGTTCCCCAGAAGATACCAACTCAGCTGAGTCTTGAATAAGCTGAGAGGTGAAAAGTGCATGGAGAGTAGAGCGAAGAGCCTGAGAAATATTCTGAGACATGAAGCAGCTTAAGAGTGTTCTAGGAGAATAAAATCAAAAGTTAGCTACAGTCAAGGTGGGCATGAGGAGGAGACATGCAGCCTATGCTTACGAGCTGGGATTTCTCCTGTCCAGAACCATTGAGGGCTTTTAATCAGGGGACTAACATGATCATATCTGCAATTTAAAGTATTATTCGTGCAGTATCTGCACAGATGACAGAATAACAAAGGGTAAGCCTAACCAGTAAGAAAGCTGCTATCATGCCCAGTTACAGATGGTGAGGCCAGGAGATGAAGCCTGCAGAGCCACACCGTCAACACAGAGGAAACCCCACACCAGTGGGTCCCTGGTACACCACCCGAAGGATCCAAAGGATTCATTCTTATTTTATTTACTTACTTACCTACTTATTTATTTATATACGTCTTTTTGAGATGGAGTCTTGCTCTGTCATCCAGGCTGGAGTGCAGTGGTGTGATCTCGGCTCACTGCAACCTCCGCCTCCCAGGTTCAAGAGATTCTCCTGCCTCAGTCTCCCTAGTAGCAGAGATTATAGGTGTGCACCACCATGCCTGGCTAATTTTTGTATTTTTACTAGAGACGGGGTTTCACCATGTTGGCCAGACTGGTCTTCAACTCCTGACCTCAAGTGAGCCACCTGCCTTGGCCTCCCAAAGTGCGTAGATTACAGGCATGAGCCACCATGCCCAGCTCCAAAGGGTTCATTCTTAATGGATTTAAAGACTTTATAACCTCAAAGTAACTTTTAAGAAATTCCAATGTTATCTCTAAAACTTCCCCAAAATAGTATCATTTAGTTCTTTTTTTAACATTTGAGGCCTTAAAAGCAAAAATTTTTCAATATTTTTAAACTGTCTTTGGCTTTTAACCTATGGCTTTATTAAATATCTTCAGCTCTTAAGGGTAGAGATCATAACAATAGCACAGAGAGCAGGCCGGGCAAAGTGAAGCACATGCAAAATGATGCAGATGACAGGAACTAACCAGGTAATTCAAATGCACCAAAATTAGCCAATAATAAATACAGTCATTAATCCAGCCAGGTACAGTGGCTCACACCTGTAATCCCGGTTCTAAGGGAAGCCAAGGCGGGAGGATCATTTGAGCCCAGGATTTCATGACCAGCCTGGGTAACATAGCAAGACCCCTGTCTCTACCAAAAATTTAAAAATTAGCTGGGCATGGTGGCAGGCCTGTAGTCCCAGCTACCAGACAGGCTGAGGTGGGCAGATTGCTTGAGCCCAGGACTTGGAGGCTGCAGTGAGCTATGACTGTACTCCAGCGTGGCCAACAGAATGAGAGCCTGAAAAAAAAAAGAAAGAAGAGAGACAGAGAGAGAGAAAAGAAAGAAGGAAAAAGAAGTTCAGCCCTGACATTTCATATAAATAAAAAAGATAGAGCCTCTTCTTCAGTGAAAATAATTTTTAAGATATTTTTGACAATTTCATCTTTAAATCAGCAAGGTTGCCAAGAAACACTGTTAAAAAGTTGCCATGTTTGGGGGGGAAAAGTAGGATTAATAATCATCATCATCTATCCTAAAATTAGTATTGAGAATTACAAGAGACCCAGAAATAAAATATCCTAATTAAAGTTTCTATAATAAGAAACAGTGAAGGGCACAAATGACCTATCTTGATTGGCAATTTCTCCCATAATGATGGTTGATTAAAAATGTCATTACCCTTAAGACATTGCTTGTAGTCAGCTGGAGTGACACTACTGCACAAGTGTGGGCAGTCTCACACATTTTCTCACTACTTAAGTATCAAGCCACTCAGGCTAGAAATCTGTAATTATTTTTTATGCTTACAATCCTCTTTATACCACTGCAAAGATGTTTAATTTTAATTTGCCTGTGTACCTTAAATGTCAAGATTCCTGAGAGACAGTGACCCACTTGTCCTGCTGAGAAGCTAAATGATACATGTGGCAGCCTTAATAAAATTCTCCATGCTCTAGGAGATAATAGGACCAATAGTCTGGTCAGATCACCCTGGAATGTGATGCTTGCTTCAACTCCATGTTAGGAGGGAGGGACTCTGCTACCTTGAAATTTGCCCAGAGCAGAGGTAGAATAGTGACAGGATCTGAAACCGGGGGCTCCATCCAAGCCATCTCTCTCCACTGATCTCCTCCACATCCCTGCTCCACATAACTGACCCATGACATTCTGTAGATTGCATCGCAGAGATCACTCCTGTGTCTTCCCCTCCTTTTCCACTGACACTGCAATGCCTGTGGTTTTGGTTGAGTCTTTTGTACTAACCTTCAAACTGGCTCACACTCTCTCCCAGATCCCATCTCATTCAGTGCTGCCAGCTTGATTTTCTTAAAGCAATGTTCTAATTATGACTTTATCCTACAAAAAAAAAAAAGAAAGGTTCTACTCTTTAGCCTCTGTGCAGAGTCCCTCATGAATTTGCTCCATAATACCCTCTCTATTCTATTTCCTGTTAACCCCCTTTATCATGAACAAATCTCTTCCAGACATACTGAAGGATTGGCCTTTCCTCATACAACCTCTAGAACTTTCCATATCTTATCCTTTGTGCAAGCTGTCCCTTCTTCCCACACACCTCAGGCTCCCCATATCCAAATGCTATTCATCCATCAAGGATTATTTCAAATGCTCTTTCCTCCACAAATCCTTCCCTAAGAATTTCCACCAAAAATAATCTCTCCCTGTATAGCTATAATATATTCCATGACCTACCATTGTATCCTCCTTGAGGGCAGGCTTTGGATCTGATTTATACTTACCTTATCCAAAGCATGTAACTGTTTGCAAAAGATGAAACAAAGATTGCCAACCTCACCCTGCAGGCCAGAGGAAACCAATGAACACGTATGTTTAGTTCACAGGTGCACATCTCCAGTTTCTCCTGACACATTAAACATCTGGCAAAGTAGGCCTGCTCTCTGCAGCTTGCCAGTTCCTGCAGTCCCCACCAGCCCCTACTGTCTTGTCTATTGACACTGCAGATGAAGCAGAGGATCAGTAGCTATTTACAATCTCTTGCTCTCCTGGTTGCTCTCATGTATAGTATTATATCTGCCTGGGTCTAAAAGACAAGTGAGTCTATAATTCCCATAGTAAATTATCAATAAGTAAGTATTGAAGGATGAAAGGCTGTCATGTGAGCAACAGCTGAAAGAACTAAGAATGTCTGAAAAGAAAAATGGCAACTGCATGTTATGACTGCAGTATTTGAAAGTGGAAGTATAATTATATTTGTTCTAAATATGTCCAGAGACTTAAAGAGAGACAATGGCGGAGATCATAGAACTTTTTGACTTTTGGAATTGCTCAAAAGCAAAATGGGTTTTCTTGTGAGAAATGGATTTCCTTCCCTGAGCTATTCAAGCTGCCCACCCACCTGCCAGGGGTCTGAGATGGGAGGCTACACTGGCCCATGCCACTCAGAGAGCCTATCACTGTGGCTCCTTTTCTAAGCTCCTTTGCTCTCTTATGGGGAAAAAGAAGACGAACAAAGTAGCACACAGTCTATGCAGATGCACTGCTCATGGGGTACATGCAGGAGAAGAGGGTTCAGAAGGAAACCTTAAGAAACCCTGTTATTTAAGCACAGTGGAAGATGAAGCACCAGCAGAGAAAAGGCAGTCAAAATTAGGAAGAAGTGTCAGGGAACTGTGTGGCCCAGAGACTAACAGGAGAGAAAACTTCCAAAAATTCCATTTCCAGTGCAGCAGAGTTAAAGTCCTGTAAGAATATAAAAATGCCCATTGGATTTAGGGGATGATGAGTTCATCAGTGACCTTGGCTTGAGAAGTTCCAGCAGAGAGGGATGGGGGCAGGGGCTCATGCCCCTGAAAACCCTCAAATTTATATTAAGGCAGTAACTCCAGATGGGATTATATATACAGGAACAATATCATTACAATTATGTTAGAAGTTTTAGTTTGATAAGTTTAAGCATTTAAATTATACTACAACTGTTCTAAACCTTTTTGGCAATTATTTATGATTTGTTAATATAAACTAAGCAAAAATAAAGAATAAAACAAAATAACTGAGGCCAAAGACAGCCTCAGGGAGGGCTGAGGTTTTAGCACAGTGGTGGTGTGAAGTCAGCTTTAATTTCTAAAAAGAACTGTGCTTCTTGTGTGGATTTTTTTTTTAATTTAAGAAGACAGCCCACTGTATTTGCAGGGGGTACCTCCAGTTAGACAAGGAAGATTGTACTCAAAACATTTATCTGCCCTCCCTCCTCAATTCTCACTAAATGAAGAGGGCACAACTTGCCAGAGCAACATGAACAAGACTGGAGAACAAGAGCAAAAGAGAAATGCCCAAAATAATGGGCGGCGGTAGGGGGGTGGTGCTGGAAAGCAGACAAAGGTAGTGAGTGATTCAGCAAAAAGAGAAAGCTAAAAGCTAAGTAACTACAGGAAGAAGGCCACAAGAGGCAGGTAATTCCTACCGCAGAACCCAGATGCTATGGTTTGAATGCCTGCATCCCCCTCCAAAATCCATGTTGAAACTGAATCCCCAATGCAACAGTATAAGATGTCCAGGAGGTGATCAGGTAAATCGGATGAGGGCTCTGCTCTAAGAATGGGATGAGGCTCTTATAAAAGGGCTCCAGGGAGCCTGTTTGACCCTTCTGCCTCATACCATGTGAGGACGTAGCACCGAAGCACCATGTACAGAGCAGAGGAAGAGCCCTCACCAGACACCAAATCTGTCAGCAGCTTGATATTGGACTTCCGAGTCTCCAGAACTAGGACAAATAAATTTCTATTATTTATAAATTACCTACTCCACAGTATTTTATTATAGTAGCCAAACAGACTAAGACACGAGAAAAGACTCAGGAGGTGGAAGCATTAGAGATACTTCTGAATGTGGCAGTGCAAAGTAGGAAACTGAAAACAGAAAAACAGATTTAAAGTTTTTAAAAGGAGCAGTTAAACCTCATCATGCATGGTCAGGCATGATGATGAGATCCCTGGCAGAAGATGAAGGAAATGTGGACTTGCTAAATGGTAATAGTCTCCTGTCTGTGCCAACAACCAGAAAGCTGGTGGCCAACTTGAGCCATCCCCAACCCCAAAACAAAAACACAAACAGGAAACAAGCATATTCCAGATAAACCAATATAAGCAACAAAGACTCCTCCAACAACATGGCCAGGTCCTTTCTTGATCATGGTACTGTGAAGCCCAACAGCCCTCAATCCCTGCCCAGGTGCACAGAGCTTCTGATCTGCTTCCTAGACTCATTCTTAAATAGGAACGAAGAGCCAAAGATCACTGGACTTTTGAGGAGAACCTCCGAAATAAAAGAGGGATGCCAATATAAATAGAAAAAGAAACCCAGAGTAAACAGAGACAGGTAGGGATAGAAAAGAAGCAATATAGAAAAGAATGAAGAAAGATCATACATTCATGAAATAAATACTGGATGTTGTATTTTTTTTAAAAAAAAAGGTTTTTAATTGCAGCGTAAGTTCAATGTTTTAGAAATTAAAAACAAGAAAGCAGAAAGTAAGAGTTCAATCAAAAGACTAAACGATTAAAAATTGAGGAAATCTACTAGAAAGTAGAAGAGAAAGGGAAGAAGAAAGTGGGAGTTACCAAAAGAGGAGGAAAAAATAAAAATACAAAATTTATCAATGAAATAATATAAGAAATATAAGAAAATTGCTGGTAAATAAAAGACACAATTATCTTGACTGGAAAAACCTACCAAGTGCCCAGCATATAGTGCAGAAACAATCCCACCAAGGCATATGGTTGTAACATTTCAAAACAACAGTAGTAAAGAAAACACTGTAAAAGGTTCCAGAAAGGAAAAAAGAGAAGAGACACATAGAGGGGGTTGAGAAGCAGAACGGCGCTAGATCTTTCAACTGCAACGCTGGAAGCTTCAAGCAATGTAATCATGATGTCAAACATCAAACGAAGTCAAGAATACTTCCAACCCAGACTGCCGCTCCAGGCTAACTCCAATCAAGTGTGAAGTATAATAAAGACACTTACAGACACATAGGCATCCAAGCATGTAGCCCTCACTTGCCCCTTTTCTCAGGAAGTTCCTGGAAGATGAACTGTACAAGCAAATAAACCAAGAAATTCCCTGAGATGACGGAGCAACTCAAAAAAGAGGATGGCACGGCATCCAGAAAACATTCGATCTAACACAGGAGACAAACGAGGGGACTTCCACGGCATCCAGGAAACATCCGATCTAACACAGGAGACAAACAAGGGGACTTCCCAGGCTTGAGGTCCAAGGAGCTGCGAGAAGAGGCTGTTAGGAGAGGCCTGGAGAGCAGAAAAGAAAAGCAGCCTCCACAGGAAAAAGAAAGGACAAGGAGGAGCGAGGGAGGGAAGACAACCTGATGCACGCTAATGTCCTAAGAGAAGATCCGTCATATGTTAGAGAGTTTGCAAATTAATTACCGACAGATAAAAAATTCAATTAACAAAAATGCATTAACTCCAGGAAAATACAAAACACTGTTTAAGTGAGACAAAATATAATCTCAGCTGGAAACAACAGTTGCAGTTGTAATAATAAAAATAATGAGTATTAATTTAAATAAAAATTAATTTAAGTAGACTCCAGGGGAATGAGGCATGAGAAATTACATAATGGATACAATGTACACTATTTGGGTGACAGTTACACTAAAAGCCCGGACTCCACCACTATGCAATATATCCAAGAAACAAAACCGCACTTGTACCCCCTAAATGTATACAGATTTTTAAAATTAATTTAAGTATACAGCGATAATACGAGAGTGAAATCATAAGAAAGAGGGCAATAAGAAAACTGGCCTCGTCCAGGTGCTGTGGCTCATACCTGTAATCCCAGCACTTTGGGAGGCCGAGGTGGGCGGATCACCTGAGGTCAGGAGTTTGAGACCAGCCTGACCAACATGGTGAAACCTCGTCTCTACTAAAAA
Source organism: Homo sapiens (assembly GCF_000001405.40). NCBI lineage: Eukaryota > Metazoa > Chordata > Mammalia > Primates > Hominidae > Homo > Homo sapiens. Next base: position 60,276,962 of record NC_000008.11, read on the forward strand.
TACAAAAATTAGCTTGGTGTGGTGGCGGGCGCCTGTAATCCCAGCTACTTGGGGAGGCTGAGGCAAGAGAATCACTTGAACCTGGGAGGTGGAGATTGCAGTGAGTCAAGACGCACCATTGCACTCCAGCCTAGGCGACAGAGCGAGACTCTGTCTCAAAAGAAAAAAAAAAAAAGGAAAGAAAATTGGCCTCGTCTTCAATAGTAGAGAGTTCATACATAGCTTACTACCAAAGCATAACAGCATTATTATATTCTTACATTCTTGGAGGTAACCACAGGAGAAACAGCTAGAAAGTTTCAAAGTAGTTGTTACTAGGGAACAGCAGCCGTAGGTGGGGAAGAGCAGGGGATAACCACAGGCAGAAAGAACCACAGGCAGAAAGAGTATTATTCACCTTTTTTTTTTTGAGACGGAGTTTTGCTTTTGTCGCCCAGGCTGGAGAGCAATGGCGCAATCTCGGCTCACTGCAACCTCCGCCTCCCAGGTTCAAGTGATTCTCCTGCCTCAACGCCCCAAGTAGCTGGGATTACAGGCGTGTGCCACCATGCCCAGCTAATTTTTGGATTTTTTAGTAGAGATGGGGTTTCACCATGTTGGTCAGGCTGGTGTCGAACTCCTGACCTCCACTGATCCACCCACCTCAGCCTCCCAAAGTGCTGGGATTACACTTGTGAGCCATCACACCCAGCCTATTCAACTATTTTGTATATATTCTATTTTGATAAAGATAAAACATTATTTAAATAAGCGAATGACAGGGTATATAGAGCTTACAAATGGTTCCTCTGAGGAGCTTAAATATCCTAGGGGAAAAAACAACTACTCAAGACATGGTTATTTTGGTTACTTTTCTTGAGTTTGCAGAAATATTGGAAGGGAAAGAACAATAAGGAGGAAATTATTACCATGACAGAGAGGATAAGGGGAATCTGAAGGAGGAAGGTCTCCAGGGAGGCAGGAAAAAAGGGTTCTGGATCATGAGTATCCAAATCAGGCCTAGACAGAAGTGCAGACACTTCTTCTTCAGTGGGCAGGGGTGGAAGAAGGAGGAAGAGAAAAGCACAAAATGCTAGGTGAGGAAGAAACACACTTCATGGTGAGAGGGCCCAGATGTTGGTCCATAGTCTCTGTTTTAGAGTGAGGCAGAAGATTAAAGAAAATTGTGTTTGAGAAGGTAGCAGAAGAAAATGGTAAGTTCAAATTGATGAAGTAAATTTTATCTCAGAGCAGGACTAGGCACACACAGATGCAGTGGAGTATATGTGCTTAGTCATTGCTCTCTGCTCCCACAACCCTTTGTAACACTTGCCACATCAAGTGTACACTAGTACTTTAAAGAACTGGCTTTTCACTAGGCTATGAATCCTCAAGAACTGTCTTATAAATTTATATGCAACCAATATTGATCATGGCACCTGACATGAAATGTATTTTTGTTTTGTGGATATATAAACATTTATTTCCGGAAGTTCAAAGCATCTCAACACATCAACACACATGTACTTCTTTAAATTGCTTTTTATATGCCAGAACAGTCAGCATTCAATAATTTTACAATATCCTTTAAAAAACAGTAAGTAATGTCCCATCAAAGCTAAACCCACACCCCCAAAAAAATTCAAGTCGAAATTTCCATCTTAAACTGACTCTGACTAAGTACATATAAAGCCCAGTAACTCTTTTGGGCAATGCTCACATGCTGACTAAACTCAGAACAGCGAAGGAGACTACATGAATCTATGACTATCTCATGGATTCTAAATTAAAGCTTAGAAACATTTACAATGAATAAAATAAATCCATAGCTGGAAATCAACAGCTGCCTTGATTAATAACAAACCTAAAGATTTTATAGTTTGAGGTATCAACTTTATCAACTTGGAATTAATTTTCGAGCACAGTCTCTATTTATCAAGTACGTCCTAATATTTCAACATACTTTAATTTTTCCCAAAAGAAAAAGACAGTTATTATTCACTATGAAATGCATGCTATTAATGCTACATTTTTTAAAAATCTGATTTCCTCTTTCCTACGATAAAGCCAAAAACTGATTTCCTTGGTAATTACCTAACAACTTTTGCACAGAACATTTCAGATCCATCTCAAATAGGTTTGCAAGTGGTAGGAGAAGTTTCATGGGATGGAACTTAAATAAATAAATAAATAAATAAATAAAAGGAAGAGGTTTGTTTACCATTTAAATCTCTGGCTGAGTTTAGAGGCTGTTTCTTATTGTTATTAGTTAAAATTATTTTTGGCAAACTAATACAGTAGAGAAAATTAACCTGAGAAGTCTACCTTGAATGCCACGTTATGTCAATAAATTCTAATCTTTGGTTTCACAAAGTAGCAAAACAGAGAATTATGATTATCTAAGTGATTTAAGCTAATCAACAATTTTGGACAAAACGCAGATTACTGCACCTGCATGTACCTGTCCTCATATTTCACAAGGTATAAGGTGATCAAACTAAGGTTTTTCCAGTAACATCATAAGAAGCAGAACAACCGACTGATAATCTTCATAATTTCACTCTTTTGTCCTTTCAAAATTGTTTCAGAAGGTAATTCCCAAAAATGCTTTATATTATAATACAAAGGTATCCTGAAAATAGAGATACGTCAGTTGTACTTTTTAAATTGTGCAAGTTAAATCACAGTTCAATAACTCTACGCTGACTTCTAGTTTAAAAGACCACACAAACATATTTTCTAAAATACCTGATTTTGACTTCAGGATAACCTGAATGGTATGTCCATCATTGGTGACTTCACAGTCTCGGCACACCACATAATTTGGGGAGAGGCGGACATCCAACAGCGAGGGGTCATACCTAGCCTCTCTTGAGTTTAGGTTAATAGGAGACTGGTATTCCCCATTAGCATCAGGAAACACCAGACCCCACTCAACACCTAAGAACAAAATGAAATAAATTAAAAACAGGTTAAAAAATAAATTACAGTAAAATTTAACATGTAAAAACTAAACACTTAGAACCCTTGATATCATGAAGAGAGTAATGATACCATCACTATACAGATGAAATATGGTAATTCTATTTGTTTTTGCATTCATTATTTGAATGATCTGTTATTATCAAATACCATACACAAAATCCCGGACTAGCAAAATATTCTATTTGTATTTGTCAACAAAGACATAATAATTTATGATTCTAGGAAATTTGGGTCATTTTTAAGTGATTAGGAAAAAAGAATACCAGAACAATTTCTTCTGCTTATTAGTTCAATTACGTTCAGTACCTGGGAAACAGCTGTAACTTTCAACATACTTAGTGACAGTCAGAACCCTAACTCTCATGCTAGTAAATAGACGCCCCTTATCAGAAATGCAAGTGTAGTATTTTAAAGTGTGCATATGTATATATCTGTGTACATACATATTCCCATAGTCTTTCCAAATTTTTTATAATTAAAATTATATATTCTATATTGGTTTCAACATATGTAGTAAACATCAGCACTACTGGTTGGCTCTAATAGGAGCCCTAGGTCTTTAGGAATAAATCTAGGAAACTCGAGTTTTTCAGAAAGTCAACCGCTTCTCGCCAAACCCAATGATTCAGTCTGAAATTTAGGACATGTTTTAGAAAGACTTGAGCATTGCTAGCAGGCTTCACGAAAAGACCAGAGGCAGAAACACTTTCTCCCCAAAGTCTCCAAGCCAAAAACGAATTCTTCACGCTAACACTGTCTTCCTCAGGTGTTTAGTAAAATGTACCGCTGCTCTTCTTGACTACTCAGAAGACATAAAAGGTACAGCCACGGCTTGGAGGCTAGCCCGCCCTCCGGACCGCAGCAGGTGCGAACGCCAGCCCTGCGGAAGGCTCCCGGGTGAGAGCGCAGGCGGCGGAAGAGCGCAGGCGGCGAGCACGCCTCCCTGGAGCGCCTCCCGCCCGAAACGCACCAGGGGAGTGGGAAAGTGGCAGAGACCCCCGTGGGAAAGAGGGGGCGTGGGGGTGCTCGGAGCGCGCAGCGGCAGCAGGACTCGAGTCCCGCGCTCGGCGAGACACTGACGCCGCCGCGGGACCCCGGACACCCCGACTCGCGGCCACTTACCTTCCTCGTAGCCCCACTCCACACCCTCCTCTTCTTCCTCCTCATCCTCTTCCTTCTCGGGGAAGGCGACGGTATCTTCGATGAAGCTCAGGTCCGCCATGGGAAGGCCGCGGGGCCCCTCGGCGCTCTCGGCAGCAGTGCCTGCGCCTTCGCTGGGCGCGGGGCTGGAGCCGGAGCGGAGCGCGCGTGGGGGAGTGTGAGCACGCGTGAGCGGCAGTGTGAGTGCGAGAGCGCCTCCGGGTGTGAACCGCAGTGTGAGTGCAAGCAGGCGTGCGTTCGGACCGAGTGTTCCAGAGACCCGCGTGGGAAGCGCGTCCGGAGGCCCCAGCAGAGCGAGGGAGCGGCTGTGGCCTGGGGAGCGAGCGCCTGGCGAATTTTATACCCGACCGGGGCGTGTCTGGTACGCGAGGATCCGCCCCCTTCTCTCTCTGGCCGTTGGGGCCAGGGGAGCCGACAGTTAGAATGCGCCTCGGGGCGACTAGTCCCAAGTCACGGAAACCTCGGCGCATCCCCGCCCGCCCTTCCCCCGGGGTCGCCCCCGCCGCCTCCTGGCGCTTCCTCGCTGCGGCGACTCCTGCTTGGCCGCCCGAGCCTTCCTTCCAGAAGCCCGCAAGTCTCCCAAGGTCACTCGGGACCCCTGTGTGCCTGGCCTAGCCCAGAGGCTGCTCACCTATTCATTTTCATCCGTACTCCAGGAAATACCAAAAAGAAGGGGTCCTGGAGGAGAGAGATGGGCTGCCGTGGGTAGGAGAAAGGAGAGGGCTAGGAGACCCCGTAACACAATAAAAAGAGACTCTCCAGCGGAATCTTCTTAGTATCTTCTGAGTATTTACTTTTTAAATCGTCCGTTCAGCGCAGTGGAAACGAGTTTGGAAATTTTTCCAAGAAAGTTCTATTAATTCCTAAAAACGTTTAAGAAAAGAAAATGGTTGTTATCTAGAGAAGTAGCTATGATTTAGGGTTGTGTTTTTTTTTTTTTTTTTTCCAGAAAAGGGTATTGTTTCAAAGCAGGGCTAGCAGAAGGCAGTAGACAGAGGGTGTTCGCTGTCAGAGTCTGGGGCGCTGCTGCAGGCTCACCTGGCTGTGTACACAGCTCCCATTCACCTAGTGAAATCGTGTAAATAATGAAGTGCACACATTGCATAACAAACAGGAACTCTTCTGATCCAAAGAGGTGGCATTGTTACCCTTAAACGTGCTTCTCAGTCTAGTGTTAACGACTTCAGCCCTCTGTTCCTGTGCCTTTTAAAAGCCCTGGTCAGTAACCCCTAAGTAGGTTAACTCCACATTTTTAGAAGATATATGTGCACAATAAACTCGAGTTAGGACCTTAAGTACAATTTGTTTTTTATATGCTCTGGTCATTCATGAAGATATCTATTTGCACTTTGAATAACCTGTTCCTAAATCACACCAGCCTTATGAATGCATAATTCCTCAAATAAGGATGGAAATGATCCGTTTGGGAATGTTTAGTTTCAGTGCTCATATCCTTTACTGCCTGCTAAGCACCTCCACTTTTTAAAAAGACACTTCATAGCTTTTAAAAAAAAAAAATTACAAACTGCTCCAGAAAGTACACTGAGATGGAAAGAAGTGGGGGGAACCCTCAACTCGCTCAATTCTGCCACTTTCTGGAAGGTTTAACCAAATATATGGAAAACTACTGGCCAACATTAGCTTGGAGGATAACCGGTGGATTTTAAGCATTCATATAATTTCTCTTTTCCTTAACTGTGCAGAGGACTGAAACAGTTTGAGAAACTAAATTCATTTTTCACTCACTGCATTCTGGGTGTTCTTTAGTGGACGGTCGTTTGCATCTTTGCAAGCCTGGGACTGGCAGAAGCAGAAGCCTACCCCAAAGCCAGAGCTATTAAAAATAATAAGCACTACTGAAAATATTAACTACTTTTCACTGAAGGTCTTCTAAAAGGAACATTTATTTTTCCTTTCTTGAAAACTTTTTTGTAATCTTCTATTTGTTTTAAGTTTCTTTTTAGAAGTATGTTCACACGTTAATTAAATGCCACAGCTAAGGAAGCCCATACAAAGGCTATGAAGGAATTGGATAATAAAAGCACTGCCACTCTGAGCTCATCAGCAATGGCCTTTCTCCTCTGTCCCCCAAATGTGCCTAAGTATGACATTGTAGCCATTGTGTGACCACCAACTGTGTTTAAAATATCAGGTGAATCATAGAGATGTTTATCAAACCAGAGGATGGTACAATCACCATGGTAAAAAACTGAATTTTCCATGAATAAATACTGTGCCATATTTACAAAAGATAGGCTGAAAGATTGAATTATTAGTATTTACTTTTACAGTAAAAAGACAATTTTGCATATAGCCAGCAATGTATTACTATTCAAATATGCAGTTGACTACTAGCATTGGCCTATATTTGCTCCTTCTGAATTGTTCATGATTATTTGTAGAATGTAACTCCTGTATGCAAGCCTAGGGTTCCCTGTCCAGCCACATATGAGCCAATCCTCTAAGCACCCAAATATTCAATTAACAGCCTTAATTGCTTTGAGACTGTGGGGTTCAGATTTTTGCTAATTAACAGCACCTTAAGACCTTCTCTTCTCAGGTCCCTGCACTATATTACCACCAAAGATGGAATTTCTATTTCTAGTTATTATAAGGTGTCTGTCACTAAAAAAATCTAAACACACAGATCAAAGATATAGGGCAATTCTTTGTTTTACAAAATAGAACAAGCACATCTAAATCCAATACCAGAGAATCTAAAAATATTCATACTCTGTATTATGAATGTGTCTTCCACATATTCCTCTATAATTTTTAATAGGCTTTCAGCCTAATATTATATTTGATCCCTTAAATTAACTTTATATTGCTCACATTTAGTGCTTGCATAGCTAAGACCAAACCATATTAGTAGAACAATTTATTAAAACTAAGACCTATATAACTAACTACCATTTGATACTAAGAGAATATAAATAGAAATATCTAAAAGGGACAAACTAATCTAGATGTCAGAGGAACCAAAGTACTAAGGTCGCTTCCCAGAGTCCACAACCTAGACAGCCCGCTCCTGTCTTTCCTCACTGCTTGTCTACCGTACCAAAGCTTTCTTATTGTATCGGTGAGTCTAGGCCCTAGAGTCATAAATTTGACCTCCTCTTATGTGCATCTTATGCTCTGGGATCACCTCAAGGGTACAGCTAACATATGCATGTCACGTGGCTCCTATACAAACTGTAATTCATAAACTTCAACAGCAATGAATTGGGTTCCTTCATGTGCGCTGCTCTGGACTAGGCACTGTGGGAGAACCAAAAATAAAAAATAAAATACTTCTTCTGCTCTCAAGGAACTCATGGTTCTCTGGAGGGAGGAGAGGGGTAAATAATTATAATACAAGGCAATACGCAATATTAATATGTTAAATAGAAATGCAGGTACCACTACATCTAAGGAAGATGGAATTTTCATACTAATGGGAATGATTTAGAAAAGTTGAACAAGATGGCATTTGGGGCAAACTAGAGGAAATGGGCAGAGTTTGGGTGGGCAGCATGTGAGCAAATAACATTCCAGGTGTGAACAAAGATGCCGAATCATGCAAGTGCTCATTGCGGATCTATTTGCTCCCTTAAATGCCATCTGTGACTGCCAAAACCAATTCAGATACACTAAAAATAAGCACTTCTCTAGGCTTATGTCTCAGGTAAGGCACTTTTTCCTATGGTTGTTTAATTCCTTATGTCTAGTTTTTCTTTTGTCAGGAAAGACAGCAAAATTTTCTTCATTATATATATTTTGATTTCTGAAGGTTTCAAACTTTGTTGATAAAAAAATTTACTTCTTCCTTTTAAATTACTTTTTTCAACTGATTAATCTTTTATTTCACCTGCTTAAAGTTACATTTACGAGCCTCCTTTTTTTTGACCTCTTCTTGGTCTTTTATCTTCAGAAACAAACGACTAGGGCTCCATGTAGTCATTGGAGATGACATCATTGTCTCTATCATTTGCTGCCCCTTCACTGCTTGACCATGTGACTTCTTTGACGAATTAAATATGAGTAGAGGTGGCACGTGCCATTTCCTAGAAGAAAGATTTAGGCGTTATCAAAAACAGACATAGTAGCCCATCAAGTAAAGGTGAGTTCAAGGATAATTTTTATTTGCTCAAATGCTGTTTTTGCCTTTATCTTTTTCTTCAAAGAAAAAAAAAAAGTATCTCTGGCCTGCAAAGAAACCAAACAGTCTAGTACAGTGCTCTTATCTTCACCTCACCAATTTCTTGGACGCCCTAACCCCAGCTAGGGCCCTTACCACTTCATGGCAGAATGAGAAAGCCCTTATCCATAGAAAATCCCCATCTTCTCTAAGGAACATGGACCGCAGCTCTCTTCCCCTCTCTCAGACCATGCGAATTATGCCTGAGGCCCTACATGAATTCAGCACCAAAATGACTTATGCTGAAATAGGAATATTTAAGATAATTACATTGGTGACTCCCAAGTCACCAAAAGCTCTAGGGCACCTTCTGCCAAACAAAACCCCTTATGTGTTTAAGCCACAGAGGTTAAAGTTACCTCTTCTTAGTGCTTTCACAATGCCCTGTATAGATCTCTAACCCTGAAGTTAAGATTGTATTTTAAATATGTATTTTATGACCTTCTCCTCTAAACAATGAGCTCCCAAAGAGCAAGGCACTAGGCACTGTGGGAGAACCAAAAAAAAAAGGAATAAAATACTGCTTCTGCTCTCGAGAAATTCACAGTTCTCTGGGGGAGGAGAGGAGTAAATAATTATAATTATTAAAACTATAATACAAGTAAATAATTATAACTATAATACAAGTAAATAATGATAATACAAGAAATATGTTAAATAGAAATGCAGGTACCACTACATTTAAGGAAGATGGGATTTTCATACTAATGGGAATGATTCAGAAAAGTTTCTTGGAAAAGATGGCATTTGAGGCAAACTAAAGGAAATGGGTACAGTTTGGGTGGGCAGCATGTGAGCAAATAACATTCCAGGTGTGAACAACGATGCTGCTTTGTGTGCCCCCATGTAGCACATGGTAGGCACTTAGGAATTCGTTTCCCTGTGCCATCAGCCATACAGTAACCTGATTAGCCTGGATAAATATATTAGTGCAAATAAAAGTTGTGGTTACTAAGGTGGAAGCTTTCAAGGCACAGTAAAGCCACAAAAAAGGGGAGTGATCAAGTTTACCTGGTGGCAGATGTGTCAATAGGGGCTTCATAAAGGAAGTGACTTGGAAGCTGAGCCTTGGGAGATAAATAAGTGCTGCTTTACCCTCAGAAACGGAAGGGGAGGAGGTAAAAAAAAAAATACGTTCCTCAAAGCATGATGTAGACTGATAAGAAAAAAGAAGGAAAAAAAGAAAGACATTCCAATAAAAGAAAAAACAAAAGCTCACATATAGAAGCCAGTGTGGGTTCACTTTTTTGATCAAGTTAATTTTCTTTTTTCCATGGTATTAATAAAAGGGAAAACAACATATTGAAATAGTATGTCTATGTTTGTTTTAGTATTTTTTTAAAACATGTTTCAAAACAATAATGACATGAGATAAAATACAAAGCAGATGGAATGCTTAAGTCAGTGCCCGTTGTTGGCAGAATGGCAATACTGAAAATGTATTGGACCCTTGTTGACTTTAAGAGAAAATGTATTGGACCTTGTTGACTTTAAGAGAAGGTGCCAAGTTAGAATAGCCTCAAGGCCACACCTATACCTTAGTTCCCACAGCTCACTCTGCCCTACAGCATGCTGTTGGCTGTCAAAGATGCTGCTATGCCTTTTAGGCAAGACAGCAAACCAAAGCACAGGAAAATAAAAACTTGAGCGCTGTGGTCACCTCCAAAGATGGCTGCCGTAATTCCCGCCCTCAGTAGGCATGTGCTGTTCTTCCGGTTTACAGGGGAGACTATTTCCCCTTGAAGTGGAACCACAGCTGGTTTTATGACTTGTTTCATCTCCATTGGACTGTCATAGAGTGACACTATGCCAGTTTGGGGCTGAACCTTTAAGAGGGCTGGACAATTTCTCTTTGCTCTCAAAAACCGGTCAACATGTAAGAAATCCTGAGACCACTATGCTGTGAAAAAACCCAACCTAAGCCAGCCACAGGGAGTGAAAAGACATGTGGAGGAACATTGAGGCACAGTCACGTGAGTAAAGCTCTCTCAGATCTTCCAACCCAGTTTAGCCACCAGCTGAATGCAGCTGACACTATGTGGATCAGATAAAATGCCCATCAGAGTGCTGCCTGAATTCCTGGCCCACAGAATCATGAGAAATAATAAATCAGTGTTTTCAGCCACTAAGCTTTGGAGTGGCTTATTATGCAGCTAAACAACAGAAGCAACACTTCCTATGAACCAGATATCATGCCAGACACTTCCCACAGATTATTCTCTTTAATTCTCTTAAGAAGCTCAATAATCTCATGCAGTGTTCAGATGAGAAAATGGAAGTTTAGATGCGTCCCCCACCACAGACAGAAGCAGTGAATGGTCTGAGAGGTCTGTCTCACTCCAGAATCCATGCTCCTGGCCACCAAACCCTACTGCCTTCAGAGAGGGTGAATTCAGCCAAGGCACTCCATATCCACCAAACGCTGTTGGGAATCAAACACCAACTCACATGCACACTCCAGTCCAATTGCATCCTTCCTGGGTAAACCATGAGATATGTTGGACCAGTCTTGGCTGCTATGGTTAGAAGGGTCCAAAAAGGAGGAATAAAGGAAGCTAGGTTGGAAAACTACAAGAGAAATTTTTTTTTTTATTGGCAGACTTTCTTTTTCTCTTTTTTTTTTTTTTTTTTTTTTTTTTTTTGAGGCAGTCTTGCTCTGTCACCCATGCTGGACTGCAGGGTGCGATCTCAGCTCACTGCAACCTCCGCCTCCTGGGTTTAAGCGATTCTCCTGTCTCGGCCTCCCAAGTAACTGGGATTACAGGCACCTGCCACCACATCCAGCTAATTTTTGTATTTTTAGTAGAGACGGGTTTCACCATGTTGGCAAGGCTGGTCTTGAACTCCTGACCTCAAGTGATCCACCTGCCTCAGCCTCCCAAAGTGCTGGAATTACGGGCATGAGCTGCTGTGCCCAGATGACTTTCTTTTTTTGAGCAGTTTCTTATTAAAGAAAAATTGAATGGAAAGTACGGAGTTCTCATACACCCCCTCCCCTCACCCATTTCCCCTATTATTAACATTAGTGTCATACATTTGTTACAATTGATATAACAAATATTTATACATTATTATTAACTGAAGTCCATAGCTTACATTAAAGATCACTGTTTTGTGTTGTACATTCTTTTTTTTTGTTTTTTTTTTTGAGACAGAGTCTCACTCTGTCGCCAGGCTGGAGTGCAGTGGTGTGACCTCGGCTCATTGCAACCTCTGCCTCATGGGTTCAAGCGATTCTCCTGCCTCAGCCTCCTGAGTAGCTGGGACTACAGGCACGTGCCACCACACCTGGCTAATTTTTTTTATATTTTAGTAGAGATGGGGTTTCACCATATTGGTCATGCCTGTAATCCCAGCACTTTGGGAGGTCGAGGCAGGCGGATCACGAGGTCAGGAGATCGAGACCATCCTGTGTTGTACATTCTATGCACAGGTACAGAAAAGAGAATCAGTGGCTGGAATCCTATGTTGGAGAGATTTGTTCCCAATCTAGCCCTCCTGTCCAGCACATCTTAGTCGATCTCTGCGTGCTACAAGTCTGGCCTCTCCCCGCCTGTCCTCGTGGCCCCTGTCAGTTTTAGCCCATTCGCTAGCTTTGCTGCCTTGAGTCTCATGGCTCCCTGTCCACCACTTACCTTAAACCTCAGGCTTGTACCACTCAGACCAACAACCCAGGAACTGATGTCTGTTGATAGGTTGCAGAGTTCTCTCTTATTGGAGGTTGATTTACTAATTACCTATTATATATTATGTGTGCAACATGATTTAGCTAATTAATTCATAATAACATGACAAAGGTATTTACAGATGAAACTGAAACACAGAGAAGTGTTTTTCCCATGATCACACAGCTAACAAGTGGAGGAGTTAAGATTTGAACCTAGGTCTAACCAGCTTTAAAGCCAGAGATCCATAACCCTTTCCCACCTCACACCTCAGAGTCAGCTTTTAGTCACTATTGTGCCAAAAATCCCATTCAAAGTGTCATTAGTTATTCATCCATTCACATTTGCAACCAATTCTCCATGGGATATGAATGGTTAAGTGCATACTTAGCAATCTAAAAAGCTACTCCTCAAAAACAGAAAGCATTCAAGATGTTTTATGCTAAATATTTCTATTCCATAAAGAGTTTGTGTAATGAGGAGGAACCAGGGACACTAATGAAATACACAAGGCAGTAAACATTTCTAATGCTAATGGAGCACAGCATGTTTACATTATGATTGGAACCCCATTGATTAGACTTCACTGAATATAACTTTTAGCATAATTATCAATGATGAGAGACAGTCAAGCTTGGTGCTGAGTACATGCTGAGCACTAAAGACTGACTACACTGCTTTCAACTGGTCCTCAATTATTTAAGGGGCATTAACACGACATGATAGCTTGATATTTCCCACCTTGACAGTGGAGATAACAACAGAAAAATGTGCTAAAACTATCGGGGAACCTGCCCTGATAGTCATGTAGGTTCTTTTCTGTTTTCCCTAAGCATTGGCCAGTTTGAGAAATAAAGGGGCAGAGTACAAAAGAGAGAAATTTTAAAGCTGGGCATCTGGGGGAGACTTCACATGTCAGTAGGTTCCGTGATGCCCCACAAGCCACAAAACCAGCAAGTTTTTATTAGGGAGTTTCAAAAGGGGAGGTAGTATACGAATAGGGTGTGGGTCACAGACATCAAGCACTTCACAAGGTAATAGAATATGACAAGGCAAATGGAGGCAGGGCGAGATCACAGGACCACAGGACCAGGGCGAAATTAAAATTGCTAATGAAGTTTCAGGCACCACTGTCATTGATAACATCTTATCAGGAGACAGGGTTTTGAGAGCAACCGGTCTGACCAAAATTCATTAGGCAGGAATTTCTTCTTCCTAATAAGCCTGGGAGCGCTATGGGAGACTGGGGTCTATTTCACCCCTACAGTCTACAGACCATAAAAGACGGCCACACCCAGGGGGTCATCTATAGACCTACCCCCAGGCGCATATTCTCTTTCCCAGGGATGTTCCTTGCTGAGAAAAAGAATTCAGCGATATTTCTCCCATTTGCTTTTGAAAGAAGAGAAATATGGCTCTGTTCCTCCCGGCTCACTGGTGGTCAGAGTTTAAGGTTATCTCTCTTGTTCCCTAAACATTGCTGTTATCCTGTTCCTTTTTCAAGGTGCCCAGATTTCATGTTGTTCAAACACACATGCTCTACAATTTGTGCAGTTAATGCAATTATCACAGGGTCCTGAGGTGACATACATCTTCCTCGGCTTACGAGATGACAGGATTAAGAGATTAAAGACAGGCATAGGAAATCACAAGGGTATTGATTGGGGAAGTGATAAGTGCCCATGAAATCTTCACAACTTATGTTTAGAGATTGCAGTAAAGACAGACATAAGAAATTATAAAAGTATTAATTTGGGGAACTAATAAATATCCATGAAATCTTCACAATCCACGTTCTTCTGCCATGGCTTCAGTCGGTCCCTCCGTTTGGGGTCCCTGACTTCCTGCAACAAAAACTACATCAGAGATTTAAGTAACATAATTATCAGATATTAAGAATTATTTAAAGTGAACCTCTCCAAAATAAATCTAACTTCAAAAGTCTGGGAGAAACACTTATCTTATTAAATGTATGAATGTCATTAGCATAATATAATATGTTGGAAGGCAGAGTAGCACACTGGTTTTGTCACTTAATAAGTTTTTATCTTGATCAAGTTATTTAACGTCTCTTTGCCTTAATTTCCTCACCAATTAAATGAGAACCATAATAGTACCAAACCAAAATAACTGTTGGGAGGATTAAACGAGTTAATATAGATAAAGCACTTGAACTAGAACAGTCAGTTCTACTAGAATGCTTGTTTTGAAAATGCAAATTTGTTCCAATGAAATTGATATATTAGGGAACAATTTGAGCACAATGAGACTTCCATGCTTGTTTATGCCACCTTCATTTATTGGAAATACAGAAAACTGCAGCCAGTTGAACTGGGTCATGCAGGGAATGCACAAAACGCGCACATATACACACCTCAAACACCTGCCAACTACCTCAGTTCACTGTGTGCTGTGAGCCATCCCCCATGCTCATCAGGTGCTACAACTGCTGGTCACATTTCAGCTAACCCTCCTTCTATCCCTTCACAGTAACTCACAAGGTACAGTGATACTCACTTCCACAGGCAAGCATCAGGTCTTTTCCTAGTTAAAATGGATACTTATTTCAGCATTTATACCTTTCTTAACCATTGAACATGTGTAACAAACTACTGCCATTTTATTATGTTCCTTTTTGTTGTTGTTTTTAACGTGTACCTAGTGAGGTTTTTGACTGTTGTGCCCCTAAACTCATTTTCCCCATAAACCCTGTGATTGTTATTGCCAATTTTGCATAGTGCAGTAGTTTTCGGGAATGCGTGTTACATTATAGCAAAACTGACTGTCTCTGGCATGTAATAAGTACTAAGATAATGTAATTATTATTTTTATAGCTATTATAAGAAATGGTTGGTGTATATTATCTGTATATTTTCTTAGATCATTTCATGTTTGATTTAATTTTTATTATCATTAGTTTGAGTACTGTTCATATATTTTTATTGTATTCATACTCAGGAATGTCATGATGATTTATACATTTGTGACATTGCTCAAAGTGTATAAAACAATGCAAGAATCATTTGTCACTTAAGGATTTCAAACATATTGAGCGTCCTAGTAACATATCTATATCCCTTAGAGACCACAGATAAAAATAAGACCTGCTGGTAATCAGCAGTAGCTCTAGGTACTTGACATCAAGATAGTCTGGTTTTAGACACCCACATGCATTTGGGACTAGTTATCTCTAAGCCTCCTTAACCCATGATCACATAAATAGGAGATGATATTTACATTTCAAGAGTGACAGAGGTAATCAGCGGGTCCATCATGGAGCTGAGGTCATAGGAAGAAGGCCAGAAGATCTTTTGAGATATGAGCTTTCTGCACATTGAAGGACACAATGAGAATACAAACACTTAAGTCCTGGGGTTCTTCTGGGCAGTCTGTCAATACTATAACGACACTGCTCTACCTAAGCTTTACTGACTTCAGCATGCTCAATCATACATCCATTCATCCAGGTGATATTTATTGATTAGGTACTCTGGAAGACACTGTCCTTTTTTTTTTTTTTTTTTTTTTTTTTGAGACGGAGTCTCGCTCTGTCGCCCAGGCTGGAGTGCAGTGGCGCAATCTCGGCTCACTGCAAGCTCCGCCTCCCGGGTTCACGCCATTCTCCTGCCTCAGCCTCCCAAGTAGCTGGGACTACAGGCGCCCGCCACTACGCCCGGCTAATTTTTTGTATTTTTAGTAGAGACGGGGTTTCACCGTTTTAGCCGGGATGGTCTCGATCTCCTGACCTCGTGATCCGCCCGCCTCGGCCTCCCAAAGTGCTGGGATTACAGGCGTGAGCCACCGCGCCCGGCCGACACTGTCCTAAAGGCTTGGGATACCATGATGACTAGAATTGGTCTTTGTGCTCAAGGAACATAGAACTTTGAAAATAGTATACCCACACTCAAAATTCTTCAATGTTATAACCATGAGAAACAGGCTTTAGAAATCATATAACCATTGGAAAATGTCCTATAGATGGGGGGCTTTTGGGTTTCACACAGAGCCATCAACAAGGAAGCCTGATATACAGAAGCCCTGACTGTAAATCAAAAAACAACCTCGTGTGCCTTTATTCTGAGAACTGCACACACATGTTGTTTCATCCACATTCATTCACTAAGACATTAGCACTCTCATCAACTCACAACTGTCAAACAAATAAAAGTCAATATATATGAGGTTTCCTGAACGTTGTAAATAATTATGCAAATGCAAATTAGTTTCACAACTAAGTTGCTGCTCAAATCACATGTCTAAAACTAAACTCATTGCCAGCTCACCCCACTTGCCCTCACACCTTGCTTTTCTTATGTTCTTTGTTGCAGCTAGGGAAGCTACCATTCATCCAGTCTGGAAAGCATGGAATCACCCCATACTTCTTTCCCTCACAACTCCAGTGTTTCTCTCTAATTCAACCCTGCTAATTCCAAATCATTTCAAAACATGTCGCACAACCCCTGCCTTTCTTGTTATCCTCACAGTTACTGCCACAGTTAAAAATCTATCCACTCTCACCTGGACGAGTGCGCCCACACTCCATCCTCCATTGCTCATCTTTGATATCAATGGTAGAGTTCACATCATATCTCTTTCCTGATGAAAAATCGCTGCTGACTTCCTGCTGCATGCAGCATGTAAGATCCCCTCTCCTGAGTACAGAATAAAAGGACCTTAAAAAAGGATAGCCAAATCTTGCCACTTAGCCTCATTAAATTTGCTCTTTATAAGTGACCCAAAACTCCAACCACACAAGACTTATTAACTACAAAATATCCAAGGTTCTTTTCATGCCCACCATGCCTTTTTGCATAATGTTCCTTCTTTGATCCATTCCCTTTCCCTGGGTAGGTTACAGGAAGGGGGGATGGCAGGGGAATAGGTGCAGGAAGACTCAATATTAATGAGTCTATGTGTCTCTTTTAGGGTAGGAACTGATCAGAAACCTATCTCATTTATCTTTGCATTTCCAAGATCTAGTAGGTTCCCGCCTATAGTAGCCACTCAGTAAAGTTATAAACTAATGACTTTAAGGCACCCTTTCTATCTATGTCTACAGAGTTGCAAAATAATCAAAGACAATCAATGGTTCACAGCCCCAAAAGAATCACAGTACCTTGGGAGGGACCCTTGGACAATGCCCAACTTCCTATTGAAAGAACACCCAAGCATCTCTTTTGCCTACTTTAAATGTCTATCGTGATTTTCCTGACAGAAGAGATCTTGAAGATACCTTAATTTTAAAGGCAGTGCTCAGAAATGTCATGTGATTTTCCCAAGTTTACACCCCTGTAGAAAGCCAAGACCTGTGGGCAGAGGATTACCCAGGTGCCGAGGTAAGAGACTGAAGGCACAAACTGTTTCAGTATAATAAAGAAAATAGTTAGAATAAGAATAGTCATAATACAAATTAGATATAGAGATGATCATGGACATTATCAATCATTAGTATAGACGTTATTAATCATTAGCTTTTAATATTTCTCTTTGTTGTGTTACTAATATAACTAAGGAATAACCAGCGGGTATAGGGTCAGGTGCTGAAGGGACATTGTGAGAAGTGACCAAGAAGGCAAGAGGTGAGCCTTCTGTCACGCCAGCATAAGGGCTTCTTGAGGGCTCCATGGTCAAGCGGTAATGCCAGTGCCTGGAAAGGCACCCGTTACTTAGCAGACTGTGAAAGGGAATCTCCTTTCCTTGGAGGAGTCAGGGAACACTCTGCTCTGCCAGCTTCTTGTGGGAGGCTGGATATTATCCAGGCCTGCCCGCAGTCATCTGGAGACCTAAACCCCTCCCTGTGGTGCTGTGCTTCAGTGGTCATGCTCCTTGTCCACTTTCATGTGCCTCCCATACTCCTGGTTCCTCTTTGAAGTTCTTAGTGGATAGTGGTAGAAGAAATAGTGAAAGTCTTAAAGTCTTTGATCTTTTTGATAAGTGCATAGAAGAAAACGCTGACATATGCTGCCTTCTCTCTCTGCTTCGGCTACCTAAAAGGGAAGGGCCCCCTGTCCTATGATCACATGACTTGCTTCACCTTATCAATCACTTAGAAGATTCACCCTCCTTACCCTGACCCCCTTGTCTTGTATGCAATAAATAGCAGCACGCCCAGCCATTCGGGGCCACTACCCGTCTCCACGTCTTGATGGTAGTGGTCCCCCGGGCCCACCTGTTTTCTCTTTATCTCTTTGTCTTGCATCTTTATTTATTACAATCTCTCATCTCTGCATACGGGGAGAACACTCGCTAAGCCCCGTAGGGCTGGACCCTACAAAGACCAGGTTCAGGTCTCTTTTTGATGCTTAGCATTTTTTCCACTGTCTGTAGAACCATTCAGCATTTCTCTAACTAGAAATTCCCAACCTTGAATTTTGGCAAAGTTTTCTTTCCTTTTCTAATTGTTGCTCTCTGGGTTTCCAGGGCTTATTCTGACAATACACTTTCTTGGATACTCTTAACTGGGACTCTGTAAGAGTTCTCTTGTAATTGGTGGGGTTACCCTAGATGTTTATAACCCAATGAAAAATCCAAATACTTCCAGTAATGACTATAGTAGCTTCACTGTCTGTTTTTCCAACAGTCTTATGTTTTACTAACATCTATAGAGCTGTGTCTTGCCCAGAAATACAGAGTATTTTAATCTATACTTTTTTTTTTAATTGAGATGTAGTCTTGCTCTGTCACCCAGGCTGGAGTGCAATGGCATGATCTCAGCCAGGCGCAGTGGCTCACACCTGTAATCCCAGCACTTTGGGAGGCCAAGGCTGGTGGATCACCTGAGATCAGAAATTAATCTATACCAATTCTTAAAGTCATTGCAAGTGAATGAAATTCAATAACTGTAGTATGTGATTTCTGTCAGAAAAAAAATTAACTCATTTTATGACCAGAAAAGAAATCTCTCACAATGAAACTGACTGGGCCAAAAAGGTATTGTGAACAGTCTTATGACAAGTTAAATGCTATTCCAAATTTTCAACATGATCCTGCAAATTTAACACAGATTATGAAAGGGCGTCTTGTGGACCTCATTCAGATTTTCTGAGATCAGTGACTATAATCTGTGTGAAAAATTAACACAATGGCCCCAAATCAGTGTGCTCTTAAGAAGAATTTCTTTAAATGAATTAGAAGTGATTCTAAACTGTGGGAGGTGGTGAGAGCCAAGAATCATAATTTTTAAAAGCTCTTCCAATGGATGTCAATATATAATAGGACTAGGAGTCACTGGGCTAGAAATCAACGAACTAGATAGAGCAAACCTCAACTAAACCATCCCACAAATGTTTCCCATTTCCCCAGAGATGCCACAAAATTTTAAAGGTTATTTAAATAAATTCAATGAAAAGCCTATAAACAGTCACAGGAAAATCACACTTCACACCCAGGCATGGCAAGGGGTTAGGGCAGGTGCAGGGGTGAGCACATCAGCACCAGGTAGTGCTGGGCTTATTTACTCTCTTAACCCTCAGAACAGCTCTGTGATGTAAATGTCATTATCTCCATTTTAGAGATGAGGAAACTGAGGCTCAGAGAATCTATGTGACTTTCCCAACATAACAGAAACAATAAGTGGTAAAATTAGAATATGTACAAAACGTCTAGCTTCAATGATGGTGACTTCCATTACTACAATCATAGAATGTTGTGACTCCAGGAACATGATGAACAATCAATAAATAGATGCCAATTGATGCTGACAAGCTAAAATATATTTTTTAATGAATTTGACATTTAAAATGTTTCAGATCCCTGCTGATATACAGAGTAGAGAATGAGGATGCTAGCTCATTTGACCTCATCAATTCTATTCTTGACTACTGCAATTGCCTCCCGACCTGTGTCCCTCCCTTGACTTCTCTCTTCATCCCAAAATCCCATGCTCTCAAAACTTCCATGCCCTCCACCCAGGATCTCAATTGATTGAACCTACCTCTTATAACAACCAGTGCCAGGAATTTGGTGGTCTCCAGATATACTGTGCATTTTTAATTATGTGAATTACAATGTTGTTCCCTCAGCCCAAATGTAGAACGCCTTTCACTCCTCTTCCCATTCTTCCCCTCCTCAGCCTACCTTCATCCCTCATTGCCTATAAAACACTGCTCAAATTATTTCTTCTTATGAAGCCTTCCCTGATTCCCACACTTTACAAGGCATTTGGTATTCTTGAAACATTTGCTTCGTAATCATTGCTTATATGTCTTTCTCTGGCACTTGAGTATACACTCCACAAAGACAGCAACTACACTTTATTCATCTTCAAATCCCTAAGACCTAGTAAGAGTCAGGCCCATAGTAGGCACTCAGCAAATGCTTATCGACTAATTCACATAACTAGATCTTACTATTTAAAAAAATAACTGATAACAAATGTTTGGGAAACTCCATACCTTTGACTCTCTAAAATGAAAATTCTGGGTCTACCGAGAATCATTTAGAAAGCTTTCAGGGCTGGGCACAGTGGCTTATACCTGTGATCCCAGCACTTTGGGAGGCCATAGCAGGCAGGTCCTTTGAGGTCAGGAGTTTCAGACCAGCCTGGCCAACATGGCAAAACCCTGTCTCTACTAAAAATACAAAAATTATCTGGGTGTGGTGGCATGCACCTGTAATCTCAGCTACGTGGGAAGCTGAGGAAGGAGAATCGCTTTCACCCATGAGGTGGAGGTTGCAATGAGCCAAGATTGCACCACTGCACTCCAGCCTGGGTGACAGAATGAGACTTTGTCTCAAAAAAAAAAAAAAAAAAAAAGCTTTCAGGCAAAAAAAATAACTGAAATGTATTGTTTCATATGCTGCACATTTTGAAGTCCAAAGTCCTATTCTTACAGAGCGCCTCTAAACCACAAAAGATCTGAATTCATTATTATTTTATATTTTTAAACCATTAATTTTGTCCTCCCTGGGAACTGCTCCAGCCTGGATAACCTTCCCCTCTGTAAGGGAAGCCTGATGAGGACCTTGTGTTCCTGACTCACACACACATCCAAACCCTTCTGTATTTGGGGTTGATAGAAACCTTGTGCCTTGGGGATGACTATGAGAAAATGGCCCCTGCTGCATTCCAGAACATCTTACCAACAGGAAACTTTTGTTTCTTGGTTACACAAAAATACAGAACTGTCTTTCTTTGCATCTATTGAAAAGAAACTTTTGTCTTCTTGGCTTCCAAGAATATCCAGGCCTGTCTCCTTTTCCAATAGACTGAAATGCAATTCCACCCCCCACCCCCTTTTTTTCTTTTCGTAACTGCTTTGGTACTAACAGATGATTGTTATGGGACCAAACCAATTTGTGCAAAAAAATGCGAGTTTTCATAGCATAAGTTGGAAAAGGAATCCCTTGTGGATATAGCTAGATAAATCCAATGGACAAACACCCACAAAATCAGACCCTAATTAAAGTTTCCAAGGAGATATCCAGGCACATTCTAGTTGGTAAATTATGCGGTGTCTGTACATTAGAGATAGATGTGTTTACCAAATCCTGGAATAATAAAATTAAGAAAGTTCCTCTTGGAGATTAAAAGATGTAATTTTAAGAAATATGAAAAAGTCTACTTTATGCAATTACTAAGCCTAGAAAAATTATATATGTTGACAAATTTATAGTTTCAAGAAAGATTTAGATATAGTCATGGGTTCAGTAGCCAGTGGATACACTGCAAAAGGAACACGTAAGGATATGTATGCCTCTGGGATCTAACACACTGGGAAGTTGTGTCCCATCACTAAATGTCCTTTATAATAATACAAGAATCTGAAACACCACCTTTGATTTATTCTTACATTAATATTTATATACACTCAGTAAAATTTGTAGAAGTACCTTTGTTGAAAGCATTGGGACTCAGAAAACAGTACCCCAAAATATGACACTTTGGCCTGCTGAGTACATTGAACTAAAAGGGATTGAGGAGCCTCAGAAGCAGCCTCAAAAGGAATGCCTCTCTCCGACCTTCTCCTGTCCTTTTGTCTCCTGTCCCTCTGTCTCCCCCACAAAGGAGTCATAGAAACCAGAATTTCTCTTCCCCAAGGAGGTGTGTAGAAACTAGAACCCCTATCCCCCAAAAGAAGCCATAAAACCTAGAAAGGGCACACTCTCTGTATTCTCCCTGGAAGATGCTCATTCCAGAGAGGTCCTGCCCCATACCCAGGAGAAAGAAATGCTACATAGAGAGGCCAGGAAGGCTTGGAACAGACAGGCTTTGCTGGGTTTCCCCATCAGTCTGTTCCCATTAGGTCACACCCTTTTGTCCAATCACATTTCTACACCATTGCCCATTCTTCATCGAACCCAATCATAAAAACAGAAGTTTTCCCCAGGTCTTTGGGTCTTCATTCTGAAAGCTCCCATGTCATATAAAACTTTGATAAATTTGTTACACTTTTCTCTCATTCACCTGTCTGTCTTTTGTCACAGGAGTATCGGCAGTGACCCTCATGATGGGTGAGGAAACATATCACACCCTTTCTTCCCCTAAAAAAGAGAAATGCAAATAAACATTAGGAGCCCAATAATGAGATAATGATGTAGAGGAAATAGTGCATGAAGACTCAGAAAGTCAGGATCATTTGGAGTCAATCCAGAAAGTCTCAGCTTCACTGCACAAAGGCCACTGTTTCACAATAATGAATAAGAAACATCAAAAGCATATATCCATTGTAAAGAGAAGCATTTTGTTTCTCTAAACCAGGGGTTTTCTAATTGTGGTCCTTGGACCAGCAGCACAGGCATCACCTGAGAAGTGGTTAGAAATGCAAATTCCTGGGCTCCATTCCAGACCCAGGGAATCAGAAGCTCTGGGGAGGCTAAATTTGAGGACCACGGACCTAGATCTGTGCTGTCCAGTAGGACAGTCACCAGGAGCCACATGTCTTTACGGGATATTTGAAACATGGCTAGTCCAAATTGAAACATGCTGGCAAATGTAAGAAACACACTGGATTTTAGAAAATTAGTACAGAAAAAAAGAAGGTAAACTATTTCATTAATGTTTTTATATTGATTACATATTGAAATAATAATGATTTGGATATACTGCATTATACAGGGTATATTACTAAAATCAATTTAGTCCATTTCTTTTTACTTTTTTTTTGATCTGGCTACAAGAAAATTTACAGTTACATATGACTTGCATTATATTTCTATAGGAAAACACTGGTCTATTGCAAACCTCTTAAAAGTGTAAAAATTGCCTCCACAAAATTCCTGTGAACCCAGAAAATCTGAGACAGGTCTCAGTTAATTTAGAGAGTTTATTTTGCCAAGGTTGAGGACGCACCTGTGACACAGCCTCAGGAAGTCCTCACAACATGTGCCCAAGGTGGTCAGGGCACTGCTTGGTTTTATACACTTTACAGAGACATGAGCTATCAATCAATATATGTAAGAAGGACATTAATTCCATCCAGAAAGGCAGAGATAACTCAAAACAAGTCCCCCACCCCCTCGCCCCCCGCCCCCAGAGGCTTCCAGGTCACAGGTAGGTGAGAGACAAATGGTTGCATTCTTCTGAGTTTCTGATAAGTCTTTCCAAAGGAAGCAATCAGAGTTTGCATCTATCCTAGTGAGCAGAGGGATGACTTTGAATAGAATGGGAGGCAGATTTGCCCTGAGCAGTTCCCAGCTTGAAAGGGCCCAAGATATTTTACTTTCACGTTTCTCCCCTTTTCTTTTTTAAAATCTTGGAGAAAGCATTTTACAAGAAAATGAGTCTCTTTTCAGGTTTCATCTGATCTCTCATGACTAGGAGGGTTTTTTCCTAGACGTGTAGGCCCCCAAAGCTCATTTTTAGCAGGTTGTTAAGTCTCAGGTCCTATGAAGAGAAAATAGGGGGAGGAAGAGAGAAAAACAATAACAAACAAAAGGGCAATCCTAGAAACATTGAGATAGGCCACATTACTCTGAGGTCCATACATTAGTAGGCAGGTATGAAAGTGACTTATCTATGTAAATAAGTTGCTGTTATTTTCTTTTAAAGTTCAGGTTGTCTGACTTCAGTTCCCAGGGCTTAATGTTTGACTTCAAATTAGGAAAAATGGGAAAAAAGGAAAAAAATTGAAAACATTATTTTGAAGACTCGTAGCCAAGAAAAATTAGAATTTGGTTCAAAATGTAGAAAATAATAAAAATGGAAAAAACATTAGGCAAGACTAGAATCTAACAATAGGTGTACTATAGTTTTGAAACACAATTTTTCTCTCTCTGGTTTCCCATTTTTACTAAAGACAGATCATGGCAGGACAGTTTTGCGTTATTATACTTGGCCTAATAATTTGTATACAGTGCAGCCAGAATAATTTGGTGTTTTTTTTTACATAGGTTTTAAATTGGCTTTGATGGAACTTTGTTCCATAAAAGGAATCTCACATAAGACTTTTTAAAGCTGAAGCCAGCCATGGGTTTGTGCCATCAAATATCTATGAGTTGGGTGAATTTCCTCTTCTCTTGAGATTCCAAGATAAACCTGGGGCTTCTAGATCTGTCAATAAATGACTTTCTTTACTAACCACAGGTCAGAAACCCTGTACAGGGACTGTGTACACAAAATATGGGGCCAGTTTTTCCAAGGGCTTTATTGGCTCCATAAGTCTGATTCCTTAAAGGAAAGCACATCATTCCAGCCAAAGCCTTGGTAAAATAACCAGTTTCTCCAGTTGTGTCTTGTTACAAAAGAAAACAGGTTCTTATTGCACTTATGCAAATAACTGTATTGCCATAATTTGGGAATACTCACAAATAGTTTCCAGATTCTGGAGAAATCAGGTAGAGAGCAACAAATATGCTCCAAATTTTGTTCATGGGAGTATATTAAATTGTTAAAAGCTGTCAATAGCTCAAAAGAAAAGTTGTGAGACTCTGAAAAATAAGACAAAGGATCAGCAAACATTTTAAGCAAAAAGTCAAAAAGATTAGTTTAGTCCATGTAGTTAATTCCTGTTCTGCTTGATATTCGTGAACTTTTTAGGTCTCCATTAATCCTGAAAGTTTCATCTCTATTCCGAAGTTACAGTCTCCAAAGTTATCAGAGACCTGCATTCAAGAGCACCTGTTGTATAGCTGATTATAAAACCACCTTCTAAAAAGGACCAAAACTAGACAACAATGGTCCATGGGTGATGAAAAGTTTTAGGGCAACTGTAGTCAAAGACACAATTGACAAAAAAATTTGTTGGCATGCAATAATTTTAACATAACAATTACTATTATTACTGATAATATACACTAAGTTATATCAGAATTATAGGAGTTTCCCATAATTTTGGAACACATATCAATAACATAGTTATACCATATGCCCAAAGAAAACACAACACCATTTCATA